>NC_000012.12:23959650-24584650 GCF_000001405.40 Homo sapiens | reverse complement strand
GGTCATTACCAAGATCTGACTTTTCACACAAAATAATTTGCAACCTCCAGCATAAATGGGATAATTGTGGCAGTTTTGGGGAGACGAAACTTTAGAGTTTAATCTTCCAGCTTGACTGACTTGGAAGCATTCCTGTCAATATAAAAGATCTTGTTCGGGGCGGTGGAGAAGCCGAGGCCGGCTCCGCGGCTGTACTTTCAGCTCATGGCCAGGCCATATTCCCGCTGCAGGCTCTGCTGCAGACTGTCGGCCACCTTCTTACTGAGGGCCACGTTGGACCTTGCAATCGGGCTGGGTGGGGCGGGAGGGTGGGGGTGGGGGTGGGGGCTAATCGAAGGGGACAAGTTTTTGAAGCCACCCGTAAGTTTGAGAAATTTCAGTTTCTGTTCCTCGTTCTCAAAACCAGCAGTATCCCACTGGCCAAACTGGCTTCCCGTCCACTTCCTGGTTTCAGAAGCTTCCGTTTTGCCTGACTGGCGATCAGTCTCTTCTTGCAAGGCCTTTCGCCCCTGGTCTATGTGCGCCTAGTCCATGTTGCCTTTCTTTTCCAACACCACCTCCAAGTCCGTGTCTGTTTCCTCCTTTCAAGGGTCTCCTGCTACCCCACTCTCTTTCCTTTTCTTTTTCTTCCTTTGCAGAGCCGGCTCCTCAATGACTGGCTGCTTTACCTTCTTCTTGGACTTCATCTTTTTCTTCGCGGGGGTTTTAGGGCCATCTCCTATGGGGATGTATTCCGGAGCCTCCACTTTGACTGGCTTCTTTTTACTTCGTTTCCTAGGGCAGCTCTCCATGGACCTGGAGGGCTTGGAGTGGCTTGGGAGGGCGTCTCCCTCCTGGTGGATTTTTTTTTCTTCTTCGCCTTCCCACCGTGTTCCCTGGGGCTCTTGTGCTTCCGCTTCTGCCCCAAGGCTACCTGTTCCTCACCCTCCTTCCCCACTGAGCAAGTGTCCACAGCATCCCCGACCTCGCAGAACCAAGGGTCCTGGACTGAGAAAGCTGTGGGGTCCTGGGCCCCCTTTTTTTCCTTCTTAAGTTTTTTAAGCTTCTTGCCAACTCTGGTTTCCTCCTCACCCTGTCTGGGGTCTGGGGAGATTTTCACCCCAGAGGCATGGGAGATGGCCAGAGATGACTTCCTTTTCTTCTGCCCACTGAGGAACTCCAAATGGCCAAGCACCTGGTTCCTTGGGCTGGATGACTTCTCTGTCCGTCTGGCACGCAGCGTGGTCTCAGGTTCTACGTGCCCCTCGCAAAGGGTGCTGACACCCTTCTCTTTCTTCTTTTTCTTCACTAGAGGCATCTCAGGTGCCTGCCCGTGGACCACACTCTTAGAGGGGGCTGTGGCTTTTATAGGAGAAACATGGGCAAAGTAATCATCATTGTTTAAAATTGAGTATTGAGTCCCTGGTTCTTTGACCACTTTCTTCTTCTTTTTCTTCTCTGGGATCCCAGGGCCCAGGTCTACTTTCCGGTGGGCCAAACTTCCCCGCCTCCACGTGAGAGCCGGCTCCGCCGTGACCCGGAAGTCCACTTTCGGGTTGCACGCGTGGCTTCTCTTACACACAAATTTTCTTCCACTTCTGCCACTCCTGAGACAGCAAGACTGATACCTTATTTTCCTCCTCCTCCTTGGCCTACTCAACATGAAGATGATGAGGATGACGACCTTTACGATGATCCACTTCCATCTAATGATTGGTAAATATATCTTTTCTTCCTTAAGATTTTCTTAATAATATTTTCTTTTCTTTAGTTTACCTTATTGTAAGAATCCAATATATAATATATTTAATACAAAATATGTGTTAATAGACTGTTTATGTTATTGTTAAGAATTCCAGTCAACAGTAGGCTATTAGTAGTTAAGTTTTTGCGTAGTCAAAAGTCATACACAAATTTTCAACTGCATGCAGGGACAGCACCCCTAACCCCCACATTGTTCAAAGGTCAACTGTAATTGGATTAATAGCTACTATATCTGTAACTATTTTCTCTTTATTGAATTTGTTAATTTTTTTTTTTTTGCCCCTTCTTTTCCTGCATTTACTGGTTTAACTGAGCATTTTATATGATTTCATTTCATCTTCTCTCTTCATGTATAAATCATACTGTTTTTTTAAAATTGTGGTTTTCCCTAGATTTTAAGATATAAGTTTTTTTTTCTTTTTTTTTTCTTTATTATTATTATACTTTAAGTTTTAGGGTACATGTTCACAATGTGCAAGTTAGTTACATATGTATACATGTGCCATGCTGGTGCACTGCACCCACTAACTCATCATCTAGCATTAGATATATCTCCCAATGCTATCCCTCCCCCTTCCCCCCACCCCACAACAGTCCCCAGAGTGTGATGTTCCCCTTCCTGTGTCCATGTGTTCTCATTGTCCAATTCCCACCTATGAGTGAGAATATGCGGTGTTTCGTTTTTTGTTCTTGCGATAGTTTACTGAGAATGATGATTTCCAATTTCATCCATGTCCCTACAAAGGACATGAACTCATCATTTTTTATGGCTGCATAGTATTCCATGGTGTATATGTGCCACATTTTCTTAATCCAGTCTATCACTGTTGAACATTTGGGTTGGTTCTAAGTCTTTGCTATTGTGAATAGTGCCGCAATAAACATACGTGTGCATGTGTCTTTTTAGCAGCATGATTTATAGTCCTTTGGGTATATACCCAGTAATGGGATGGCTGGGTCAAATGGTATTTCTAATTCTAGATCCCTGAGGAATCGCCACACTGACTTCCACAATGGTTGAACTAGTTTACAGTCCCACCAACAGTGTAAAAGTGTTCCTATTTCTCCACATCCTCTCCAGCACCTGTTGTTTCCTGACTTTTTAATGATTGCCATTCTAACTGGTGTGAGATGGTATCTCATTGTGGTTTTGATTTGCATTTCTCTGATGGCCAGTGATGGTGAGCATTTTTTCATGTGTTTTTTGGCTGCATAAATGTCTTCTTTTGAGAAGTGTCTGTTCATGTCCTTTGCCCACTTTTTGATGGGGTTGTATGTTTTTTTCTTGTACATTTGTTTGAGTTCATTGTAGATTCTGGATATTAGCCCTTTGTCAGATGAGTAGGTTGCGAAAATTTTCTCCCATTTTGTAGGTTGCCTGTTCACTCTGATGATAGTTTCTTTTGCTGTGCAGAAGCTCTTTAGTTTAATTAGATCCCGTTTGTCGATTTTGGATTTTATTGCCATTGCTTTTGGTGTTTTAGACATGAAGTCCTTGCCCATGCCTATGTCCTGAATGGTAATGCCTAGGTTTTCTTCTAGGGTTTTTATGGTTTTAGGTCTAATGTTTAAGTCTTTAATCCATCTTGAATTGATTTTTGTATAAGGTGTAAGGAAGGGATCCAGTTTCAGCTTTCTACATATGGCTAGCCAGTTTTCCCAGCACCATTTATTAAATAGGGAATCCTTTCCCCAATGCTTGTTTTTCTCAGGTTTGTCAAAGATCAGATAGTTGTAGATAAGTGGCGTTATTTCTGAGGGCTCTGTTCTGTTCCATTGATCTGTATCTCTGTTTTGGTACCAGTACCACGCTGTTTTGGTTACTGTAGCCTAGTAGTATAGTTCAAAGTCAGGTAGTGTGATGCCTCCAGCTTTGTTCTTTTGGCTTAGGATTGACTTGGCGATGCGGGCTCTTTTTTGGTTCCATATGAACTTTAAAGTAGTTTTTTCCAATTCTGTGAAGAAAGTCATTGGTAGCTTGATGGGGATGGCATTGAATCTGTAAATTACCTTGGGCAGTATGGCCATTTTCACGATATTGATTCTTCCTACCCATGAGCATGGAATTTTCTTCCATTTGTTTGTATCCTCTTTTATTTCCTTGTAAGATATAAGTTTTAAAATAATCTATGTCTGCCTTCAAATAATGCTATTGCACTTCAAATGTAGTGAAGTTTCCCTTAGAAGAGTATTCCCAGTTCTTCCTTTCTCTCCCTTGTGACATTGTTGTCGTTCATTTAATTTAACCATTTGCTCTAATCACCCAAAACATTAATAACATACTATTATTTCTTTATACAAACTATTATTTTTTAGACCACTTGATAATTAAAAAACTTTATTTTACTTTCCTTTATTACTTCTCTAATTCTCTTCCTTTCTTTATATAGTAGACTCAAGTTTCTGACTTCTCTCATTTTCCTTCTGCTTGAAGAATTTCTTTCAATATTTTTTGTAGGTCAGATCTGCTAGGAATGAATATCTTCAGTTTTTGTTTGTCTTAGAAAGTCTTTCTTCTTTCAGTTTTGAAGGACAAAGTTTGCTGGGTATAGAATTCCAGGATGGTGGAATTTATTCTTGCAATGCTTTAAATTTTTTACTTCACTCCACTGTAATTCTTACCTTTGCTTTTCTGGCTTATTTCCTGTCATCTGGCTTCTTCTAAAAGATTATCTCTGTGACTTTGGTTTTCTGCAGTTTGAATATGGTATGCCTAGATATGGGTTTTTAAAAGTCTTTATTCAGCATGGTGTTATCTGTGCTTCCTGAATTTGTAGTTTGGTAACTGTATTAATTTTCTAGGGCTGCCATAACAAATTACTTACCACAAAATGAGCCATTGATAACAACAGAAATGTATTCCTTCACAGTTCTGGAGGCTAAAAGTCTGAAATGCAGCTGTTAGCAGGCCCATGCTCCATCTGAAACTTCTCTAGGGAAAGAATCCTTTTTTGCCTCTTCCAGCATTTGGTTGCTGGTCATCCTTGGCATTCCTTGCTGGTAGCTGCATCATTCCAATTTCTGCCTCTATCTTCACATGGCCATCTTTCCTTTGTGTGTATGAATGCTTATAAGGACAGCATTCATTGGATTTAGGGCCCACCCAAATCCAGTATGACTTCCTCTTAATTAATTAAATCCACAAAGACCTTGTTTTCAAATAAGGTCACATTCTAGGGTTCTGAGTGGAAATTAATTGAGGTGGTGCAGTCTTCAAGCCCATACAGTGTCTGTCATTAACTTTGGAAAATTTGTGGCCAATATTACTTCAACTATTTCTTCTGCCTGTTCTTACTTTCTTCTCCTTCTGGTATTCCAGTGATGCATATGTTACATCTTTGAAATGATCTCACAGTTCTTGGATGTTCTGTTCTGTTTTTTCATGCTTTTTTTTTTCCTCTTTGCATTTCAGTTTGGGAAGTTTCTATTGACCTATGTTCACTATTTCTCTGTTCAGTCACATCCAATCACTGATGAACTCATCAAAGCCATTCTTCATTTCTGTTCCAGTGCATTTAACTGTTAACATTTCCTTTTGATTCTTTCTTATAGTTTCCACTTTTCTCTTTCATTACCCATCTGTTATTTTATGTTGTCTTCTTTTCTATTAGAGCCCTTAGCATATTAATCATGGCTATTTTAATTTCCATCTGATAATTTCAATCTCTAATATCAGAGTCTAATTCTAATGATTGCTTTTTCTCTTCGGACTGAGTTTGTCTTGCCTTTTGGCATGCCTTGTAATTTTTTTATTGAGAGCTGGGCAGGTTGTACTGGATATTAGGAACTGAGATAAATAGGGCTTTACCATGAGTGTTCATATTAATATAGCTAGGAGTCAGGCTGGGTTTGTGTTTGATGTAGCTATACGTGGCAGAGGCTTCAAATTCTTCTAGCATTCTTGCTTTTGTCTCTCTTGACTTTGGGCTTCCCTAAATACTCCTTCCCAGAGAAATATCTCTGTCTTGCAATTCTTTAGCTATAATCCACTGTTATTATACTGACACCCTATTATGGTGGTGATAAAGTGTGGGTGAGGGGAGAACATTCTATAATCTGATGAAATCTCAGTTTTTTAGTGGGCCTGTGTCTTGGGGCTGAGACCTTCACGAGCATTTCTCCTGTGGCATAGTTTCCCTCTCTCGTCCCCTGTCCCCTAGCTCCCTACTCCTTTTCCTGGCTGCAGGACTCCCCATCTGTTTCCTTGAAGCCCTACTATGTTTTCTCCCTCTTAGGTGATATAGGTGAGACCACAAGGCTAGAGGGGACTGGAGTGGGAGAAATGTCCTTCTCCCAACAGGAATAAGGCTCTGGTAGAATAGACTTTTGTTATGGAAAAGGCTCTGAGTGTGCTATTTCACAGTGATTACCTATCTACTACCTTGCCAGAGCTAGGAGAATATGGATCTTCATCAGTGAGAACCTGGTGGGGTTCCTGGTCCACCAAAGTTGGGTGGGTGCTGTTTAAGATAGAACATTTCTAACTCTCATACTAGTCCAAAGTTGGGCGGGTGCTGTTTAAGATAGAACATTTCTAACTCTCAAACTAATTCACACACAGCCTCCAGCAGGTCATCAAAATTACCATTTAAATGTTTCTGCAAATGTTTGGCTTACCTTAATCTTCTGATTCAGGTAAGCAGATCTTGACTGTGTTTCTCTGGATGTGCCTGTCTCTCCAGATTTTAGAGTAATGGTTTGCCCTGAGACCTGTTTTCTGATGGGTCCCAGAAAAGTCACTGAATTTTGGAATGATGACTTCTAAGCTTTATATGTTAGAGCTGAAACCAGAAACCTATCTTGAGTTATTTTTAATAATTTATTCATAATCTAATTTTCTGCTTATTTATAATAACAAATGTAAAAATCCTTTAAAATGTACAATAATCATTTAAATTTTCTTCACGTATCTGGTCCCATTTTCTTGAATATCAATGTATACCACTGAGATTTGTTGTTTTATCTTTCCTGGCGTTTCTGTGAGGCAGATATGAGCTGTGTGACCTTGGGAAAGTTACTTATCCTCTTCGTGCCCCAGTTTCCTCATTGGTAATATACAGTATTAATAGTACTTGTCTTTTAGGATTATAATGGAGATTAAATGAGATAATGTATATAAAAGCTTAGCACCATAAATACCTGGCACAAAAAAAATGTTCTCAATACATGTTAATTTCTTATTAACACTTTTATTGTCAATCTCACTCTCCAAATAGAAAAAATAAACTTAAAAATTCTTTTAAAAAATTCACTTCTTACTTCTGGATTGTTTGTTTTAGAATTTTCTTCACTTTGACCTGCAGCTGGAGGCTGAGCTGTGGGAGCTGTGGACTTGACCACATTGAAACTTGGTCAGACAAAGTGCCATCATCCTAATTGTGTGCCAGGGCCACAGTTCACTGAATTAGTTCCTCTGAAGTTTCCTTTCTCCTCCTACATGCCAGCGCATAATACAGCATAGACAATTGCTTCAGATCAATTCAACATGAAAGTGGCCCCTGGAGAAAGGCACTAAATATTCTAGTTTGCTAGTCTTTTGCAAAATTTTGAAATTTACAAAAAGAAGCTTTTTAGTCTTCAATTATGATAGAAATGTCGTATTTTAAGATTTCAACTGGTGTATTTTAATTTTATTTTCTTAAGAAGTAACCCTCTCATTCTCAATTTTGCTAGTATTGTATTATATTGGGGTATTGGTGGTAGAAGGAAGATGGGGTGAGCAGCTTCAAAAAAGATTTTGCATGATTCAAAACTATATAACCATAAGCTCATTTCTAAAACTCCATTTACAGCAGGGGCCAAGGCTGGAAGTTCTGACAGTGGCCTTAGGGGAGCATTCTCTCCTGAAAACTGTGGAGTTGAATGATGATGAACACCAGTGCAAACCGGGCACATTTAAAGAAATTCAACTTTAAAGGATGACTGAATCTTAAAAAGTCTTTACATGAACTTCCAATAGGCAGGTTTTTTGCATTTACATGTAGAAGACAGAAGAGATCCAGTTTCTGTGTCATAATTTCTTTCATTTTTTTATTACATTCAATTCCATGAGTCTATTTTACTTTTTATAATATCATTTCCTTTCTCTTGAAATTATGGTAAATTTTCATAAACATGTAAATGTTTTGTTGTTCAATGCTTTTATGCTGTTAGTGGGACAGCAAAGGTTTGTCTACCTAGTATATTCCAATCTAATAGTCTATCCAAGAATGATGGTTTTCTAGGCTTTTATTTAATACATCCAACAATGGAATTCTATAACCTCTTGGTTATTTCTATGAGTGTATAGCATCTTTAATTTGGACCAATTGTTTTTATAATCCAATAGCACTTGATGTAATTACCTTTTAAGGTTATGAAGTACTTTTGTAGCCATCACCTCATTTGATCTTTATAACAATGAGTGAGCAGGGAAGGGCAAGCAGCTGTTGCTAGATCCTGAATAGCCAAATGCACATGCTCTTCTAGAACTGTGGGTATCAAAGCAGTCTTCTAGGAATGGTTTTTACATAAGGGTCTGATGTCTCCTGGTGAGATGTACAGAAGATTTTGCATTCCGTGTTTCTAGGATTGTCATTCCAAAGAAGACATCAAGTTTGCTCCTAATTTTTGGTACTAGGGGTGCAAAGAAATTGCTAAATGTAGGGTACTCCAGAAGGCATAGAACTGATTCTGAAGTAGGACAGAAAAATGACATTAGTCACCATTAAGGAAGGTCTTTTCTAAATAAAATTAATTCCTGGTTCAAAGTAATTCCCCCACCTCCCTAGTTAGTTGATCATGATCATTGTAGTTTCTTTTATTTTCTTTATAGCACTTACCACTCTCTGATCTTATTTATTTTTTTTTTGACAGAGTCTCGCTCTGTTGCCCAGGCTGGAGTGCAGTGGCGTGATCATAGCTCACTGCAGCCTTAATCTCCTGGGCTCAAGTGATCTTCTTGCCCCAGCTTCCCAAGTAACTTGGGAGTAGCCACCACATCTGGCTACCTTTTTATAATTTTTTTTTTTCCAGAGATGAGATCTTGCTGTGTTGCCCAGGCTGGTCTGATCTTTCTGGATGTTATTACTGACTTCCTTTGCATCTGTCTTTCTCCTCTAGAATTCCTGATTTCTTGGAGCATGTACTTGATCTCTTTTTTTTTTCTTTTTTTGTATCACTGAATCCGTAGCCCCTAGAATGATAACCAGCAAACAGTAGGTGCTCCAAAATTTTTCTCCTTGCAACATCAGTTCCAGATATGGGTATGAATAAACTTAAGGGTAGTGTCTATTAAATGATCTTTATGCTGATCTTCAGGGAGCTTGCTGTAATTACTTAGCCAAGAGGACTATAAAACTCTTGCTCAAAAATCTTTATGAATAATTTCAGTTGTTCATATAAAAACCTCTTGTTCATTCAACCAAGTTCTGATCACTGAATGGCTAAATTTCTCTTAATTTGGTCTGTTTTTCTCACCTTCTGTGTCCTCAAGTGTGGCAGTTATGGGAGAACCTGCTTTAAAGAGTATAGTTGGCTGATCACCTCCAGCAGTAGAAACTGCTGATCTACCATGCATTCCTGCCGAGACTCTGGTCTCTCTGGATTGCTTTCAAACAATAACTGAGCATGGTGGGGCTACTAGAGCTAGCCCTTCTACTCCCAACACAGAACTTTTCTATGAACAATCTTTATTCAGGATACTCGAATCCCAACTGATATGTTTGGCTCTGTGTCCCCACCCAAATCTCATGTTGAATTGTAATTCCTAATATTGGGGGAGGGACCTGGTGAGAGGTGATTGGATCATGGGGACGGATTTCCCCTTTGCTGTTCTCGTGATAGTGAGAGAGTTCTCACGAGATCTGATGGTTTAAAAGTGTGTAGCACTTCTTCCTTCGCCCTCTCTTTCTCCTGCTCTGCTATAGTAAAATGTACTTGCTTCCCTTTTTCCTTCTGCCATGATTATAAGTTTCCTGAGGCCTCCCAGCCATGCTTTTTGTACAGCCTGCAGAACTGTGAGTCAATTAAACCTCTTCCCATTGTAAATTATCCAGTCTCAGTTAGTTCCTCGTAGCAGTGTGAGAACAGATAATATGCTGACCAAGCCAGACAAGACTTTCTCAGAGCCACAGTGCCATCTAAAGCCCTTCCCATCCAATCCTGCTTCCTTCCCTCTCTCCTTTCCTAGGTATCACATTGCATCACAGCCTGCCTAGACCTGTTCTCACATCCCTCGCAGGCATTTCTCCCAACAAATCTCTTGCATATCTAATTCCATCTTAGCATCTGCTTCTTGGAGGACCGAGACTGCCATAGCACCATATTCCAGGCCATCTGCGTTTCTCTGTGTGTCACTGCAGCAGCCTTTTTACAGTCCCACACCTTCAATTTTTCTCTCTACCAATTCTCCACATTGCAGCCAGAATGATCCTCAGAAATTACAAATCTCATCCCTTCCTTCCCTGCTTACACTTGCAGGGTAAAGAAACTTCTTTAAAGATGTCTATAGGACTTATCTTCTAGTCTTACTCTCCTGCCTGTCCCTTTGCCACTCCTCATGCCTCCGTAATCTAAATCAACCTGTTTTCAGTTCCACCAATGAGCAGACGATGTTCACATCTGGTACTTGGGTCCATGGTTTCGGAGTTGTGCTCCTTCCTTTCACCTTTTCTCTGCTTCCTTTGGCTCACACCTGTTCATCCTTCATCTCACAGCATGGATGGAATTTCTTCCAGAAAACTTCCTTGCTCTCACCAAGTCTGAGTTAGGTACTCTCTCTATGTGTTCTTATATCATTTTTCATTTCCCCTTTATATCAGTTACTATTCTTTAGCATATGGCAAAAACTGAACTTAAGCTAACTGGAGTCAAATAAAATTCATGAAATCTATTGGAAAGATACTAGAGTGGATCAAAATTAAGGGAAGAACCAAAAAAGGAACAATAGAAAGGCAGCTCAGATGACCTCTTGAGCTGGAATAATGGGCTCAAATGCCCTCAGAACTTTTCTCCCTCTCTTTCTGTGTGTTTGACTCATTCTTTTAGGTTGGTTGCCTCCATAAACTTGGATTCATGGCTGACAGCAGCTCCTGGGCTTACATCCTCACAGCTTGGGGCCTGAGGGAAGAAAAAGCTATTTCTCCTAGCTACAGATAAAAGCAAACAAACAAAAACCAGTAAAGACTCTGATTGGCCAGTTTGTTTTGTGAGTCCACTTCTTTCCCAGTCACTTGCCCTGGGGGGTGAGCAACTATACTATTGAACCATACTATTGAAGAGACAAGTTTAGATCTTATATTCAGTCCTCAACCAATCACTATCTTCAAGGAAGAACATGAAAGAAAAGGACCATACAACTAAAGCAGTGGGAAAACCCACTCCCCTAAAAAATAGAGATTTTCAGAAGATGAGGAAGATGCTATATTGAAAGAAAAATATGTATCTATCTATAAAGCTTAATAACTGCATTCAGTTACAGGTAACAGAAAACAGCAAAATATTGGCCCAAAAATAAGGGTTTTATTTGCCTCCCAAAATGAGAAGTCCAGAGGTAGGCAGTCAATGGGTCTTGGGAAACTTTCTAATCACTTCTAGAATCCAGGTCACTTCCTTATTCCTTCTGAGCCATCCTTAGCGTGCACTTGTCACTCCTAGCCGTGAAATTGCTACTCTAACTTCTAACATTATGCCCATGTTTCAGGCAAGAAGAAGGGGAAGGGCAAAAGCATGTGCTAAGTCTGCTTGCCTTTTGAAGAGCTTTAATAGAAGCCCAACTTAGAGACTTTTTCATTGGCAAGAATTGTGACCCTTGGCCACCTCCAGCTGTGGGAGAGACCTGGAAGCATAGGATGTTAGCTGGACACACTATTGACCCAAACAAAATCATGACTCTCTTAATGAAAAGAGGAAAATAGATATTAGGTAGGCAATTAGTAGTACCTCTCTTGTAAGCCAGACAATCCAGCTGAAAGGGTAAAAAAAAAAAAATTACTTCCAGGACTCCTTAAAAATATCATTCACAGATGGCTTTTGTATAAGATGACAACAACAGCAAAAAATAACTACAACTTCTGGGGCTTACAAAGTACCTGGGACCAACACAAAGGAAGTACTTGGGGTGGAGGGTGGGAACCCTAGTAATTGATGATGCAGGACTGTGTTCTGGCATGACATTTCTTAAGGGACTGGGACTTGATCTTACCCTCCTGTTACAAGCTGATATGTCTGCCTACCATGGTTTCATGGATGTTGCCACAGAACATATGAGATTCCTGAGTCAGACAAAGGACTATCGCCCATGGCAGAGCAAGCAGCATGAGCATCATTATGCTTGCATTGGTTCCTCAGGGGAGACATTGAGCTTGGAGAATCCACCATTTGAATGGAAAGCAGTAAGCAAGTCTGCTTTTTGCCTGGGAGGGAGACATTACTTACCCTCTAGGTTGCTGCCTGCAAACAATCTGAGTAATGGTCTGGGTAAAGAGCAATTGGGGCATTGCATTTTTGGCAGGCCCAACAAGGTGAGCAGGGATGCAAAAGCCTATAGGAGGACTATTTCTTAAAACAATTCATCCCTCAATCCTGTGCAGGATTAGCTTCCAGTGAATTTTTATGAGTATACCACTTTGTTGGTCACTCTGATGAACTTGACCTACAGAGGTTGGGAACAAATCTGTTCAATTTGTTTTGTATAGCACTTATTAAAGGGTTCTATTAACCAAACTTTAAGCAGTAGTATGAGGCCAACCAGAAGTCTCTATAGACCTCATCCAAGCCTCAGAGGGTCCCAGTTTCAACCATCTCTGAGTAAATCTTAGGGGGACCAGTATGTCTTATGTTAGACAGCCAGGATGTAGTATAAATTCAGTCAATTATCCATTACTACTCACAGAAGTTTAAATGATCTTTGGTATTGTTGTCCATAACTACAGGGAATTACCAATAAAACAATCCTCATTTGTAATGGAGAGACATTCATGGCTCACTTTCCCTTGCATAAAAACACAGGTCACAGCAGTCAGGGATGTGTTGTGAAATTTGATTTGGATCACCAATACCTTGTTTCATTTAAGCCACCTGAGTAGTGTTACCAACTAGTTGCAGCCTTGATGTTACACATGGCATAACCTAAGGATGCTAGGGCACCAGGAGAAGCAGATGAGTTTTTATCAGCCAGAATGAAACAAGGTTGTGTCAATCTGTGTGTTTGTACATATTCAAGAGGAGTCTATGTTTGAAGCTTCTCTCTTTCTTTTCTTTTGTTTTTAGAGGCAGTGTCTCACTCTGTTGTCCAGGCTGGAGTGCAGCGATATGGTCATAGCTCACTGCAGCCTCGAACTCCTGGGCTCAAGGGATCCTGCCACCTCAGCTAAGGCCTGCAGTAGCTAAGACTGTAAGCATGTGACTCTACATCCTCCTAATTAAAACTTTTTTTGTTGTTGTTTTGTAGAGACAGGGTCTCCCTATATTGCCCAGGCTGGTGTTGATCTCTTGGGCTCAAGCAATTCTCCCACCTTGTCTTCCCAAGCCACTGGGATTACAGGTATGAGCCATTACACCCGGCCTGAAGCTTGTCTTGATGGCAGAATGAACAGTTTGGGGCCAGCCAGGTCCTCATGAGCTTCTCTGATTTTATAGCATAGAGATGGGGATGATGAACCAGCAGCGTGTCATATTGCCGGCTTTAGCTTTTTGCCTCAAGCAGACCATGTGATTACTTGCAAGGCTGTGGTACTGGGACAAAGAGAGCATTAATTGTTCCTACCTCACACCTAGCACCTTTCCTGGTCTGAGGTGTTCTCTCTCTATGTCTGGGCCATTCCCTCTCCAAGTGTGGGAGCTGTTCTTCTTTCACAGCCACAAAACTGATGTGTCCACTCCAACAGTTAGAGCTTTCCTTTTCCCTAATCACCTCTGACCCAGACTTAGGTTTTTTGTCTGGAAGGAAGAGGTACACATGAGACAATGAATTTTCACAAAACTTACAGAGACCCATTATGCTCCCCATTTTGACCCATGTGGGCCATGTAGGGGAGCTCAGTGAACAGTGTACTAAACCAGGTGGTCATCGTTCTTATGATCTATGACCTTGTTAAACCCAAGAGATAATCCTAGCAGAATTAAAACTTGAATCCCCTAGGCCCACTTTTGATTGGGCTGCACCCAAGGAATGGACTGAACAGAATGGCCCAGAGTTGCTGTCAGGGAAAGAGAAACATGGTATGCTAAGGAATGGTAAGCATTACAGGCTATACACACGGTGGGATCACATGGCAGATGAATAGCCAAGCTTGGAGAATCTGATGCTTTTATAGCAAGCATCTACTCTTTGTTTTGGAGGGAGACATTATCTTATCCCTCCAAGTTTGATTACTGCAAACATAACCCTGAGAAACGGCCTGGGTAAAGAGTGGTCAGGTCATTGCATTCTTGGCCTACCTGGCATGACCTGCAGCAGCAGGCGAGACCCATAGAGGAGTGTCTCTCCTTATAGGAATCTAAGAAATGGTCCTCAGAAACTCTTTACTGTTTTCACTGATAGAAAGTTTGTCTTAATGTTACTCAGTGTCCTTGAGAAGGCCCCCAGTAAAATGTTCTGGTTTGGTCTTAGTTTCAGGAATAATTGGGCTTCTCCCTAACAATTGTAAATATTGAAATGGACACTTTTTCTTCCTTTTGGCTGCTAGAGAGGTTGAAGTGAAATGTGTGGCTCAAATCTAGCACAGTCCCTGGCACAACTAGGTCTTCTATAAATCATGTTAATAAGGATACAGAATTTTAAAGTGGGATGTACCTTTTGTGGCTCCATTTTATTCCCCTGATCTCTTATCCTTTTGTCTCATTTTCACAGTTATTTTAATTTAAAACTGTAACAAAGATCCATAACTCTTATTTCCAATAAGCTGGAATTCATCTCCGGGTCTTCTACCTTCTATTCCAGGCTCTGCATTATGTCTAGTTCTATTCTCTTTGAAGTTGGAGAACAGCTGGTTAATACCTTTATCTCAAACGATTTGCAGAGAAGTCATTCAATCACGCTTCATCTGTCTCCTCCTTCCCTGTTGGTTCTATTTCCAATGGTTTAGTCAGTTTTGTTGTTTTTCTGTGTAATCCAGATTCTCTTGTGTTTTGTGCATGTAGACCTAGACCTTGCAAAAATAGCCTTTATTAGATGTTACTTTGAGGATTTCTTCTCATTTTCTTTCAAGCCAATTCAACATTCTTAGATCTTTCAGCTATGTATATTATTGGATAACCAACTTAAAGCAATTTTTATTTCCACAGACAATACCATACTCATTTATGGTATTGTCTATGTCCCTATCATTTATGTCCCTTGCCCCTCATCTTGTTTTGGATAAATCTTGTCACTATTTCCTTCAGTTTTTTTTTTTTTTGGATTGGAAAATTTACAAGGCTTTCTATGTTATAATTTCCTGCCGTAGGAAGGCAGAAAAGTGCATTGTTAGCCCCTATGTCCAGGTAAACACTCAGCATTCAGAAGCTGCCAGCAGGATTCAAATATTTTTTATTATATAAGAGTTTGATCATTTACTTGCTTAGGTAAAAAATATTAAATATAGCTGAAAATTTACTGGACCTGTCACATGGTCAAAGAGATGGCTGAAATAGAAGTGGTTCATGACCAAATCTGGTCAGTGGAGTAGTGATCCAATTGATTACTCTGTCCTGGAGCAAAACTACCTGGATAGTAGCCATTTTGTGCGTGCAAAACAGTTTAGTCTGAATGGAAACACTTAATTTATTCTTTTTTAAAAAATCAACCCATGAATGAAGTTCTGAATTTGATGAGCATCATAAGAAAGTAGGGGTTAGAAGTCCCAGATACTTAGAGACTAAAAATGTATTTGCTCTTCAAATAATTTTCTGAGATTCAAATAAGAAGGACATTTGTTTAAGTGATATTTTTAAACACCCTCTTTGTTTTATGTGCTTTTCTTGAGCTTTCATTTGTTCACCATATTTCACATATCATATAATGCAATTGGTGATACCATGTTGCAAAAATTTGGTACCACCAAAATTATATTTGATACCAAAAATTATAAAGAAGTAACAGAAACAGGAGTTATCATGAGTTCACAGACCCAAATACCTAAACCCTACTGGGACCCAAGCTTAAAATATTATTTCCCTGCTTGACAATTAGTTCTGTTACCAGTTTTGAAGCAGCGAAGCATATGAATCATTCCTCTTTTCTTTATAAATAAAATCAAGGTATCTCATTGCATATAAACCTCCTCTATATATTTATGATAACATTTTATAGCAACTGAGAACACAGAATATATTGTGTAAGCTAAGTCTGAAACAAATGCACATATTGAAAAAAAGTACACGTGTAAAACTACTTCCCCCACATTATATACTCATTTTTTTAAATTAAAGGAAAGAAGTAGAACTGAAAACCAGTAAATTAAGAGACAAGATGTGGCGACTGTGTGTTGTTTCACTTGAATAGAACCAATTTTGTTTTTCCGTCTGGTTTTTCTCCCAGGAAGGAAAAAATTTAACAATCAGAGTAATAAACACTTTTCACTTATAATAAGAGCAATGTGACTGTGGTTTTGGTTGTGCAAAGTATCTGGGTTTTATACATTATTTCCACTTTTCAAAACTGTGGCTAAAGAGGAGTTTCTTCTAAATGCATACAAAAATCGGAAAGTTTTAAAAACTAGAATTCATTCTTTAGTATATATGCTGCCTCCCATTTCAGTCAACGTCGGCAACAAAACCAGTGTTGGCAGTTTTACCAACTGTTTTTCACCAGTTCAGTTGGTTTTGGCTCTCCGTTGTTAATATAGTACTACCGATCCTTAATTTGTAGAACCACAGGGGGATGTTTAAATAAAAGAACACTCGATTTCATAGTAGTTTTTAAATGAAAACATATGTATCTGTAATAGGGCTTTAAAAGTTTTGTTTTGTTTTGTTTTGTTTTTTTCAGTAAGAGCTTAATGTGTGGCATCTGTTAGGTATAGGGTGCCTTTTTCAGTTTTTCCGAAGAGGTACAGTAGACCCAGGAAAGTTAATAGTTTCGATGTCTATATCTCAGATGTTATGGGGATTAAGAATGCCCAAGGAAGATTATTGTCAGTTATTTCTCCTTCCTTAGATAATCCCTTAAATATTTTAGAAGAGAAGGAGCAAGAGAAGAAGATCTCAAAATACTTTTTCAACACTGGCTGGTTTTGAGAAGCTCACTTTCAAAATTTGATATGGACATTGCATTTGACGAGACAGGTAAATAAACCTGTCTCATCGGGGACTCTTATAAAAAAGTATTTTAAGGTTCCTTTGAAGGGTATCAGTGTTTGGGCCCATAACTGCTAAACTTAAAATTGACATCGTAACGTTATATGTTACTCTCTTACTAACAGAGTAAGGGTTGACAAACTACCCTAATTTAGAAAAATATAAAAATGGATAATTCATAACCATTAAGATGACATATTTGGTCTCTTGTATCACCTAAATTTCCCTCTATCTCCTATGTCACAGGATTTTTTTTTTTTTTTTTTTTTTTTTTTTGAGACCGAGTCTCACACTATTGCCAGGGCTGGAGTGCAATGGTGTGATCTCGGCTCACTGCAACATCCGCCTCCCTGGTTCACGCGATTCTCCTGCCTCAGCCTCCTGAGTAGCTGGGATTTTAGGCGCCCGCCACCACACCTAACTAATTTTCTGTATTTTTAGTAGAGATGGGATTTCACTGTGTTGGCCAAACTGGTCTCGAACTCCTGACCTCGGGATCCACCCGCCTCAGCCTCCCAAAGTGCTGGGATTACAGCCATGAGCGACCGCGCCCAGCCGTCACAGGATTTCATACTTATTAAGATCCCTCTTTCTTCTTTAGGATTCCCAAGTAACTTGTCTCTGCTATTTTTAATGTATATGACCGAATAAATTCAAAATGAGCCTTATGAAAATAGGCTAAGGTCAAACATTGTATACTCCTAATATCTCCTAGCAGTCCATGAATATCTCCAAATACGTTGGAGGGATTGAGATGGACTCAAAACTTATTAGAGAATCTTGAATACTGTGGGCAGTGTAAAGCCCTCTCCTATCAATAATATTTCTTGTTGCCTTGGGAGGCAACTAGAATATGATGATGGAAATGATACAGAGGTCAGTTATATGCTTTTATTTCCCCCATATTTTGAGAGCTGCATATGGTATATATCTGCCCATAAATTTATGTATGCATATTATGTATACATCTGGGTGCATATATTGAAAGGCAGTATAGCGGAGTGGTTAGGGAATGGGTCTGGAAGCCAGATTACCTGGGTTTGAAGCCAGGCTCTTTCACCTGCTATTCGTATAACCTCGGGCAAGTTAGTTACATAACCTCTCAGTGCTTCAGTTTCCTTATCTGTAAAATGATACAATAAAATTATGTACCTCATGGAGTGGCTGTGAGGATTAAATACGTTTATATACATAAAACACCTAGAACAATGCCTGTAAAATGATAGGAATTCAAAAATTGTAGCTACTTAACAATATATTGTATGCATTTTTATATACATCATATGGATACATACATATGTATATATATATATAATACATAATCGCCTTGCCTCCAAAATAAGACAATTTCATACACATAAAATATATATAAATGTCATATATATACATACACACGCACACACACACACGTACACTCCATGTATAGCACATTTCGATTTTCTTGGAAATTTCAGTTATCTAATGACCAACACGAGTGTGGATACCAACATAGCTGATGACTGGCATGAACATAGTATACATTTGATATTTTATATCTATCTATTTAATGAAATAATACTTGCCACTGAAAACTGGCCCTAATATAACATGTACATGGCATCAAGGTGAAGTGAAAAAGCTCAAGCATGACACTGGACAATGGATTTGCATCCTGGGTCAATCACTTAAAAACTGCATGGTCTTGGACAAGTCATTTAACCTTTCTGAGCTTTAGTTTTCTCATCTGAAGAACAGGGATGTAAAATTTCTTGCAAGTTTGTGGTGAGAAGGAGACACAAAATACATTTTTAAAAAAGCATTTGGCCAACATCCTGGTACATAGCAAATGCTTAATAAATGGAAACGCTGATCTTTAATGTGTCAGTCCCGCTACAAATTAGGGTATTTTTTTTTTAAGCCCAACACAAACAAACATCCCACTGGAAGTTTTTGATCAGCTATGCTGTTGCTGTATAATGATCATGGTTTAGTCTTAAGGGCATGTGGTTTCAATAACTATATGTGGTTGGAAGTTATGCTGCCTGTAGGAACGAAAGGAGGAAAGAGATTGGTGTAATTCAAGTTTCACCAGTATCTCACTAGGCAGTTTTGGAACTTTGTGCCTTCTCTCCCTCTGGCTTCCCTTCTTCTGCCAGTAGGAAGCCTAGTGGCCCCAGAAACGGTTACACTCAAGAAGCAGTAGAGGCTGAAAATCTGCGGAGGTGGCACTGCTTTGCTTGGTGGGGTTAGGCCAAGCAGGTAGGTTCGTAACCTACTGGTCAGGTGCCAGAAGACTTTTTCTTCCCTGGGTGTTGTCTGAGAGAAAGGGATTACGACCCAGCAGATGTTCACTGTAAATGACAATCCCTTTTCAAACGTTAAGTATGTTCATATAAGTAGTAGCGAGAGGCAACTTGTTTTGTAGTTGGGCCCTGTTTGCTTCTTGCACAGTATTTAAGGAACTGGGCCTGACATAGTAATAGCTAACTTTGTAAAGCAACTACATATGTACTATGAGAATAAACCATTCAACAAACAACAACAACGACAACAACAACAACAACAAAAAGAGAAGAAACCATTCAACATACACTGGGAACTCTTAGAATAAAAGTAACACTTAAATTTAAGGTGGAGTACGATCATCAACGAATTCTTATGCCATATGTGCAAGTGGCTCTGATGTGAAACTTGCATGGTAGAGAAAATGTAAGGAAAGGAAACATATAGGAAATGTGTTTCATGCACACACACACACAATTTTTTCACACAGTTGATGAAGCTACATTGAACCAGCAATTTGAATATTATTATTATCCATCTCTCTCATTAAATACTTAGGAACACATAGTAAAATTGCTTAAGGATGGACATTTAGATTGCCATATCCAGAGTTATATCCAAGCAGCAAATGATTGCACTGCTTATAAATTCTAGGCAGATGATAATTTAAAGTCCCCACGAAAGCCCTGAGCTTATTTGATTGTTCTCTTAATTACTGGGCTCTATGCTATCAAATATTTGTGTAAGAGGAAGCTTTTCTTTGTGGGAGTGGATAATAGCTGTGCTTACACTTTGAAATTTTTGCCTTGAGTTATTAAGATTTACATTTCTCACTTTTGTTCCAGGGAAAGGTGTTTAGCCGTTTTTAGAAAACAGGTACCACATAATCAATCATCAAACACCCGGGAAAGTTTCCGCCCTTGACAAGTGTAAAATCTCAGGTATTAGCAACCCACCTCCAGAAACAAATCTACCAAGGGTGGAAAGGGGTAGAAAGGATGTCTCACTTTCCTAGGTGAATATATTGTGATTGGTATGTGTGGCATGCATTGAGAAATTACATTTGCTTACTAACTGCCGTTTAGAAATCAGCCCGAAAAAGTCTGGGAGAGATCGCCCAGAGACAGCCAAGCCCCGAGCCTCGCTCCCAAGCTCCTCCGGAGTCCTGCTCTTCTAGGCGCGTGAAGAATAAATAGAGTCTGGTCATTGATCTCCTGATGGTGTTGTTGCACTCTGGGTAATGCTGGGGGTGCCCAGGGACGCGGCGCAGTCCATGGTTGCGCGTCTGCAGAGAATTACAGAGATGGGGACAGAGAACACGCACCTCGGCATAAAAGCAAAAGGAGAGAAGGCTACAGCGAGGAAAAGAAACGTGTTGCTCGAATTGTTTCCTTAGTCCCCTTTCCATCACCCCCTTCCCAACACGCAGCCACCCCCGTGAATGCTCTCCCTTCCCCCTGCTCTTTTCTGGACACTAGCTCTGGGAAGATCACTGTCAGGAACCCCCGCCCCCGCCCCACCCTGGTTTGAGATTTAATAGGATTTTTTTCCCCTGGCAAACCGGCAGCTGTTTTAAGTCAATGAAAGTAAGATTAGAAGAGATAAGCGCCGGAGCAGCCCGGGAGCTGTCAGAGCACACACTTAAATCAGCCCCACAGCTTCTGCTCAGGGCATCACCGACGGAGTTTCTTCTGATGGGGATGGGACTCTGAGGGTCTCTCTCGGCTCCACGCGCCCACTCAAGTGTCGCGGCAGAAAGAGTCGGAGCCCAGCGCCCAGCCTTATTTCTCCCTAAATATCACTAAATTTCATTCCCTGGTTCTTGGGCATTGGGTTGGGGTGTGTGTGTGTGTCTGTGTGTGTGTGTGTGTGTGTGTGTGTGTGTGTGTGTGGTGATTTTTTTTTTTTTTTTGGCTTCGCTTAACACAAAACCAAACCAGTTCAACCACCCCGGAGGCAGAGATGAGAGCGCCTCAAAACTTTTTTCCCCTACCCCAATCTCCGAGGAGTAGGTGGGTGCACAGTGCCGGCGGCGGCGGGGACGCGCGGCGCGGAGCCTGGCTCTGGGAGGCAGTGGCCGCTTCAGCAGCCGAACCTCTCGCGGCTCCAGCCTCCGCGCCCAGCAGCCCGCGGCTCGCCTCCCGGAAAGGTTCCACGGACCCCGCAGCCCCCCGCGCGCGCCCTCCCTGCCGGCCCGACCGCCTGACCACTGGACTAGGGGGCCGGGAGGGGCCAGGTCCTGGGCGCAGAGCAGCGGCTGAGGCTCAGGCGCCGGGAAGAAGTTGACAAAGGGACTTGACTAAACATGAATGCGTATTTATAGATGCGAGCTCCATCGAGATCTAGAGATATCCCGCTCTCCCTGGCTCCTTCCACTCCTGCCATTTCATTTTTATCGCTCCTTTAAGTGGAGGGCAGATAAAAAAAAAATTCCTGCACGGTGTGGGTAATCGCCGCGTTATTTACAATCTAGTTACTCTGCAGCAGACGGGGAAGAAAACTCTGGGGCTCCTTCCCTTCGGATGGATAGAGAGGGCGGCCGGGCGGCGAGCTGCAAGAAGGAGGTCAGGGTGGGCTTGCGGGAGCTCGGGGGCGACCTGGAGGGAGCGGGAGCCCCCGGCACCGCCCCCGCGCCCCCCCCCCGCCCCCGCCGCACCCCCCGGGGCGGGCGCCGGGCCGCGGTGACCGCCGGCTGGTGCGCTGCCCTCGCCTCCCCCATTGTTCCTACTGTCTTTTTGCCTTTTGTTATTTGCACTCGCATTGTGTTGTTTGTCTCTGAAGCCGCCTCATGACCAGCAAAGGGATTTCACCTCGTCCTTGAGAGCAACACGGGGAGCGCGAGCGAGCGGGCGAGCGAGAGACGGGGGGAGAGAGAGGGACACGCGCGCGCACACACACACACACCGGCACACACGCACACACACAGACACACACACACAGAGTGAAAAAGGCGAGCCACCAAAACCCATCTCCAGTCTCCTCCCGGGGGCCCCCAGCCCGCCTCTGTGCCACTTTGCATCCCACGCCGGAGGAGGCATTAACGAGACCGGGTAAGGTGCGTGAATCGCTGCGTTTTAACTTTGTTGTTCGTCCCGATGTTGTTGTGGGCAGACCTCCAAGGCGCAGAGCTCCCCTCTGCCGCTCGCCGGGCCCGCCACTCAGCACTCCTTCCCGGCTCCAGCTGGAGAGCCGCGGAGGAGGGAGGGGGCCGCCGCCGGAGTTTCCTCAAGTACAGAGGGAGGGGGACTGGGCTGGGGGTGGCGGAGAGGTGGGAGGCGGCCCGAGGCGCGGAGTGGCCCTGTCATCCCCGGGGGCGGCTGGCCGGGGGACCCTGGAGCGCCGGCTTGGACCCCGACCCGGAGACGGGATAACTTTCTATTTTTGTTGGGAAGCCTGCGTACTGTTGCTGGTATTGTTTTGTAAGTGGTGGCGGTGGAGGTGGTTGATGCGAGAGGAGAGTGCGGGGAGAACCCTGGGCTGTGCTGGGCATCGCGGCCAATGTCCAAGGCCAGACCCTAAAAGTTGGACAAAGCCCCTTAACCCTTCTAGGATATCAGAGCGACCCCTGGCCCACCCCCTAACCTTAGTCACCCCCACCTCCCGACTCTTTCGTCTTTTTGTTTCGCTTTCTGCAATCCTTCTCCCTACCACTCCCCCTCCCTCCCGCCCGGAATTTCTGAAACAAGTCTCATCCTTCAGGATTCTAGGGATTTCAGAGACCGGAAGCTTTAATTCTAATTGCAACTACTTTTTCCCCCCACCTCACTCAGTGTACCAAGTGAAGACCACTCACGTGTTGTGTCACTTTAAGCGCGGGTTTGGGAAATCTCGCTTGCACTTTGGGGCTACAGCAATAAGAAGCAATGAAAAGAGGTTATACGAGTTGAAATCAAATTGGATTTGGAAATGTTTGCGTTGGAGAGCAGCAGTTTGTTGAGTATTGATCGGATGCACACGAAGCACTGTTTACATATTTTATTAGTCATTTTCCCTACACTTTGCAAAGCGACTATATTAATAAATAGATTGACCCTGGTGAATATCTGAAGACGCTGGTTTCTGTGACTAAATTCAGAATGTGATGATGAATGTGAATTCATTTTAATGTGTTCCCTTCTCAGCTAAAGCAGGTCAAGACGAGGAATCCTGTGAATATGCAGAGCCCTACACTCGGTGCCAGGCAGTCCAGGCACTCTGGGTGGCAGTCAACTGTACTTTCTTACAAAAGTTTAGGGATTTGCTGGAACCCACTTGAGATCCTCACATACCCAGATAGCCAAAGGACTTTGTCAAGGAAGGCATAAGGAGGTGTCCCCAGGGACTGCCTTCTGGCTCAGCAGAGTTCTTTAGCCAAGGGCAGGACCAAGGGAAATCTGTGGGATTTGGGGCAGTAAGTGTGGGAATCTGCAAAGGGACTGGACAGTGATTTGTTTCCTTGCTTTTCATAAATAATGGCCCCTAGTACCCTGAAAACACACACACAGACACAAACAGGCCAATGAAGTAGGCACATGTGAGATTTGTAGGCAATGGACATTTCCATCAGAAAAACCAGAGGAAAATTTTTGATCAGGATTACGGGAGTGAGGCTCGATGGCCAAGAGTGATTAGGTTAAGGGCCAGATGGCTTTAAAGTATACGGAAATGTTTTTCAAGTTTGACTTTTATAGCATTTAAAAGGAGGACGATTTCTTAGAGCCTTTACAGAACTGCTAAATTTTGATCTGTCTAATTTTAAAGGAATTCAGCTGTATGAGAATTGCTGTTAGCTCAGATAGGGAAGGAATCTGGTTTCAAATGCAGATACATGGAACAAAGTTTCTAGGGGTGCTTCTTCCTGATTTAAATATAGCTCCCAGGCAGAAGCCTAGATAAATTCAGCCACAATGATTTAAAATCATAAGTACTTACAGTGGAAGTTCTTTTAGGCACTGTGCAAAGTTCTCCTGCAAATTATGCCATCAACTGTTTATTCCTCAGAACTATACAAGATAAAAATCATAAGCATCACTTAAAACTGATGCAATACAGCCTTAAATCCTTAAACTGCTAGGGATTGCTTTTGTTTGCCTAAAAGGTAGATCTTTCATCACATGAGTTGTTTAAAAACATTTAATTGTGGGGGTGGGAAGGGATGTGCATAATTATTTAGTTATTTGTGTTAATTACATAGTAGCATACTTGCTTGAAATTCTTTCTTTTTTCCCCCTTTTCTTTCCAGTGATCTCTCTTCTAACAACCTTGTTCCTGAAGAATCAACAGTTTTTTCTTGCTGTGGGTTTAAAAAAATTCATTTTGTAGCCTTTTTGAGTGGGTAGTATTGATCCAATCTGACACAGACTTGCAAGTGTAAACTCTTAATACAGGAAAAACTTCAATTCTTAATACGGAAAGCTTGTATTAGTTTTGTTGTTGAGCTTAAACAGTTCTGGTTGAATGGCATGTTGTATATAGAATTCAAAACTCCAAAACCTGTTTGGTAAATAACTAGGCATTTGAGGTCCAATGGCTAATTCAAATTAAGTTAGTTCTATACATGTAAGTGCACATCCTGTTTAGACTGACACGTGGTTTGGTAAAAGAAAAAAAATGAATATACACTTGGAAAGATGCTATCTGTGGAGTATATAAATAGTAAATAGCAAAAGAGTGAAGTTTATACTCAGGTATGTTGTCATCTTTTTGGTTGTCCTCAGTGGGGGTGAGTTATGAGTGATAAGGAGAATTTAAATTTCTAAATTTACCTTTTCCAGTTAAAGGAATGAATTTAAATGCTTAAAGAATTTTTTTTTTTTTACTTACAAAGCAAGTTTAAAATATGATCTAATGCTTACAGTATGTACTACCTTCTTGAAAAGCTCTGTTCTTTTTCTGAGTGATAAGTAATCATTGATTTGAGGGTATGTTCAGATTATATAAAAAAGTAAAACTTACAGGACAAAATTTATGTTTCCTAATCTCCTAAAATACACTGGATTTCAAATAACGGAGAGTTCTAATGTTGAATACTGTTTAGATTTCCAGCAGGTATAATTGTTGGATATAATTGATTGGCATAACCTGGATGATTCACCCAATATCCAATCAACTTCAGTGGTAGAGAATGCTATAATTGGAGTTTTGAGAGTAACCTGGAAACTTATTTGTCTAGGCCTGAAGTCAAATGCATTCCCTCATGCACTGGTCAAAAATTTTTAGTCTGAGAAATGAAGATTTATTTTAAAGGCGAAGAAAGTGCTTGGCTGTTTCAAATAAACTATATCCTGAACTTAGATTTGTAGATAGTTAATGAAATAAAAGTCCAATTTTGTTCCAAACATTGTTTTAAAACACCCATTTGTAAATTGTCTGCATTTGGTTTTCATATGTTAATGATTTGGGATCTGAAACTTATTTCAGAAAGGCATTTTGGTTTATCTTAAAAAACACCACACAAAACTGTCTAAACAACTCTGTAAATAAACTGTTCCAAATGCCTCAATTTGATGAATGAATTAAAGAATTATGGTTCTTAATCCAATTATGATCAGTCTGGTTATTCCATTTCCCATTTGGGGGAGCTTGGGGAGTTGGAATAGTAAATGATTCTCAAATGTGAGTGGGGTCTTTGTTGTTTACTTTGTGTGTGTGATGTAACGTAAATAATCACTCATACCTAATATTTATGAGAGGGATTTCTGATGTGGAGAAGTAATTTCAAGATCTTAAATTAACCAAGAGTTCGTTTGCATGAAAAGTTGCCATTAATAAAGGAGTAAAGTGAAGTTTTTAAAAATATGAAGCAAAGATCTAACCTTTTGCTTAAATATAATGAATTTTGATATTTAAGAGGGGAGAAATGGAGTGCTTAAGGCTCAGTAGAAGGGCAGACAATCAGGCACTTTTAGTTTGTTTTAGCCAGGCCATATGGGGACATTTCTGTAGGACTATTTAATAAATTTTACCAAATTCAATTTCCTTGTCTTTAAAATTGAGTCAGGGTCAAAGGTAGGCTAACTATGAGTTAGCGGAATTTCGCGGGGGGTTGTTTCCTCCAAAGCCCTGCTCCTTTATCTGCCTACACGGGACTTTTGAAGGCTTTACCAGCGAGGACCCTGACCTTCAGGATGGGCCCTTGACAGTCCATTTTGCTTTGATGGGCCCTTCTGAATTCCTGCCTCATTTGCCCCATTTAACCTCTGGCTCATAAGCTAATTATTTTAAAGTTGCTAATAGTTCATTATGGTTTAATTCTCAAACTAGATGATATTACTGTTATTTTGGCAGTTTATTATGATCGTCTAATTCCATAGAGATAAACTTGTTGCAATTACAGGTATCAAGGAAAGCTGCCAGGAGGAAATATTTACATGCATGAGGACTTTTTCAGGACTACTCAAATCATACCTTATAGGCAACTAATGATTTTACTTGCAATTAAGGATAACATTCAGTAGGGGCAGCATATTGACAAAATTAGGAAAAATTTGAATGCATGTAAATAACCATTAAATAACCATCCTTCAAAATTGAGCCATAAAAATGTATCTTGGGGAGTACTAGTGATGGTGGCATTGAATTCTACAAGTATAAGTCCATTCATTTTCTATTTCTTAAAGTTCATTATAAGTAAAAACAAAACACCCCAAAACAAAGACCTGATTGTATCTCTGATGCTCAGCTACATGTCATTCAACTACTGTATGTTTTTATGATATCCTATGTACATAGCTTAAAAATAATACAGTAGTCATAGGGATGAGCGGACTTTAGTTTGATACGCAGTTTGTATTCTCTGGTAGCTTAAGACATTTTTTCTTACTTCAACACCAATTAAACTGTTGGAAGTGAGGGAATTCAGGAAGGAATCAGGAGAGGAGAAAGGCTATCTCATTTGTAGGTCTGTGATTCATCCAAAACGTTATTTAGAGATCTGAACTTACAGGGTTCTACCTCCTTTTTTTTCTTAACCTCTTTTTTTCTTTCTTTCTTTCTTTTTTTTTTTTTTGAAATGAAGTCTTGCTCTGCCACCAGGCTGGAGTGCAGTGGCGCTATGTTGGTCCACAGGCGGAGGGATGTTGAACCCTCCGCCTCCTGGGTTCAAGGGATTCTTGTGCCTCAGCCTCTGGAGTAGCTGGGATTGCAGGCATGCGCGGCCACACCCAGCTAATTTTTGTATTTTTAGTAGAGGTGGGGTTTCACTATGTTGGTCAGAGTGGTCTCGATCTCCTGACCTCGTGATCCTCCACCTCAGCCTCCCAAAGTGCTGGGATTACAAGCGTGAGCCACCGTGCCTGGCCTTCTTAACCTCTTAAACTGCAAATTATGATGCCCTTTCTTATAGGGGTATTGTTTGGATTATGTTAGATACTACGTGTGAAATGCCTAGCATAGTGTCTGTCATGAACTAGGTGCTCAATAAATGTTAGCTACACTCAGCTCTCTCTCCCAGTCGAGTCTAGGTTCTGATCATTAATAACGTTTGAAGTTTCATTTTGTACTTACTTTGAACTTATTTGAGTCTAAAAAGAAAAAATGTATCACTTTCTTGAGGCTGAGATCAACACTTTAAAATAGTGATTCAGTGGTCTGTATATGATCTCTGACAATGTGGTTTTATTAAGGTGCTGTATTTGGTGCAAGTGTGAATTCTATCTTTTATTCATATAAGTGCTCCTTCAGTAATTAACATTTTTACCCTACATAATAGGTAAGGATAAATAAAAACTTTAGGACCTAATTCTGTAGATTTTTCCTCTTGTTATCTTTTTGATTTCCTGTTAGCAAATATGAACTAGTGAAAATTTATTGAGATTTAATCGTTTGATAGTCATTCACCTCTGCATTATATTAAGTTATAGTACCTGTGGATAAACAGAAAGTCCGTGTGGAAAAAGAAATCCATCTGAGTTTTCAATGTTTTGCTCTCTGGAGTCAACAGTCCTTCAAAGAGAAACTTGTAGGTTGGTTTGTTTATTTAAATTGGGTGCAAGGAGAAAGGCACCATAAACATACCATTGCCTGATTTGAAGAGGTGATGTAAAGTAACATGGAGAAATTAGTTGTTATTTTCTCTTCCCAATGAAACAGAATTTGTCTATCAGTACAACTAAGCAAAGATAAAGGAAAGTCTTCTTAAAACAGAAAATAAATGTATTTTCTTGCATTAATTGGGGTTCCTGAAGAAGCAGTTGCCAAGATGGGATTAGACCTGTAAGAAGTTTATTAGGGGAGAGGGCAGGACAAGGCCGGGAGAGCCTTTTGACTATGAGGCAAGTTTGACACTTATGCAAGGAGAGGGGCAAGGGAAGACGATTGAGTAGGAAGAAGCTTGACTATAGTGCAGCCTATGAAAGGTTTGGCTAGGCAAATAAGAGTCAGCCATTGGAAGAGTCACCTATCTTGAAAGAATGGCCTGTATCAGCATTCCTCACTGTCAGTCATTGGCTGGGAGCAGCTACAGGAAGCATGGCCTCCGTGCCTAAGTGGTGCTAGAGCCATAGGGGAAGCAGTTGGGGAAGTAAGTCAGTTACACTCTCAAAACAGGAGATCTGAATGGTATAGCTGTGGTTTGGCAGTATAGCCCAGTTTAGTAGTACTTCACTTGCTTTGGACACTTGCTTTGGACTCTGTCTTTTTCTGTCTCTCTGTCACACACACACACTCACACACATGAGACCTGGCAATTTCTTTGAGGTCTCTTTGAGTTTTGAGTTTCTTTGAGCTTTGTTTTCCTCAATTGCAAAATGAGTGTAATGGCAGTATCACCTCACTAATTGGGATTAAATTAGGTTATACGAGATCATCTCTAAGTCCATTGTACTGTTTGTGGCATGGAGGAAATGCCCGATGTATTTTACACTCTTTTCGATGTACTCACAAAATGCATCTGAAAGCTATAGATGAATTTTATCAGGTGATTGTAAATATATTTAAATAATGGATATTTCATATAATTGGAAGGCATTGTTTATGCAAGCAAACATCTTTAATGCTTATCATTTAAAAATAGCTTGGTTCATTTATCTTCCATTAATCCTTATTTTTTATCAGAGTATAAACCGTACACCAGCTATACCAACTGACCTTGACCATCTTTAGGTAATTGGCCCTAAAGCATGAGGCAGAACTCTCTTCATTTCCTTACCTCTCTAGGCTTTCTATTCAGTTGAGTAGCAACGCACTGGAAGTCTGCATTTTATCTTGAGCCTCAAACACCTTGCAAGTCTTTGCTCCCCTGTGTTACTGTTCCTAAACCAACTTGCAGCACCACAAAGCACTGAACTCAAGTGGCCCTCAGCGCGAGCTCCTGCTGTGATGAGTCGCAGAGCCACCAGCACTTTGTTGCCTTAGATTTGATCACTGCCATGAGCAGTCCTTCGATTGTCAGCTAAGAGCCCCTTCAGGGAGTTGTCCCTTAATAGAAAGTCTCTTTTCTTCCCTCCTGTTGTAACTTTAAATTAAAAGAAACTGTAGAGGAGCTGGTGGCATTGCAGTAGTTCATTCTTCTACCCACTGGGAGAACAACATCTGAGAAAAGACGTTATTGGACTGAGAATTGAGTTGTTGCTATTTTTTTGGGCCAGAGTCGGCGGGGAGGCGGTTGTGGTGGAGGATGAAGACCACGTCATTTAGACTCAGTCAGACTGGTAATCAGGATTGTGATTGAGAGCAATACTTTTGTGTATGCAAGGAAGCTTTCTTTTTGGATACAAGAAGACGCCCACTTAGCCTGTGAGTTTCAGTAGGATTCCTGGGACCCCTAATATTTTGACCCAGATTTTTAGGTGGTTCTCTGTGTTGTACTGTGGGAAACTGGCACTGGGACAACTTTGGAATCCAAGGAGGATGGGAGGCAGGAAAAGAGAGCTAATTTTTGACACATTCCTCAGACAAGGGACTCCTCTAGGGAATCTGTGCCCAGGATAAGGACTGCTTACTGTGAAGCTTTTGGCATAATTTTTTCCTGAAGAGTGAGCACGGGTTGCTTCAATGTCTCTACTTAAAAAGACTGACAAACTTACGTTTGTGAGAGGAAAAGAAAAAGATGTTCATACTTTTGACAGTGTGTTTCCTAGATGGCACCTCTCACTAAACTTTGGATTTAATCCTCCATTGTGGCAGGTTTATACCTTCCATAGTTGCTGGCTCATCCCCATTCTGGTTTAGGAACTATGGCAAAATCCGATGTCTGCCTAGATGTACCGGTGTAATTCAGGACTACTAAGAGCTGACGTTGTTTGATGTATACTATCAGGAGTAGACTGCAGTTTGCATGCAAGTTCTTGTGATGCTTGATATTCCTGTGCACCATTGGCATTCTTTCATATGTGTCTGGCAGAATCAGTCTCATCAATGTACTCTTGCACTGGGAACTGCTTTTGAAGACATGCATACTATTTCTTATAATTCTGTCTTGAATTTTCTTACTTCACTCTCAGCCTCATCTCCACGTACCTTCTCTATTAACCGAATAGGAGTGTCTTTTCCACATCCAACCAGGAACTAAAGTGATAATTTTCATGCATATGAAACAAACAGATAGAGATCTATCAGCATGTAAAGAAATTTCATAGGTCCTCTATTTATTTTTAGAGACTTCCTGGGGCCACCCAGAAGCTCTTCTCTTCCTATCTCCTTTTACCTATCACTCCTTGCTGGCTTTTCTTAACCTTTCTCTTACCACAAATTCTCTATTCTCATGGCACCACTGTCCACTCTGCCTTGTGTTGGACTCACTGCATGAAATGAAAGGTTTTCGAAATACTCTGCTGCCTGATTTGAAATGGGTAACCATAGGGTGACATAAAACATTTCCAATTAGAAGGTAAGCTCCCTGAGGGCATTGAATTGTAGTCCTAGCAGAATCACAATGCCTGAAACAGAGCAGCAACCACATACATGATTGCTGAGTGAGCATAGTTTGCAAGATGAGTTTCATATTGAGTCAAGGCAGCCCTGCACGATGGGGAAGTAGGAAAACGAACAGCTCTTGAGTGTTTACTGTGTTCCAGGAGGGGTGCTAGATGCCATACATGGATAATCTCATTTAACCCTCCCAGCCCTCCTATCAGATGGATATTAGCACCTTTTCACAGATGAACAAGAGACTCCAGTGGTCAAGTGACTTGCCCATCTTCCTCAGCTCTAGTGAGCGGGACAGTCTTTGCCTGAATTTCAGTCTATTTGATTCTGCCACTTTTATTCTCTTCCATCACAAGGTGTTGGTGTGGGATTCCTCTCTGTAAAATGGGAGCACTAACAATACCTGGCTATCACGAGACAGTTAGGAGGAAGAGATGAGAAATAGTTATTGAAAGCTATGTCTTTGCTGTAAAGTGATCTCTTTCTTGTTTTTATACTTTTTCTTATTTTTTGAGACAAGTTCTCACTCTGTTACCCAGGCTGGAGTGCAGTGGCACAATCATGGCTCACTGCAGCCTCAACTGCCCGAGCTCAAGTGATCCTCCTACCTCGGCCTCCTGAGTAGCTGGGACCACAGGCATGCGCCAGCATGCCCAGCTAATTTGCTTTAAATTTTGGGTAGAGATGGAGTTTGTTTTAAATTTTGTGTAGAGGTGGGGTTTCATCATGTTGCCCAGGCTGGTCTTGAACTCCCGAGCTGAAGTGATCTGCCTGCCTTGGCCTCCCAAAGTGTTGGGATTACAGGCGTGAGCCACTGTACCCAGCCTATAAAGCGATTTCTAAATGTTGCTTATTATCAAATATTCACTAATCCCTATATTCACCAAAAAATATTCATTGAACACACAGATGCGTGTTGCATATACTTAAGGGAAAGTATTTTATGACTTAAGCAGAGATTCTGAATACGTAAAAACTGACATCAAAGGAAATTACAGAACAGTGTTTCTCAAAGGTGATCATCCAGTCAGCCAGTTGAAAACCACTTGGGATATTTGTTGAAAATGGGGCTTTCTGGGTCTCATCCCAGACATATAGAACCTGAATCTCTGTAGGTGTAGTGCTGTAACCCTGCATTTGTAACAAGTGTGACTGGTGATTCTTTTGCACATAAAAGTTTGAGAACCAGTGATAAAAAATTCATTGATCTAGTTTGGTAGTAAGTTATATATACATGGCATATGGAATTTAAGTAAGATGCTCACAGAATAGTGGTAGTGCCAAGATAAAGCACAACTGATTGTTGGACTGCTAGAAAGACTTTTTTTTTGATAATGTGGTTTTAGGAGTTCTAAAATAAAATTTAAAGAGCCTTTAGTAATTTGAGTATATAAAACATTAACATGCTTCAAGTCAAGAGTGAGGGGACCTGACATAAGGAATCTAGGGGTTGGGGAGTGGGGAAGGGGGCCCTGGGGCCAGTTATATGTATTCTAGCCTTGGAAATAACTTTTTAACAGGCCAGACTGAAGGAGACTAAGTAGACAGAAGACAAGAGGTTGATCTATTTATCCAGTCCTGTATCCCAAATAAGACAATGTCTGGGACATAGTGGGTGCCTAAAGATGTTTGTTTAATCAATGAATAAAAACACACAGAAGGAGAGAGCAGCATGTAGAAAACAGACTAGAAGAGTTTGATTATGATTACTATGGCTAGAGAAGGGGAGAAAGAGTAGGCTGAAAAGGAGTCCTGGTGAGATAAGACGAGGACAGGGTTTTAATTAGGCTAATATGGTCCTTACAGGAAAGTGCCTTTTATACAAACAAATAAACAATGAAAAACACTAACCCAAGGTTTGTATGGGATCAAAACATGAGTCCTCTGTGTCTATTATCTTGGGATAACAGTTACCGCATGAGGATAGGGACCTTGTCTATTTGTTCTCCGTGTGATCTGTTTTGTTCTCCGTATGATTGTAGCACTCAGCAAATATTTATTGAACAAACGACAGCGCTTCCACATGGACAGGGGAAAAAAGCATTTACGTTATACAAAAATATCTTGTAAAGAGAGAAGCTAAATCTTTACAGATGCTAGCCAATAGACTGGTGATCGTGAAAATAATAAATCTTCATAAAACTGCACATTCTTAGACAATCTATTTAACGTTCAGTGAGGTCTACATCTGATTGTCTGTCACCAAGCAGTGCTTTATGGACAATTCCACTTTCATTTTACTGTTATGAAAATCCACCAGCGTGCCCAGCACAGTGTCTTGCTAATATTAGCTATTTAATAAGTATTTGGTGAATAATTCAATGAATGAATGAGGAGTATTGGTTTGGGGCTGGGGGGAGATGGGAACTTGAAAGCAGCCTGAAAAGAGAGTTGCCCTCATTCAGTTAGAATTCCCAGAGTGACATGCGATCCAGAGATCTTTAAGCAGGCAGATTTCCCATACAGGTCAAGGCCTGGTTATTGGAATCTTGAGGGGAAGAATGTTTGCTAAGGTAATGACTGCAAAAGTGGGTTCAGCATTGTTGGAAGAGGCAACTACTCATTTGATCTGAAAAATATATTCAGGGGGAGGGAAGGTAAAAAGTAATTCTAAACCTAACCAGAGTTTTAGTAGAAAAATGGCTGTAATTCAAGCAGTGTAATGTTAACATCAATGCGTGTCTCATGGCTCAAGCCCTGCATACTGCTTTGGAAATAAAAGGAGATTGTGTAAAGAATTAGCAATACAAGGCATTTTTAAGTGCTTTATTGCAAAGGCCTGTGATACTCTGTGAAATCTATGCAGCCTCTTTCTTCCTGCTGTGCTTAATTTCAGAATCTGATGCTATTACCTATCCTTGGAGGAAAAAGAAATAATCATTCTCTGTTAACTCTTAAAAATCAAGTTTAACTTTGCACTTATTTTCAACATAATCTTTCCGATATTTCTTCAGAAGAGAGAAGTGGAGTATTTAGCCATGGAGGTTAGTATCTAGGATTGCTTCTGGGGGCAGGGTTAGAATAAGAGGGCAAGTTGGAAATAAATGTTGCAGGCAAAAGTTTAGAAATGGCTCCATCTGTTTGAAGGATGAGGTCTCTAAAAGGGTCATCAGAGATTGTGTTTGGCATGAGTCCAGAGCAGAAGCTAGAAAGGTAAATGGGTTATAAGGAAGATCCAGCAGAAGCCAGGACAGGAATTAACAACATAGGTGGCTATCTTCTTATGACATGAAGACCTGTCCACCAAGAATCGTTTCCTCCCTGGTATACCATCATGGCGCCCCTGCTCCTGTCTCACTTGAAAGCACAGTTGACACTGATGTTGATTGATGTTATTGTTGCTAGACATTGTACTAAGCAGTTTATTTTTATTGAATTTTCCTAATAACTCTAACATAGTTACAGATGCTGTCCCATTATACAGCCAAGGAAACTGAGCTTGCTCAAAGTAGCATAGCTAGCAAACGGCATAGCTGAAACTTGAACCCAGAGTGGACTGATTCTGAAGTCTGAGCTCTTGCTCATTGTAACATAGAAAAATATATTTTTAGTCCTGTTAAGTCATCCCTCAAAATGATGCTTGCATTTTCCCCTTTCTTCTATATTCACCCCTCTCACCCTGAATCATTGCAAGTTCCCCAAACTAGTATCTTTCCCTCGACTCTGCTCTATTTACCACTATCAGGCCAATCCTCCTGACATGCTGTTAATATTTAGAAATATTTCTCCAACATTCAGAGTGCCTGGGTACCACACATGGATGCGACTAAGATTCTTAAGTCTGGTTTCTAAGAGCTTCTTCAATGTCTCCAACTATCTTTTCAGGCTCATGTTTGAGACCTTCCTTTCAAGAATAATTTGCTTGTGATCTGGTTCAAGCTGAACAGAGATTTTCAGATGACTCCCAAACTATCTGCAACACATCAGCCCTATTAACTCTTCTCAGAATGCTCATACAGAAGCCATGCCAGTGCACAAAAGCCACTTCTGACACCTGGCCCTGTCTGACTCATGGATTTCTTCCAGGATTGCTCTTTCTATCTGCTTTAAACCTCCTTGTCAATTGACTTTCCTTGGCTCCCAATCCACTTTGCTCTGTATTTTTGCTTTCTCTTTTTGTTTTGTTTCTTCATTCATTCAGTAATCAATAAATATTTCTGGAGTGCCTACTATGAGCCAGACACCATGTTAACTGCTAGAGATTCAGTGGTGTGTGGAACAGGCACACACTTTGCACACAAGCAATTAAAGTCTATTAGGGAAGATCAACATTAATCAAATAATTATCAGCGTTTATGATTGCAAATTGTGGAACTGTATTTCACAGAAGATTATACAGCATATGAGAGAAGTTTCTGATGTATTTGAGGGAGGAGCAGTTAGAGGATGCTTACATGAAAATGTCACATTTTAAAGATGGCTAATGAGGTAATGAGGACAGGAGAAAAAAATCTTTCAAGGTGAAAGGAATAGCATGTGTAAGGTTTCCAAAGAGGGAGGGAAAAGAGTGTGTTCTTAGAATTAGAAGGGCAGCATGGCTGAAGCAGAGTGGAAGGGAAATAGATGGAGATGAGGTTGTAGAGAGAGATTGGGATCAGATCATTAAGCTTTTTCAGCTATGTTACAGAGTTGAGTCTTCATAATAACGGTGATGAAGAACCCATTGAGGTTTCTCAGGACAATAAAATTTGTGCCTACAGCCTGTAGATCACATTTAAGAGAGGCAGGAATGAACGGATTTGGGTGAGCTAGAAAGGAGGCTATTGAAATGATTCACACAAGAGAAACATGGTGGCTTGGACTATAGCAGTAGTGTTAGAGAGGAAGGCAAGAGGAAGGATTTCAGAAACAAACATGCTGTTTCAGATGCTTTGTACCACCCTCCATCCCCATTCCACTAACCTATTGGGATACTCCCTCTGGTCATCTCCCAGTGTTTCCATGTTTCACAGCTTTAAAAAGTAGGTGCTTAAATCCATACTTCTAGTTCCTGGGGACTCTGCTGGTGGGGAGAAATTTGACACAGAACATGTAGTGCCTCGTGTCTACATATACATACTTGCCTTCACCTCTTTATGTCTTCCTTTTGTACAACGCTTCTCCCTCGTACAGATATTCTAAAATCCTGCCCATCCCTTAATTTCCAAATTACATTTTACTCTTTCACAGCATTCTCACCAAATATACTAGCTGAATATCTCTCACTCTGATCTTATGACACTTATATCTGTAACTATCTTTATGGCTTTCAGCATCTATTGTAGCATATTGTAATCATGTTGTGAGCATGTCTTATCTCCTGAGAGATATTGTGAGTTTGTGTCAAGGGACATCGATGCTGTAGCTCAATATTAACACTGCTATTTTGGATTTTCCCTTCTAGCTGGGTTATTTACTTGAGCCCTCTGAGTCTGATTCCTCATCTGCAGAATGGGTATAATTACATTTACTTTATGAAGCCATTATGAGGAATTAATGATAGAATGAATGCAAGGTACTTAAAAAAATCTCCGGCACATAATGAATCTCAGCATACAATAGCAGTTTATGGTTATAAACTTTATTCTTTGAAGTCAGAACCCTGTGTCTTATTACTACTTTTCTCTACTTGTAACTCAGTGAATATTTGTTGAATTCAGATTTGAATTTAAGTCTCATTTCTGCCAGGGGATACGAACACTGTATAAATAAATTTTGATACTTGTCTGTGAGAACTTCAAGTTGATAGGGGAGCTAGTAACAGAAACTGGTTATTTGTTATTGGGATAAGTATAGTGATAGAGAAATAAACCCAGATAGAGTATTTTGAGAGCACCGAAGAGAGGTTGGAGAAGGTTTTCTAAGACAACTTATGCCTGAGCTGAGTATTTTATTAATCAATTAGATACCATTAAAATAATGTATGCACATAATATAAAACCCAAGGCTATATAATAAAATAGCATTTTTGTCCTATTGACAACTATACCCACTCCATTTCTACTGCTTTCAATTCTGTGTTTCTAAGTAAAATGTTTATTCCTTGTTTTCCTTGTTTAAAAAAATGTTAGATAGGCCGGGCGCGGTGGCTCACGCCTGTAATCCCAGCACTTTGGGAGGCCGAGGCGGGTGGATCATGAGGTCAGGAGATCGAGACCATCCTGGCTAACAAGGTGAAACCCCGTCTCTACTAAAAATACAAAAAATTAGCCGGGCGCGGTGGCGGGCGCCTGTAGTCCCAGCTACTCGGGAGGCTGAGGCAGGAGAATGGCGTGAACCCGGGAAGCGGAGCTTGCATTGAGCCGAGATTGCGCCACTGCAGTCCGCAGTCCGGCCTGGGCGACAGAGCGAGACTCCGTCTCAAAAAAAAAAAAAAAAAAAAAAAATGTTAGATATCAGTTGACTTCTCACTATTTGGCTCTCTTATACTATACTCCTCCTACCCCTACTTCCTAAAACCACACATTTTTTTTCTCCTATTGTTCCAATATAATTTCTTTTTTTGTTGTTAAATCAGTTTAGTAATACAGTTACTTTGACTATGTAAATGTTGCGTGTGTCTTCCTGAGCATATTATATACTGATTACTTTGACTTTTTAAATACAACTTATTTTGTTTCCTGGAGCTAATAATGGCCTATGTCCAAGCCTTCCAAAGTTTTACTGGAAGTTCTCAGTGTTTACTGGAATTCCTGAGCCATGGTTTACTGGGTATGTGGCATATCCAGGGCGGGCCCTGGGGGAAGTCAACCCTACTGCAAGGACCATTTTATTACTGGTAGAATTTACAGTTGTTGGATCTAGGTGATAAAAGGCTCACCAACTTTTTATCAGTTATATTTCTTAGATTTTCTGCCAACAGAGCACCCACTTATTATTTGCCCTTGGATGTTCTGCTTCCACCAACCTGTCCTTGCTAAGACTGTGAGTTCAGCTAAGCAAGGCAAGGGGTGGTGCTCTGAGAGAGTGGTAGTGTGTTCCAAGAAGATGGGACAACCTGAGTGGAAAGGCATGGCAGTGAGAGATAGCATGTTGTGTTCTTGGAATTACAGATAGTTTGGTATAGGTAGAGCGTAGAGTACAGGGCAGGACTAGCCGAGATGAGGCTGTGTGGTGGGCAGGAGTCAGATCAAGGTGATCTTTTTATTACAGACTCATACTCACTAGATTCTGTCGTGTAGGCCATGGGGAAACTCATACTGTTAAGTAACATGGTCTGCTTTGCTTGTGAATGAATGACAGAGTAAGCAAAAAATGGAAAACTAGCTCCTGAAGTCAGCAGTTAAAATGCTGTCTTTGCATATTCAGTGATGTATTAATATTTTAGGGATACTCCATCAGGCAAATTGTTAGAGCACACATCCCCAAGAATACACACACAAGCACAGAAACACACAGACATTCATAGTTTATGTACATGTGTTGCTACTTTAGTTAATATTCAGGGCCCAATAAACACTGAAAGCAAGGTCCAGGTTAAACGATGGTGCCTCTAACAGTCATGTCAGAGTTTCCCGGAGACCTACTGTGACATGTAGATTTGCATGCAGTGAGTTTCTGGGAGGATTCTCAGGGACACCACCTGCGAGAGGGTGAGGGAAAAGGACGGATAGGAGGAGATGTTGACTGTGATGCAGCTGAGGCTTCAGCTCGCCAATGGGGAGCTCTGGAACTGGATGGCTGTTCAGAGATGTTCTGAACGGAGACCCAGAGCCAGGCCTTTATAACTGAACATCGGGGTGGGATGTGGGCCATCCCTGTGGAGGGGCCACAACTCTAAGCTAGGGCTATTCTTGGAAAGGGACTGAACTGGGAGCTTCCAGCAGCCGATACTCCTGGCAGCTGGGAGAGCAAGTGCCGCTGGGCAGCGCACCACAGCATCCACTACAAACAACCTTTCTGATAACTTCTCTATTTTTTAGAATTCTCAGATTTTTATTAAAATGCGGATGCCAAAGAACTAGCAATTGGTCCATGAGATGCAATTCTGCCATTTTCCTGGGTTTACTTATGTTTGCGTTATTCGTATTACTTGAAAATCTGTCGATTTTTTTTTTTGAGAAGAAAACCTTTTTAAACCCCTTGTCCATTTTATGAGGGTCAATTTAGCTAAAAATTAGACAAGGCAATCCATAATGCATTTCCTCAAGCACAGGAAAACTGTTATGTGTGACAAAATGGTGAAACAAGAGAGAGGAGAGCATTAACATTAACTTCTTCCTGTTGTGAAAATGAGGGCCCCCATGTCAGTTTATTAGTAATTGGATTAACAAATACAACCTTGTAGATCATCTTGAATTTCTGGCTTTGGAGAAAATGTCTTTGTGGAATGAAACCAAGGCAACATTTTAACTGGAGGTAGGACAGCTTGTTGGACCTACACATATGGTGGTGGTGATGGGGTCTCTTTATGTACGGGGTATAGTGTTGCTCAGTACGTGGACAAGAGGTAATCAGCCAGAAAGGGTAGTCCTAGGTTTTTTCAGGTTCCCAGGTGGACGTCTAAGTCAGTGCTCTCCTAATTTTTCTGATCATGTATATAAACCGTCAATAAAAAATATATTACTCTATTTAAACAGTAAACACACAGAAAGGGGATAAGATAAAGAGTAAATAAAGAATATCTATAAAATCAGAAACGTAATTAGAAGCTGTAATATTTTCTTCTAACATGCCAGTTGACTTTTTCTTCTTTTTGCACCCACTTCAAATACTACTGAATTAGATTTCTAAAGCATAAGTTATGTACCAAATGGGGACAAAGTGCGTTGGAGACAGAATTTGGCAATTTAATGGGTTTGACATGTGCTACTATTTAAATGAGGTAGTATGAGCTCCAAGTATTAAAAAGTGAACTGAAGAAAAATTAGGTTTTAGAATAGAATTGGGATGCTTTAAAATATTTTTTTAAATCATGGAGGGAATGTGTGTGTGTATGCATGTGAGTGTATATCTGTGTGTGTGTTTGCATTAGCCAGGGTCATAATGACTTAGCATTTCTTTCTGTTTAGCAATTCCCCACAATTAACTAAAAGGTTGGGGCCACACTGACACCATTACCCTTCTGTATATCTGGCTCTAATTTATGATCCATATCCTGCCTTATATCCCAGAATGCTTTTGAATGTTCTTCCATTGTTTCTTTTTTTCAGATTTATCAATGTATAGATCAGTTAAATGCAATAATGAAAAGATATCTTTATTAGTGTCATCTCAGCAATAGAAAAACTGAAAACACAATACCTTCCATATGTATAATAAGTTCTTACCCATCTTTTTGGAATTTTAAATATTTATAAGCACTTTCCTGGTAAAACTCAGACGAGTTTATAAGAATTATCCTAGAGTCATCTTGTGCCTGAACTTAAGATAGCTTCCTTATTAAAATCTTTTATTTTGCTAATAAAAATCCATTTCAATTATGTTCTCTTGTTTTTATATTTAACAGTACCTGCTCATGAGATACTGGTTGCTTTAAATTTCTTGGAAGAAAGGGGATAAATACATTTCGGGTAGCATTATTATTACTTTTCATTATGGATAAAATTAAAAGGTAGCTGGATTTGGAACCAGTATATAGATGTCTTAATAAGGATATGGTAATCATGGTTCAGTCCCTAAGGAAACCTAATCACATAATCTTAAATATAGTTCATAAGTTAAAAGGCAGAACCTTGTTATGCTAGTGTGCTATCTTTAAAATAATAAAATTAAGATTCTTTAAAAATATACGTACAAATGATCTTTCCATTATTGAGTGTAGACTGTCTCTCAAAAGAATATTATGACTTGAAATGTTCAAGTAACTCCATCCTTACTTGTTGTTAATTGCTTTATAACTATTTGCATTTGCATACTGATTTTTAAAAACTTTTTTGAGCCAGGGTCTCACTCTGTCACCCAGGCTGGAGTGCAGTGGCATAATCTCAGTTCACTGCAAACTCTGCCTCCTGGGTCCAAGTGATTCTCCCACCTCAGCCTCCTGAGTAGCTGAGACCACACACGCGTACCACCATGCCTGGCTAGCTTTTGTATTTTTTGGTAGAGATGGAGTTTCACCATGTTGGCCAGGCTGGTCTGGAACTCCTGATGTCAAGTGATCCTCCTGCCTCGGCCTCCCGAAGTGCTCGGATTACAGGTGTGAGCCACCATGCCCAGCCACATATTGATCTTCATAGTAATTTAAAATAAACAGCGTTGTATTTGATTAATCTTAACTTCTTATTCATTCATTTAAACCTTTTTTATTGAAAGTCCATTTTTGGTTACACATGAATTGAGTAAGGGGGTTACAATGGTAAGCAGAAGAGATTTGGTCCTTACCCTTACGGAGCTTCCAGTCTAATGAGGAAGATGGAGGTGAGTCAGCTGACCATACCAATAGACTAGAGAGATGCTCTCTCCTCCAGTGTTGTTGTGAGTGGTAGCTGGACTGTTCATTCTTTTAAAAATCACAAATGCATAGAATCTTAAATAAATGCTGTTTACATTAAACATTTTAGTATATTTAACATGTGTGCTTTATTAATTTATCAATGTTTCATTGTTCATCAGTGTTTATCAATTTGCCAATTAATTGGTATAGAACTCAGACTTAAGTATGGGTGTCCTGAGTGAAGACTCATTATCTTCTTGGGTAAGCCACACCAAAATATATATTGAATGCTTCTTAGTTTTGATTTATTAAAAATGGAGGAGACCTTGAAGGCATTTGGCAAGCAATCTAAGTGCAGAATTTTCTAGTTTTAAAACATTTTCATCCCAGTGTTACGAAGGTGACAACTAATATAGTGGTTCTTATAAACAATTTGCCTTTCGTCTTTACAAAGCATTCAATTTGGTGTCAATAAAACATTCATTTTTGCCCTTATATTTCCCTAATTATGTCATATTTAGTTAATTTTCATGATTACAATAACAAATGACATAAGCAGACTTGGGATGAAGCAGACAATTAAAGTGGTGAGAGCAGGATGGTGTGGGTTACTAGAGGAGTCTTTCTGCCATTCAGGTGCCAGGTAGGCCTATCGTATATTTTGCAGAAGAAATGGAGCACATTAGTTTCTCAGGCGACTTGGGGAATGTAGGTGGGCTAAGAACGTTGTATTATAAATATGTATAGTGATAAGTGCTATCGAGTGTATTATCGAGGAAAAGTACAGGCAGCTGTAAGGATACATAGAGTAGCCTGTTTTATTCTGAAAGTCCCAGAAGGCTTTCATGAGGAAGAGCCATTTGGGCTATGGTATGAAAAGCACTAAGGGCCAACTAGGTGGAGAAGTTGTGGGTGAGTAAGCATAGAGAACAGCACGTACAAATCTCTGCAATGGGCTAAAGCTTGGACTGTTAAGGGATCAAGAGAGCAGTGTGGCCAGGGCACAGAAAAGAAGGGCCAAGGCTGTGAAGGTTGAGGTTGGAGGAGGCAGGGGTCATATATCATAGAATCTTGTAGGTCCTCTTAAGCCTTTGGGTTTTTAATCATAAAAGCATTGGAGAGTAATTAAAAGATTCAAAATTATGATTTAAAAAGATTATTCTGGCTGTTGTTTGGAAAAAAGAATGAAGGGACATCAGGTAGTGATCCTAGTAGCCTAAGTAAGAAATGTTGTCCTTATTCTGAAAACTATTCACTGTACTGTTTTTCGTGGCCTGCTACGTGACTAAATGGGTCTTTGAAATACTTGAGGAAAAGCAGAGCCTAAATTTATCGTAGTTTAAATTTTTTTATCACCTAGGAAGACCTGGAACAGAATTTTCTATACTATACTCTTACTTACCATTTTCTCCTTTTACATTTATGTTCACTGTTTCAGCACGTTATGTTCTCAAAACAATAGGGGAAAAAAGGAAAAGTCATTCTTTTAAGCTTGTACCATGCTATTGACTTTCTTTGAAAGGACAACAAGTGTGTTTATTTTATCCCTGTGAGTCTAAAAATTAACCATGAAACATCCTTCTTTACTTCTAAACTATGTGTAACAAAGAAATGCTTTATTGCAATTTCATCAATAATTCAAATGCAACTTAAAGGAAAGTAGGGCAGCTAAGGAAAAATAGCACACTTGTTCCATAATTGAGTCGATTAAATAGTATTGAGTCCCATTGTCATAGTCATATTGATGAAACAACTTTTGTAACTACAAAAAGTCTAATAAGAAATAAAACCTTAGAATGATGATGCAATGTCATGGACATTTCTTCGTTTATTTTCTATTGTAAAATACAAATAATGAAAGCAACCTTTTACCGAAGTGCAATAATAAAGGAGCAGCTTTTGAAAGGTGCTCTCATCAGGATATTAGTAGTTTTCAAGGCTGTGCAGTAATAGCCCAGGCTATTTTGGAACTGTGCATACATTAGTGTTCTGGTGCAGCATGATACAATAATGTGTGAAAAAGTATAAGCTCGCACCTTGTTTAAATTTGCAGTTTTTGTGCATAATCCCACAGTGAGCTCTTGCCAGATTTTGACTGTTTATAGGAGAGAAAAGTTTATAGAAGCCTACAGACTGGGGCTTGTTGTAAATATCTGACAATGAAAATAGGGTTTTAAAAAATTGCATGCCATATTTTTTGAAAGATTAAAAGGGTTATGTTAAGTTTATATTATATATGATATTTTGCAATGCAACTTATGGTTAGTTTCACCCAATGGAAGCTTCAGAATACACATACATAGCCATCTACAGGAAAAATGTAGATTTGCTCTATTTAATATTTGCAGGGTATGATTGCAAAGTACAGAGTTTGATTTTTGAAAACAACGATTGCACTATAATTTATGCATTCATATTAATGTTGTTTTCAAAATTGTCACCCAGAGAAGCAAAACCCCTTTTCCAATGATGCCATTGTTCAAAACATTTTGGAAAAACTTCCTCTCTCGAAATTGTCTTTTGAATCATTTGCAAGCCTGACTAAAACATCCATCTCATTACTTTCTAATCGCATTTTATACCAAGATTCATCATCCTTTTTTAATTCACCAGAATTGGCTATAAATGTCTCTCTGAAATGATGAAAATGGCTAAAATTGACTTTCAAATTATGAAATTTGTCACCATTGAGGATATTTAGAAGTGTGTGTGCTTGCATATGTGTGCACAGACTTAGAAAACAGTTTCAGATGGAGAGAAAAATACTGTGAATAATGGCTGATCTTTAAGTGAGTAGTGTTCTAAGGTGACCATTAACATGGTAAAATACATTTGAACTTAGATGACAAGGTATGTTTGTTTAAAAAAGTCACATTACCTTGCATTAGTTTTTACAACGTATACAAAGAAAAATGCGAATATGTCTTTTGGAATGCAAGGCCAAATACCTTACATAATTAGCAGTATATTTTATTATTAAAACAAAGGATTAAGTAACTACAATGCTAATCCTATGTTGGCAGATTCTTCAGATAAGGTCCTTACGTGAGAACATCTCAGTATAATTTTATTTAAATACTGCCATTGACTGTCTGATCTGTAAGTATGTGTATTCATTAGCATCTTACATAATGCATATTAATTTTTATGTCATTTGAAGGCACTAGTTCATAGCACTTGGAATTTTCATTCCAGTTCACCTCTTCATATAAATAATTGACCCAGTTTTCAAAACTATAAGTAATTATTTTCTTAGCCATCAGTAAAGAACGCATATGGTTACATGTGCTTGAAATGTAACATAACTGGAAGGAATTCCAAATGTTTTCTTATTTTAAGAACTCTGCGGTCATTCAGTGTTTATGTGTTGAATGACTTATGAGTAAAATGAAAATGAAGTAGGACTAAATTAATATACGTATCCAGAAATTCACCATTTCCTCCCACTTTGAACATCTTTATTGTGTTCCTTCTTAAATATGTAGGAAATTAAGGAAATGTTTGCCAGAGAGACTTAGGTGAGTAGTTTTTCTTTTCTGAGTATAAGGAGAGCAAACAATTAAAAGATAATTTTACTGTGGTCAGTTTTTGTGACCCTGTACCATCTTTGTAATGTCTGCCTTCCAGCTTTAGTGCATTACAATAGGGATCAAATGTCTATATTTTAAGAATATCATTGGTAGCTTTTTGAAAGTTGATAGATTTAAGTGTAAACCAGTGTTTGAACATGAAGCTCTGGAACACACTTTTGTAACATCACCTTTTAATAAAGGTAGCTCAACAGTTGGAGACAATAATGACTTCTTGTTTAACATGATATGTGATTTATACAGACTAATTTGTGTTTATAGTAATTATTTTACCCTGGTTAACTACCTGTGTTAAAATTTCTTTGTTTTCTGGCTTCATACTACCCAGTTGTTTTTTTTCTTACTTGAATGCATGTATCCTTGACTTTTCTAAACATTTTTAAACACAGGGTTTATGTAGGACTTGTTCCAAACTAATAGGTACTTTGTTCTTTTTAAACACGTTGGTTTATATTAATGAAATTGGCTAATTTGTTTTTGTAAAGTTTTGTTTTCTTAAAGGGGGGATGAGTTTTGGGGGACTAAATCATACTGAACATGCACTATACCTTTAGTGTTTTGGTAAATTTATGTTACTTATTAATTGCCATGACTTTTTGACAACAAACGTCATATTTGAAATTCTACTGAAAGAAAGTATAACAGTGTGATATTGTTCATTTGTGATGTGATAATTGTTCATTAACAATATCTAAAATCTGTAATAGATTAGAAAACAAAATCCCAGCGTGTTTTTTCCCCATTGATAAAGATAGATTTAGAAAGACCATATTTTAAATATGTCATAGTACTGCTAACCGAAAGTTAAGAGTTTTAGTGTTGTAGGAGTTATGCTAGTAAGTAATGTTTATACAATTCTGATAAACATTTCCCCATGACTGAATTTTGAGTGGAAAACTTTGTTTCTTAAAAGGCTCTAAGTGGAAGAAAAAAATATTAGAGTCTGTCTTCTTATCGTGTAGTGTGTGTGTGTGTGTGTGTGTGTGTGTGTGTGTGTGTGTTTAGATCCAGCTTAATACCAAGTAATGCCAACATCTGGCAGAGAGATGGAGATCTGGGAATTTGTTGCTTGAAACCCTGGGACAAAGTGTTCTGATCTGACCGGCGAACATAGCTGTAGACTTGAACTGAAATCTTCAGGGGCAGAAACGTCTTAAGTGTCTGGAAAATTGGCCTGTTGAGTCACCGTGAAGGCACTAAAACAAAACTAATTTTAAGCAGGTCAAAGTTCAGTGATTCCCTCTGGAATTCAAACTTTTTTTTAAGAGTCTCATGTTTAAGTGAAAAGGGTCAAAGTTGATGCACTGTTACAATGTTTTGAATGCTTTCCCTTAAGAACAGCCACCCAAGCTGGGATTAGCATGAGGAACTGCAAGGCTGGCACTTCAGCGTCTGGGTTAAAAATATTTTAAAGCAGTAAATGCAGTCAGTACAGAGAGATCCCTGGGAGCCTTTCTATTCAAAAATGTGTGAGCTCAGGGCAGCGACTGCAATGTAATTTAGGGCAGTGTATGCTTCATAGCTTTGGAGAATATTGCTTCCCGTTAATGTTCCATCGGAGGATGGTAGGATAGTAGTAATTTTAGAAGGTGGTATTCCTGTTTGTCTTACATCGAAAACTTCAGAATAAATAAAAGGAAACATCAATCGAACAAGAAATGTAACTGTGGAAAAGTACCAATGAATCTAAATTTGAACTGAACAGATACAAAACCAGCATGGGTGTAGGAATATTTTTAAAGAGGAAGCTATGGCAAAAGCAACTTCCCAGGGGATGGACTGAGCAGGTATGTACAGTGTGGACAAATAGTCTGCAGAAACTTTCGAGAAAATGCCTTGTCAACAGGGAGGTGCTTTAACTGTGACTAGATGAAATGGCGTTGAGTATTTGAATGGAGGAATTATCTTAGAACATGGAAACATAAGAGATTTATTCTCAGTAGCTGGCATTCAGATGATAGCTAGATAACCTAAGCAAACCAAGTCATTAGCTAATCACAATTCCTTGAATGAGACTGCATTGGGAAAATCTGCTGGCCTGACCCTGAGGTGTGTGGTTCCAGGACTTCTGATGTTAAAATGTTATATACTGCAGTTGACGGGATTCAACAGGCATTTCCTCAGTCTGAAGATTATGTTGCTGAGCAGAATGAGAACTAAACAAGATTCTTAGACATTAAAAAGAACCTATCATTTTATGAGTTGTGTCTAGGAAATGCAAGAGGAACACTGACTCTGCCTTCAAATTTTAGATACTCAGCTAAAAACTCTAGGCAGCTATGAAATTTGGCTAGGATCCAGAGTCTGCTAAACCCCCTGTAAAACTTTGGTTGTTCTTATCAGCTGTTTTATTTTTCCATGTTACCAGTTGCAGAATAATTCTGTTACTTTTCATCATCAACCTATGATACTCACTTTGAAGAAGCTTTAATTATTTAGTTATTTATTCAATAAAGAGCAGTTATTCCAATTTGAGGAATTACATTTTGCATTGTGTTTACTGTGTCTCCAGAGATATGAATTCAGTCATGTCTATTTATTTTAATGAGATAAGCCAGGAGCACGTGATAATATTTTTACCAAAACAGAGTAAAAATGCACACGGAAGAATGAAAAGCTAATATTATTGTGTGGCATGATGACTGTCTCTTCTACAGTTTTGAATCAGAAAGGAACCCGAGTTGTGCTGAATGACGAGAAGATGACATGCATATTCTGCATGTTTTTTTCCCTAATATAGGTGGATAGAAAGTTGCCTTTGATTTGAATCCTTGAATTCAGCTGTGTTTATAAATAACATTACGAATGCTGCTTATTTTAATGTAGTGATGAAGAATATGGGAGAATCACAGATTACAAAGCTTAAATTAGAAAAAGTAAAAATGACAAAGGTTTTCAAGAACTGGTGCTAGGATTGTAATGCAGGAGTACTTTTAGGGTGAGCTCTGAGACTTTTCTGAATCTTAATTAGGGCCAGAAGTTTAACTTTTTGAGCAGGGATTTTCAAAAGTAAAATTTATTTACTATCTAAACTGTATGAAAAAATAGAAGCATCAGCATATTCCATACTGGAATTCATTATTTTAATAGGACTCGTTGACAGTTTGATCGCAAATGACCTCTTTAAAAAAAAATGTGTGTTGCTCTGAACTTTTGCCCCTCAAAACCCTACAAGTCTTTGCAAGGAGCGCTTTTGAAGGGAAGGGTCTTAAATCGGTCTGATAGTAAAATGCCTTGATCCCGACATCTCTCTCTAGGTGCTGTCAGCTGTTAAACTTGTGCTAGCACACTGCTGGTTCCCCATGCTGTGCTGATCCTTTTGTTTAACTGGCATTTCTCTTAGCTTTCCCACTTAAACTAGCTTTCAGAATCCTATAGGTCAACTAGACAGTTTGCCTTATTGCAAGCTCACCTGAAACATCTTTTGAGGTAGGGCCTATGATTTCATGACAAATAGTCACCTCAGTGGGGAGCTACGGAGCTCACCTCTATCTTCCAAGGGTTAACAGTAACCTATAATAATAATTTGGTGACACAAAATGCTTCTTTTTGTGCATTACCTATTTCCAGAGGCCTAATTTAGGTTTGAATCAAAATGGATATCACAAACAGTACAGCTTCCTGCTGAGAAGCAAAGTGCTACTGAGAGACTTTCTGTGATTCTTTTGGTGGCATCTGGGAGGGGGTGAAGGAACACAGGGTGGTGGGGCGGGGGAAGCAATTGTCAGCCGCTTATAGTGGAGCTGGGACCAGCCGTGGTAGAGAATGGTTTTCAGAGGCAGAATAGCTTTATGGAATGGTTCTATCAGGAACTGAACTTTGTTCTATTGCACTTGATATGAGGCAAATTTTAGAACGAGGAAAACAGCAGAAGCAGTTTCAACAGATACCTTATTTTTCTGTATGATTTTCATACTTCATGCTCTAGCAACAGTGACTGCGCTTACCCAGCTGTAAATACAAAAATAATGATATAGTGTCCAGAAAGTTTTCAACCTTAAGAGTCTGTTAAAACTCTTAATTCCTCATCACAAAATCCTTGGCTGGGCTACTGCAATTGGAAAAGCAAGCAAAGTTAATCTGTCAGTGTGTCCTGTCTTCTCTAACCTTTTACCCTCTTTTCAGATCGCTTGGTAACTACCCCAAACATACTAAGACATCCTCTATTGTCCTAGTTCTTCTCACAAAAGAAAGCAAATTAAAAACAAACAAATTTATCATGATTTTTCTAAGCTATACCCAGGAGTATTTGTACTTTAAATAGAAACTTATGAAGGGTTGTTTTTCATCAATGTTTACAGTTAGTATTTCTGCCTATGTGGGTGAGGAGAGACGGGAAAACTATGACAGTATTATTTTGCAGAAGGGGTCTTCCAGTGAGCCCTCTATTCACAGCACATAGGCTAAATTCCCAGTAAAGCTAAGCCAAGAGCCGATTTTAGCCCAAATATGGGATGGTAAATGACCTGCATTTTAGAATTCAGTGATGGAGGTGGTTATGCATTTCATGCCTTGGGCTCCATGGTGGCTTCCAGTTTGGGCCTTTGCCTTGGCTGGGTCTGGTTGTTGTACCTGGTAAAGGGATGGGAAAACCTCATGGAGCTGGGCAAATTGACAAGAACTCCATCCCAGAATTTTAACTCCAGTTCTCACTTCGACATTTTGCTCTTGCATGTTTTCTGAGAGTGCAGGGTTTTTCTTGGCTTGCTGCTTCCCCAAGTGGCCAGCCCTCGCATCCCCTCTGGACTCTGGGGATGTGTTCTCAGAATGCCCGTTTCCCACCCACTCCTGGGAGCACCATGAAGAAGCAGCTGTCCTTGCTTTCCCAGCCCCACTCCTAGGAGAGGCTTTGGATGCACAGACTTCTGTCACATACTTAATTTGTGCATCTCAAGCACAGCTTGCTCAGCTCTGCATTTTTGGCTCAGTGAACACGTTAAACATACCCATGTAGGTGTTCATCTTGGGGTACACTCATGTAGGGATAATAGATGTTATGCTTTCTCTTTTCAAGGACTCAGGTTTTAAGAGTCTCTAGTTAATGGCTATTGGAAAAAACATTGATTTTTTAAAAAATGTGCTGTAAGTAATGTACTCATGGCATTCTTTTTTGATTCCTTAAAAAGCTGTGTAAAAACCAGAATTTTAAGGAGTTTCTTAAAGAATGCTTTTAGACATATTATATCTACTTCCCTATTTTATTGACTATAATTTATTTTGTAAGCATTAGTCTTTCAAAGAAAGAAGACTTTCTACCACCATGGTCTAAGAGTTTGGTCACTTTTCTGAGGGATTGCTGAGATCTTGCTTGTAATAGTAGCTCCCCGAAAAAAAAAAAAGCAAAGAAAAGAAATAACATGAAACCCTCAACTGCAGCTTTTGTCCCATTTGAATTGCAGTGGATAATTTTCAAAAACTGCAAGTGGAGTGATGATGTAAGATGGACTTTTAGCTCTCTTTTCAAAGTTTCTTCCAATTTTTCTGCTTATTTCAAAACCTTTACCTAGAATGAGAGTATATTTGTGTTGTTTAATATCCTTTGTTTTCACAGTATCTTTTTTTATAATGATTGGTGGGTAGGAATGGACAGGGCCATGCTTTGGGATCTGAGCCTCCTTTGGACCCCATAGGATGTCAATGGACTCATTAGGGTTTAGCCAAGTTTTATGCATTATTCATAATATACATTCACAGCGTGCACACTAACGACTGTCTCCTGTGTCTGCTTAGTCAGAACCATTTGCATTCTGTAATATGGAACCATAATACAGAATGCATTTAGCTACATTTTCTGTATTATCCTTAATACATATTGTCATCATATTCTGTTATGGGGTATGTGGTGAATGTGTTTAAACAATAGCATGCACTTGTACATTATGATTCCATAAAAACAAATGTATAATAAAAGTCTTTATGGAAGTAATTATTGCATATGTGCAATAACAGTTTTTAAAAAAGCTTTCATATTACTTCTAGTTTGTTTTTATTATTTGATTATCTAGTTATTTGTTTTATGCTGTTTTATGCCTGTTGGACTGATGTCCTGAAAATTTTAATTTTGAAAACAACATACCTTCTTTATCCCTCTCATATCTTACCTCATTAGTTTCCCTAAATGCATATTTAAAAACATAATATTTAAGAGACTTGATGATTAGGAAAAGCATGTTTCCTAACTACCAATTAAAGATCTTCAGGGTATTTGTTATAAAGAGCCTGTGTTCCATGTATCATCAGAAATACGTTGTGTATGTGAGAACTTAACATCAAATTATCTTCCATATCCAAGATAGAGAATCTCTGAGTTCTAATGTCAACGAGTCTAACTCATTTAGGGAATTGGCATCTTTTTGTCTGGAACAAGCTCCTTACAAAATGGAATTGACCATGGATTAATTCCAACAGAATATCATATTCATTATGTCTTTCAAAAAATTCTTAACTTGCCCTGGAAAGAAAAAAAACCTAGAAATGCATCTATATATCACAAGTATGAAGAAAACAAATAATGTATTGAAATTTTAAGTGATAATTTGTTGAAAAGTTAGAAATTCATTGAGGATATAGACTTCTAAATCAATTTACCTTGCTATAATGGAAATAGTTGGTACAGTAAAAGGATTTATTGAAATTCTGAGTTTTCTCTTTTGAGAGGCTACTGGTGGTTTTCCAGTAGTTAGAAGTCATGTAGTTTCTGGTTACCTGCTAGTAAACTCATTTTATGACGCTCGCTTTGAAAACCCTGTGATTCATTTAGTGTCCTCCAAACAGAGTGCTTTTCTATATGACACTTCTTATTTCATTATGAAATCATTTAGGAACAGATTCTTGGAGTTAGAAGCATATAGAAAATGGTAGTTTTAGTCTGAAGGGCCATTAGTCTTTTTATTGCTAATGACACTTTTATCAGTAATCTGTTCTACTTGGAATCAGTTCTATAACATTTTAATTTTTTTGCCAGACATTATTGGTGAATTTGTTTTAGATACAGGATCTCACTGAAAATTTAAAGTATACCCACTTGGTAATGTTGTAAATCGTCCTTGTCTTGTCTCCCCCTTTCAGGGAGTTTGACATTATGCATCCTGATGAAATGGCTCCTGGGTCTGTGTCCACGTTCTTCAGGAATCTGGAGGGAATATAAACTTGATGCAAAGTCTGACTAGTAGTGTCTTTTTTGTTCATATCAGTGCATTTTTCTCTGTTTCTTCAGTGACCCCCACGTAGTTGTTTGGGTCAGTCTGCATGTTGAGAAGGCAATAGCTTCAAATCAGTTGGTTTTAGATATAGTGGCTGGATTGGATTCCAAGTAGTAGGACCTTAAGGCAGGACAGAGAAAGATATGGAGCCAGGTACCCACCCAAACCTAGATCTTTTGGTTTTCTGCAATAGTATGAGTCTGTCAGACAAGGATAGATAAATTGAGTATTACATAGATAGAAAAAGGGTACACCCCTTAAATGGATTATTTTCTACACTGCAGGGAAGAAAAAGACCTCCCCGGCTCCTGTTTTAACAAGCTGTATTTTTTCTACTTTCATTTGATATTTGCTTTCATTAGGCTTACGTACAAAGTTGACCATTTTGTCCAACTTTTATTGTCAATTTAAATAGTTGGTCTGCTGAAAAAGTCCTCATGCTAATTTTGAGGTCTTTCTCTGTCCTGCCTTGAGGTCCGACGACTGAAATTGCTCAGAATATTCAGGAATTCTACTTTGGAGCTGCCATAGAGCCTGAGGCGTACTCTTTTGATAACCTCAGCGGGCAAATTTTCTTACTTGGAAGGAAGGCTTTATATTTGAAAATGGTCAAAAGATATTTGACCAAGTCCAGTGAATAAAGCAGGCAGGCAATGAAAGGTGGGGGTAGCAGAGGAGGGCAACACAAATTGTGGAGCTCAAGTAACACACCTGTTTTCTTGGGTCACTCAGAAATTGGAAGATTACAAAACAGGGGCTCTAAAAGTATTTTAAGCACTAGTAGCAACAGAGAAATGAGTATATAGTTTCTTACATTCACTTCTTTGAAGGACCACACTTATTTGTCTGTGAAGGATTAAAATAGGTTTAAAATATGTTACATTACTTTATAGTTATACTATAACTATATATAGTATAGTCATAATCACAATATATTTCATGTGTTTTTGTGTGCATCTGTTATAACTGACATGCAAAAATGTGTCCATTTTTAGATTGGTGTGCCTGTCCTTTCCAAATTATGAAAAATGCACAGGGTCTTTCAAAACCATTAATTCTGAGCTAAGTTGTCCAAATGGAAAAAATAATTTCAGTGGCTTTTTGTGTCTCATATTAAGTTTTCAGATAATAATCCAATGTTTCCAGAGCCTAAATATCTTAAATGTAGATTTTTTTTTCCTGCTTAATGTTGGTCAGAAATGCCTCCAATTTTCATAGTAGCAAAACATATTTCAGGGAGTTTCTTCATTTGAGTTTATTTTTTGGCTCTTCAAGACCAGTCTGGTCACTTGTAGACTAGCACAGTTGCTTGCAAATAGATAATTTCCACGGATAAACAGTAAGAAATATACACAATCATGTGTACAGAGTTTCACAACTAACTTATATAGTCATAAATTTTAAAAGGCCATAATTTTGCCGATTTATTTAGTAAGAAACTCAGTATTCACCAGATCATATGATATTCATTTCAGAGTAGATCTCAGCTATCACTGTGTCCAGATTCCTCATTGTGACATCCCCAGAGATTTTTGGAATTCTCCACTACAATGAGTAATATTAGAAGGGTTGACACAAGCAAGAGTAGGTTCAACAGAGAGTGTTGGATTAAAATAAAATAGTTGAGTGCTATTTAATCTTTTTTTTTTTTTTTTGAGATGGAGTCTTGCATTGTCACTCAGGCTGGAGTGCAGTTGCATATTAGATACGAGTAGAGAAGGCAATGAAAACTAGGGTGTTTTTTTTTTTCAGAGTCTCACTCTGTTGCCCAGGCTGAAGTGCAGTGGTGCAATCTTGGCTCATTGCAACCTCCACCTCCTGGGTTCAAGCGATTCTCCTGCCTCAGCCTCCTGAGTAGCTGGGACTACAGGTGCACGCCAGCACAGCTGGCTAAATTTTTTGTATGTTTAGTAGAGATGGGGTTTAGGGGAGCTCTACATATTATTTTTATAGACTTCTCCCACCTTATAATGGCTTAAATAAATGTAGCTATTACCCACATAATATATCCCAACCCAGTTTTTTCATTACTACTTCAGAAACAGCATTGTAGGGAGAGGATCCGACGACATCATCTAGGTCACTATGCTCAGGTCACTGAACTCTGACTCTTTCTTTCCTTGCCTGTAAAATTAGGTTTAGTGCGTAGAATTTTTTGTGAGAATAAAATAAGTTAATTATGTGAATGCATTTTGTAAACTGTAACATTCAAATAGACGTTAGTTGTTCATACCTTGTGTTGATGAAATGTAGAATAACCAGTACTGCAGCTAGATTTGTAGTTATTTTTGTTGATGGGTTTATGATCACTTGTTCATATGTTGGGTACCTTTTGATAAAGTCCTACTTGTACGGCTTTTTTTTTTTTTTTTTTTTTTGAGACGGAGTCTCGCTCTGTCGCCCAGGCTGAAGTGCAGTGGCGTGATCTCAGCTCACTGCAAGCTCTGCCTCCCGGGTTCACGCCATTCTCCTGCCTCAGCCTCCCGAGTAGCTGGGACTACAGGCGCCCGCCACCACGCCTAGCTAATTTTTTGTATTTTTTAGTAGAGACGGGGTTTCACCATGTTAGTAAGGATGATCTCGATCTCCTGACCTCGTGATCTGCCCACCTCGGCCTCCTGAAGTGCCGGGATTACAGGCGTGAGCCACCGCGCCCAGCCTTGTATGGCTTTTTAACTAGAATAGCACTAGCTCTGCAAGCGATAACTCTTGAAAAAAATTACAAGGTCTGCTTTTGCATTTTGTTCATTTTGGTTCTTCTACAGCTTGCAGTAAGATTCCTGATGGTACCACCAAGTGTTGACGATATCTCCCATGACCTTCATCTTTGAACTCTTCTAAGATTCTGCTTCTTGTTTTCTTTTTCTTGAGTAATGTAAATACAAATTTTAGCTCAGGCCTGTGGGATGATGTGTATATTTTCTTTTCGTTAAAAGGTATGTGGTATATAAATTGAGTATTTATATCTCATTATTTTGATAACATGCTACAAAGATCCCAGTAGCTGTGTTTAATATTTGTTTTAGGAAATTTGCCACTACAGACAAATTTATTTTAGACTCACTTCTCTGAAAAACAGTGAATTAAATGGTGGGGAAAAAACCCGATGTGGTAAAGTAATGTATTATCTGAATTCATGGAAGCCACGTGTAATCTTTCTTTTCTCAGAGAGTCTTTTATTCTCTCCATATTCATTGTTTGTTTCTATTTTCTGTGTAGTAACTGGGCTTGTGCTGATTATTATAATTCTAAGTGAAGTGATAAGGACAGATTCTTGGGTGACAGTTATGGCACCTTCCTTCTGACCTTAGGCTAGTTACTTCATTTCTTTTCTCTTTCACTTTCTTTCTTTCCTAGCTTATCAAGGACACAGTGATACATATTTCACAAGATTGCTCAAAGGGATAAATGAGATGATATATGTAAAATCTCAAATGTTCTAAATATTATAAATATTGTAAATGGAAAGTAGCATACCAATGCCAGCCATCATAATACTGAATATTTGCCTACAAAAACAGGTCAGCTATAACATCCAGGCTTTCAGGAATGTTTTGCAGACTTTTCTTTAAGACTTTAAATTAGCTGATGGAAACAGAATTTTAGAACTGGGACACTATTCCATAGCCTATAAATGCTTCCTCTAGATCCACTGAGGATGCTGGATGAGATTTTCAAGGTCACATAGATAAGTAAGAGAACTGGTCAGAGACCCAGGTTTCCTGGCTCCCTTGCTGGACTCGATTCTGCGCTCTCGCAATATGGGCTGGCTACCATTTGGCCACCTACAGTGTGGAGACGTTTTCCAAGGGATAGTGATATATCAGTAGCATCCACTCTTCTCTCCGAAATGAAGGACTCTAGAGAGGCATTTTCCTTCTGTTTTCTTTTTCCCCTTGTGGTTATTGACAAAGCTTTGGATCATGTTGAAACTTGTTACAACCACCAGGATACTCTTTCAACTTTTCATAGTTATCAATCACCCTGCTCCTAATTATTAAGGAGTAGCAAACATGATTCTACGCCCCTAAATTGGAAAGACTTGTCAGACTTTAATATTTAGATGAGGGAAAGACCTCCAGCCATGAAAAAAAAATTCCTGTTTATATTTTCCATAAAAGGGGATGTACAGGTCAAGACCAGCAGAGCCGACTCTGCCACTTTGTATAAATGAGATCTTGAGAAGTGGCAAAGAGGAGAATCTTAGTCATGTCTTACGTGACTATGCGATGTCCCCTCAAATTTCTTAGCTTCCTTCTCATGAAAATGCTGCATATGAGCCAGGCAGAGGTTATTCATTCCCTATGTTTGACCCTGAAATAAAACAAAAGTAATAAAAATTCGTAAACTTGCATTTATGGAAGTGTGTGATGAAGACAGCTTTTTGTAAATGAATGTTTTGCTAGTGTCAGCCACATAAATCAAGTAAGTGATGTGTCTCTAAGGAAAAGTCACTTTAAAACATCATGTAAACTTCATTCACTCTTCATAAAATAATTGACACCTACATTTATTACAAGTTGTGATGACTCACTCATTCTCTGTTAAAGAAAAAAGTGTTTTTGTTTTTGTTTTTAAGAAATTAGTAGGACATTTAGCTCCCCTGACAAACTAGCTAGTGCTATGTTTATATTTCCCCAATAGCTACAAGGTGAAGAGTTGGACATAGAAGCTGAATGTAGTACTATGCAGTGTGACTCTGAGCTTCTTGGAGAAGGTCAGGAAATAGCAACTATTTTCTTTTGATTATGTGAAGCAATACTTTAGGAGACAAAAATAAATTTACAATAGAGAAAACTGAAAAGAAATATAGAATAGAGTCCTCCTTACTGATAGTAGATTTGGTAGACTTTGAAAACCGAATTGTTGTCTCAGTGTCATATTTAGAGGTGAATTCAAGCCATGCCCCAAACCAGCTTTCACTATTTGAGTGTCATTGTAGATAAACTGGCAAGGACATTGGCACAACAAGTTTTAACTTTGATATTCAAGTGGTAATAACAAACATATGACTAGATTTTCATCACCTCTCTCTCTCTTCTGATCCTTTATTTGTCTTCTTTCTCCATCTGGAATCACAGTACAGAGAGACACTGACCTCAAATACATGTCCCATGCAGACAGCACTTCTCTGGGGAGGTTAAACTCTCCCAGTAGCTAGCTCATGGGTTGGTGAATCAAGAACTTACCATGGGTTAGGTACTCATAGGCATTGGGGATGCAGCAGTAAACAAAAGAGACAGCCCTTGTTCTCAAGGAGCTCAAAATCTCATGGACATGATAGAAAACAAACAATAAAGAAATATGGCTGGGCGTGGTGGCTCATGCCTGTAATCCCAGCACTTTGGGAGGACGAGGTGGGAGGATTGCTTGAGCCCAGGAGTTTGAGAGCAGACTAGGCACCATACAGAGACTGTATGGTGTGGTGGTGCACCTCTGTAGGCCCAGCTACTTGGGAGGCTGAGGTGGCATAATCACTTGAGGCTGGCAGATTGAGGGCTGCAGTGAACTATGACTGCATCACTGCACTCCAGTCTAGGCAACAGAGTGAGACCCTGTCTTAAGAAAAAAAAAAAGAAATATGATAATTTCATAAGAAGAAGACTAAATAGCATAATGTGGCGGACAGTAGTTCCCAGGACCTGCTTTGGTTGGGGTGGTCAGGGAACGAGATGGTATTCTGAGATGACAATGGCATTCTCAAGAGAAGGAGTAGCACGTGCTGGGCCCAGTGATGGGAGAGAGCCTGGCTTGTTGTGGTTGGGGGAGCCCACTCTTCTTTCTTCTTGCGCTTTTGTTATACTTCCTCTCCCATCTGCATTCTCAGCTCGTGATCTTGTTTCCTATTTCTTCCAGAAAATGAAAGGAACAAGAAAGAGAACTTCTTGAAGCTTCTCTCATCACACCTGCGCACCCACCTGCATTATATACTCTGCGTTTGCGTTTTCGCTATGTGTAAACCGAGTCCCTAGTAAAGGCTGAGTTTTCCATGTGTACTGGGTCCTAGAGTCTCTTTCTCCTGTCTGCTCATACAGGACTCCACCCACGTTCTTCTCTCCGCTGCATCATCAAATTTTCCTTCTCTATTAGGTCCTTTGCATCAACCTGCTAACTTGTTATTTTTTCCATTTTAAGAGGAAAAACACTCTTTTAGTGCCATTTCTTTCCAGCTACTACACATTTGCCTCCATCTGTTTAATGAAGAATTGCTTGGGAAAAATTGTTTAATTTTTTTCCTCTAAATTCTTCCCAGCCAGGTGCAGTGTCTCACACCTGTAATCCTAGCATTTGGGAGGCCGAGGAGTATGAGACCGGCCTGGGTAACATGGCAAAATCCTGTCTCTACAGAAAGTACAAAAGTTAGCCGGGCATGGTGGTGCGTGCTTGTGGTCCCAGCTACTTTGGAGGCTGAGGTGGGAGGATCACTTGAGCCCAGGAGTGCGGGGCTGCAGTGAGCCGTGTAGTGCCACTGCACTCCACGCTGTGCAACATTCACCTGGCTTCTGTTTTCTTCATACCTACTGGCTACTCTTTTTTTTTTTTGAGATGGAGTCTCGCTCTGTCACCCAGGCTGGAGTGCAGTGGCGCGATCTCGGCTCACTGCAAGCTCTGCCTTCCGGGTTCACGCCTCCCGAGTCGCTGGGACTACAGGCGCCCGCCACCAAGCCCGGCTATTTTTTTGGTATTTTTAGTAGAGACGGGGTTTCACTGCGTTAGCCAGGATGGTCTGGATGTCCTGACCTCGTGATCCATTCGCCTCGGCCTCCCAAAGTGCTGGGATTACAGGCGTGAGCCACCACGCCCGGCCTGGCTACTGCTTCTCTAATCTTTTCTTTTAATTTTTTATTTCATTGTGGTAAGAACATTTAACATGATATCTACCCTCTTAACACATTTTTAAGTGCACAATACACTATTTTTAACTATAGGTAAGACATTCTGCAGCAAGTCTCTGGAGCTCATTCATCCTGCTTAACTGGCGCTTTGTGCCTGTTGATTATCAACTCCCACTTCCCATTCCCCCAACTCTGGCAACCTCCATTCCACTCTGATTCTAGGAATTTGACTATTTTAGATATCTTATTTACATGAACTCATGCAGTATTTGTCTGTGACTGGCTTATTTCACTTAGCCCAATGTGCTTAAGGTTCATTTATGTTTTTGCATATTGGATCATTTTAAAGGCTGAATGATATTGCCTTGTATGTATATATCACTTTTTCTTTATTCATTCACCTGTCAATGGTCATTTAGGTTGTTTTACATATTGGCTATTGTGAATAGTACCACAGCGAACATGTGAGTGCTGATTTGTCTGTGAGATTTTGATTTTAATTCATTTGGATAAATACCCAGAAGTGCAACTACTGGATAATATGATAGTTCTATTTTTAATTTTTTGAGGAGCCTCTGTACTTTTTTTGTGTTTGTTTGAGACAGGGTCCTGTTGTGTCACTCAGAGTGGAGTGCAGTGGCAGGATCCTAGCTCACTGCAATCTCAAACATGCCACCAGGCCCAGCCGATTTAATTATTTTTTTTCTTTTAGAGATGGGATTTCACTATGTTACCCAGGCGAGTCCCAAACTTCTGGCCTCCAGCGATCCTTCTGCTTCAGCCTCCCAAGGGTTTACAGGCATGATGTACTATTTTTTATAGAGAGTGTACCATTTTGCATTCCCATCAACAGTGTACAAAAGTTCTAATTTCTCAATATTCTCACCAATACTTGTCCTTTGTTTTTTGATGCTAGCCGTCCTGACAGGTGTGAGGTGAGATCTCATTATGGTTTTGATTTGCATTTCTCTGATGATTAGTGGCATTAGGCATCTTTTCATATACCTGTATATTTAAATTTTTAGCACATTTTAAAATCAGGATTTTTTTTTCAATTGAAAACGTTTCTTCTATATTTCAGATATTCACCTCTTAACAGACATAGAGTGTATTAGCTAGGGTTCTCCAGAGAGACAGAAGCAGTAGGATGGATAGAAGGATGGATGGATGGATGGATAGATAGATAGATAGATAGATAGATAGATAGATAGATAGATAGATGGGAGGGGATTTATTAGGGAAATTGGCTCATGGGTATGGAGGATGAGAAGTCCCATGACAGGCTATCTCTGAGCTGAAGACCCTGAGGTGCTGGTAGCATGGCTTAGTCCGAGTCTTAAAACGTCAGAACCAGAGAAACTGTTGTTATAATTCTCAGTATGAGGCCAAAGGCCTGAGAATCTGGTTTAGATGGTGCCCACTCACACTGAAAGTGGTTCTTCCCCACTCTGTCCACTGACTCACATGCCAGTCTCCTCTTGAAACATCCTCACAGGCAAACCGTTAAGTATTACTTTACCAGTTCCTAGATATTCCTCAATCCAATCAAGTTGACACCTAAAATTAACCATCGCATATAGTTTGCAAATATGTTTTCTCATTTAATAGGTTGCCTTTTCACTCTTTGATTGTCTTCTTATGCTGCACGGAAGCTATTTGATATAGTCCCACTTGTCTATTTTACCTTTTGTGGTCTATGCTTTTGGTGTCATATCCATGAAATCATTGCCAAGACCGATGTCACAAAGATTTTCCCTTATGTTTTCTCCCAGGAGTTTTGTAGTTTTAGGTCTTACATTTAAGTTTGCATGCCATTTTGAGTTGATTTTTTTGTGTCTGATATGAAACAAGTGTATAATTTCATTCTTTTGCCTATGAATATCCAGTTTTCCCAGCACGATTTTTCTGAAGAGACTATTCCTTCCTCACTGTTTATTCTTGGCACCCTTGTTGCAGATCAGATCACTGTATATGTGCAAATTTCCTACTGGGGTCTCTCTTCTGATCCATCGGTCCACATGTCTATTTTTATGCCAGTAGCATACTGTTCTCATTGCCATAGCTTTCTAATATATTTTGAAATTAAGAACTGTGATGCCTCCAGCTTTGTTCTTTTTTTCTCACAATTGATTTGGCCATTTGAGCTCTTTTGTGGGTTCATGTGAATTTTATAATTGTTTTTTCTAACCCTGTAAATATGCCATTGGAGTTTTGATAGGGATTGCATCTAATTTGTAGATCATTTTGGGTAGTATGGACACTTTAACAATATTAGTTCTTCTAATCCATGAACATGGGCCATCTTTCACTTATTCATTTCTTTAATTTCTTTCACCAATGTTTTATAGTTTTCAGTGTACGAGTCTTTTACCTCCTTATTTAACTTTATTTCTAAGTATGTTGTCTTTTTGGTGATATTGTTTTCCTATTTTTTTCAGTTTATTGTTGGTGTATAGAAATGCAACCAATTTTTGTATGTTGATTTTGTATTCTGCCACTTTACTATATTTATTAGTTCTAACAGTTTTTAAATGGAGTCATTAGGGTTTTTTTACACATAAGATTATGTCACTTGCAAACAGGGATGATTTAACTTCTTCTTTTTCTGATTTGGATATCTTTTTTTTTCCTTACGTTGCCTAACTGCTCTGGCTAAGGCTTCTAGTACTATGTTAAATGAAAGTGGTGAGAATGAGGATCCTTGTCTTTTTCCAGATCTTAGTGGAAAAGCTTTCAGTTTTTCAATGTTGAATATGAGTAGATGTGGAATTCTTATATATGGCTTTTACTGTTGAGATACTTTCCTTCTCTTCCTAGTTTGTTGACAGTTGTTGTCATGAAAGGGTGTTGAATTTTGTCAAATGCTTTTCTTTATCTATAAGATGCTCATGTGATTTTTATTCATTCTGCAATGTGTGTATCACATTAATTTGTTTGTGTCTGTTGAATCATCCTTACATCCCCGGGATAAATGCCACTTGGTCATAGAATATGTTTCTTTTAATATGCTGTTGAGTTTGATTTGCTAGTATTTTACTCAGGATTTTTGTATCTGTATTCATCAAAGATATTGGCCTGAAGCTTCTTTTCTTGTGGTGTTGTGATATCTTTGTTTGGCTTTGTCAGGGTAATGCTGGCCTTATGAAATAAATTATATCAAAGGTTCCCTCCTTTTCAATTTTTTGGAAATGTTTAAAAAGGCTTGGCATTAATTTTTCTTTAAATGTCCTTTAAATTCACCAGTGAAACCGTCAGATCCTAGGCTTTTCTTTGGTGATTTTTGATTATTGATTCAACTTCTATACTAGATATATAAATCTGTTCAGACTTTCTGTTTCTCTGTGATTCATTCTTATAAGTCTCATATTTCTAGGAGTTTATCTATTTTTCTACATTATCCACTTTGTTGGCATTTAATTGTTCATAATAGTTTCTTATGATCTTTTTTATTTTTGAGGCATTCATTGTAATGTCTCTTCCTTTATTTCTGATTTTGGGTCTTCTCTCTCTTTTTCTTGGTGTATCTAAGGTTTTACAATTTTATCTTCAAAAAAATCAGCTCTTTTGCTGATTTTTTTTTCTATTTTATGGTCTTTATTTGATTCGTTTCTACCTGATCTCTTTTTTCTTTCCTCCTGCTAACTTTGGGCTTGGTTTTACATTTCTTGGAGGTATCAATTAGATTGTTTATTTGGGATCTTTCTTCTTTTTTAATTTAGGCACTTGTTGCCACAGACTTTTCTGTTATTACTTCTTTTGCTTCATCCCATAGGTTTTGGTATGTTGTGTTTTCATTTTCGTTTGTCTCAAGATACTTCTTATATTTCTTTTTGATTTCCTCTTTGACCCTATGGTTGTTCAAGAGTGTGTTGTTTACTTTCCATGCGTTTGTGAATTTTCTCATTTTCTTGCTGTTATTGATTTCTAATTTCACTCCATTATGATTAAAAAGATAATTTTGAATGACTTTGATTTTCTTAAATTTGTCAAGAACTTGTTTTGTGACCTAACATGTGATCTGTCCTCTAGAATGTTCCACATTTGCTCGAGAAGAATGTATATTCTGCCTTTGGGTAGAAAGTTCCGTCTATGTCTGTTAGGTCCATTTGATTCATAGTATTTTACAAGTCAGCTGTTTTCTTTATTGATTTTCTGTCTGGCTCTTCTATTCATTATTGTAAGTGAATTATTACCATTTTCTACTATTGGCCAGGTGTGGTGGCTCACGCCTGTAATCCCAGCACTTTGGGAGGCCAAGATGGGCAGATCACCTGAGGTCAGGAGTTTGAGACCAGCCTGGCCAACATGGTGAAACCCTGTCTCTACTAAAAATACAAAAATTATCCGGGTGTGGTGGCAAACGCCTGTAATCCCAGCTACTTGGGAGGCTGAGGCAAGAGAATTGCTTGTACCCGGGAGGCGGAGGTTGCAGTGAGCCAAGATTGCACCATTGCACTCCAGCCTTGGGGGACAAGAGCGAGACTTTGTCTCAAAGAAAAAAAAAATTCTACTATTGTTTTATTACTGTCAATTTCTTCCTTCAGATCTGTCAATATTTGCTTTATGTATTTAGGTACTCTGATGTTAGGTGTATTTATATTTATAATTGTTATATCTTCCTGTTGAATTGACCTTTTTGTCATTATATAATGATGTTCTTTGTCTCTAGAGACAGCTATAGCTAGCTATAGATTTAAATCTTTTTTGTCTGATAAAGTATAGCCACCTCTGCTTTCTTTCGGTTGCCATTTGCACGAAATTCCTTTTCCCATCCTTTCACTTTCAGCTGATGTGTATCTCTAATTCTAAAGTGAGTCTTTTGTAAAGAGTATATCACTGGATTTTTTTTCTATCGATTCAGACACTCTGTGCCTTTTCATTGGTGAATTTAACTCATTTACATTTAAGGTAATTATTGAGAAGTGAAGGCTTACTACTGGCATTTTGTTAGTTATTTTCTGCTTGTCTTGCAGTTGTTTTGTACCTCTCTTCCTTTCTTGCTGTCTTCCTTTTTTATTTAATGCTTTTCTGTAGTGTATATTTGCTTTGTTTTTTTTTACTGTTTATCTTTTATGTGTCTATTATAGATTTTTTTTCTTTGTAGTTAGCTTGAGGATTGCTTAAAATATCTTATCATTATAACCTTCCATTTTAAGTTGATAGCATCTTAGCTTCGACTGCATGCAAAACCACCATACTTTCACTCTCTCCTCCTCTAACAAATTTTTATCGAATTTTATATTATAATTAAAAATAATTTGTGCACCATCTTTAGAGTGTTTCATTTATCTGTATATGTTTATATATTTACCTTTAACTGTTAGATTTATGCCTTCATGTTACTGTTAAGTATGTCTTCATTTCAATTCAAAGGACTCCTTTAAGCATTTCTTCAGGGAGGTTTACTGGTGAAAAACTTCAAAAGTGTTTGTTTGTCTGGGAAAGTCTTTTTATCTCTGCTTGATTTTTAAAGAATACCTTTGCCTGGTATATTGTTCTTGATTGGCAGGTTTTTTTTTTTCTTTTAGTACTTGAATATATTGTTTCACTCTCTCCTGGCCTGAAATGTTTCTGCTGAGAAATCTGCTTATAGTCTTATATAGGCCCCTTATATGTGACAAGTCACTTTTCTCTTGTTTCAAAATTCTCTTTTTGTCTTTGCCTTATGACAATTTGATTGTAATGTGCCTCAGTCTAGTTTTCTGTGGATTGATCATTTTGGAGAGGCTCTGAGTTTTGTGAATCTGGATTTACATTTCCAAGGTGACCTTGTTAAGATGTGTACGAATCATTTCACTCCTGTTTAAAGCCTCCAGTGGTTTCATTTCTCTCATGGATCAATAGCTAAATTATACAGTGGCCTACAAGGCCTTAATGATTTGTTATTCCCCTGCCTGTTGAACCTTATATCCTAATACCTTCTCTTTTGCTTAGTCTGCTCCATCCACAATTGATGATTGTTAAATACTCCTAGCATTTTTCCAACCCAGGAATTTAGTACATCCTGTTTCTGCTGCATAGAACACTTTTTCTCCAGGTATCTTGAATGGTATACTCATCTTTAGTTTTTTTTTCTCAAATCTATTTACTTAGTGAGTTCTTTCCTGGTCACTCTATCTAAAATTTCACTATTCTTTCTTTCCACCCCTTCCCAACAACACATACACATCTCCTCTTTACCTTCTCTTCTTTCTGCTCCCTTACTATTTTGAATTTACTATATATTTTCTTAATTTTCTTGCCTCCTTTAAGGAGAGAAAGTAAGTTCACTGGGGAGACAAATATTTGTCTGTTCTGTTCATTCCTATATGTCCAGAACTTAGAAGAGTGCTCAGTAAATATTTTTGAGTGAATGAATGAATGATTAAATATAAGAACATACTGAAAAAGAAAAAAATTCACGTAGCAAAAATTGTACAATGATTTAATGAGAGAGAATTTTATTTCTAGGGTTTTAGGATGCCATACCGTTCTCAATTTCTCAGCTCTGCATTATTTTCTAGGCACGTACCCAAAATAAAGATTTTTTTTAAAAAAGAATAAACGTTTTTATATTTTCTCTTGGAAGTATAATGATCATGCAATCCTACATAATCATACCTTATTTAAGGAAGTTAGAAAACACACGAAAGAATTATAGAAAATTTCTGTATAGGCTGCAGAAGTTTTGTTTCCTAAATATTAATACAAATATCATATTAAGGAAGTAAAACAATTTAATGATTTTTAAAGCCTACAGGTGTAAAAGTGAAGCATATGGTTGAACAGAGATTGCCAATGAAATTGACAGATGATTAACATTCATTAAAACTTTTAATTAACACCTTGGAAAATTCCATAAAATGATACTGTATGTAAATGACTATGTGTGATATCTTGGCGCATTCTCTTACCTATTTTACAGAGGGGAATAAATGGATCACAAAAGTGCTTATGATAACAACTTTCTTTTGCCCTGAGTCTGTTTTGGGTGTTATCTAGTAGTGTCAATCATGCCAATTTGAGCTGACAATATTCTAAATATATTTGGCTGAGATATAAGTGATTCTCTGTACTTTCTGAAGGAAAGAAAAATGACCTTTTTGTTCTTTATCACTTCTTTTTTCCAACATTTTCTGATTAAGTAACAATGGGAGAATTTGAGCGTTGATGAAATAGAGCTTTTCCAAGCTAATTTAAAATGAGGTTTGTCTCTCTGGGCATGGTGGCTCATGCGTGTAGTCCCAGCACTTTGGGAGGCTCAGGTGGGCAGATTACTTGAGGATAGGAGTTTGAGACCAGCCTGGCCAACATGGTGAAACCCCGTTTCTACTAAAAATACAAAAATTAGCCAGGCATGGTGGTACATGCCTGTAACCCCAGCTACTCGGGAGGCTGAGGCATGAGAAACACTGGAAGCTGGGAGGTGGAGGTTGCAGTCAGTAGAAACTGGGCCACTGCACTCCAGCCTGAGTGACAAAGTGAGACCCTGCCTCAAAAAAAAAAAAAGTCTAAAGTGTTAATAAAATTTTTGATTAATAAACCATATGTAAAGCAAAATGGAAGGTTGTGAGAAACTGATTTTGTGAGAGATTCAAAACACTAAATTGTACTTTGTATTGTACGTTGAAACTACATTTTCTACTCACTATTTTCAATGGGATGGAAGTTGTCTACTTGAAAATAGTAGGAATTGGTATAAAGAAGGTTTCAAAATTTTTGTAGAGGTCCATTTACTGTAGGATTTTGTTAATAACTTTTGAATTCTGATACAAGGACAGCTTTTAATGTTTTGCTGAGAGATTTGTGTAGGAATATAAGCTTACCTACCTGTTGCTGAGTTGTAAACCTGGGAGGATTGTTAAAAAAAAAAAAAAAACATGGAATTAATTATGTTTTCTTTGACAGAATTATGTTTCAGTTTTTATTAGATAACATGTTTGGTCAGGGTTAAACATCCATTAGTGATGTAGGGTAATCATTAAGGACATTAATTATCATCTCAAGCTGTGATCTCTTGATATCCTCAAGGACTGCCAAGGCCTATATGGTTCTCTTTTTTTCCTACTGTCTGCTTACAATGATTGTATATAACTTCCCCTGCTTCTCACTTCTGCAGCTTTCTTCGTCCTTTCCTGCCCCCATGACCCCTTTCTTGTAACTGCCATTTTCACTGTGTTTCCCGTGCTTTTTGACTCTGTGCCTCTTGATGTGGATGTAAGCACCACACCCAGCAAGTGTTGCCCCTCCTGTATTAGGGGCTGCTTGGTTGTGTTGAGTTGTGAATGATTTTAGATCTTCTTGTAGATTTCCTTTTTACAAGCTATTCAGAATTTGTTAATTTACTATTCACAATGTTTCCTCTTTGGTCAAGAGGCAGCAAGGGAAAGGGGGATAGAATTGCATATTGCAACCATTTCAGCTGGCTGAGGTTTCCAGAACACTTACTATGTGAATGAGACATTATTATAATTTAAATTGCTAAGTGTGATTTTAAAAGATCAGTTATAACATGCCTGTTTTTGAAAACTAATGTATATTTTAGGTTGAGTGTTTAAGTTCTTCAGAATAATTTTTTATTCTCATGTTTATTGTTTAGTAAGTATTAAGATTTTTAGACTAATTCTACAGATTAAGGAGTTAAAGCATTGGAACAGAAATATAAAGCTTTAAGGATACAAAGGAATACATTTATATTATTATTTTTATCTTTTCTAGTGTTAGGAACCTAAATGTTTTGAAGCTGAAACATAAAGAATGGAAGAAAAAACAAAAATTATGCTGAAAATACTAATTAACCATGAATGCTGCCTGATTTATAATTCCATGTACAGAGATTATAAAGAAGAAATATAGCTCACAAAGGATGAGATGCTCTAAAATTGTAACTCAGACTATATAATTGAGAATAATCCTGCTGAGAAAGAAAAGGAGTTAAATAAAAGTGTGACTATATCAGGAGCTCTTTGATAAGCTCAGAATTTCAAGGGGTAAGTATCAAAGACAGAGGAAGGAGTACATAGTTAGGGCTTAGTAAGAAAGGCAGGAACTTCAGGAGAGCTGGCAATCAGGGTCATTAACTCGTTTATTCATTCATACCACTAATATTTATTGGGAGACTTTCATATGCCAGATACACTTGTTTATGTTGAGGGCAATAAAATATAATGAAGTTGTTGCCCTCAAAAATCTACTGTGATAACACAGGGCTGTAATATTAAAAACTGACATGGTTGGCTGGGTGCAATGGCTCACACCTGGAATTCTGGCACTCTGGGAAGCTATGGTGGGAGGATTGCTTGAGGCCAGGAGTCAGAGACCAGCTGGGGTAACATGGTGAGACCTGGTCTCTACAAAAATAAATTTTTAAAAATTAGCCAGGCATGGTGGCGCATGCTTGTAGTCCTAAGTACCCGGGAGGTTGAGGTGGGAGGATCGCTTTAGCCCGGAAGGTTGAGGCTGCAGTGAGCTATGATCGCACCACTGCCCTCCAACCTGGCTGACAGAGTGAGACTCTGTCGCTTAAAAAAAAAAAAAAAGGAAAAGAAAAAAAATTGCCATAGCCAAGAAAAAACTACTCCATGTCTATTTTGTTCCAAATTATAAGGTAAAGATTCAGCATACTTAGGTGGAAATGGAAGCCTACGCAAGGATAAAGAATAGAATAAGAGCACATTTAACCTCTTAAAGTGAGTTTAAGCTTCCAGTCACAGACAAATGTATATTTCAGCTTACAAAACAACTCGCTTGTAATTGAACAGTTGTAATTGAGCAATTGTGCAACTTGCTCACAATTTTTCTCTAATTCTGAGAAAAATCGGGGAAATGTATATAGACAAAGTGTTGATGTGGTTTTTAAGTAGAGGGAAATGTTTGCTCTTTGAAACTGGAAACTGATTAATTTTGTGGTGCTAGGTGAATTGGTAAGTAAAGTCTGTGTTTTTAAAAGAAGAGACAGCATACAGTTTGATAAGAACAATTTTTGGTTTCTTGGTTTTTGGTAGACTTATTAGACTAGTATACTGGGATAATCCCATTTAGTTTTAAAAATTGCTAGAGTGTCTGTGAGAAAACGCTATGGTAGAATTGCCTGATTCCTTATTCAGCCATCTTCTGTTACATCTGGCAATGATTTTGAATGAAGTATCAAAGCACTGTACTAGATTAACAATAATAATAATACGAATAACAACTTAAATATAATTAGTGTCACTGTATGGAAGACACTACTTTAAATACTTTACATGTATGAATTCATTTAATTCTCATAGTAACCCAACAAACCCAGTTTTACTGATGAGAAAACTGTGATTCAATAGTACAAGTAAGTAGTTTTTCACAGGTCACACAAATAACAACACATGCCAGGTCCAAGATTTGAACCCAGGCAGTCTGAAATCAGAACCCACACTTTTAACTTCTACATTATACTGCCTCTGGAATACAAATGAGTCAATTCCTATATTACTAAAATAACATGACACAGCTATGCATTATCTTCATATCTTTAAATATTTGAAATAGTCTTTTTTCTTACTTTTAAGTTTAGGGTACATGTGCAGGCTTGTTACGTAGGTAAACTTGTGTCATGGGAGTTTGTTGTACAGATTATTTCATCACCCAGGTATTAAGCCTAGTACCCATTAGTTATTTTTCCTGATCCTCTCCCTCCTCCCATTCCCCACCCCTTGATGGGCCCCAGTGTGTGTTGTTCCCCACCACGTGTTCTCATCATTTAGCTTCCACTTATGAGTGAGAACACGCGATATTTGATTTTCTGTTCTTATGTTAGTTTGCTAAGGATAATGGCCCCCAGTTCCATCCATGTCCCTGCAAAGGATATGAGCTCATCCTTTTTATGGCTGCATAGTATTCCAAGGTGTATATGTACCACATTTTCTTTATCCAGTCTACCGCTGGTGGGCATTTAGGTTGATTCCATGTCTTTGTTATTGTGAATAGTGCTGCAATGAACTTATACATGCACGTGTCTTTATAATAGAACAATTTATACTGCTTTGGGTATATACCCAGTAGTGGGATTGCTGGGTAAATATTTGACATAGTCTTTCCTTATGCCATCAATGAGAAAAATGTTGGGTAAATGATAACATATATGGGTAAATTTTTGGCAGGTGGAACAACTGAACTCATAGATAATTGATTAGTGGGTCGGTGTTAATGGAATGTGGACTCTGATTTTTACCCTGTTTTTGAGTATTGGTCTGCAACTTCAGTAAAAGCATGCATACAAATCTTTAGATGATACGTGTCTTGGAGGGTTAATTTAGATATTCAATAAAATTGTCAGGATTCTGCATTCACAAAATGTAAAAGTGGTATGTAAGACTAAAATAGAAACTTTCTTGAGAATCGTTCCCTGGAAAAGAAGAAAAGGTGAAGTTTAGATGTAACAAGCCAGTGATTTGATGATGCTATTGAAAGAAGCAATTGGCTAATTGTTGAAAGGCCCTGTTGTTAAATTTGAGTCGATTCAGAGGCCTGAGGAGGGACACCATAATTCTCTTCAACTATTTGAAGGACTGTCCTGTAGAAGAGATAGTAGACTGGCTTTGTGCTGCTCTCAAAAACTCTCAGATATTAATGAAGATTATTTTACCACTATGCAATGGAAAACATCCCAAAATTAGAGCTGTCTAGCAGTGGAAAGGATTACCTTGTAAAATAGCAAAAGTCTTTTTATACAGAATGAGATTGGCCATTTATATTAGGAAAAGCATTGTGTTCGAAAATCTCTAAGGTTTCCTATCCTTAAAATTGTATAGTTTAATAATTTGACAAACTTATTGTGACACTGTGAGAGTATAAGAGGAACTTGCTTCAGGGGAAATACTATGCATATGAGTGGGATATTTTACTTCATTTTTTAAACAGATCAAACTCAGTGGTAATCCTGAAGACTATAATTAAAGTCAGAATGGGGAGTGGCTCTAGCATTTCTTCTTCAAGTATTCTTGCGATGTTCCCCGATATTAACAAATTATGTAAAGAAGCCTAATGATCTGAATTTGACCCTCTGATTGTTGAAGAGGTAAAGAATAGTGTACCTTGGAGAGCCCTTTAATTATTCCCTAGTGTACTTCTCCTTTAATTAGAAGAAAAGCATGCCAGTTTACAAACAAGAAGTTTCATTTGGGAAGCCAACAATTCTTACCTCTGTGTTGAGTTAAATATGAAGGTTTCATTTGTTAGAAGGAACTACGTTGGATTCCCAAGTACCTAAGAAAGACACCAGTTGCTCCTCGACTTACAATGGGGTTATTTCCCCATAAGCCCATCATAAATGCAAAATATTGTAAGTTGAAAACACATTTAATACACCTAACCTACTGAACACCACGGCTTAGCCTTGCCTACCTTAATCCTGCTCAGAACACTTACATTAGTCTTACAGTTGGGCAAAATCGTCTGGTAACACAGGGCACTGTAGCCTCAGTTGTTTAGCTGCATGGTTGCATGGCTGACTGGGAGCTGCGGCTCACTGCTACTGCCCAGCACCATGAGAGAGTATGGTACCACATATCAGTAGCATGAGAAAAGATCAAAATTTAAAATTTGAAGTATGGTTTCTACTGAATAAGTATTGCCTTTGCACCATCATAAATTGGAAATCGTAAGTGCAACCATCGTAAGTTGAGGACTGTCTGTAGTACCATTGCTCTTATTAACTTGATTAAGCCTACCTAATGTTTTTTTCTATCAAGTTAACACAAAAGACTGGATGGATTATAGTCCCTGGTTGACAGGTTCTCCTTGACTTTAGAGATAACCCTGTATTCTGCACTCTTGGATTTGGAAGAAACCTGAATGATAATCTACTATGTAGTCCTTTATTTTACGGTTGAAGACATTGGATGCTAGAGCAATTGACTGACTTGCCCAAGGTGATTCTGTTTAGTGGGCAGCAAAGTTAAGACTAGAATCTGGCTCTTATGACTTCCTGTGAATATGCACCTCTTTCCGTTGTATTGCACTCTCCACCACTCCTTTTAAACTATGCTGGAGGTACATAGTCTGCCAAGATACAGAGGGAAAAAGGAGCATATATCTACATTGTCTTCATTAAGTCAAAGGTGTTATATTTGAGTCTTAAGTATTTTTCAGTTTTATTAAACTTTGATCTCTGGAAATAAAATAAGAGGCAGTTGTTAAACTTCTGTTCTGGTGACAATGGAAGGGATGGAGATAGGATTCTGTGCTTAATTTCAAAAAGGATTTACAGCTTATGACAGTCTTAGCAACTTCCTCTAAATTATGTAGATTACTATTCCAGTAGTAGATAGATCAAGTATCCGTGTTTTAGGACAGCTTTTAAATTGGGCAAATGTAAGACATCTTAACAGAGTATCACTTTACCTCGAGTTCATTCAGGCTTCTGAACTTCTGGCATAGAGGAAGGTCTACATGTTTGTGTACTTTGTTGCAAAGGCTTTAAGAATTTAAGATTTTTTTCTTATTATTTCTGTTTATATTCCCCGTGATTGGAATATAGATTTAAATAGTGGTACTTCATTGTTTTTAACAGTAATTGATTTAATATTGAATTTAATCAGGATAACAAATTATCATTTAAAATGTATTGCAAAAACTTTTTTTTTTTTTTTGAGATGGAGTCTCACTCTGTTGCCCAGGCTGGAGTGCAGTGGCACGATCTGGGCTCACTTCAAGATCCACATCCCGGGTTCACACCATTCTCCTGCCTCAGCCTCCCGAGTAGCTGGGACTACAGGCACCCGCCACCACGCCCGGCTAATTTTTTGTAGTTTTAGTAGAGACGGGGTTTCACAATGTTAGCCAGGATGGTCTTGATCTCCTGACCTTGTGATCCGCCCACCTCAGCCTCCCAAAGTGCTGGGATTACAGACGTGAGCCACTGCGCCCGGCCGCAAAAACTTTAAAAAAAATAAAATGTCGTTATTGATTGCCATGATTTTTATTGAGCAACCTCCTAAATATATATCTGATTCACTAAAATTTATGATAAGAATCAGAAGTGCTCCTGCTAGGTGCTTAGTAAATGTTTATTGAATTCATCCCATTAAGATTTTGAAAAAGTCATAGAAGCTTTAAAAATATATGCCTTTAGGAATACATTGATGCAGTTTGATCAAACTAAATGTTTATGGACAGTTCTTGATCATTAATTCCCATGTTAATGCCATATAAATGGACATAGAAATTTCACATAGTCATGGAACATTGGGTATTGTAGTGACAGAAGTGTGACTAGATTAAACTGGAGATGAACACATTACCACACTGCATTGTGTTAATTTAGAAAATTAAAAACCATATGCATTTAACAGTTGAATTTAAAATAAATTAGAATATTTACAAGTGAAAATTGAAAGAAAATTTTTCTGGTTCATGTGACTTCAAGGGAGAGGGGTCTAAAGGAGAAAGGGAGGTGGAATGGTCTGGAGATTTTCTTGTGACAAAGTAGTTATAGTAATTTATTGTTTGTCTTCTGTATACCCAGCCTAGTGCAATAAAGTAAAAGTCACATTCCCTGGTCCCGCAGAATTTACTTTTCCTTTTGGGGGAGGGTGGAAAGATACTCATATGTGAAGCAAGTCATTATTAACTGCCTGAGATTTGTGTGACTGTGAAAATAAGTGGAATGCGTTCAAAAGATTCCCTTGGCTTCTCTTCCTCCATTCCCCCTTTCAGCCAAGAATACTTTCCTGCTATTCACTGTGGGTACTCATATCCTGGGGGCCAGCTCGTGATCTAGATTCATGTGTGTAAGAAATTCTTGTTGAGGCCAGATACCTCAAAATCATGCTGGTATCTGGCATGCGTTCCCTCTCTTCAGATCTCCTATCTTGTGCCTTTGACTTCTTGATTTTCTGGCTAATCATCATAATCACCTGTGGATTTTGAAAAATGTAGGCACTATCAGAATTTCCAGGGCTGTGGCCCAGGCACGTGTTTTTTAAAAGCTTGCCCATGTGTTTCTGATAGCTTTTAACTATTCATCTTCTGGTGCCAGTGATCTGTGTTCTACCTACTTATCTACCTGGTCTTTACTTCCTGTCTGGTTATTCTCTTCTTGCCTGTATAATGAACCCTCCTTTAGTTGTTTAATTTGATTTGTCTTAACCAGCATTTGGGGGCATAACTCTTTCAAGATCATTAAAAATTTGAAAATTGGAACCAGTTGATTGTGTTATAGGGAAACAGACCTCAGTTAAAAATCTCTGCCATAAGCAAAGCATCTATTCTTGTTGGTTGATGTGTATTTATCCGCTCTATCATCCTTGGGTGGAATATCCTCTCATTTTTTTTGTATCTACAGTCTATGTTCTGTAATTGCTTCCAAAACACACTGTGTTCACCTGTGTGTTGATTGTAGACTGCAAGATGAACAAGCATCTATTTTGAGCATGAATATACACTTGTGTCTGTAGTTGCCTGATTGTGAGATTAATTTAAGAAAAATGACTCCAGTCTATTTGAATAATTTATCTGATGTAGTAAACACAAAACTTCTCATTCAGATGACATGTTTCTTATTTGTTTTTAAAACTGTTTGTGAAGCCCTTAATACAGATTAAGTGAAGAGAAATCAGATCTTTTTAACTAAATTTTGTGGTTGATATTTTTGAAATTTATCCATAAAAGTAACATTGCAAATGTCAGTCATTGCCTGGACTTTATGACTGTAAATAGATTTCTGGTTCCAGTGTTAAACTGTGATCTGTCTGAAATTATTTAAATATTTTGTGTGGCTGAGACCAAAAGTAAGCAACCGATTCGCTGGAGTAATATAAACTAATTTTCTAGTTACTGGCTGGGCCAAGAACATGACAGCCATATAGAAGAGCAACACAAATACAAGTGAAGGCCTTTTTATAGCTTGCTAATGAGAGGCCGGGGCATTCTGCATAAACACATCCATCTAATTTCCCATGGCTTAGGAGGTTCAGTTCTCTATGCTTTCATGACTATTTATTGGGTCAATGGCATTTTGGCTATTGCTATTAATTGCTTTTTATTCCCCCCCAAAATTTTAGAAACTCCTTTATTAGTATATCTTATTTATTTGTGAAATACTGGCACAAATAAATTCAGAGGCTGACATATCTCTTCATCTGTCACTTTGGTTTTTTTGCCTTTAATGCCATGGTCATTTTTATGTTCATAGAAGCTTCATCACTTTCACCCCTAAAGCAACTGGGAGACTACTATGGAGGAAAAAAAGGTAGGAGAGAAAAAGATGAAGCAAAGAGAGTGAGTATAGCAGAAGTCCAGCATAAAATGTAATGGGTCTCAAAGTGGGCACTTGGCTCTTACTATCTTCGGAACACTTTAAACCAAAGGATTTGCTTTTGTAGAATTTTAGAATTGAATGTAACCTTACAGATAATATAGTTCATAGGCTTCATTTTAAAAATAAGGAAAGAATAGAAAGGTTAAATGACATGCTCATGGTCACACAAATAGTGGCATTGTCTACTGACTGGCCATCACGCTGCTACTTATCTTTATTTTTAGGATGAGCAAAGTAGGTCATTTGCCTCTGAGATTTGGTGTAAAGGCTAAGATCATCAGGTGCCTCAATTTTGGCCAATGAATGGGCAATTTCCGAACTTTCTTTTCCTCATTCCCTGTATTTGACACTGTTGACACCTCATTCTTTCTTGAAATTCTCTGTTCTTTCTGTTTCTGTGGCTGCATGGTCCCTGTTCTCCTTTTAGTCTGAGCTTTATTATTTATTTCCTTCAGGGGACCTCTTTATGTTTTCACTCCTTAACACTGAGCCTCCAGAGGTCTGCCCTTAGCCCACTGTTCTTTGCCCTCTTCACCTTCTCTTTGGACAATCTCAACATTTATTTAGTGATTATTATAGCCCCACACCATGCTAGGTGCCAGATAATGATAGACACAGCCCTGGACCACAGCGTGAATGATTCCATCCATTCTTGGGGTTTCAGCTGCTGCATATATTCTGAGGATTCTTCAGTCTATAGCTCTGTTGTGACTGATGCCCTGGGCTGCAGATGCACATCCCACTTGGATGTCTCACGGAAATCTCAAACCTGACATGCTTAACATGGACTTTATCCATTTTCTTTACCCCCAACCCCTTTTATGTCCAAGTTTGCCTTTCCTCTTGAGTTCTGTATCTCAGTGTCAAAGTCAACCAGTCCATCAGAAAGTTCAAAGCCAGCTTTGATTCTTATTCTTTCTTTCCCTTCCAGTGACTAATTCCTGGCCCCCTACCTTATTCCTGTTCTCTTTTACTCCTTTATTGTTCTTTGTCTGCAGTTTTTTCAGTAGGCTTCTCACTGAGCTTCTTTTCTCCAGGTTTGCTCCCCTTTCCACTGTCTTCCTGAAACCCACTCTGCACAGGGCTGCTAGAGTGATGGTCTAGACGCATGTGTAAATCTAACCCCATCAGTCTCTGCTTAAAACCCTTGCTTAGTTTCCCATATCCTACAGGGTAAAGTCCAAGCTCCTTAGCATGGAACTTGAGGCTGCTGCAACCTGGCCCTCCCTTGTGCAACCTTGCCTTCCACCCACCCTCAGGCTGCACTCCGATGACATCATACTTTGCCTTGGGTCAGTGTTTTCACTGATGCCATTTTCTCTGCCTGGTACATAGCATCTCAACTCATGGCTGGCTCTCCTGTATAACTTGGTAAAACTAAAAAAAAAATTATGGAAATTTTCAAATATTTACAGAAGGAGATGGAAAGGTATAAACAATTATTATATTCAATGTTAGATTTTGACATACTGTTTCATTTATCATCCTCTCCTTTAATTTTTTCTTTTGCTGTAGTATTTTAAAGCAAATTCAAGATACCATACAATTTCACCCCTCTTTCCATAGGTGTCTTCAAAAATATGGACATTTTCGTACATAACAATGTTATTTAAAGCCTAATGAAATTGACAGTAATTCCCTGAGATTATCTAATTCCCTGCACATAATGAAAATTTCTAAGTTGTTGCAAAAAAGTCTTTTTTACAGTTAGATTTTTAAAATAATGTTCCAAATAAGTACCACATATTAAACTTTGTTAAATCTATAATTCTTCTTTGAGGACAGTTCTCCTCTTTTATTAATGTCATTTACTTGTTGCAGAAAGTAGGTCAGTTGTCATATAGAGTGTTCCATAATCTGTATTTGTCTCCTTGTGGTGTCATTTAACTTGTTTCTCTATCTAGTATCTCTATCCTAGAACTATAAATTAGCTTTCGAGGTTTGATTAAATTCAGGTTCCATAGTCTATCCATCCATCTACCTACCTAATTATCTACTTATATACCTAATTTTTAGGATGTTAACATTGATCAGTGGGTTCAAGTGGTGACAGCCTCATTTGTCCCTCATCAGAGTCACCATCAATTGTTGAGGAACCAATGGTTTAATCCATTGATGATTATTGCCTAAATCAATTATTTCATTAAGGGTTGTAAAGAAGAATTTTATTTCATTCATTAAGACCATTTGGATACCATGGGCCGGGCGCGGTGGCTGATGCCTGTAATCCCAGCACTTTGGGAGGCCGAGGCGGGCGGATCACGAGGTCAGGAAATCGAGACCATCCTGGCTAACAAGGTGAAACCCCGTCTCTACTAAAAATACAAAAAATTAGCCGGGTGCAGTGGCGGGCGCCTGTAGTCCCAGCTACTTGGGAGGCTGAGGCAGGAGAATGGTGTGAACCCGGGAGGCGGAGCTTACAGTGAGCCGAGATCGCGCCACTGCACTCCAGCCTGGGCGACAGAGCGAGACTCCCGTCTCCAAAAAAAAAAAAAAAAAAAAAAGACCATTTGGATACCATGAAATACAGGTTGCATTGGAAAGGGAGGGGGAAAATGCTAGTTCTTTCTTTTTGATTATCTGTCTAAATTTTAATAGATTCTTCAAGGCTCTGATCAGCAGATTTTATCAGTAGGATGCCATTGTTAATCCTGCAGAGCCAAACTATAGCCACTCTCCCCTTGCATGAAATTCTATATTCACCCCTACCATCAGTCTCACGTTGTATTGAAAATATTAATTTTTAACTGTAAATTCATTTCACTGTGCATGATTGGACCTAAAGCAATGCTACTGAAGGCAATTCAGTAAAACACAAACTACCCCAAACAAGACTTTTCTTGTAATCATTATTGCATCTCTCTCTCTCTTTTTTTTTTTTTGTAAATTTATGTGCCTCTTGGAACATTTGTGTTCATTTTCGAATGTTTCAAAATTTATTTTTTTCTTTTTAATCTCTAGTTAATTGTCAGCCAGATTTGCTTGCTTCATGTATTTGTAATAGTTAAAAGTGGAAAATGTTTTAAAAGGGGACATTGCTAAATTATGGTATTCCAAGCAGTGGGATAATATGGAGACATTAAAAATAATATTTTTTAAAAATGTAACTATTGTCATGTAAAGATTTTGATGTTTTGTTGTGAAGTGATAAAAAAGATTACAAAAAGATGCTACTATCCTATTAATATTTTTTGGTCACACATAGGGGGTGTGGTCATGTTATTATTGCTGTTATTAATAGTATATCATGAGGAAAAGTTTTAAAGTCCATTTACAAGGCAAATATTGTCTGGAGTTACATTAGACTAAAAAATCTTAAATCCTATAAATATTCATAATGCGAGGTGTTCACAGTAGGGAAACTCTCAGAAGCCGTGGTTGGGGTTGCACTAGACTCATCTCCTGCAGTGATGCGCACACACACACACACACACGCACACACACACACACACACACACATACCAAGCCTTGGCCTTCCAGGCGTGGGAGTGGTAAACTCCTAAGCAAGGAAGCATGACATATGCTGTTAGGAGAGTGATTTACATACAAATTGATGGACTCATAGTGCGTATGGGTTTCAGAAGTTATGTAATAATTGCCCATAAAATTAAAAAAATTGCTTTTTGATCCACTTGGCTGGTTGATTGCCTCAGATGTAGGTGAAGTTAGCTGTGCAACAGTGGTGAGTTACTGTGAATAGTTTCTTGTTATCAGAGCACCTGTGTTTTCTCTGGGTGTGTTTACAAAGTTCAGATGATTATGTTTATCTATCTTATGGCTAAATATGGACATATTCAAAAGAAGTTCCGTATGAAAAGCATAACACATACTGGCTCTTATTTTTTTTCAATTGTTACATAATTCAGTAACATCTCAAGAAACCACCACCTTATTCTTGTTTTTAATTTCCATCACATCTCTTCTCTTACATTGATCGTTTTCTCCAACAAGCTCCCATGTCACTTTCCCTTTTGTTTCTGTGAGTTCTTCTTTGTTCCAGATACAACTCAAGGTTTTCCACATTATAAGCTTTCAGTCAAGTTCTGTTGAGCCCAATACTGATTTTACACAGATGTTGATCTAATTTAGCAGATTGAGCCATTATTTCTGAATCTTAAAAGAAAAAAATGAAACAAGAAAATTAGGCACAATAGGGCTGCCTGGCCTTTTCCAGATGTAGGCATAGGTTTATAACATGGTCAGATCTTAAACCTGTTTTTACTGATGCTACAAGTCAACCCAAAAATCTCCCAGAAAGAATCTGGTGTTTTAGTCTCTTTTTATCTGTTGTTGCTTCCTCTTCATGCAAAATTGCAAACCCCAGGATTGAGTAGTGATACTTTACATAGATATGGTATTTTTTTTCCTCACCTGCATCTCATCTTCAATGCGGCATGAAAAAACAAAAAAAGTGAGAGTAGCCAGGGTGGTTGGGAATATTGTAAGTGCACCTTGCTTAGATTAGCTTTAGGATCAGTGTGCTAGGTCCTTAATCCACTCATCAAGACAGATGTGAACTCAAAGGAAATAATGTTTTGTTGAAAAAAGAAAAAGGAACTAGAATTAAGGTTTATATCATTAGCCATTGTATGCAAAAAGAAGGAAAGAGTAGGTTCTATTTGAATGTTTATCTATACAATTTATTTATATAGTTCTCTACTATTTTTGCACTTGATGTCAATTTTGGAAACATGGTAGGCATTTTGAAAATAATGTACATATATTTTAATTTTTAGAATTGTCATGAAAGAAATGGTGGCATGCTTGTGTTTCTCTGGAATAGTATTAATTTTTCTTAAAGTAGTAGATTTGCGTATTTTGTTGGAAATGACTTTTTCTCTTAAAAAATTTATCGGTGAATTAGGTATAGGTTTAAGTGAAAAGCCTTTTAGTGACCTGTAATGTAATTTTTTTAAAAGCCCACATTTATATATTGAAGACAAGACATTATTTTCAAGAGTGTAAAGATTTTACTGGGGCTCATATTTAGAAGACTAACCAGTTAGTCCTGTAAGAATAGGCACAAATGGAACTGTTGACGTAGCCTATAGTCTGATAAATTCCTATTTTAAGGACATAAGTATTGATGTTAAATTGTTCAATAATGATTGGAAGAGCTCTGTAGAAAAATTAGTGGGCCAATTAATTTGAGTAATTATTAATTATATTCAGAACACTGCTATGAAGCAAAGCTACAGGGAAATAGGCCTAGAGTTGCAGAAAGTAAAACATTTTCTCTATGTACCCTTCTTATTTGATTGGAAGAGAGTTCGAATTTCTACTCTGAGAAACTCAAAATGTGTTGTTTTTTTTTTAATTATACTTTAAGTTCTGGGATACATTTGCAGAACGTGCAGGTTTGTTACATATGTATACACGTGCCATGGTGGTTTGCTGCACCCATCAACCTGTCATCTACATTAGGTATTTCTTCTAATGCTATCCCTCCCCTACCCACCAACCCCTGACAGGCCCTGGTGTGTGATGTTGCCCTCCCTGTGTCCATGTGTTCTCATTGTTCAACTCCCACTTATGAGTGAGAACATGCTGTGGTTGGTTTTCTGTCCTGAGTTAGTTTGCTGAGAATGATGGTTTCCAGCTTCATTCATGTACCTGCAAAGGACATGAACTCATCCTTTTTTAAGGCTGCATAGTATTCCCTGGTGTATATGTGCCACATTTTCTTTATCCCATCTATCATTGATGGGCATTTGGGTTGGTTCCAAGTCTTTGCTATTGTGAACAGTACTACAATAAACATACGTGTGCATGTGTGTTTATAGTTGCTCAGTCTTGATAATTGTTCATTTAGACTATGGCGGTTCTACAGTGAGATTTTTCAGCCTCGTTATATAATTCCTCACACTATCCTTTTAAGCTATGCTTTGTAAACAAATCATTTCATTTTACTTACTTTATTTTAGAGATGTGGTCATGCGTCATTGCTCAAGCTAGACTTGAACTTCTGGCTTCCAGTGACCCTCATGCCTCAGCCTCCCTATTTGTTGGAATTACAGGCGTGAGCCATGATGCCTGGCTAAAAAAATGTTTTTGACATGATTTTAGACTTATAGAAAAGTTACAGAGATAATACTTTTTTTTGTATGCTTTGTTTGGCTTCTGCCAATCATAACAACTTACATAAGCATAGTATAGTCACCAAAACTAGGAAATAAACATACACACCTTGTTCTAATTTCACTAGCTTTCCTACTAATGTTATTTTTGTGATCCACGATCCCATCCAGAATCCCACAGTGCATTTAGCTGTTGCATCTCCTTTTCTCCTCCAGTGTGACAATTCTTCAGCTTTCCCTGTTTTTCATGATCTTGACAACTTTGATGAGTGCTAGTCAATTATTTTGTAAAATGCCTCTGGGTTTGGGTTTGATTTCCCATGATTAGATTGAGGATATGCACTTTTGGCCAGAATACCGTAAAATTGATGTGTTTTTCTCAGGGCATCATATCAGGGGATATACTTCGTTTTACCACTGGTAATGCTAATCTTGATCATTTGATTAAGGCAGTATCTGCTGCATTTCCCCACCGTAAATTTACTGCTTTTTCCCATTGAATTAATAAACATCTTGGGGTAAATACTGTGAGACTATGCAAATATTTGCTTCTTCTCGGCACCAATTTTAGCACCCGTTGGTAGATGTTGCTTGCAGTAATTATTATGGTAGCATTCTCATGGAGATTTTGTATTACCCCCTTTTATCTTACATTTATTTGGAAATTTTCTGTAAGGAAGAACTGTTCCTTCTTCCTCATTTATGGGTTTATATACTCAATGATTTATTTCCATTATCAGTAGGTTATATTCCATCAATGTAGATTCATGAATATTTAGTTTTGTGTTATGGTTTATGGTCTAATAATATTTTTTTGATCAAATTGTTTTAGTTTTGCCCATTGGGAACTCTTCAGTTTGACGCCCATATCCTTTTGAAGTGCTCCTTTCCTTTTTCTCTCACTTTCTTATTTTCTGGTACCACGAGATATTCCAGGTTTATCTCATATTATCCCTGACCCATTGTTGGAATTGGCCACTTCTTCATGGAATCTCCTTGGTTGAAGCTACATACAACTGGAGAATGTTTAGAAAGTAAAGTCTTGCCCCATGCATTCATTTAAATAATGTTATTTTAGAAGGTGATATGACAATAAAGAAATATTAAATACATAAGTTGGCGTGTTTAGAGGTTTGTAGGTGGAGCCTGGAAGGCTGTTTCCAAGAATTAGGTCTGAGAATCCCATTGCAGGCTGAGTGTTTTTTTTCAGGATGTGAAGAGACTGGAGAGCATTACATCTGTGTCTTTTCCCAGGATGCTCTGGAAGCCCTGTAATCATCTTCAGTTTTTATCGACAATTAATTTCTTTCTTTTTTTCCATTTACCATATGAAATAGAAATTATACAGTGTCAGTGAGGAAATTTGTTTATTTGTTTTGTTTTTTGAGGCAGGGTCTCACTTTGTCACTCAGGCTGGAGTGCAGTGCTGCAATTACAACTCACTTCAACCTATACCTCCCCAGCTCAAGCAATCCTTCCACCTCAGTCCTCCAAGTAACTGGGGCTACAGGTGCACACCACAACACTCAGCTAATTTTTGGTATTTTTTGTAGAAATGGGGTCTTGCCATGTTGCCCAGGCTGGTCTCAAACTCCTGACCTCAAGCAATCCGCTCACCTCAGCCTCCCAAAGTGTTGGAATCACAGGTGTGAGCCACTGCACCCAGCTGAAATGTATTTGTTTTTGATACCACTTTTAAGTATAGAATACTTTTTTTTAAACAAAAGCAAAAGCAAAATATAGCCTATTTACATGAAGACTTATGTTAAAAGTCTTATATACATGCGTTTGGAGTATGGGAAGATAGAGCTTGTACATATTTTTTTTTTTTTTTTGCACTGGATCTTTCCAGTTGAAGTACTACCCAAACGCACATATCTTGCCCCTATCCTGGTCCTTTATCCCTGACAACCAAGTGGGCATCTTTGTGGAAAATAATGCAAGCTCAACAAGATCACAACCTTGGTGCTAAAACTGCTCTTAATGAGGTGCTGTGTATGAATTAATTAAATTAGTTTGCCCCTCATGTGGCAAGCTGTGTTTAGTGTTTGTCTGGTAGGCTAATTTATAAGGATAAAATTGTGGCACAGTCTCTGCCTTGCTTGTTTTTATCAAAGAGATGGGCTAATTTGTAATGAAACTTTATCAATCAGATCATGCAGTGGGTCCGCCCCACCCTCCAGGCTCTGACTAATGAATGCAGGCTGTTTGAGTTCTTTCATACACAGCACATCCTGTTGCTGCTGAGGAGGGGAGGGTGCATTGGTTATAGATTGATTATAAGACCGATGGTTTCTTTTCTAGAAAATAGATAACCAACTTTTCTGTTTCCAGTTTCTTGGCATGTTTATAGCTTTATTATTGTCTTTCCTTTTTATACAGGGCATGAATTTGAAGTGGAAAGTGTGTAAAAATGCCGGTTTATATTTGTTTGGGAGAAGCCAAAGATTGTGCATTGCATGTTGGAACAGCGGTAGCTAAGAACTCTCAACAATGGGAGAAGGAATAATAGTACAACAGGCAGAGAAATGGAGCGTTTTGAAAGGCAATATTCTTCAATGTTGGGAAAGTAATGAAAGGTCAAAATGAAGCTCAATAGAAAAGCCATTATGAAAGGAAGGGGGAGAAGTTGGCTTTTATGTTGCTGTCAGGATTTGGGATTTATTTTCTTTTTATTCTGACAAAACTCTTTTGGGGTGTGTTTTTTTCTCTTCAATTCAAACAGTTTATACAAGTGTTATTTTAAACTTCCTAGTGTTTACATCATCATGTCGTTTAAAAAGAAACTTTTTTTTCTTTCAATTCTGTTATCTGGGAATTTTTAAGGACACAGCCATGGTTTCTGAGACACACACACTCACACATATATGTATTCTTCTGAATATTTCTATTTTTCTCTGCCTGATTGAGAAATAAACAAGAACGGGCTAATTCAAGAATACTTAATAAGGGACTCCATTAAAAATTTATGTTCATTTCAATATATGTATGTGATTATTTTGAAAATTTATATGACTTCCTAGTCAGAGATTCGTTACTTTGTAAAACACTCACCACATAAAGATGGTTTATAAATACAAAAATGACACAAAGCTCTATGTCAGGCAGCAAGTCGGTGGCAGAACTGGATTTAGGATTTTGAGTTCTGACTTCTGTCCTGTCATCAGGCCACTAATCTGCTTGATTTTCTGAAAGAATTTGAGGCCTGAGGAAAGAATATGCCAGAGACACATTTCCAAAGAGATGAGTCACATTGGGTGGTTTGATATAATAAAATCTGTGTTTATTTTGCAAAGGGCTTTTGAACAGATATTAGAGAAACAAATTTCATCATCATGTTCAACTTTATACTTTGTAACATTGTACTTTCTGTTCCAATAGTTAACAGCACTAAGTTCATAGTTCTTCTCTTCCTGTTCTCTTTTGGGAGTTTTCTATTTAAAAAAAAAAAAAAAAAGGCAGATTTTTAGTGTTTTATCAGAGTGACTTTAAAGTGTTATTAGCATCCTTCGCCTGGACTAGGACTATTAAATCAGCCTTTCATCTTTCCAATGCTAGGCTTTGCCTGAGTCACTTCCTTGCTAATAAACATTCTGGTGGTTCCCCAATGCCCAGAGCATTCTTCCTTCTGTTGTTGAAGACCCTCCATAATGTTAGCTCAATCTACTTGTCCCACATTGGATGTGTACCATTCAGACTGAATTATTCCATCCTTCCTGAGCATGCTCCAGGTTCCTTCCCTTTTGTATTTGCTCATATTATCCCCTTTCCTTGCGGTGCGCATAGCACCCATCTTTGCTGAATTGCCACATCTTTTTCAAAGTCCACACCTCATGCTGTTGACTTAGTAAAACCTTTCTTGTCCAGGAGATGCAAGACATTCCTCTTAAGCCCTACAGCCCTATTTCACCCAAGAAATATGTATTTCATATCTCCTGTGTGCCTGGAAATATTCTTAGCGCCAGGCAGGGGGGACGATGGGGATGGACACAAAAATGAACATCTGGTTTCACGGGCCATGCCCTCTGACTGAGGATAAGGGAACAGACGATGAGCAAGCAAATACAATTTAAAAACACTTAATTTCTGATGGCGATGCATGCTGTGAATACAGTGAGAGAACTATGATAGAGCTATACCTGAAGGGTGCAGGGAGAGCATGAGCCCATGTAGATTGAGTGAGTTAGGGTGGGCTTCTTTGAGAAGGCAGTATTACACCATCACTTGAATGCAAAGAAGGAGCCAACTGTGGAAAATCTAGGAGAAGAGGTAAACGGCAAGCACTATGTCCCTATGCCAGGAGAAATTTTGGTGTGTTCCAAGAATAAGAGGAAGGTCAAGTACCTGCAGCACAGTGAGCCAGGGGAGTAGTAATCAAGCGATACCCTGAGAGAGGTGGGTAGAGGCCAGATTGTGTATGGATTTGTGAACCAGCATGAAGTGTGTTGATTCCAAGCTCTTGGTGAAGATTTGGGCCGAAGGGTGTAATGATCTGATTCTTTGCAATTCATTTATGATAATCATATGTATAGTCCTTTTAGAGTAGTGGATTATAAACTCTATTTAGGTAGGAATTATGTATTAGAGTCATTCACAGATAGGAGGCAGTCAGTATATATTTGTCAAATAGCTGAATGAATAAAGGTAAGTGGATCCTGAAAATGTATTGTTATAAGTATTTAGAATTAATGCTTTACTGAGGCAGAAAGAGCTAAGTTTGTAACACTCCTATTTAATGGTGGCCAAGCTCATGATCTTTTGAGAAAGAAAGAGGTAGAAGGAATGTAGGTCTACTACCACTGAGGCAGTACAGCAAAGGGTCTTAGTGCATGAATTTGGGACCTAGATTATCTGGATTGGAAACTCAGTCCTATCACTGATTTGCTAGTTCTTTGGAAAGTTACTTAATCTTTCTTAGCTTTTGTTTCCACACCAGTAAAAGGGTGATAATAATATTGTTTACCTTATTAATCTGTCCTGAGTATTTTTTTTTTTTTACATTTTAAGTTCTGGGGTACATATGCAGGATGTTCAGATTTGTTACATAGGTAAACATGTGCTATGGTGGTTTGTTGCACAAATTATCCCATCACCAAGGTATTAAGCCCAGCATCCATTACCTATTCTTTCTGATGCTCTCCCTCCTCCTGCTGCACCCTCAGACAGGCCTCAGTGTGTGTTGTCCTCCCCACCCCCATGTGTCCTTGTGTTCTCATCATTCAGCCCCCATCTATAGGTGGGAACGTGCAGTGTTGGTTTTCTGTTGCTGCATTAGTTTGCTGAAGATAATGGCCTCCAGCTCCATCCATGTCCCTGCAGAGGATATGATCTCATTCTTTTTATGGCTGCATAGTATGCCATGGTGCATATGTACCACATTTTCTTTATCCAGTCTACCATTGATGGACATTTGGGTTGATTCCATGTCTTGTCTGTTGTGAATAGTGCTGTAATGAACTTATGCATGCATGTATCTTTATAAGAGAATGATTTATATTCCTTTGGGTGTGTACTCAGTAATGGGATTGCTGGGTCAAGTGGTATTTTTGCCTCTAGATCTTTGAGGAATCACCACACTGTCTTCCACAATGGTTGAATTGATTTACACTCCCACCAACAGTGTAAAATCATTCCTTTTTCTTCATAACCTTGCCAGCATCTGTTGTTTTTTCTGTCCTCAGTTTTAACTGAAATTATCCATTTGAAACACTGAGAATGATGCCTGGCCTGGCAAACTCTAAAAAAACATTAGGATGAAGACCCTCTACACCTCGCTGTCAGAAGGCTTTTGTTGAAATTCTGTCTGGCTCTAAAATCCATCCTTGACCTCTTTGACACTCTGCCTGGCATCTTAGGAAGGTTCCATTAACAGTTAATAAGGTGAAACTCAGGAACATACTTTTTTAAAAATAAACATACTCAAACAAAAATTTCTGCTTTTTTTCCCCTTGTAGCCATTTATTCAGCAAATAGTATTTTTGGAGAGAGAGATGCAGCCATTTGGTAAACAGTAACAATCTAGATACATCTTATTAATTTTCCTTCATGATTGATTCAACTGTAAAATTATATGAGAAACCATAGCCTAGCTGTAGATTGTACAGTGACCTATAACTTTCATTTTATACATTTGTAAATATACCTTGCAGCCTCATCATTCAGTGTCTTTGTTGGAGGACTGTGTTATAAGTGAGATCATTTTCTAACAAATTCCTCCTGTACAAAGTCTAGGACAGCTCTGTGTCATAACAGATTCCATGCTTAGTGGCGCTTGTAGAAACCACAAATAGTGGGGAGATGAGCTTTTGTTCTTGGGAAGAAGCCAGTAGAACTTGTATATTCATAAAGAGCAAGGTGTAAGTAATAAATTCAGGCTGTGTTCTTAAACCAAGTTATGTTTTAGAAGTTTGATTTCAAGCAAGCTTAGCTGACACCAATGCATTCTTTGGGTGCTCTTTTATTCTCATTAATACGCTGAAATCTTGGATTGGAAAACACGGTATAAACGAATGGTGGAATTCAGACTAGAGCCCATTGAGGGTGTGGTTTATTGTTTCTTTTCCAACTCTTAAATAATTCTGAACATTTTAACCAGCCAAATAGAAAAATCCCTCTAGGCTTTTTTGTATAGTTGTTTTGTTTCTCTTCTGCTACTCCCAGTAACATTACATAAGTTACCTGGAAATTGCGAAGTTAGGGTAAGCTGAGCCAGACAGTCAAAATACCTGGAATTTTCACTTCCTTAGACCTAAGAGTGAAGTTGGATAATTTGGGGATGCTAAGGAAGAATTTGGGGGAAGTGTTTTAATTTTCAACTAAAAAATGACATTTTTAAGTCAATGACACTTTCTCTAATTATTGTTCTTTTCATGGAGTGAAAGCCAAAAAGAACAGAGGCAAACTATGTCTCCAGGGATTTGTAGCCCAATTTGGCTTTTCCAAAAAGTTTGAGTAAACTCTAAGTAACCTCTTGATGTTTAGGCGTTACTCTTCTTTATAGGTATTTTTGCTTGTGTAGGAGTTGCTTGAAAATGAGCAGAAGTTGTAGTTACTAAGGTTCTGGAATTCCACCCCTTCAACCCCCACTTTTTGGATCGGGGAGTATAGAGACTACTGTTCTTCAACTCTGTTTAGTTATGAGATTAGAGTGTTTCAAAGTTGTTCTGCCTTGAACAGTTTAGATCACTGTGGCACATTCAACTGAATTTATTGTCATAAAATAAAGTCATGGAATCACTTCTTATTTATTCTCAGTATAGTTTAGAAATCTGGAGTGATTTATAACACTAAGAAATTATCCAGAGTCAAAAATCCCAACCTCATCTTTGCCTCTGCTAGGAAAGGACTCTCTCGGAACTGAGCTCTAGATGGAGATCTGCATTCCTTGCGTACCACACCCTCCCCCATCCTTGTGGTTCTTTTGATTTTTATTCTCAAATATACACCTTCTCTTGTTTCATTAGTTAATAAGTAGTTATTCATAAGTGGTGCAATTTTACATGTTGGTATGTCATAAAATACACTTCACAACTTAAAACGCTTTCTTTAATCAGACCCTTGAACCTAAACCAGAAATGGCGTGTATCTGTTTGATGTTGTTGTTTTGGAGGCTGACCTACGAGAAACCATTGTTCTCAAGTGTTCACTCAAATGGAAAAGAAATCAACATCCAGATTTGTTATTGGTTGATACTTTGCAATGCAACATTGTTGAATTCTCCGAAATTGAGTTCCTAAGGATCATCTTGTGAAAATCTTTTCTGAATAAGTCTTCTAATACTTTACATACCTTTTGGGCTCTTTGTAGTTCTAATTGCTGAAAGGAAAAAGAATAAGAACCAGAAAGTTGCTCATTTCCCTTTCATGTCCTCTGATTCTGAACCTACTTCATACTGGTTCTCTTTGATTAGATTAAGTTTCTAACACACTGGATCCATATCTTACTTATATTTGGTCCATACTGTGCTGCAGGGGCCATAACAGATACTCAATAGATAGTTGTTGAATGATATATTACTCTGATAGTTCTGTAGTTGTAGCCAAATTGAAGAAGTAAATTTCACTGTTTCTTGAGTAAACATCAGGGTATAACTAGATGTCCTTAATTTGACAATGGTTCATTGAAAACAAGATGGATTTTAACTCTTCTGTGAACAAATTTATAACAAAAGTAGTTATAGTTGATAGATTAGCAATGAGTACTCCAAATTGCCATGCTATCATGGTATCAGAGAAAAAAATTACCTTTTTAAGGCTAAGATGATACAACATTCAGTCATCAGATCCAACCCTAATTGGCACCCCAGTTGTCTATATTTTGCGATAAATTTGTTGAATTCTATGAGCAATTTTGTAGTTAATTCTGTAATGCTGTTTTTTGGGGGTATTTTTTTTTTCATTACATTGATAGTGAGGAAAAGAGTAATCAAATTTCTTTAATGCTGCCATACCCTTCTCATTTCATTAGTAGTTCGTTTTAAGGGGAATCATGGCACTTTGGAACTGCCTTACATAGACTTATACTTAGAATGTTATGCCTTACACTCTGAAACACAACATTTACATCAGCACAAAATTATTTTCTTGAAACCACATTACTTCCAGGGAAGAGTAAAGGTGGGGGTTGAAGTTGTGAAAGTTGAATGCTCGTTGGAATTCAGTCACTTATGGTGTGACTTCAGCTAAGTTTTGTAACCTTTCCATATCTTAGTTTTTGCCATGAACTATGATAATAATAAACTATGCTATCTGTTTCATACTGTTGTTATAAGGATACAATGAGATAATAAATGGGAAGCACTTTGAAATTTTCAAAGGTATTATTATTTGCTGTCCTTTTTGTTGGATGGCCTGCATTAGAAAACATTTTCCAGTTTCTTGCCCTGGCAACTGATCATCAGGGAGCAGTAAACCATCAGGTCCCATAGTTATCTTGCCTTTATATTCTTTATAGGTGCAAGAGGAGCTATTTATATTTTCTTATTACCTGCCCAGTCCTGTCTGCTGTAGGGGGAACGAAAGTGTATGGAGTTACTTCCATACCTAGACACCCTATGTATATGTTCTACACGTCAGTGTGATTTACCCAGACATTTTCTATCCTTTTGTAAGGCTGAAAATCCTGAAGTTATTTTCACTGTGGACAGGGAATCTCAATAGATATCATTATTTCAAAAGAGCTGTGTACTTTTCAGTTATTTCACATCATCCAATACATTCGATCATTGAGGAAGTGATCAATTGATGCAAGTACTTCTGCTTTTAAAAAGTCAATGTATCACTGGCTTTTTACTGATTTTTTATAAACACTATACTGACTTTTTAAAAACAAACTATTTTTTTTTTTTTTGAGATGGAGTCTTGCTCTGTCACCCAGGCTGGAGTGCAGTGGTGCAATCTCCGCTCAGGGCAAGCTCCGCCTCCTGGGTTCACACCATTCTCCTGCCTCAGCCTCCCGAGTAGCTGGGACTACAGGCACCCACCACCACACCCGGCTAATTTTTTGTATTTTTAGTAGAGACGGGGTTTCACTGTGTTAGCCAGGATGGTCTCGATCTCCTGACCTTGTGATCCTCCTGCCTCGGCCTCCCAAAGTGCTAGGATTACAGGCGTGAGCCACCGCACCCGGCCAAAACAAACTTTTTATTTCAGAGAGTCTTACATTTACAGAAAAGTTGCAGTACAAAGAGCTCCTACATACCTGATATCCAGTTTTCTCTATTATTAACATTTTACATTACTGTAATACATGAATTACATTACAATTAATGAACCAGTTTTAATACATTAGTATTAAAGTCCATACTTTATTCTAATTTCCTTAGTTTTTACTTCTTTTTATTTTATGTTCCAGAATCCCATTCATGATACCACATTACATTTAATATCATATCTCCTAGGTTTCTCAGACTTTGCTTGTTTTCAGTGATCTTGACAGTTTTGAATATTTTGAATACTGTTGACACTGATTTTTAACCAGCGATTTCAAATTTGCGCAGTAGAAAAAACTGGTAAGAGACTTTTGATCTCCCACCCATAAATAAAATCCCATAGTATGAAAAGGATATCATTTGTTGGGAGCTTTAAAATAGGCAGGCCTCACAAAGTCTGATTAAAAAAAAATACTCTTAACAAGAGATGAGATTCCTTCAGGAAACCTTGCCCTTTTGGTAAACCAGCTTGTAAAATAGATAAAGGGCTTGAGTACTGGGAAAGACCAGGTTATATTATCAGGGGTGCTCATGGCAATTAAAATATTTTGTTTACTGGAGCAGAAAAACTGAAGAAGTCATCAAAAGGCTTAGTGGCATTTATATATGTTTGAATTTTCTTATTGGAATTTATTTTTTTCTTAAAAAAATTTTAATACACACTCAAAATTTCACATCTGAAACCTAACACCTGAGACCTTATATGTAACAATGAATCTAAACTATTTCACAGCCCATTCTTTCATAAAAGGCCAATTTTCATCAGAAGTATCAAGAACAAAATACGTAAGTATCACTTGTAGACTCTAAGAAGTAATTCAGGCATGGTAACATTGTTTAGCATCTCTTGCCAATGACAAGATGGCCTCAAGTGTCTATTATAACCCCAAGTCTCTGTTTCTATTAATACTTGAGGGGATTGAATCATTGACTTTTCAAAGCAACTTTAGTGAAGTCTATGAAATGATTGCTTTTCATCATTTCAGGATCATTATTGGTATTGTGCCTTATTGTCTAGAACCTTACCCTCCCTTCTTTGCAATAGTCATGTTTTACTGAACTTCCCAAGATAGAAGTATCATAGTATGCAATTTACATTAATTTAGGCACAATATTTCCTCTTGGGGGAAAATAGTTATTTTTGCTTCACACCAAAGAAGGTGAGACTTTTCAGGGACCTTTAAATTGGGGGAATGAGGCTAAACAATCAATCAGAAGCCATTTTATTCCCTGACTTTTAGTTACCAAAATCAACAGCTATTTCTGTTGTTGAGCTTTCGTTGGTACTACCCTTGAACTTTGGATTATGAAATCCTTTTTAACCAGTTTGAAAGGTACAAAGCTAACAGGCGAATATGAAGGGGAGACAGATGGCCATGCTTCCTTCCTCTTTTGATTAGTTTGAGTAAGGTTACCAAGCTTAAAGATTTTATTAGGACCAAAAGGTGGGTGAGAATGTATGTGTGTCTGCTTGTAGCTCTTGCTTTAACCAAAGTTGTTTATACTTTATTGTCTCAAAGCAATTAAATGGAGTGAAGATCTTGGGTTCCTAATTCAGCAAATGCATTCTGAACATGTGGCAACCTGCTGGCTCGTAGTTTACCTTAAAAAAACAAAACAAAACAAAACCAAAAAAACAACTCTGCTTGGAGTGTGAAACGGCATATTCCTACAACAGTAAAAAATAAAGTGTTTTCCTTTGCCATGAGGAAGAACAGTCTAAGAAAGATAGACTGAGTTCCACTACATACATACTTTTGGTGCACTGGTTAAGTGCAGTAGATAGTCTTGGATTTCAAATGTGAACCCAGTGTTTATCAGGACTTGATATATTCATTCCTTTTTCCCCTCATTTTTTTATCTCCTTGTTCTTGTTTATGGTTTGCTGTATTGGTCCATTTAATATGCTTTAGTTACCTCTGTACTTCAAAGGACTTTTTTTGCATTTTTACTTTAAAAAGTTTGGTTCAAATATGATTTCTAACATTTGAAATCCATAATTTATCATTTTACATAGGTTGAGAATTTTTTTTTTTTGACCAAACACTAGCAAGTGACTCTAGTGAACATTTCTTTGGTTGATAGGTGTGAGAGGGATGTTCAGGACTATCATGATTGGTATAGTAAAAGAGGTTAAAATACCCTGGCAAAGGCTGCTCTAGGAAGAGTAGGATCTTGAGCCCTTCCCAGAAAGCTGGTTTTAGGTACTGCCACAAGCAGGAAAAATTTCCATGTAAGGGCTCAATTCAAGTCAGAGTTACAGATAAGTTGCCTTGGGTTTTACCACAAATGTAAATCACAGAACCCACCATACAAAGTCATCTGTAATTTTCCCATTAACTAGGCCCTTCACTCCAAGCACACACAAGCCAGCATGAATGGCTACCACCCAGGCAGCCACCCTGGCATGAAGACAGAAAGAAAGAAAGAAGGAAAGAAAGAAAGAAAGAGATAGTGGGTTTTTGTTAGTTGGTTGGTTTGTCTATCTTGCTTGGCTTTGGGATAAAAGGAATGGGGGTAAGCCTGCCTCACCTCTTATTTTGAATATGGCAGCTCTTTTGGTATTTTGTTATTTTAAAAATCTTTCTGAGGGGGTGATATCATTTTTTAGCCATGTGTTTTAGAGGCCTGGTGTTATAATGTTTAAGTTTAAAAGAGGCATAAAAGGAATATTAGAGTATCATGCTTCAAGTAACAGTTAGCAAATGAGCAATAGACAATAACAAGGAAATGAGAGAGTTTCTCCATTCTGGTTTTGGATATTTATATGGATTTTGGAGCTCTTCATGTGCCTCCAACCCACCCACACAACACCATTAAAAAAAATATGGTGTGTGTATCAAATACAGCCTGAATTTCCATGAAAGCATTCCAAAAGAAACTGTGAGCTGCCCATGTAACCATTTTTTTTTTCCTGAATTTTCCTGTGTAAGTGGAAAAAAATTGCTGTTTGGGTTTCAGCCACAGTTGGGCACACTGGTTTCATACCTGTTTCAAAATGTGCTTGCATGGTACTAACGGTCATCTTTAAAGAAAATGCTTTGTAAAAAAGAGTAACAGCCTCATTTACTTTATTGTAAATAGAAGGAAAATGATATGAAAAGTACTATAAAAGCAATCTATTTCCTTTTTTACCCCTGACTGTTCAATGCCCATCTTGAGAACAATCTTGGGAAATCACAAGGCAAAATTCCAAGACACAATTCTTTTCTTTGATTAAGAACTCCGTACAAGTTCAAACTAAAATCTGAATCTGTTCTAGGTGCCATGGATACTTTTCTTGCTCTGCATAATGACAGACTATGTAACCAAAAGAAAGCTGAGTTATAGAACAAATGGTCTCTCCTCTCTTCATTGCAGCATCTGTTCTGTGTCATTGTTTTATCACCCAAATGTGGCAAAGCAGTGCGCTGAATGTATGAAGTCTGCCATCCACTGCAGTAAGACTTGTGAACCCAAGAGAGGTTTGCTGTGAGGGCTTCTACGCTGATTTTGCCTTCTGTATCTGTGGGCAGTAGTGAGTGAACTAGAAAGTAGGTGTCTTTAAACACCACATTAAAAGTTAGACAATGTTTTGGGTGCAGTTCTGGACTACGTTTCTCAGGCAGGAATCCCAACGTGTAGTTAGCAAAGCCTGAGAGAAAAGTCAGCCCCAGCTGATGTGGAAGAGAAAGTTAAAGCATACACCCCTTTGTAGCCATCAGAGCCTTGTTTGCTGATAAGGGATGTGCTGCTGCCCTGCCTTGGGATGGCAGGAATATGGCCAACTTGCCACCTGAAAACGGGTATGTGTTAAGGGGATAGATGTAACTGAAGATGGCAACTTTTCCACTGCTCAACAATTCTTTTTATTAAGTGATCTGGGGCAAGAATTCCTAAAGTTCCTGGCTATTTGGAAGCATGAAGATTTTTGTCAAGTGAAATCGCCATCAACCTTAATTGTAGGCCTTATCTCCTTCTCTCTTTATTCTTCTTTCTTCAGATCCTTACTCTTCTGAAGAAGGCATGCTCTCTCTGGGCCTTGGGTTTCTTCCAGGCACAGCTGTGGGATAACTGAACAGCCTCCCGCAAGTCCACTTAGACCCCCAGGGAAAGGAAGCAAGCTCCCACTCCCAAACAGATTTCACCACGTGCCTCTCTCTCCCACACTCTCCCTCTCATTTGGCAAATGTAGGCTTGGAAACTTGCCCCCTCTTCAGTCCAATATTTGACTCTGATACCTGGCTCTGATAGTTGAACAAGTATACTGAAATCTACATGAAGCAAATGATTCCAATTTCTCCATCAGAGTCATTTAGGAAAAGAGAGTTGAAGTAACTGAAAATCTGAGTGCAAACATCACTGCTTGCCTCTTTAAGAGATTTGGACGTGTGTGTTGGCATAAAAAGGTCACTTTAGGCCTGAGGGGTTTCACATTGGTCCCGTAAGTTAGACCTTCAATGCAAACTATTTTCAACCCTTGCCATGAAGAACAAATGACCTTTAGTTGCTTGCCTAGAAGACAAATGGTGCATTAGCACAATAAATATAGTTTTCTGGGACATCATTCCATCCGTCTTTAACTTTCTATTACAATATTTTAAAAATATAGAATCCTTGAAATCTCTAAGGTATTAAAATTAACTTGTGATGCTTTGTGGATGCCGTGTAGATTTAGGATAATTCTGCTTAATGGAAATCACCTAACATCACCTTCATGCTTCAGAAGACAATCTGGCTTTGATTATCTAGACTGGATGGTTTTAAGAGTCTGGGTAAGAGTGGGGTTGGGGTTTCAGGAGGATTTTAAAATACTTACACTTATTACTTAGGACAAAATAAAAGATTAGATATTGAACATCTTCAAAATTAAATGTGAAAATTTCTAGTCAGATCCAGCTACTGCAGATTGAGTAATATTTTGTAGATTTTTTTTCTGAGACAGGATCTCACTCTGTCATGCAGGCTAGAGTGCAGTGGTGCCATCATAGTTCACTGTAGCCTTGAACTCCTGGGTTTGAGCAATCTCTCTGGCCTCAGCCCCTCAAGTAGCTGGGACTACAGGCACACACCACCACACCCAGCTAATTTATTTTTTTGGAGAGACAGGGTCTTGTTATGTTGCCCAGGCTGATCTTGAATCCCGGCCTCAAGCAATCCTCCTGCCTTGGCCTCTCAAAGCGCTGGGATTACAGGGGTGAGTTACCACACCCTGCTTTGTAGATCTTTTTGCAACATGTTGATCAGACATGCATTGTATCTGGGAACCTGGCAACTCATGGTAACAAATAAATAATAGGACATGGCCTATAGTATAAAGAGTTGAATAATTTTTTTTAACCTTAAGTAAAAGCAAACATTTTAAGTCACACTTGAATAGATCCATGATGATTCATTCAACTGTCAGCATTTTTTTCTCTTTTTAAAAGCCCACATCTTTTGACAGTTTAACAAATGAAAAACTGTTTTAATTTTGCTCCAGGGAAATAATAGTCATATAGTTTTCCTCTACTGTGTTTCAGTTGGGTGATAAAGGTGTTCCCCAATCCTGCTACGGAAGAGAGATGAGAACTCTACCCTTATCTTCTGTTCCTTGGGTTTGAAACGTACTGAATCCTTGCGTTGTCTGAACTCTAAAATTCTATTGAAAGTTTTTGTCTTTGGGGAAAAAAAAAAGAGGACACTGGGTACTATGAACCTGATGGTAGAGGCACTTACTCATCTTCTGGCAGCTGGGTCTTTAGTAAAACAGGCAGAAGTTGTGGTGATGACAACCTCTTTGAATGAGCTCCACAGTTCAATATTCACTGTCTTTTCTTGGGAGAAATATCTCCAAAAGTTGAATGTCAGCTAAATAGAGGTAATTTTTGTTGCTCTGGAATAGCTCTGTCTTAAATGGAGTCTTAAGGGGGATTTTAACTTGCATATTTTTAAAATGAAGAAATGAGCTATTTAACATATTCAAATAATATTAGGGAAAAATTTTGTCCTCTTGCAAATCCAGCCTCCTCATGCCTGTCAATGAATATCCATAAAATATCCTGTTGAGCCAGTCTCTCCTGTATACAGTCCCCTTATGATATTTACCTTTTGGTTTTTATAAAAGAAGCATTGATGATATTTAGAAAATATAATGTAGTTTAGTTTGGAAAACTTATAAAGAAACATTTTCCTAAGCTTTTAAATTTAACTTTTGTTGTCAGATAAATGAAATGAGACATAAATCTATTGGTTCTAATTCTGGATTATTTGGAAATCTACAGTGTTTTCAAAGACTAATTCACAGATATAGTGGGGTGCAGGGAGCTAGGATGTTCAGTGAAAAGCTTTATATTAACTTCTTTGATCAAATTTTCATTTTAGCATATCAGAAGTTTAAATATTCTTTAGAATTATTTAACATTAGAGACAGAGAACACTGGCTCCGTGGATTGATATAATAGTGAAAACTTCTAGTGTCTTGCTAGAAGGCTGTGTCCCTGACCATAATATATAACTCACTCTCCCCATGAGCTGGTAGAATGAGCACGTTTGAAGACCCTACCAGCCTGGAATAAATGAGCAGTGTGTTGTTTACCAGTATCAGGGTGCAAATTCATCTCAGCTGGGGGGAGTTGCTACTGGGATCAACATCAAGTCTACACACATGGAGATGTTGAAGAAGTGATTTCCTCATATTACAAGGGAAAGAAAGAGTTTAATGGTTTTAAGGGACTCAGTACATGTTAACATTGTGGTGTTGGTAACATTGCTTAGGCTGTGCCTGAAACTAGAATGATGTTGGGTCACATTAACAGAAGTTGAACATCTAGAAAAAGAGCTATATTGCTGATGTGGGCCTGAAACTACTCTGTTACATTCTATGAGTCTTATTTTTAACTAGCTTTAAGTCATAGCTTTAAAGGATTATAGGGGATAATGACCAGAATGATGAGGGGGCTTGAGAAAGATCGAGAAGAGAGGCCAGAGGGGACAAGGTACCTCCCAAATGGGAAAGAGTTGTGGACATAAGTGTACCTAGATTTCTTTCTTATGCAGTTTTTAGAGGGAGTCAGGTATAGTGGGCTCAGTCAAAGGAAGAGTCTCCCATTGTAACTGCTTCAGATTGGAGTTGGCTTTAATCAGAAAGAGTGCCCTTCCTGGACGTACTCCACACAGGCAAATTTAATTACTTGGTGGGATGGTAGAGAAGAAACTCACACTTCGGGTAGTGGCTGGACCAGGTTACTTGTAAGTCTTCAGGTTTTGAGATCCTTGAGTTTCACATTATCTACTGAAGGCATAGGGGGCCAGGTGCAGTGGCTTATGTCTATAATCCCAGCACTTTGGGAAGCCAAGGTGGGAGGATCGCTTAAGGCCAGGAGTTCGAGACTGGCCTGGGCAACGCAGAAAGACCCTGTCTCTACAAAAAAAATTAAAAATTAGTGCCTGTAGTTCCAGTTACTTGGAAGACTGAGGTGGGAGGATGGCTTGGGCCTAGGAGATTGAGGCTGCAGTGAACTATGATGGAACCACTGCATTCCAGCCTGGGCAACAGATACCCTGTCTCAACAGCAGCAGCAGCAACAACAACAACAACAGAAAGGTATATGGATTGGCAGTTTATCTTTTATATATGTTGCATCTCAAAACATTTATAAAAATTGAAAAGGCCTACAGGGAAAAAAATATTGGCAGGAGGCATGTACTGAATATGTGTAAAATGTGGCTGCTTGAAAGACCCACATGTTTTTGTCAGATGGAAAAAGGAAGACAAGCATTTTAGGGTTGAGGGGAGGGATGATAAAAACATTTTTAATCATATTATAGGCCTTACTGTGGAAAAGTACATAATAGTAATAGTTACCAATTATTGATAACTATTAGATACCAGACATTTATTTCTAGGTGCTCTTTAGATACATTTTTTTTTCCTAGTCATCACAACAAATGGGAAGGGTACTTGTTATTGTAAGCATTTTACAGATAAAAGAAAACCAGTTACAGAGTAGTTGCCACGCAGAAAGCCAAAGGCAGAGAAACTGCGAATTGGAGCCTTTCTGGTCGAGTCATTTTCCCGTACATCACTAAAATGTTTTTTAACTCTTGAACAATTCGTTTTTCACAATTTGTTTGGACAATTCTGTGCTTTTAATGCCAGTTCTAAGCTACTCATATCCTAATCTGAAATACTGGTAAAGTTATTTTTAATAGCTTCCAAGATAGAAGTTTGATTATCAAGGCTAGAAAAATCTTGCAATTATTTATATAAGTTGAAGCTGAGAATCCTCCAAATGTTATTTTAATCATCTGGCCTATGTTTTCATTATTATTTGTTGGGATGCGGTATTCACATTTTACCGGCTTTGTTCTGCTGTGATATATTCTTAGTGTTCTGTTGAATAACTTGTGTTTCCTTCTTCTATTTTGCTTGAGCCCATCTCCACTTTTCTGTGCAGACCATTTTCCTAATACCTAAATACTCTTATTCCTTTCTCCATCTGTCCGAACCTTGTAAATCCTCCCTTAAATTCCAACTCCTGGATCAACTTTTTATCTTTCTAGCCCTCAGAGTTTCTGACCGCTCTGAATACAAAAGTATTTATTTTCCATGTGTTTTTAAAAATGATCTCTAGTAAAGGGTTTTACATTATTTAATTTTATCATTTACTTATGTTTTATTTCTACCTCCAGATTTAAACTTTTTGGATTCAACTTTATGCAAAACAGGGGTTGAGAAGAATATAAGTTAATTAACGCTATCATAATTTGATGGAAAAAGGTCCTGAGTGTTCACTGGAAAGTGATTTCAGAAATGTTTTTGACACGATTTTCTCAAGGAAAACAAGGGCTGTTTTGTTACGATGCATACATAATGTTAATTCCCACTGGGAAAATGTAATTCAGTTTCTTTAAGAGAGTTATTTTATCACAAGCCATTCAACAATAGTAAGAAATCCCAACACACACGAACACAAACCCACACACAAACATGGACACACACACATAGGCCCACCATAGTCCAAAGGTCTGAAGGTGTTCAGCTGTGATTTATTGTTTCCTAGAAGAAAGAAGCAACAAATGCAGTGTTCCTAATTAATATGATTTAAAACAGTGTCAGCTAGCAAAAGGCAGCAAGGTGATTCAAGATTATCTCCAATAAGGCATCTTATTTCTGTGACTCATTTTTAATTCAGGAAAATGCAGTCCTTGCCCTCAAGAAGTTTATAATTCTTTGAATGAAATTAAGAAGAGGGGAAAGTCTTTAGAAAATTATGCCTTCCTAGTAAACCAAATGGAAACAATCAGAGACAAGTAACAAGATTAATGAGTCGAAGGGATTGACTTATGAGAAAAGATTAGAAGAACTAAATATATACAGCTTGGCTAAATGAGTACTATGGTAAGAGACATGATAAATAGCCAAATTTACTCTTTGGTAAGGCTTTTGAGACCTGGGACTCTCCATACAGGCAAAATGATGTTTATCAATAATATAAACGTTGCAAATTTCTCACAACGCTTTTAAGTCAGCAGCATATACAAACTTGGAATGTAATGGACAATACAAATATAATTTATCTCTGTCTTTGTGACATAATATATATCTGATTCAGCACATTTTCTTACATAAAGAATAATTTTAAAAGAATTTAGAAAAAGCACTTTGAAGACTTCACGTGTTGTTTTGAGAGAGAATTACTAAAGAGAATGCAGAAAGTGTGTTCATAAAATAAGCTTTATGTGTGCAGTTTAAAACATGAAAAATGCTTAGGAAAACTAATTTATATCCAATTTAGGCTCATTGGAGCCAAATTATTGTCACAGGGTAGCTAAGTGTTCAGCAGCTCACGTGAACAATTAGGTAAGGTGGGTATTGATGCCATAAGCTTACCACCATCATAGGTAAAATGACCTATGTCGCCAGGCAACTTTGTTAAGAGACCGAGAGGCTGCATGATGGTTCATGCAACGTTAAATACAAAGGAGTTCCTTTGTCCTTGCAAACTGGAATGATGGTAAAATACACAAGTACTCATTTGCTTTAGTTTTGATTAACAAGACTGCCCTCATAATTAGCATCTCATCTGAGAGGAAAACTTATGGTGCATTTACATAAGTGAATTAAAGGGAAAGAGAATGGGGATGCCCAAAACAAGGTTTAGTTTCTGGGGTGAGTGATTTAGAAAAGCCCATAAAAACTGAAAGAGAAAATTGCCATAGAGCTAAGTTAATTCACCTGGCGTTTTCACTGTCCAGAAAAATTCTACATATTATTATTCTCTTTTGTATTGTTTTGGGTAAAATAAAAAGAAACATTATCTTCAAAACACAGTTTTCTTTTGGAAGATTTGGAAAGCCTAATGCTTTTGAAAGGAAAATTGAAGAATCTATCTAAAATGTTTCTCTCATTAGTCAACAAATGAGTGGTTTGTTGAAAATAAGTGTCATTTCACAAGGAAATAAGTATCATTGTAACTGAGTCATCCTAAACATTGTTTTAACTTTATTTTTATTCTAGCTAAGACACTGGGGTAGTGATTGCAGGGAAATATGTTTTTTACACATATGTTTATATTTATATATGTATATTATTTGTATATTTACACCCACATGCTAAGTAACAGGCATATAAACTTGACTTGGCATTTAGAGACTATTGACATAAGTAACATACATCTATCAGTGAGATAATTTAGAACAATCTTTTATTCACAATACTCTTATTTACGTTTCAAGTGTGCATAGTGTTTCATTAATCCACATTTATGTGGTTTTTCTTTGCTCTATGTAGTCCTTTAAAAGCACATTCTACACAAATTAAAAGTAGTATCACAAAATGAAATCATAAATGAAGACTTATCCTGAAATATACATTTTATAGAATGAACAACTTTGAAACAACAACTTTTTGGATATACTTGGCTTATAAATATACTATTTGTAGAAGGGTTGGACAGATTGAAATTGTATTTCAATAAAAAGGTGTAAACATTTTTATTTCTTAGGAGATCTAACATTCCACACTGATCAACAACTACATCTTTACACTGGTGTATATTGATAATGGGTAATAGTGATAGTAGTGGGGAAAACGCCATTTCTGGTAATGCTGAGTGTCAACATTTCAAAGACTGAAAAGTCTATGAGTAAAATTGTTCTTAATATGTTATCATTGCCAAATGAAAGATGTCCTGATTTCCCCATTCTTTCCTCTGGTGAATTATACTTATCTTTCATTCTGTGTCAAGAGAAACTGTCATTTAAGGGCAATTTCTGTTCCTACGCTGGCATATTTCTTTTGTTTATGTTCTTTCTTTTCCCATATGGGAATCTTTCTCAGTGTGTGAGTGTACAGTGTATCCATGCATAAATGGCAGCACTAGCTACTTCTCCTGTTGCCTTAAGAGTTGTTGCTGTTGATAGGTGTTGCATAGGATGGTTACCGAGGCGAAGGACAATTTCCCTCTACTGGCTGAAATTAAAGATAATTCTTCTATTCACATGTTTTGTTTTTCCTCCTTAAAGTCTTTTCTCCTACAAGGCTTTTGATGGCTATATTAACTATTATGATTATGAATAATCAGAGTTCTCCCAGATCACATTAAGCAGATGCATCAAAGGATGTTTTAAGAATTAATTTTAATATATCTCAGAACCCAGTTAAATTTAGGTACCATGCCAGCAGATGAGCCAGACTTCACTGAGACCCTTGAGCACAGAAGCAAGCCCAGTGCTGAGAAAGCAGCATGGCATCATGGTTCAGCAGGTGGGCTCCAGTGCCAGACCACCCCCATCTACGTTTCTCCCCTGGATCTCTGCTAGCTGTGGGAACCTGGGCAAGGCTTTTTAGTTGTGTCTTTGTATGTCTGTTATCCTCTTCTAAAAATAGGAATTGTGTAGCTCTGAGAATTAAATGAGTTACTACTGTCCAGGTTCTTAGAATTCTTTTTTTAAAAACATTGTTTATTTTTAATTTTTGCGGGTACCTAGTAAGTATATATATTTATGGGGTACATGAGATGTTTCGATACAAGCATGCAATGCATAATAATCACATCATGGAAAATGGGGGTATTCATCCCCTCAAGCACTTATCCTCTGTGTTACAAACAGTCCAATTATACTCTTTTAGTTATTTTTAAATGTACAATTAAATTCCTTATTGACTATAGTCACCCTGTTGAGCTATCATATACTAGGTCTTATTCATTCTTTCTAACTATTTCCTTGTACCCATTAACCATCCCTACATCCTTCCAACCCCCCACCCCCACTACGCTTTCCAGCCTCTGGTAACCATCCTTCTACTCTTTATCTCCATGAGGTCAATTGTTTTGATTTTCAGATTGCACACATAAGCGAGAATATGCAATGTTTTTCTTTCTGTGCCTGGCTTATTTTACTTAACATAATGACCTCCAGTTCCATCCATGTTGTTGCAAATGATAGGATCTCATTCTTTTTCATGGCTGAATATACTTCATTGTGTATATGTATCACATGTTCTTTGTTCATTTATCTGTAGATGGACACTTAGGTTGCTTCTGAATCTTGGCTATTGTGAAAAGTGCTGCAACAAACACGGGGGTGTAGATATCTCTTTGATATACTGATTTCCTTTCCTTTGGATACATACCCAGCCGTGGGATGGCTGGATCATATGCTAGCTCTATTTTTAGTTTTTTGAGGAAACTCCAAACAGGTCACCATAGTGGTTTTACTAATTTACATTCCCACCGAGAGAGTATGAAGTTTCCCTTTACTCCAAATCCTTGCTAGCACTTGTTATTGCCTTTCATGTAAAAGTCATTTTAACTGGGGTAAGATGATATCTCATTGTAGTTTTGATTTGCCTTTATCTGATGATCAATGATGTTGAGTACCTTTTCATATGCCTGTTAGCCATTTGTATGTCTTTTTTTGAGAAGTGTCTATTCAAATCTTTTGCCCATTTTAAATCAGATTATTAGATTTTTTTTCCTATAGAGTTGTTTGAACTCCTTATATATTCTGGTTATTAATCTCTTGTCAGGTGGGTAGTTTACAAATATTTTCTCCCAGGCCGTGGGTTGTCTCTTCACTTTGTTGAATGTATCCTTTGTGGCACAGAAGCTTTTTAACATTTTGCGATCTCATTTGTTCTTTTTTGCTTTGGCTGCCTGCTTGTGGGGTATTACTCAAGAAATTTTTGCCCAGTCCAGTGTCCTGGAGATTTACCCCAATGTTTTCTTTTAGTAGTTTCATAGTTTGAGGTTTTAGATTTAAGCCTTCAATTCATTTTGATTTGATTTTTGTATATGGCAAGAGGGATCTAGGTTTCATTCTTCTGCACAGGGATATCCAGTTTTCCCAACACCATTTATTGAAGTGATTGTCTTTTTTTCCAGTGTATGTTCTTGGCACTTTTGTTGAAAATGAGTTCACTGTAGGTGTGTGGATTTGTTTCTGGGTATTCTATTCTGTTCCATTCGATTACCTAACTTGAAGTCAGGTAATCAGGTTCTTAGAAATTTGCCTATGCTTAATACATATCAAATAAGCATTAACTATTATGGTTTTTAAAATAATTCTCCAGGACTGGGCACAGTGGCTCATGCCTTTAATCCCAGCACTTTGGGAGGCTGAGGTGGGTGGATCATTTGAGCTCAGGAGTTCGAGACCAGCCTGGCCAACAGGGTAAAACCCCGCTTCTACTAACAATACAAAAATTAGCCAGGCATGGTGGTGGGCGCCTGCAGTCCCCGCTACTTGGGAGGCTGAGGCAGGAAAATTGCTTGAACCTGGGAGGCACAGGTTGCAGTAAGCTGAGATTGTGCCACTGCATTCCAGCCTGGACGACAGAGTGAGACTCTGTCCCCCCACACCAAAAAAAAAATGAATAAATACCTGAATATTCCTTTGATATTTTCCAGTGTAAGATTTTGTAAGGCTTTTTCGTTTATTTTTATTGAAATTATAATATGTGCGAGTATTGTCTTATGGACTTCAGATTTGGAGAAACATTCCACATACCATTCAAGAACTGTGTGGTCTTAGGTGAGTTATTTAACCTCTCTTTAGCTCATTTTCCTCAATTGCAAAACGGTTGTTGCAAAGATTAAATGAGGTCATACATATTTATGTAAAGTGCTTAGCTAGTGCTTGGCCGAGGTAAGCACTTAATAGGTGCTGCCTTATTTTCTAGTATAGGAGATAAAACATGTATAAAACAAATACGCGGAGTAGAAAATGACACATACAATAAGAGAGATAAGATGTTAATTACTGTGCATACTTCTAATGGGACAGCAGTGGGGTGTGGAGAGGAGTGGTCGGAGTTACCAGGGAGTTGGCATTTGAATTACATATTAAGGAATGCATGGAATTTAAACATGCAAAGATGCAGAGAAATGACATTTCTTATAGAGAGAACTATGTGGATGTGAATGAATACTCAGAGTTAAGAAACTGGAATATTTGATGGGAACAATGAGAAGTTCAGATTGGCTAGGTTAAAGAAGGTATCCATTCATACTGTCAATGGGGAAAATAGTGAGAAATGGAGCTCGAAGAGTAGATTGGAACCAGATAATAGGAGTCCTTCAATAAGCTGGATGTTATTTGTCAGGCATTTGAATGATGTTGAAGATTTCCCAGCGAGGGAATCACATGAGTGGTGCCTTCCTTAATTCTTTCAGGAAAGTTTCATTTGGCATATATAAGTAGAATTAAATGGAGAAGGAATTGGGATAATGGTTCAAGCAAGAGTTGGTGAGGTCCTGAGCTAGTGTGAGAATGCAATGGAGAAAATGGATGGAATAAAAGACTTCAGTGGAAGAATTGTCAAGAGTGCAACAGGATGTGGAAGGAAAGCAAGAGGGCTGACAAATAATGCTCCAAAGATTTCTTGTTTCAGGTAACTAAAAGGATGCTACTGTAGCACCATAACAGAAACGGAGCATAGGAAGGACATGAGCAGGTGAAACAGGAACAGTAATAAGCTCAGTTTAGAATTAATGGAGCTTGAGGGATTGGCCCTCATCCCAGTCATCTGGGTGGAGAGATCTTTCTTTAAGTAGGTGGAAAAGAATACAATTCTTTTTATAAACCATGAAATCTGTGGATTTAAGGTAAACATTGCAGTGTTCTGATGAAGCTATTGAGTTACAGCTTTATAGGACAGCACTTTTGTCTCTCTTCTTTCAAGAAAATAATAAAATGAGAAAAGTACAAACAGAAAGATGTAGGTGTATGCTTTGGTGATCTTAATGGATAAATGGAAATTTGATCCTTTATGAACCTGGGATTTTAATATCAAATACAATAAACTGTGTTTAAATAGTGCTAACGTTTTATGATAAGTCAAATGAAAGAAGAAAATTCAAGATTAATTCTCACACTTCAGTAGTAATTTAAAAGCTTTTTCAATATATGGCCAAAAACATTTGGATGTCACAAGTAGACAGTTCTGGATTCGGAATTCCTTAGGTGTTAGACAAATTCACTTTTACATATTGAATTATATTGATTTTGAGGGGTTTCAGCTTCTTTTTGGAAAGTTTTTGCTGTTCTGTTAACCTAAAAATCATTTTGATAAGCTAACAAAATGTGTAATTCTTAGGCAAGTTATTTTATTAACTGGTAGCTGCCATTAAAGGTAACTTTTTTGTTTTAATAGACTTCAAAAGAAAGAAACTGTGCTTGTAAATTATATATATCTAAATGATTAATACTTCTATCTAACTATAGGTAAATATAAATGTAAAAAATTATAAGAAAAATAAATAATACTTATAGCTAAACAATTTTACCAAGCTCTTCAATTTTAATAGTATTTGATAAAGAGACAACAATATTCATCTTATTTCAAATAGAAGCTGAAACCCAGAAGACTTGAGGGATTTGTCTCTTTCCTTAAAAGTAGTTTCTTATAATTACACTGAAAATGCCATTATTCTACAGTACTGAGAAATATATTTTCAATGTGTCTCTCATACCTAGGTCATTTAATGTTTCTGAAAACGGCTAACAGTGGCCATTTTCAACATTCAGGTGGTAAATTTGTGATTGTATATGAGTCATAAAACTCACTAAATCTAGTATAGCATATAGCAATGTAAAAAAAGTAAGCCAGGCGCAGTGGCTTACACCTGTAATCCCAGCACTTTGGGAGGCCGAGGTGGGTGGATCATTTGAGGTCAGGAGTTCGAGACCAGTCTGTTCAACATGGCAAAACCTCGTCTCTATTAAAAATACAAAAATTAGCCTAGTGTGGTGGCACATGTCTGTAATCCCAGCTATTCGAGAGGCTGAGGCAGGAGAATCGCTCGAGCCCAGGAGGTGGAGGTTGCAGTGAGCTGAGATCGTGCCACTGAACTCCAGCCTGGGCAACACAGCGTGACTCCATCTAAACAGGAAAAAAAAAAAAAAAGTTAAATCTCAGTCTTAGAATTTATATATGAGATATGAGTATGGTATGAATTTTGGAATGTTACCTTATTTTGGAAATGTGTTTTAAAGTTTTCTTTAGATTGGAATGAACTCTTTTTTTTTTTTTTTTTTTTTTGAGAGGGGTCTTGTTTTGTTGCCTGGGCTGGTCTTGAACTCCTGGCCTCAAACGGTCCTCCCTCCTTGGTCTCCCAAAGTGCTTCGATTACAGGTGTGAACCACGATGCTCAGCCAAATTCTCATTCTTATAAATCACTGAATCACAGACTAGTTCTTCAGTATCACTTTATTCAGTCTCTATGGTAGATATTTATTTTTGCAGTAAACCTTTGTGTGCTTCTGCTGTGTTTAGGGACCAAACAGAGGTGAATAAACACTGTTCCTTCTCTCAAGGAACTCCCACTCTAATGGGGTAAGCCAACACATATCGACAAATGCAGTGCAGTGTGGTAACTTGGAAGAGGGAAGCAGAGAGTGCCGTGGGGGCCTGGGCTGGAGGAGTCTCAGCCTCTTTCAGTTGTCCAACTCCTGCTTGAACAACTACAGTGACATAGGTTCACTACAGTTCAGGTCATCCATTTCTACTGTTGGACAGTTTTCGTTGTTGAAAGACTTTTTCTGCTTTGTTTAGTTTCGCTTTAATGATTGACCCCAAATTGGCCACTGTAGAATGTCTATTTATGGGTTCTAGTTGAGTTCTCTGGAGCAGCAGTACTCTACATGAGCGCTTTGCAAAGATCTGTGATGAGGGCCAGTTTTTCCTTCACATTTCTAATCTGTCGTGGACTAAGGCTGGTAGAAAACACAGTAAGAATGGATTCAAAAGAAGGAAAAAAGAAAACCAGAGATATACAAAATCCAAGCCCTGATTTTTCACTGTTAGATTCAACAGACATACAAGGATTCAGTCATAAATGTTATAAATGTTTCTATTTCTTAGTCTTAGATGCTGTATCCCTTTCCTCACACACCAGGAATGAACAGTTGGAAAGGGACAGTGGTCCCCACACCATGCTTGTGTAGCACTGCCTAGCACGTGTTAGATGCTATAGCACTGGCTTTCCCTCCAAGGAGTTGATTGTAAAATTTTCTCTTCTGCTTTTTTTTTTTTTTTTTTTTTAAATGTATTTCGGAGACAGGGTCTTGCTCTGTCATCCAGGCTAGACTGCAGTGGTATGAACATGGCTCACTGCAGCCTTGACCTCCTGGGCTCAAGCGATCTTCCCGCCTCAGCTTCTTGTATAGTTGGAACCACAGGCACATGCTACCATGCCTGGCTAGTTTTTAAATTTTCTGTAGGAATGGAGTCTCACATTGTTGCCCAGGCTGGACTCGAACTCCTGAGCTCAAGCGATCCTCTGGCCTTGGCCTCCCAAAGTGCTGGGATTACAGGTGTGAGCCACTGCACCTGGCTCTCTTCTGCTTCTAATTAAAGTTTAGAGTTAGCCTGTTGACTTTCCTCCAATAAAATCAATTTCTGTACTTTATGAAGTGTAGTCTAGCTCTTGCTGGGTACTCATTGTTCCAGTACAGTGATGAAGCCGAGGATGGTCAGAGCCAAGAACACAGGAGAGGTGACAGTGCAGGTCCTCACAGTTCAGAGTGTTGCTCACGACTTTTCACATCACTCTCATCACTACCAACTTCAGCTCAGTTCATAAACGTTTCTAGTGCATGTGCTTAAGATACTGTGCTAGGTGCTGGGGATGCAAAGATGAACAGTACACGATTCCTGCCTTCGAGAGGCTTATGCTCCTATAAGGGAGAGACTTGAACCATGTTTTGTTTTTAATGGATGTTTAATATACTAAATCTTGATATACTCATAGAAATGGTATAAAATATGTATTATTAACTTGATAATTTCTTGAATTGTACTATTTTCCATTTCAAATGAAGTGTAGAACTAAAAAGAAAAGAGTAGACACAGAGCAAAACACATGACAATGTAAGTTCATAGAGAATTCTCATTAAGGGCTGGGCGCAGTGGCTCAGGGCTGTAATCCCAGCACTTTGGGAGGCCGAGGCTGAGGTCAGGAATTCATGACCAGCTTAGCCAACATGGTGAAACCCCATCTCTAGTAAAAATACAAAATTTAGGTGGGCATGGTGGTGTGTGCCTGTAATCCCAGCTACTCAGGAGGCTTGAGGCAGGAGAATCACTTGAACTTGGGAGGCAGAGGTTGCAGTGAGCTGAGATGGAGCCACTGCACTCCAGCCTGGGTGAGAGTGAGACTTCATCTCAAAAAAAAACTCTCACTAAGAATTTTCATAATTAGGCCATGTGTGGTGGCTCATGCCTGTAATCCTAGCACTTTGGGAGGCTGAGGCGGGTGGATCACTTGAGGTCAGGAGTTCGAGACCAGCATGGCCAACATGGTAAAACGCCGTCTCTACTAAAAATACAAAAATTAGCTGGGCGTGGTGGTGCACGCCTGTAATCCCAGCTACCCGGGAGACTGAGGCAGGAGAATCGCTTGAACCTGGGAGGCAAACATTGCAATGAACTGAGATCACGCCACTGCACTCCAGCCTGGGTGACAGAGCTAGACTCTGTCTCAAAAACAAACGAACAAACAAAAAAAGTCATAATTACGGAAAATCATTTACAATTATTACTACAGTAATCTTTTACATTTTTTGCACAGAACAAAATTTCCCCATGATAGATATCAAAACTTCAAATGATATCACACCGGTGGGGGGGTCATCCACACCGTTATCCAAACATAATTTGAAGGCACCAAATACAGACAATCAGTTTTCTTCTTTGTAAGCCAAGTTATTTTTGTTAGGGAACTAGTTTTATTAGATAAGTCATTCTAGAAGGGGTTTTGTCTGAGAAACCTTTTAAACCAAGATCTATCTAAGCAAAAATTATATACCTATAAATAAGTTTTATATATGACAAAATATTTATAAAATCTCATTGTTTTATTTCACATTTTAAAATGATTCTTCAGAACAGATAACTTTCTCTTATATCTAGTTGATGCCTTCCAGGTATTTAGTCCTTAAGATAACAATCATTTACAGCATTCTTTATACAAATAAACCATGTTTATGTTTTATGTAAATGTTTCTTTTAAAGTTGAGTATGCTATAAAATGGCCAATCTTTATTAGATCCATTTTTGATTAATCAGAATCTTTATCATGTATTAAATGATTTTCTAGTTTTGCTGAGCATTGCCTGTTTTTCATCTCTTATGTATCTACAAACATGAGTCAGACATGCAGAGTATCTTGATTAAATTAACATCAAAATCACATGAAAACTCTATCTTCGATTATAGATCTGTCTCTGAGTTGCAGATACTAGAAAATACATCAGGTATTGGATAAGGACTAGAGAGGCCAGACCTTTGAGATTTCTTTCTTATTGAGGGCCAACTCTAATCAGATGTGGGAGGCTCAGTCTTACACCTGTACTCGGATTCTTACAATGAGTGTTATTTGAATTTGTTCAACAGCAATTGAACTATATGTTTTGGTTGTTTGATCTGGAGCAAAAAAACCTAAAAACATTTTCAAAGTTCTGTCAGATCTGAAGACAACAGATTCAAATATTTAAATTTAAATAGTGAAGTTTCACAAATGGAGATAGTTGAAAACACCAGAGTCAACTTAAATTCTATTGTTGGGAATTTGTGTTGTACTTTAAAAGGGTTTTGAGTTTCCACAAGTGGCATGAGAGCTGGCTTCTGTGGGCTTGCACCCGCTCCCGTGAGCCACTTGCCCACATCTCCTCCCAACTCTGTTCAGTGACTTCATGGGGGCAGGGTAGCTTGAAATCTGCCATCTTGGGCATCTCACCATGAAATTTGCAAACACTACATATGAGAGCTTTTTTTTTTCCTCTTGGAGAGAGTTGATTGCTAAACATTTACCAGTACAGCGTTGGTTTCAGCTTCAAGCTTATGAGTGTAGATAAAAATTTATGCTGATCATATTTGCTTAGTTTTAAAACGGACTCCCTCAGACACTTTGGAAAGCTCTCTCTCTGCTTGGTACTACTCTAGGAACAGGGGATATAAAGATTAATACAAAGAGTAATGTTTTTGAGTAGTCAATGTACTACAAATAACCAAAGGGGAAAAATTATTTGTAGAGGTTAAAATCAGATAAATGATTTTTAAATTATTATTTCATAGATTGTTGATATTTTGTACTGCAGAATGAGTGACAAGCTGATTATATTGGCTATACATTAAAATAGATCACCACAGGTAACACAATAGGTATTGTTTTAAAATTATGTTTATGTAGTTCATGGCTTACTTTACATCCTAGATAACATACAGTATATGTATAGCATATTAGTTAGCATATTATTTGTTAATTAACATAAGGTAGTATGTCTGATAATGTTCTTATTGATAGCTCTGGCAACTGAAGGCTTCTCTGAGTGTCCTCAGGAATTGATTTTACAGGCTAGAAAGATGAAAAATTCAGCATGCACACAGTTAGCTGTTGGTTTTTAAATCAAAATAGAGTCTATGGACCCAAGTACAATTCAACTTATGTTAACCATTTGGGGGCCTTAGAAAACACAGGCCAGTGATCTAGGGGCTCATTCTTTGTTCACAAAATTGAAGTAAAGCATCTGGGACTTAGAGAACCAGTCCACAGTTTTATCTTTGAACATCCTCTTCTGGCAATGCATGCTAAGGTGGAAGGAATGATTTGTCTGTAATAAGAGGTTCTCTCCTAATTAGGAGTATCAGGCCTGCTACTGCCTATCACATTACACACTGAGGTACAATCCCCTTGTGAGGGGAAAAGATGAAAGGATAGGTAGTTACAGGTCTTGCACCTCTGGATTCCCTTTAACCTTTCTGAGCCACTAATTCCCTTTGCTCCATTGGGCTGTCAATCCCAGTGAGAACCCAGACTTCCTCTGGGTTCCTTTCACACACACTTTGCTTATCTGTCTGAGTGGCATTTGTCTGATCTTTCTTGTGCATGTTTTTACTTTTAAGATCTTCCCTTTCTTATGTAAAAAAGGCAATTAGACTCATATCTGTTTATTTTAAACAAAATGGTTGTTAATTAGTGTGATCAAAAACGCTGCCATTGTAGACTATGGGTTCCACTTTGTAGTTGCACTAAATTGAGTATGGTTTGGTGCCAGTTGACATGATAACAACTCAAAGTCTGGCTTTTTAAAAATTAATGAACAAACACATTTATGAGGCTTTGTTTTGTCTGGTTTAGATCTATAGGCTCTGAATGCATCAGAGTTCTTTTTTTTTTTCAACTGACTAAGGCTGTTGCTGATTAAAAGTGCATAAACTTATTGAAAAACTTTTTTGATAACGTAACTGATGTGTGAAAGCTACACCATTTTCATTTAATTGGTTCATTTATGATTTTATAAGTTGGAGTACAAAGTATGCTTACTTGCTCCATTAGTAACACACCTAACATTTCTTTTTTATTAAGTTGTCAACCTACCAGACCTTTAGAAACATCTTAAATTATCAGCCCCTGCTCCTCCCCCATCCTCATTTAACATTTAGAAGACACAAGTAGATTCTAGGTATTTATTTAATTTAAAACAACTTCAAGAGAATGGGTCAGTATGAGGTAACTTAATCTCATACATCTTTATCATCTACAGTATTTTACAATGATAATTAATGCTCAGGATAATGGTGATGGGGCACTGTCATCTTTACAGAAAGGTTAGATTACATTCATGATATGTGACTTCCAATGCAGAAAGTCCTAATAGCATGTGTTAACATGTTTTTTATATTGAGTATTTAGACAATAATAAATTTCTACTTAGGTGGTTAGAAAAATTAAATTAGAATATGATTTACCAGAACATCCCAGTTCTTTAACATTCTGGTTAACTAAAGTTTAAAATTCATAATTTATTCTTTATATTTAAAAGGAAAGAAGGGGATACAAGAGTGTGAGGAGGCAAATAACCCAACTCTAAGGATGTGTAGAAACTTTATGAATTAATGCCTAAAATAGCAACTATCTTAACCTCACTTTGCAAGATGTCTGGAAAATTTTTGGATTTAAAAGCATGATAATCCGCAAAGCAGCAATGAGACTTACTGATTATTTTGAAGAAAAATATTATCTTATTTGTGAATGGTAATGGATCAAAATGCTTCATGAAAGTTAAAGTTAAAATCTAATAATAACAATCGCTACCATTTATTAAATATTTACGGTATTCCAGGCAGTATTCTGTGCTTGATGATTAACCCTTGGATTCATTTATATGTTACCATGTTTAAACTTCATAGTAACCCTGCAAGCCAGACTTTCCTATACTCATTTTTCAGTTGAGGAAACTGAGGTTTGGAAAGGTTAGCTATCTTGCTAAAGTTTACTCACCTGGTAAATAATGGGAGTGAGATTTGAACACAGAATATTCTGAGTCCAAGTACTTTCCACAACACTGTTTTCTAATACTCATTGTAAGGGACTGATTTGGAAAGCACATTTCTTGTTTTGTAAGGAAATCGCAGTCACACTAGTTGTCTAATTTTCCCAAATGAAAATGAGAGTGTTTCCCTGCCCACCCCCCAGCCCCTTTCTAGTTCTCTCACTGTTTGGAATCCTTGATCAAACACCCTTATGAATGAAAAGCTGTTCATCATGGATTTAAGTGTTTCCGTGATCTTTATCACTTATCTTGGAAGGTTCCTGCCTTAATCTGTCCTCACCGTTGAACATTCTTTCTTGGTATTTAGCCTAAATTTACTTCTCTTGATTATACTCATTACTCCTAGTTACCTCCCTTATTGTGGATGTGTCAGTAATGATCTATCTTTAGCCAACTGGCCTTTGTTTATGGTCCTTCCCACAAGATTGAGGCTGATGTCGTAATGATGCTTCGAGATGATATAATATAGATGTGGGTAATTGGGCAATCAAATTCAAAGTACATTCTAAACCTAGAATTAGTAGGAAAGTAATAAATGGCACTCAGGGTTGGTTTTCTACATCATCTGTACTTTGGTTTGCATTTAAAGACATCTGTACTTGATGCTTTAAGATTATTCACGTACAGTTACTTTCTATGGCTTGTAATATTAGCATGCACTAGCTTAATTAATAGTTTAAAAGTTTATAATATATATACATTACTTGATATGACACTGGTCTTTCTTTTTTTGTTTTTCATGAAACCAACATCTCATACAATATAACCTTTGATCATATTTGCTTACCGCTTCCAGCCCTCAAGTCCTTGATTTTCATTTCCTTTTCAGTAGTAATGAGACAAATTATCAAACAAGCTCATTTGAGGAAACTCCAATTGTAATCAGTAAGCTTAGTGGAGGAAAGGGTTTTTGGTATGCAGCATTCATCCTCCCCTGTGGATACCCAGTATGGTAATTTAAAGCTTAGTATAGTTTTTCGAGCACCCACAAAGTGAGCTTTACAAAATAAAACCAGATTTCTTCATTCCACAGAGAATAGATATCTACTCATAAGTTGCACATATCTGGGGATTTTTGTTTTGTTTTAACGTTATCATAATGAGCTAGCCTGGGGCGTCATAGAAAGTGGTTCTCTCTGTTTTTGTACAATGGAATATCTAAAGGCATGAGTTAAATAAAAGTATTAGGAAGTCGTGAATATAGAACATAGATACAAAAGGGAGAGAAACCCAACCCGTAAATAAAGAGCTGTAGAAAAAGGAGCAGCCAAATGGAGAACCCTAAAATATGAATCAGGAACCAAGGCAGAGGAAAAGAAGGAAAGTTTAGATCAGGTCCCCAACACCCGGTACTGGTCCGTGGTCTGTTAGGAACTTGGCCACGCAGCAGGAGGTGAGTGGTGGGTGAGCAAGCCGCTCCCCATCGCTTGCATTACCATCTGAGCTCCACCTCCTGTCAGATCAGCTGTGACGTTAAAGTCTCATAGGAACCTGGACCCTACTGTAAACTGTGTATGTGAGGGATCTAGGTTGCACATTCCTTACGAGAATCTAATGCCTGATGATCCGTCAGTATCTCCCATCACACCCAGATGGGACCGCCTAGTTGCAGAAAAACAAGATCAGAGCTCCCACTGATTCCACATTATGGCTAGTTGTATAATTATTTCATTATATATTACAATGTGATAATAGTGGAAATAAAGTGCGCCATAATTGTAATGCTCTTGAATCATCCTCAAACCATCCTTCCACCCTGGTCTGTGGAAACATTGTCTTCCATGAAACCTGTCGCTGGTGCCAAAAAGGTTGGATACTGCTGGTTTAGATTACAAAAGTTAAGATGGAAATAGGCCAGGCATGGTGACTGTTGATGTAAAAATAGTATTTCTTTTTTTAAAAAACATCATTAGACTCCTTGAAGATTAGAAAATAATGGAAACATGGGAAAAGAAATATGAATATTTAAACATAAAACATTTAATGCTACAAATCAGAGACCACAGACATATAGTAAAAAATTTAAGCACCGTGAGACTAGACATACAAGAATAAAAACAGTAAGAATGGGAATGGGAAAGTTTACCTCAAGAATTGCTTTGTGGGGCGGTGTTTGACTAAACCCCTCTAACCTGAGTGCATGTGGGAAAGTGCTGAATTTTCTGAGGTCTGGGATCAATCTTATACATTTCCAGTATTTGGGGCCAAGCCTAGGAAATCAATGAATCCCAGTAGATAGTCACATCTATAAAACCTAGCACTACCATAGTATTTATTATGCTCTGAGCTCTGTTCTATATACTTTACATGCTGTACATGAACTAATTTAATTCTCCAATGACCTTACAAGGCAGGTACACCACTGTTACATCCCCATTTTACAGATAAGGAAGCAGATACCCAGAGAGATTAAATAACTTATCCAAATTAACATATCAAGAAAGTGGCAGAACGAGGCTTTGATTCCAAGCAACCTGGCATGGAGCCCATGCTGAAATCCAGTACACTCCCTACCTCGTTCCAGAACCCTGGAAGGCCCATGATGTTTTGTGCCTTTCACCCGCTCCATCTAATCAGTCACCAAGTCCTGACAACTCAAGCTCTTAAACACCAGTAAAATCTGCTTCCTCATCTCCCAGTTGTTATGATCTCAGTTACTCCAGTGTCTTTTGCCTACAGCGTTGCCCATTTCCACTTGAAATTCTAATTATGTTATCTTGGTCCTCCAAGGATATTGGCATAGACAGAGATTTGTAGAACACAGACTAGTTAGTTTCTACTTAGGGGTCCAGACAGCCATGAAGTAGCCCACTAGTTGGCATGGAGTAAAAGCAGATGCTGTTGCTTCATATGGCCAGACATTTTCAAAACTGAACGTTATACACTAGGTCCCTTCATGTTGCTCCAAATAGCAGGCAGTTTATCCACCCCCCAGGACAAACTTGGACACTCTGTTGGTGAGACTTTTCCAAAATATAAATCTGACCATATATCTCTTCCAATTAAAATTGTTCAGTGGCTCTCCATCATATCCGGGAAAAAATCTAAACACCCCTATGTGGTGTAAGAGACCATTATGATCTGATCCTAAGCTTGTCTTTTCCCTTTCCTGCCACAACAAAACTTTTCCATAAAGGATGCATTATTTGTGGTTCCTGCACGTACCAATTTTTTTTTCTCTGCTTCCATGCATTTGCAAACATTTTGTTGTCTGCCCACAGTTTCCTTCCTCCTTTCTTGGCCTGACTAACTCCTATTTTTCTTTAAGATTCACCTTAAGCAACATATTTTCCAGGAAGTCATTTCCCATTGCACGCTGTGTGTAGCTCCATTGTAACGTGCACTGAATTGCATTCATTGGTTTCTGTCTCTCTTTCTCATTAAGTTATGAACTGCTCAAATATTGGGCTAATATGTTTCTCACCAAATACCTCCTGGCTCTCACAGGGATTGACACAGAGCTGGTGCTTAAGAAATGCTTGTTGAATGAATGAGCAAATAAATGAATGGAAGTATCTGATGGTATTAATACTTTTGCTTTTGGAGTTTCAGGTTAGGATATGATTTACTGTCAGACCTTAAATGTACCTGTGTATATTTCTTCAGTAGAGAGTGAAGGCCAGCTCTTTATCTTTGCTGAGGAGACAGATAAAGAAAGGGAATGCATTTAAATTACATATGAGAGAATTAAGTGGAGAAAGTAAGACTTTTCTGGTGGTTTTAGGAAACAGAATGCATTTAAAAATGGACTGAATTGTTTTGGTGCTCTTTAAAGATGAGATGCATTTTCTTTTGGCTTGTGGGAAAACCAGCACTGTCACTTACTCCAGAGCAGAGATTCCATCTGATTATGCATCAGATTACCTGGGGAGCTTTAAAAATTATAAATTTCTTGGAGTCCATTCTCAAACATTTGATTTCATAGGTTTGGTGTAGGAGCCCACAAACTGTTTTTTGAAAAATGTCATGGGTAATCATGATGTCTAGCTAGAATGGGAGCTTGTCTTGGGGGTGAATTAACTGCCTGCTATTTGTTGCAACAGGAAAGGATCTAATGCATAATGTTTGGTTTGGGAAACATCTGGCCATATTGGGCCACAGCGTCTACTTCTACTCCATGCCAACTAGTGGGCTACCTCGAGGCTGTCTGGACCCCTAAATAGAAACTAACTAGTATGTGTTCTACAAACCTGTGTCTGTGCCAATATCCATGGAGGACCAAGATGACTTATAATTAATGAGAATTTCAAGTGGGAAGGGTAGTTCCAAAACGTTTATTTACAGAATTCTGGGGCCAAGTGCAGTGGCTCGTGTCTATAATCCCAGCACTTTGAGAGGCTGAGGTGGGAGGAACACTTGAGTCCAGGAGTTCAAAGCTGTTATGAGCTATAACTGTGCCACTGCACTCCAGCAGCCTGGGCTATACAGCAAGATTCTGTCTCTTAAAAAAAAAAAGAAAGAAAAGAAGAAGAAAGAAGGAAGAAGGAAGAGGAAGAAAAGAAGATGAGGAGGAGGAATGTTGGAGTACTGAGGGCTTTCTCAGATCTGTTCATTACTGACCATATTCTTCATTCTCCCTCTTTTCCTCTCTCCCTCTTTCTCTTTCTTATTTTTTTCTTCTACCCTCTCAAGGTATGGAAAAGATGGAAAAAGATTTAAGTCTTAAAAAACCCTTTCCTGCAGTGTGGGATAATTAGGGTAGTATTATTAGTGTAAATGTTACTATAAATCATAGTATTATTAGTAGACGAAGGTGGTAGAAAGTAATGTAAGGGAGTGTTTCCCATCTATGGGGAAGTGCTGTGACAGCCCTCGTGTCTGCAATAGTGTTAGATATTGCAGGTTCTCCCGAAAGCCCTCTGGAGCCTCTGTGGGGTTGGGATGGTGGACCATGAATGATTTGCCGTCAACAACTACCTGTTTTTACCAGAAGTTTGAGTGCCATTTACCACATTGATCTGTATTCTAAATTCATTTGGCCCCTGACTAATATAATTTCACTTTGCAGTTGAATTGTTTGCCTAGGTTTTCCTTCACTTCTGAGACTGTCATACAGATGTGATGAAAAGATACAAAATTTGCAGGCTGCCTGTATCCAGGTCTCATATGTGTCCGTTACCTGCTTTGTGACTTTCTCAGGTGACCACTCCCCCTCTGACTTCAGTTTCTCATTTGTTTGCAAGCACTACGAAAGCAAGAACAAAGTCTGTTTTTCCTCACTCTTCAATTTTCAGCATCCAAAACAGAACCTGGACTGCTTAATAAAATGGCTGATTGAATGAATAAATGCATCTCTTAAATTGCATATAATACAACTTACTTCATAGTTGTAGTTGAGAAAATAATGTGTAAAGGCACTTGGAACAATGTAATAAACGCTCAGTAAATGTTCGCTATTATGATTAATTTGAAGGCAAAACATTGTAACGATTAGGAATGATAGTACTGCAGTTGGAGAGTTTGTGTTTAATTCTCTCTATGTCATTTATTAGTTGTGTGGTTTTGGGTCAGCTGTTCAGTTCATCTGAACTTCAGTTTTCCCATCCGTGAGAGAAAGATGAAGGTAGTACCTGCCTCACAGAGTTGTGTAACATGAAATGAGAGATAAAGCCCTTCACACAATTACTGGCACATGGTACTCAATGGTAGATAACATCATTGTCATCATCTCTGTCATCATCCCGATGAGCACTATCACCATCCATTCTCTCAGCATCACTATCATTACTGCTGCTTCTGCAGCTATCCTGGACTTGTTGGTGGAGTTCTACAACCTAAATGCCTACTCAACTAGAAAGTCAGAAAAGGAGCTTTTCCATACTCCTTATTACAGTGATCATGTTAACATGGTTTCCTTTGAAAGTGCCTACATTACTAGCCCTTCTTACTATGTAATAACTGTAGGGCTTGGACAAATGATTTAAACTCTTTATACCTGAGTTTCCTCATCTGGAAAGTGGGGCTACTATTAGTTTCTATCTCATAGGATTTTTATTAATACATGTAAAGTGATTAGAAGAGTGCGTGCACATAGTAACTTCTCAAAAAACATTAACTCTCAAGACCGGGTGCGGTGGCTCACGCCTGTAATCCCAGCACTTTGGGAGGCCGAGGCGGGTGGATCACAAGGTCAGGAGATTGAGAACATCCTGGCTAACACGGTGAAACTCCATCTCTACTAAAAATACAAAAAAATTAGCTGGGCGTGGTGGTGGGCACCTGTAGTCCCAGCTACTCGGGAGGCTGAGGCAGGAGAATAGCGTGAACCCGGGAGGCGGCGTGAACCCTGGAGGCGGAGCTTGCAGTGAGCCGAGATCGTGCCACTGCACTTCAGCCTGGGTGACAGAGTGAGACTCCGTCTCAAAAAAAAAAAAAAAAATTAACTCTCACTAGAAGTAGTGGTAGTGAAAGAGAAAACTACAAACACAAGCTTCACATTTCAAAACACTGAATATCAGTGTTTGTGTGTGTGTAGGTGAGTGTACACATACTTACATGCACACATCATATAAACATACATAAACACACATACTTAGGTATATTTTTGCAAATACTAATTTTCCATTATTTCCCAGGGTACAGATTCCAAATTCCATCAGAGGGAAGCTAAAAATTTAAACATCCTATCTAGAGTAGTCCCTAATTAATAGACGACCGCTCAGTAGGTAACCCCTATTTGTCAGCGAAGTTTTAAACTTAGGAAATTTTAGATTAGTTGTTAAAAATTTTGTTTATTTTGCTAAATAAAGCCAATAAACATGGAAGCCAATTCAAAGAGAAGTCTTCAATTTCAGTGGAGTGAATGAGGAGAGAAAGGTTTGTGTTTCTGGTCATGTAAGGAAAAGATAGCTCAAGAGTATAGATGTCAGTGTTCCAAAATAAAAAATTACGTCTGACCAGGATTGGAAGCTTCAGATCAAAAGGGCAATTTTAGAAAATTGTGGCGAGTGAATGAGAGCACTAGTTTATTGAAGAAATCAATTTGCTATCTTAACCAATGGCACCAGTGCTCTCCCTATAATCTCTGAAAATAGATAGGCATTTTGCCGTTCACCAATCCGTAGATCGCATCTGCTTCCTTACACCTGGCAAGCTCACCCCCTTTTCAAATAAGATAGTATCACGGGAGCTTTGTGGGTTTATGAAGCCACAGGTTTATTAGTTAGATAAAATCTGTAAGCGTTTAGAAATTTAAAACTGGGCTGTCAAACTGTATTTCAGTTATAATGGCAATTTCCAAAGTAAATACAACATAGTAACTTTTAGGTCTTGTCATTCTGTTTCCTTGATAGTGTGTGATTTGTGAGCATCCAAGGCAGGTCTTCCTGTCTTTGCTTTCGAACTTAGCTGTACGTAGAGAGTAGCAATTGAAATTCTGAAACTTAGACTCTGTAATTAATAAAATACCTTCAATTGCCCCAAATGTTGCTTTCTATAAAGTTAGGGCAAAAATTTTAAAGGGAAAACAGATAAGCTTTTTTTTTTTCTTTTTTTTTGAAACAAGGTCTCACTATGTCACCCAGGCTGGAGTGAAGTGGCATGATCATGGCTCACTGCAGCCTCACATCCTGGGCTCAAGTGAGCCTCCTGCCTGAGTAGCTGGACTACAGAATGCACCACCATGCCCAGCTAATTTTTAAATTTTTTTGTAGAGACAGAGTCTCACTGTGTTACCCAGGCTGGTCTCAAACTCCTGGGTTCAAGCAGTCCTTCTGCCTTGGCCTCCCAAAGTGCTAGGATTACCGGCAGGAGCCACTGCACCCCACCAACAAATGAGGCTTGAAATGTATAATGCAGTAGTCAGAGGAGAAAACCACTCTAAGTAGGAGGTGGGGAGAGTTCTGTTTGATACATTGTCTCATTTAAATTACCAACAAAGTCTAGTACAATTAAAATTTATCTGAATTCAGCATTCATAAATGTAAATAACACTATTTTCTTCTCTTCTAACATTTGACTCTTTAGGAGTAGAAGCACATCCTAAGGAAATAACCTGATATCAAGTAAGGATTTTAGAAAAGCAAATTGCAGGGTGTTCATTTACGTCATTATATTTTTAATCAAATTTTATACACAGAATTGGCAAAAGAGATTAGTTTTTACTAGGGATTATAGAAGCAGAGGTAGGAAAACTGAAGTTTTCCTATTAGCCTAGGCTTACTATATTATCAGAATTTAAATGTGAGTCTTTAGCTCTGTTCTTGACATTACAAAAATAGTTTGCCTGAAAGAGTAACAATAAATCTTTTCAATATAATAACATGACAATAATATCATGAATATTGTTGGAGACTTTCCAGAGCTCTTCCATATACAGCCATATACTGCATAATGACGTTTTCTTCAAGGAAAGACTGAATATATAGGATGGTGGTCCCATAAGATTATAATACTATATTTTTACTGTACCTTTTCTATGTTCATTTATGTTTACATACACACCTGACATTGTGTTGCAATTGCCTACAGTATTCAGTACAGTAACAGGCTGTACAGGTTTATAGACTGGGAGTAATAGGCTGCGCCATATAGCTTAGGTATGTAAGAGACTATATCATCTAGGTTTGTGTAAGTACACTGTGATATTCACACAAGGATGAAATTTCCTAATGATGCCTTTCTCAGAATGCATCCCTGTTGTTAGTGATGCATGATTGTACATTGTATCACTGCATCCTCAGATAATCCTGTGCGGTAAGAATGGCCAGTAGAATTAGCTTCAGTTTGCGGTGGAGAATATTGGGAAGACGGAGGTAAATGATGTAACCCAAAGTGCTATTAATTAATAACTGAGCTGGGTTAGAGTCTCTAAGACCAGGGAATACGCCATTATATTAAACTGAAGTATAATTTTATAGAGATGATAATATGAAACAAAATTGATTTGTAGTTATTATAAACTTTAAAGCATTGAAGCTATTCAAGAGAAAGATGTCTCAAAAAACAACAGGTTTTTATTTTACTTGGCTATCATAACTGCCAGAGTAAGTGTTCAATGAAGGTTAGGTTTTATTACTATTATTACATAAAGTTTGAAAAATTACTAGACATAATACCCAAGACAAAGTAAACTAGTGCTACTTAAAAAAGATAATAATATGTGGCCTGTATATGGTAAAGGACTATTGTTATCTTCAGGTAACAATGTTGTTGTTTTTACCTCCATTCAGAAAGCAGGTATTTCTTCTAAGAAGTTAATTCATTAGTGTGTATTGCTATTTTAACAGAGATAGAATATAATATACAATGACATGATGACCCATGGTTTTATGCATTTGGGCAAAAACCATCACTTCATATCAATTGTCATCCTCCCATTTCTCTTGTCTAAGGTGTAGATCCACTGGTATCTTTCATATTGCACAGTAACAGCATCACTAGCAACATCCAAATTCACTGTGTTCAAAACTAGAATCGTAGTGGCCACTTTTCTGACTTAAATGACCAGCTTGGAACATGTCAAACAGTACAATAAATCCTCCTACAAAATAATGTTTCTTGTTGAACAGCTTATACAACAAATTCAGTATGTATCAATGCGAAAACTCAGCATACATAGAATTTCATCTTTATTGTTCCTTCTGTAAATGTGTTGTCACTTAGTAGAGGGCAACCAAATCTCAGGCCAAACATACATAAATATGTGACAATTTATGCTGTTTGGGGACAGCAAGAATCTATTGGTTATTCAGTTATAGGGGAAGTATATTTGGTGATATGAATTTGCTTTATCCAACAAAATATGGTCTGCAAGAGCAAACCAATTCTAAGTTACCAAAGTCAGTTTGGACTGATCATATGGTACAGTCATATAAGTGGGAACATTACAGGGATGAGTTCAGGTTTTTTCTGGAAGAGTCTCTGTGGAGGAAACTACCACAAAGGAGCTGTTACCACTGCTGCTTTCTTGTTTTTTACCACTACAGTGCTGCATTCTTACAACCCTAAAATCCATCTGCTCTTAACACACCGTCAAAAAGAGGGGGAAATGCATCTCCGAGGGAGTGCTCGAGAGAAGATAATGGAATGGTCTGATGTAATCCCATACAAATTATTCCTCATGATGTGAAAATGCTTTTACAGGGACCTGGGAGATTTCTAAACTGAGTAAGTCCAAGTAAAAACAATTCTGGAAAACATTGTAGTTTGAACCTAATCCACTTAACTGGGTCTGTCTTTAAGTTGCTCACTTACTTCAAGTTTATTCTTTCAGAAGTTGAGCATCTCTGTCGTTTAGTAGTGGTCAGATTAAGTGTGCTGTTCTGCTTACTTGCTGGCTGAAGTCCTTTTTGTTACTTCTAGTGTAAGCTTTTAGAAAGCTACAAAATACAGTGACAGACACTATCATATTCAATTGGACATGCTTTCTGCAGATTTGTTAAGGATTTACTCTACACATTTGTAGCATTTAGTTGCCATGGAGATGACCTCAGTGGTAAGAGAGACAGCCTTTAGGTTGGACCTCAGATTTTCCTTTCATTTCCATTTAATTTGATTTGACTGCAAAATGTCACTCCCATTGCATTGATTAAGCTTCGTTGCTGCCACCAGCACTGTTAGGAAGGTGAAAGGGCAGGCTAGCTGCTGTCATTTTGCACCCCTACCCTTTTCTGATATCAATACAGATAGGCTTTGGAGATGAGAAACTCCTTCACTACATTGATGCAGACACAATTTTTTCTTGCTCACTTCGTGAACTATAATAAAACTGAAAATATGCTCAGAAATCTTTATTCATCAGATTCACTCTATACATACTCAATTTTTCTCTGCTTCAGCTCCACAGTATTGTAAGGTATGATATAAAATGTACGATAACTAAAAATTAATATGTCTTAATGTTTCCCTGAAATATATTTTTTTAAACTCAGCAGCTGGCCACTCTCTACTAAAATAGTTCTTTTATAGTTCAAATAAATTTGAAAAAATACAAGATAATTATACAAGTATGAAGCATTATTCTTGTTCATATGGATTGGAAGTGTCATCTTTAGGTATTAATACAGGTCATTTGAAAGTAAAATGATACAGTAGACAGTTTTCCTTTGGTACCCTGTATACTCCTGTCGGTTTCTTTCTTTATTCCCTTCCCTGATTCTTAATGTCTCCAGGAACCCAGAACTCATCTCTCCTTTTAGATTGAAAAAATCGATAAATTAATTCAACAATAAGATTTAAGAAAATAAATGTGATAACTTCTTAGGATTATCGTACTTATATTTAACTGGAGAAGCAGGGGACATTATTTAGCACAAGAAATTGATTGCAAATAAAACTCCAGTTATATGTGGAAAGACAAGTTGACAGGAAGGCTTCCAGATACTCTACACATCATAGCACCTAGCTTTGAGCTTTGATGTGAATGCTTGATTCTGGTGTGTCTAGGTTACCTTGTCAGGTTTCTTTGAATGGACCATCATTCAGAAACAGCACTCCATCACTTGATGGAGCGTGCGCAAGAAACCTGCAAATTCATGGCTTGGAAAACATACTAGCAAGTCACCACAGATAAACCAGCACTTCGTGACAAAGGACCTTAAGTGGGGCATATATTTCTGTAAGAAAGGTAGCTTTAGTGACTGGAGTTGGGATTAGGGAGAGGGGGAACGGAAACAATCATCCCTATTTGGATGTTGACTTCTTGGCTTATAGAGTTTTGGTCGGGATCAGGTGTGCTGTCCTTTGAGAATTGATACCAGCAGTGTCTTTTTGGGTAGTTCATCTTATTTCTGTTCAAAGTCTAAAGTGATTGCAGTGGGAGAGTACTGACAATTTCTTTTGGTCTCTTCTATAGTGATTGTACTTACCTACACAAGTTTTACTATCTTGGAATGTTCTAGAATTCCAGTTAATAAGGTGAAAGTCATAAACATGGCTCCATTTAGTTGTTATCTCTAAATGATTTAGAGAAGTGTTTGCCAAATTATAATGTGCATATGAATCACCCGGAGATGTTGTTAAAATTCAGGTTCTGATTCAAAAGGCCTAGGGTGGGGTCTGAGATTCTGTGTTACTAACAAGTTGCTAACTGAGGCTGATGTTGCTGGTTCCCAGATCACACTTTGTTTAGTAAGGATAAGGGCAGGTTTCCAATCTTGGCTGCAATTAGAATCACTTGGGAAAATTAAAAACATCTATATCTGGGTCCCATCCTACCCCCCAGAGATTTGTCTTTAATTAAGTGGAATGTGGCCGGGTATCAGGATTTTAAAGAAGCTCTCCAGCTGATTTTGGCGTTCAGCTCACGTTGAACATGACTGAGTAGAGAATGGACCCTGGAAGATGAAGAAAAAAAATGCCCATAGATGATAATGTCATAAATAATATTTTTAAAAGTCTACTCAGGGTTTTAATTTTTGCAATCATTCTGGAGTTTTTAGAGAAGACACTGAACCAAATATATAAGTAAAAAAACAATTCATCATTTTATGCATTAATGTCAAATATTAGTCCACAAATAAACATTTAATGATATTCTCTTCAGCAGTTTCTTCCTTTAAAAATAATTTAGGATACGTTGCCAGATTTAACAAATTTAAAAAAACAGACACTGAGGCGCCATCCCAGGCTTGCTGAATCAGAACATGCATTTTAACAAGATATTCAGGTGATTCACATGCACAATACAAATATTGCATGGGACATACTTATACTAAAAAAAAAAATAGTTTACCTGCAATTCATATTTACTTGAGTGTCCTGTATTTTACCTCACATCCCTATTTAGGAAGGAACTGATTTCCTTATAGAATAAAAATGGAAAATAGTAATCTGAGTTGAGAGAACACTCTTAGTATTTTACATTTCATTTTATCTCATCTTCCCTTATCTATAATGCCCACTAATTTTTAAGCCTATAAAGTAAAACCAGTGATAGCCCTCAAAACCAGTGGTAGTCATCCTATATGTTGGAAATAAATAGAACATTGTTCTGTTTATGCAAGAATGGAGACAGCTCCTTCACTTTTGAGGCAATAATCAGTTTGCATTAAAATTATTTTCCATTTTTGTTTATTTATTTAAAAATTGTCTGATATTGGGAAATTCTTTTATTTATAGAATCCAGAAGCTGCCTTGTTATAACTAAAGTATAACAATTGGTGCTCATAAAACTACAAATACTAGAATTTCCCCAAAGGGAAATTATCCAAAGGCTTATCTTACTATGAAAACACAGTCCCACAAGGCTAAAAATGTTGTGTCTGTATGCCCAAATAAGAAATGCTAATCTCTTAAAAAATTACTTAGATTAACTAAAATGTCAAAGCCTAGCATTGGTAAAAGCAACAACCATTGTTGGAAACTCACATTTAACTGTGGCTCCTGTTGACTGGCCTACTGTGATTCACAGACGTATATATTTTAAAAAAAACAGGTTTTAGAAGTTTAGTCACAAAAATTAATTTTCAGGTTAAGGTAAAAAATACACCATTGACATTATTAGGTTTTTCTTTTAACTGTCTCCTCTTTTGGAGTCTTAGTCACATCTGGTACTCTATTAAGAAGATGATATTCATATGCTGGTATTGAATACAGCGATTTGCGCTTTAAAATGTAGTGTTGAGAACTCTATTTGGAATGTGTTACTGTATATAAGATTGAGCTTTAATAGTATTATATTTCAATCTATAAATAACTTTTGCTTCCTATCTGACATTAAAACAATGTATGGCATTTGGCAAAAAGTAAACTGCCAAATGATTTCTTAAGTGCCTAGTTAAGGGATGACATTGTAAATTTTTTATACTGGCTACACAGCCGTAAGAATGTGTTTTAGGTTTACTGATCTTTCAAAGTAAATGATTTATTTTGGCACTATGAAATCATGAATGCTAATCACACTCTGGAAAGTGTAGCATTGTTGATTTTTATTTATAACGAGTCAGGTTCACAGGTATATTATGTGGGGAAGCTGTCTTTAATTAGTGAGACTCAGGAAGGTAAATGATAATGAAGCTTTCACATTTGCAAACTTGGTGAGCCAAGGGAGATAGCGAATGTTTATTAGGAGTCCCAGTGAGGTGCTTGGGTGAATGGACACATCAAGAGCTCTGTGGTCAGTTCCCACATGACCTAACTGAACCTCAGTTCCTTCATTTGTTAAGTAAGAACAGGCATATTCCCTTCACTGACTTGCTGTGAAGGCTAGATAAGATAACATGTGAAGATCCTGGCATAGTCAGTAGACATGCAGAAGAAAGGTACTTCCACCTCAACCACCCTGATGCCTTAAATCTCTCTCATGCATTCTGACCCTTCTTCCTTAGTAGAGTTTCTAGAAATATGATATGGCACATGGGACCCTGAATAGAGATGGAATGTTAACTGTTACTTGGCCAGATTTAAGCTCAAATGTGATTTTGTTAGGTGACATTTACTTAAAAGTTCCTTGAAGAAAACCATTTCTAATAAAGGAACACCCACCTGTAAGTCCAGAAATAGAGGCTCTGGTCCTGGGACTAACTAGATTTTGATTTGGCGGAAATTGTTTAACTGTTCTTGGCTGAGGTTTCTTTATTTTTTACAAAAGAGGAAAAGTTGAATTACAGTATCTCTATGTTGCCCTCCAGCCACTCTCATTGTGAAGTCTCTTGGGCTGGGTTTCCTGAGGTGCTGAGTTAGAGATTGCAAGTGCTCTCAGGATTAACACCTGTGAGGAGTAAGACTTTCGCCTCTGCTCTCCAGTACCAGGCAGAGGGAGGAAGTGGACTGAGATGCAGCCACAACTCAGAGCTCAGCTAATCCATGGGGAGCTTTGGACTGCATGGCCTCGCAGAGCTGTTCGTAGCTGAGGTAAGGATACTGGGCCTCTCTACTCCTAGACGCTTTGTAGGACAGTCATTCTACTGTGGGCAGTTCTGGGGAAGAATCGCTTGGGAGTGATCAGCAGTCAGACCTCCCGGCAGCTGGAAGGAGGGCCTTGGTCCTGGAGGGACATCCAGGGGCACAGCACAAGCCTCTACTGAGTGAGTCTAGAAAGTTTCCTAGCATCTCAGGGTCATTGACTCATACTCAGCCGACTATCAGTCTTCATTGGAATGCTATCACTTTCAGGGATGTTTAGGGAAATGCTAAACTTCAAAATCTCTGCACATAGTTGGAGGTGTTATTTTGAGCGTGGGCTCCATGAATGCATTCTCCAAAGTGAAATTAATCAACATACTCTGCTATGAAATCTTGACTGAACTTTATAGAAGGACAGACTTTTTATGCTGTTTCTAAGGGATCTCTCTCATACACATCTCTTCAAAGGCACCATTATCAACAGCTGTGGCTCTTGGAGTTTCATTTGTAGTTATATCCAGAACAAAAAGTGCTTACATACAGTATGAGACATCTAAAAAATAATAGTTATACAAGCCACCTAGAAAATCAGCCACTTTGGAACTTTAAGAAAAGATTCTGTTCAGGTTCTGTTCCAGTTTCAAATAGAGGAACTCTTCCTGCGTCAATGATGTTCACCCATTTTTAATTAGCTGATTACCTGTTTGAGGACTATGTGTTTCTCCTGTGCAATGGATTAACCCTGTGGGCTGCGACCCTGCAGGGAAGGTATTTTATGTTCTAACAAAGGGGGCTACATGGATGAGACCATCAAGAAGATAAAGCTAACTTGATCCACTATCTAAGGAAGCTCAGTGTATTCAAATATCAATGCATTCTTGCAGTGGACATATTTGGTGGGATAAACGAGGTGTGAGGCTCTGTATCCCCTTAGTTGGCCTGAAAATAGGATGTCAAACAGCATATAATCATCTTTTTTTCTAAGAAGAGAGAGTGAAAGTGATTTCTATTTGTGTCAGATTTTAGATGTCTTAATATTCTTTCCTGTCTAATTTTGCAGAAAGTGATAATAGAGTTCCTGTCAAATTAGAGGCTGCAGACTTTTAACCTATGTCATGAAAAAAAATTAGTTATTATTACCATAAACATAATTCAAATAAAAATTTAGTTGTAATACCATTATATGGAAGGGTGCGTTCCAAGCATATAATTTTACTCATTACAAATATTAAAAATTCAGAATGACAGTGCATTGAAGAAGAAATTTTTAAAAACCAGAGGTTTTTGGATTAAGTCTTTTGCTTCCAAAGATGGAGGGTCAATGTAAATTCTTAAGTGGAAAAAATAGAAAGAAAGCGATTCCCGTAAATACTTGTGCATCTGTTACTATAGAATGCAAAGCTATTTTTTTAAAATGCCTTAATCTGCCACATGTTTGTATCTGTGAGGCAGAGACCAGAGTGGATACTGTCAAGGGTGAGGAATAAAAGTGAGATAAGAAAGAAGCAAGTAGAAAATTCACACAGCATGCAATTTCATGGAAGAAGGTGCAAGTGATATGTCTGATCTCTGATGAGCCAGTAGTTTAACCTGTTTTATTAATCACCTGAGAGTTGCTTGCTTAAGTGGGATTGTGATGCTGGATCACTTTAGAATTGTTCAGACCTTAATAGAAACTCAAGACAATCTCTATTCTCTCCTCATTAGGTTTTCCAAATGCCGGTAGACAGAGCACGCTTTTTCAATAGTTCAGGTTTATTCACGGAATACTTAAGCAGGTGCATTTTTGGTGGGAAATTAATAAAACAAGAGAACGAATGAAGAAACAAAGAATATAGCTCTAGAGAAGCCCTCTCTACCATTGCTTTTAGCAGTATTAGCAAATTGGGTCACAGATAATTAGATTAATTTGACTACCCTATGGTTTTATTTGGAGAAATGTAATGTGGCAACTCTCTTTGCTCTTGGATATCTATAGTATACAAGAAAATGGAAACACTCGGCCTTCAAAAATGAAAGAGCTATTATGTCATGCTGAATCAGAGAGATGTAGACGCTGATGGAGTATCAACACCTGAAGCCACTCTATTAAAGCATGCCTTGGTACTGCAAGCAAAAGTCACAGAAAATTGGCTCTTGTTTTGTCATCTAAGCTTGCTACCAGTTAGTTTCCTTTAATTGGCTATCATATCCATTTACCAGAAATTGGCTCTCTTTCCTAGCTGCTGGATGTAGGAGTGATTTGCTTGTGTGAATGTGCTCAGGATCACACCTGCAAGAGAATTGTTTCAAGCCATCATTTCTGTTAGAGAAATTACTAACCATGAATGTCTAAATAGGTATATTACAAATGAATTGCAACACCTAGAACTGGAGAGGCTCTCCTGGTCTATAAGATATTACTAAGTACAATTTAAGGATAGTTAAGCATAGTATAAAAGGAGTTGAAAAATAAATAAACAAGCTCAATGGTTGGTGTAGGTATTTTACCTAAGTATTAAGCTATGGTTAGCTTATAAACCTACATCTTAATGCCACTCTGACTAGATTGCTTTCATGAGTAGAGTGTAACCACTTCAGCATGCACTTTTGCTCAACTTAAGAAATCAGATTTTTTTTTATTATTTCAAAACATAGTGCCTTTTTTTTAAGGAAAAAAAATTCTAGCATTTAACTTTGCTTTTCTGAACTAACAGGCATTTATGGTTATCTAATTGCTTTAACCATGTATTTCCTGAAATGTGGTTGTCCACCAGTAGTTTTAACCACAAATGCAGAGCTCCAATTTCTACTCTTCAATAGATTTTCTGAATTAGGTCCACTCCTGTCATCAGAGAAAGGTTAATGTAAATCTAGAATAAATATTTAAAAAATATAAGAAGAAGGTACTTTAAATGCAAAGGAAAATAGATTTAACATTCTTCTGAAACAAGTCTAGTAAGGATTTTAAGTTTTTAAGACTTTCTATTTAATTACTTTGCATTGAAGCCAGCTGGTTTGCTAACTTTCATGACCTTATATTCCCTGAATGTTCTCATAAATCAAAGGAAGAATATGCTCAATTCTAACATTAGGCCTGGGGAAAATTCCATATTTGAAAACAAAAGAAAGAAAGGTAGAATCAAGGTTGCCTTGGGAATTTTGAGGTCCTTGGTAAGGTTAATTGGGAGGGCATAAATTCCTTTATCCTTGGATTCTTCTTTTCCTTTCTCTTCTCTCCCCCTAAGCTTTCTTGCCCTCTAACCCATCAATTTCTCTTATAGCTAAAGCCTTCACACTTCAACATTGAACCTGGAGATATAAAAATATTCTAACAGGCAGGGTGATGTCCTTGGTGGTCTCTTCAAATTCTTTTTAGTGCTTTATTTTAAATTCCAATGATTTCCTAGAAACTCAAGGGTGAAATGGTCCTCTCAAGGTCATCAGTCTAGCCTCTCCAGGTAAGAATGCCTCCCACCCTCTGGGAGGTGGCATTAGTGGCCAGTCCCAAGGGACACATTCCTGCTCCGAACTTCTCCAGTAACTGTGGATGACCTCTGTGATGAAGTGGAGGAAGGAGGTGCACATTAGGTTGGATAATTTTTTAAACTACACATTTTACCTTATAAGTTCGATTTTAAATATGTAAATCATTGCTTTACGCAAGCTACTCTTTCTGAAGAGATGTATGTCAAATATTTAGGTATTTGGTAGGGAAGGAAGCCAGAATACACTGAGATCAAGCAACTCGATAAACATTAATTGAGGACTTCTGTCTAAGGAGTTGCAAGCTCTAATGCCTCAGGATGAGGTAGATGACATAAATCTATTAATTGAGCCTTATATAAGCAATTGGGATGGTGTGAGGTCTGAAGCCTTCAAGACCATGTGATAGCCAGTCAGAACATGTGTTTGGGCCATATTCTGCCCAAAACATTCAGTGTGCAAACTCTTAAGTCTCTTTGTATGATATCTGCTGGATCTTGCAGGAGATGTGAAAGTGAAGACCTGATTCCTGATTTCACTGAGGTAAAAGAATAATACAAATTATTACTTTTCTAATGGCATCTATAATTCCTAGAGTAGCTACAGCGTCCCAGGCATCATGCCATTCTTATTCAATGTTTATACTAACCCTATGCAGTAGTCATATTCAACTCCATTTTAAACATGGGAAAGTGGAGGCCCAGAGAGGTTTAGTTACTTGCTCATGATCATTTCTCTAATATCGGTTAGAGCCCAGGTTAAAATGAAAGTCTACAGACCTGCAGACTTCTAAAACCCATCTTCTTAATCACTCTTCAGGTGTCCTTCAGATTATCTTCCATGAAGAGTTAATATTAGATATTCATTTTTTTAAAAAGATGATTATATGAAAAGGTGTTCAACATCGTTGATCAGAGAAATGCAAATCAAAACTACAATGAGATATTATCTCACCCTAGTTAAAATTACGTCTACCCAAAAGGTAAGCAATAAATAATGCTGGCAAGGATGTGTAGAAAAGGGAACCCTTATACACTCTTTGTGGGAGTGTAAATTAGAGCAACCACTATGGAGAACTGTTTGGAGGTTTCTCAAAAAACTACACATTGAGCTACCACATGACCTGGGTAATCCCACTGCTGGGTATATATCCATAAGAAAGGAATCAGTATATATATATATGAGATATCTGCACCCCCATGTTTATTGCAGCACTAGTCATAAAGCCAACATTTGGAAACAACCTAAATGTCCATCAACATATGAATGGATAAAGAAAATGTGGTACTTATACACAGTGGAGTACTATTCAGCCGTAAAAAGGATGAGATCCTGTCATTTGCAGCAACATAGATGGAACTGGAGGTCATTATGTTAAGTGAAATAAGCCAGGCACAGAAAGACAAATATCACATATTCTCAATTATTTGTGGGGGCTAAAAATTAAAACTCATGGAGTTAGAGAATAGAAAGATGGTTACTAGAGACTGGGAAGGGTAGTGAGGGGGTAGGGGAAGCAGGGATGATTAATGGGCACAAAAAATCAAAACAATAAGATTTAGCATTTGAGAGCACAACAGGAGGACTATAGTAAATAATAATTGTATATTTCAAGACAACTAAAAGAGTATAATTGGATTGTAACATAAAGGATAAATACTTGGCTGGGCATGGGTGGCTCACGCCTGTAATCCCAACACTTTGGGAGGCCAAGGTGGGTGGATCACTTGACGTCAGGAGTTTAAGACCAGCCTGGCCAATATGGTGAAACCCGTCTCTGCTAAAAATACAAAAAGCCAGGTGTGGTGGTGCATGCCTGTAGTCCCAGCTACTTGGGAGGCTGAGGCAGGAGAATCACTTGAGCCTGGGAGGCAGAAGTTGCAGTGAGTTGAGATTGTACCACTGCATTCCAGCCTGAGTGACAGAGCTAGACTCTGTCTCAATAAATAAATAAATAAATAAATAAATAAATAAATAAATAAAATAAATACACACTCGAAGTAATGGATATCCCATTTATCCTGATCAGATTATTACATGTTGTATGTCCGTATCAAAATATCTAATATAGCTCGTAAATATATATACCTGCTATGTAGCCACAAAAATTAAAAAAGAAGATGATTGGTGCTTCTATGGTCAAATAATGGAAAACAACAAAGTTTGAGTTACAGAAAGTGAAACCCCACACATTACTTACTGTGGGATGCTTCCAGTGGCTTCCACATTGTGCATTGTGAATCCCTAAAAGTAGGTATATTTTGCAGTGTTTCCCAAGCTAAGGTGAATTTCATAAATGTGAATTTCATAAATTATCTCAAGTCCTGTTCTAAGGAACAAATTTTGGGAAATTCCTATTTATAATAATACCCAGCTTCCTCATTGAGATTAGTGTTGTCATTAAGGAGACAAATATTGTGGTTGCGCATACTCATTTTACAGAGAGTGTGTCAAAAGAAAGGTAGTCTTAGGATTTGGTCTTAAAGATAGGTAGTAATTTTCATGGATGATAATACTTTCATAGATAATGTGTGGGGGCTAGGGAACACTTCAGGAGAGGATTTCAGTCACAGGAGTGGCATAAACATACACAAAGGACTGAGGGGCACAAGAGTCAATTTGGGCAATGTGGGAAAAGACTGGTGGATGAGTGTGATTTGATGGTTACCATGTGTTCACTTACTGTTAATTATATTTTAGAAGATGGTTCTTATTACTTCAAAAGTTAGAAAAGATCTAGAAGATTTTAAGTCAGATAACAGGATGTCATCTTCACATATATTAAATTCACTAATTTCTTGAAAAAATATTTACTACTATTATCTTCCAGGCCCTGTTTTGGGTCTGATGCTACAGCTGTAAATAAGCTGCACAAGGTTCCTGTTCTCAGAAAACTCACAGACAAAAGCAACACAAAGCGACATGAAAATGTCAACGAGCGGTAACTGCTCTGCAGAGAGTTAAAACAGGCTGATGTGATGAAGAGTGCCTTAATGGCCAGTGTAAAATAATAAGGACCTAGATATTTTGAAGATCATGGGGAGAACATATTAGGCAGAGAGAACAGTTAGTTCAGTATCCTCAAGGGAGAAACAAACTTGAGGTTATGGAGGAACAGAGAGAAGACTAATGTGGTTGGAGCATTGGCAAGGAGGAAAATAGTAAGAAGAGTTTGGAGAGTTGATAAGAGCGAGAACACAGAGTAAGGAATTAGAATTTTTTTTGTAAGTGTGCTGGTGAGCTGTTGGAGGTTTGTAAGAAGGGGTAAGGAGGTTGTAGACTGTGTAGTCTTCCCTCTGATTGCTTTGTGAATGATAAATTACAGGAAAGAGAGTAGAGGATCCAGTTAGGAAGTGATTGTAATAGTGTAGGAAGTTCTAGTTTGGACTTGGGGTGGTAGTTGTGATGGAGAGAAGTAGAGAATTAATTAAACCTAGGATGTGCTAATGAAATGGAAGCGGGGTGTAGCGGGGAGGAAATTAGGTACAGGCTGGTGGCATTTCCTGAGATGAGGAAGACTGAGGGAGGTGCAGGTTTGGATGGAATGTCAGGAGGTTTGTTTTGGACACATTAAGATGGAAATGCCTGTTAGACCTTCATGTGGAGAGGTCAAAGCAGCAATTGGATTGGTGAATCTTGAAATCAGGAGTGAGGTCTGGGCTGGAGATAATAATATAGGGGTATATTACTCCACATTATTCCAATAACGTAGTTAAAAAGGTCTACCCACAGTTAAAATGCACCTCAAAAAGATAAGCAAGCAAAAGTATCTGTTAATAGTGAAAACTTAAAAGTGAATAAGGTATAGAAATACCATAGTGCAACAGGAATTAAGGACACAACTAGTTTCCTCTTATTTATTAAGTGGTGGTAAAGCATCAGGAAAGCATTAAATTTTAGTATTTAATACCAAGAAGTCCCCTGTAGTTCAAATACTTGTCTCCTCTACAACACCGTGGGTAATATCTTTCCTGGAGAGGCCTGAATGCTCGGTATTGCCAGGGCTTATTGTTGCCTTCCAAGGTGAGCAATTCCAGGTTTATAATAAGTTCTTCCTTTTTGTGAATGGATATTTTTTTCAGCAGTAGTTTTTCTCTCCATTTTCACCCGATGCTACAATTTGAGATTTAGAAAATCCAATCCTCACTCCTTATAAGAATCTCTCATTTACTGTGAGATGGTTATTGTGCCTTTCAGGATTTTTAGGTTAAATATACCTAGTACTTTTAGTTGCATCTCATATGACATGTCTTTCAGTTGCCTTGCACTTGTTTTGTTTTTGTTTGTTTTTGAGACAGAGTCTCATTCTGTCACCCAGCCCATGCTGGAGTGCAACCTCTGCCCCTCGGGTTCAAGCAATTCTCCTGTCTTAGCCTCCCAAGTAGCTGGGACTACAGGCACATGCCACCAATGCCCAGCTAATTTTTGTGTTTTTAGTAGAGATAGGGTTTCACCATGTTGTTCAGGCTGGTCTCGAACTCATGACCTCAGATGATCTACCCGCCTTGGCCACCCAAAGTGCTGGAAATACAGGAGTGAGCCACCACGCCCGGCCACACTTAAGAACAATTTGTCCGCATCCCTCTCCAAGCATGGCACCTTGGGTTTCCCACAGTGTTGTGGGCGTGCTCCAATGAGACTGAGTAGAGGTGGCTGTGGCTCCCATTTGCCCATACTTCTGTTGATGGGAAGCAATACAAGACCTCTCTGCTTTTTATTTTTTCATAAAATCTTTGATTTTACAATAGTTTTATAGAAAAGTTGCGAAGATAGTATAGACAGTTACTATTTACCCTGTATCCAGCTATCATTGTTGTTAACATATTATGTTGTTATAGTTTGTTTGGCACAACAAATGCACAAACATTGGTACAATGCTACTAAGTCAACTCTACTTTATTTAGATGTCTTTAGTTTTTTTTCCGTAGTGTCATTTTTCTGTTCCAGAGTCCCATCCAAGCTACTGTATTACTTTTAGTTGTCATGTCTCATTAGCTTCCTCTGGATTGTGACAGTTTCTCAGATTTTCCTTGTTTTTCGTGACCTTGACAGTCAGGTATTTTTAGAATGTCCCTCAGTCTGTGCTTGTCTGATGTTTTCCTCATGGATGGATGGGGCTTGTGGGGTTGGGAGAGGAAGGTCACAAAGCTGAAGTGCCGTTTTCATCACATCATACCAAGGGCACACGCTGTCAACATGGCTTATTGCTGATGACACTAACCTTTTTCACCTGGCCAAGGTTTCTCTAGTGTAAAGTTACTCTGTTCTCCCTTTCCATACTGTTTGTTCTCGTTGGAAGAGCAGCCCCTGCTCAAGAGGAGGGGAGTTAAACTCCACCTTCTTGACTGGGGAGTATTTACAAGAATTGTTTGGAATTGTGTAGTGGAGATTAGTCTCTTCTCTCCCAGTTATGATCAATTCAATCACTAATTTCTATCAATATGGACTCATGGATATTTGTTTGATCCTTGGATTATGATACAAGAGTATGCTATTTATTTTGTTGCCCAAATTGTTTCAGCTTTGGCCATTGGGAGCTCCTTCAGGTTGGCTTCTGCGTCCCACTGATATACCTCCATTATTTTGTTTCCCTCTGTGTTTTTTCACTCTGTGCTGCTGCTCACTCATGAATCTCCCATCTTATAGTGTGCTATTGTTTTTTGGGGGGAATTGTTGATATAAAACATATATTATGTTTATCCTTATTACATTTCGGCTTCTTAGACTCTCCCATTACTATCACCTCTTGCCTGCTCTGTGGCAATGACCTCTTACCTGGTTTCTGAAATTCCATTCTAATCACCCCCACTTGCACTATAGAGTCAGTCCTCTGAACAGTAGCCAGAATGATTTTTCTAAACAAATCAGTCATGTCACTCTTCCCCATGTTGGTGCATGAAGCTTCTATGGCCCAGTTCTTGCTCATCTCTCTGATCTCATCTCTTAAGATTTGCATCCCTCCCTCAGTGTATTTTAGCCATATGCTGATTTTTTCTGTTCCTTACAAATACTAAACTTGTCCACATGGGGCCTTTCAAACATTGGGCCTCTCTGCTGGGAATATTCTTCCTTCTTACCTTCAAATGGCTGAATTTTCCTTGGTGTTTCTGATCTTAGCTCAAATAACAGCTTGTCAGGAGGCATTTTTTTGCCACCCAATCTAGGGTAGTCTCAGTCTCTCCCTGTCATATTACCATGTTTTGTTTTCTTTATAGCAATCATCATCATGGGATGATTATTTTTCTTAATAATTTATTAGTCATTTGTTATCTGCCTGCTCTCACCATTAGAATATATGTAGGTAGGGTCTTATCTCTCTTGTTCATAGCTGTGTCTTCAGTGCCTAAAGCAGTTACTAGCACATAGGAGATTGCAATAAATATTTGTTAAATGCTGGTTGCAAAAGGCCTCATGATTTCTTCTGAGTAGCACTTATCTCTGAGGTTTCCATAATGTGTTGGCCCTTGTGTCGTTATACCTTGGTTATTTCATGCTATTGTCTTTTACAGGATTGTATAGTACAATTATCCTTCAGATTATATGTTCTGTCTGTCATAGTAAATTTCCTCCATAGAGAGAGAATAAAGCTAACCCTGTTCCCATCAATACTTGCTTCTATCCTGTAAATATGTCCAATGTCCAAGCCCTCCCTGTATGTCTCATTCCATTGCACATCACCAGGTCAGACACTGTGGAATCCTAAACTGTGAGAGTTGAAGGCAGAGCTTGCAGGCACCAAAATTTTTCTTACAAACTAATATCAATTAAGATAGCAGCTCTCTATGAATATGACTGTTACACATTTCATGATCTTGCCTATTTATGCCATTATCCAGTCCATAGCTCTGTCTTGATCACAACAAAATCAGTGCTATGTCAGTATCCTAACCAAGCTAAGATATAATAAAATTATGTATTCCTTGCGTTACCTGTTTAACCTATTCTGGACTCCTTATTATCTCTATTTCCTGGTCTTAGTATTCAAAAGTCATCTGTCTAATAATCCACTTTAGACTCTATCTTTGAATCTATATGAAACTCATAGTCTGTCACAATGAAATTTATCCTTTCCCTTTTACCTCCTTTTTTTGCTCTCTTTCAACTGATACACAGTCACATAATTTTAATAAAATTAGAGAGGTTCTCAAACAAGCATAATGTTTTAACGTGTTAAGGAGTGTGCATTCATTAGACATGTCTGATACCATGCAAATTTGACCATCATGTAGCTTACATGAGCTATATAGCACTTTATAGTCACTATAAAATCACTAACTGACAATTCTCGTTTAACTTGAAATGACTTATTGTTTTAACTAACTTACTTGTAAGTACTTGTGACTGTCTGTCTGTTACAATGGGGATTGCATTAGAGACTAATGTCAGTCCTGGAGGTACCGGTGGAATCAGTTACTATCTCAGTTCTTTCAGATGGTACAGAAAAAATCATCTAGTATTTATTGTTGCTGTAGTGTTGTCTTTGGTCAGCTTCCTTGGGAAACACACTTTGAGTCTCTGATATTTGTATCTGTGAGGTTTATTGTGTTGTGCCCTAGGGAACAATAGCTTATGCAAGGCTCAGGAAGCAGGATGGGCAGATAGAGAGGTTGAATTGAGATGCAGTTGCAACAGAGGCCTCAGCCAATCCTTTGGGGAGCTCTGGAGTTAGGATGGCCCTTCCAAGCTGTCTTGAACTGAGACAGTGGGCTGTCTATATACCTCCCCATTTAGCAGACGTTAGACATTTGCTGCTTCTGGGATGGAGTGTAGTTTTGGATGAGGCGGCTTCCTTTCACCAAAGGCAGTTCCCAGAGAGGGGCCAAGCTGTGAGCACTGCTGGCAGCTGGGGCACTAAGTGCTTCATTTACTAAAGGAAGGATCTTTGGTTGTGTGGACAACACACAACAGCATCTCCTACAGTTGAATTCAAATACATTTCATGCCCCATTTCTAAACAGCATCTCCTATGGGGGAATTCAAATAGATTTCCTGTCCTGTTCCTAGCTTCCTGTTAATGATGAATTTATTTGCATTCATTCTTGAATCATTACATTCATGTTCTTTTCCAAGGTCCTGTATCTATTCTGATTATCTGCTTCTTCAGTTTCTTCATCTATGGAGTAGGGATAATCACACACGTGCATGGGTGCACACACACACACACACACACACACACACACACATTCAGTGGCCTGGCACAGTGTTGAGTACTTAGTAAATGCTAGTTTCTTCTGTTCAAACTTTAAATGCACCTTTAACTACCCTAGCTAAGAAACAAACAATTAAGTTTCACAGATCCCCGTCCCTCCCTTTGAAATAGAATGCTCCCCTCTTCTAGCATCTTTTAGGCATTTCACGAAGTGTGTTTAGAGAAACTTAAAAAATCAGCAACCCCCAATCCAGAACTACCTCAACCCCTTCCACATCCCCACATCTCACCTCTTGGGTAGGTAAACGCTAGTTTAAAGACCACAGGTTTCTGGAAGCTTCTTAAACTTTGGCATGTTAACATTTAGTGGAGGAATAATCTGAGGTTTTACTGACCAAGTCCTTTATTCATAGTTGACAAGAAAGCAGTGCCTTTTTGAAGCTATTATATGAAGTACTATATTAGAATGGGTGTTGAAAAAGCTGCTTTTCCTTGTTCTTTCAAAACAGTTTTTCCTGCAGAGGAAACTCAAGTCTCAACCTGTTACATTGATAATGCTCAATAACATCTGATTTGAGTCAATACTGATTATTGTGCAGCTTGGCCTGCCAGGAGATATTATCCTTCCTTCAGCTAACCAGTCTCAGTGATTCTTTATCAAACATCTCTAAACTGTGACAACTCATTCTTGTTCTAGCATCTTCTATGTGCTGAAGAAAACAAATAGACACTTGACTGTGTCAACAATGCATGCCCCTTTTTTTTCTTTGTAGGAACCTAGTTTATGTAAAGAAGTAAATTGTCTCTGCAAGATATGACAGAATCAAATTGGTTTGGTATGCTGAACAGTTTATGTTTATTGACTGGTATCATGAATTCAATCAGCGATTTTCAACAGGGTGTGATGGAAATCGCTAAATTCATGTGGCATCTTCAGGTGTTTATTGAAAGCATTTGCAGTAATCTCATGTCCATCTTTACTTCTGGGGCCTGTCCTATTATTGTACATGATTTTGAGGCCCAAAAAGTGTTTTAAAAATAATCCATAAACTGGCCGGGCGTGGTGGCTCACGCCTGTGATCCTAGCACTTTGGAAGGCCGAGGTGGGGCAGATTGCCTGAGCTCAGGAGTTTGAGACCAGCCTGGGCAACACGGTGAAACCCCATCTCTACTAAAATACAAAAAATTAGCCAGATGTTGCAGTGTGCGCCCTTAGTCCCAGCTACTCGGGAGGCTGAGGCAGGAGAATTGCTTGAATCCAGGAGGCGGAGGTGGCAGTGAGCCAAGATTGTGCCACTGCACTCCAGCCTAGTGACAGAGCAAGACTCCATCTCAAAAAAAAAAAAAAAAAAAAAATTATAAACTTAAATTTACAAAGCTCAAACGTTGTAACTACTTTAGTTTGGGAAATAAATGGTTAGCATATGCGGTATCATCTAGAATTCCCCTGTGGCCTCCTGCCACCTTCAGAATAAAAGCTAATGTCATTATGATGCCCAGAGTGATCCTGCTCTCTGGTTACTTCTTTAACTCATTATGAACTGCCCTATCTCTTGCTCGCTCTTCACCAGCCACACTGACTTCTTTGATGTTTGTCTAATATGCTGGGACAGCTCCCACCTCTGGACCTTTAAGTTTGTTCCTTCATCACGCTGCTCAGTTAAATCAATGACTTGCTCCCTTACCACCTCCTAGTTTTGTGCAATGTGACTTTCTCATTAACGTCTCCTCTTAAAACTTTTAAACTTTAAAGCAGCAGACACTACCCCAAACCGCACCCGCTCTCTGCTCCCTGGCCCTATGACAATCTCTCTCTCTTCTTTGCTTTATTTTTCTCTTTGGTTTGTAGCACCTTCTAATATACAATATATTCATTTATTGTGTTTATTGTCTTTTCTGCTCACTAGAATATAATGTTCTTGGATACAGGGAGTTTTGCATGTTCTGTCCACTAACGAATCCCTAGAGCCTGAAATAATGCCTGAAACTAAACAAATGTTTGTTGAATAAATGAGTGCAAATAAGATAAGAGGACATAATCTACATGGAAACTGACCTAACAGGACATCAAATATAGGCTGTATACTCTAAATGAGTTAGGATTGCGTTCTAGCAATATACAAAAATTTGCCTCTTTTACAAATCTCAGAAGTTCACATTGTTTCTCATAGATACCTTTTTTAAGAAAGTGTCTATAAAGTATTTACCCGTTCTCTCTTAACTGTTTCTCATTTACTTATTGCTTTGCTTGTTGTGGCGTATAGTTCAATTTTTCACACCTTGTTTAGACTTACGTGTTTACTGTTACTCCACTGTTTTAAGTTTCCTACCTCCTTAAATCCACAAAGCACTTCAAGAAAGGATTTCCATGTATTATATTTTGTTCAGAAAGCCTTATCTCAGGCAGACATATTTGCCCATTTTCTTTTTTATTAAAAAAAGTTTTATAATCATTATACATGCAGAGTGCCGTTCCAACAGACTGGGTTAGTATCTCTCCATGAAACCGCATACAATAAAATGGTTTCCTAAAAAAAGTTAACAATGCATAAAATGCTGATACAGTGCTTCAGAACACTTAATTATTTCTTTTTCCCCCCATTGTTTATCATTGTTTTGTCAACTTTTTATATCACTACCCACAATGCTTTGAGTTTGGTTTTCTTTGAACATTCTTTTCCTCTGAACTTACCATGAACTTGTGTCTGTAGCATGCCGCCACAGATTGCCACTGCCACTTTATAAAGGGGAAAAAAAATCAACACTTTGGTTGTAAAAGGTGCTAAAAGCAAGCTCCGATAATATGCAATAGTAAAAACACATCCAATTGCTGTTTTAGGCTGCAGTATGATGCTTGCTTTAAAGGACAGTTGGTGTAATAATTTGCACATACTTAAGGAGAGTCAGGAATTAAGTTTGTGTAGGGAGGAGGAAGAGGAAAAAAGAATTATCCTTCATAAGATTAGGTGGACCGTAGGAGGAGAAAGATTGCATAAATACTAAATATGATACAAGAGAGGACGGGGCCCATTATTGCACACGCAGTGTAGGATGATGCAGAGGGTTATTTGTTTTGTGCAGTAGGATGGGAGGAGGGAATTTTTTTGCATTTCTGATTATTTCTCTGCATACAGAGTTCTATTAGGAAATTATTGTTCCTTCTGATCAAAGTCTTATGACGTGGGTTCTGGATTGGGAAACAAATCCTGGGTGTTCAATGCAGCCGTTCCAGTGGATAAAAGTGAATGTGAAAGTCCTACAATAAGAATTCCTGCCCAACTTGCATTCTCAGGTGATTATTTGGTAAGAGGAGAATGCATGAACCCTGACTGTGGGATGTGACCCAGGTCATGGCAAAGTCTTGGTTTCTTAAACACCAGGATATCCAATAATTTCCCTATATCCCATGTTATATTCGGCTTACTGTGTTGCATCAGAGCTGCAGCAGGGCTTGAAGGACCAAGAATAATGTGGGTCAAACCATCTGTTTAGGATTGTCTGGGAGATTGAAAAATCTTACTTGTTTGTCTCCCTTTGCCTCACCTCTCCTTGAGGGAGTAGGTGAGGGGAGGAGGACGGAGACTTTAGTAAGACTGATGAAGAGTATGGTCACAGAAATTCCAGTAGAGAGAATTAAGGGTGCTGAGGTGTTTCTTCTGTTCTTCACACACACACACACACACACACACACACACACACACACACACACAAAGGATCATGTGAATGGGATGCCACACAACCACTCAGGGAGCATGGTACAGGTAGCCTGGCTCCTAGGGGTTGCAGAGTCTGGTACCCGACCTAAGCATGCAAAGGTAAGAAGGCAAGAAACCATGGCAATGAAACAGGGACGCATGGAATGAGCCACACTTTCACAACTAGTAGGGAAGAGATGGGATCTCCTGGAGGTCATCTGCGGATCCTGTGGAAGGGAGTCAATTATGACCGCTCCCACCCCACACACTGAAGAATTTACTGTCAGGAGGAAGATAACCTCAGCAGAAAGAGACTAGAGTAGATTATCTAAGGTAGAAGTTGAGGGGGTTCCTCAGTCAGCGTCTGTGGCATTGCCAGTGTCCAAGAACTGGTGTGAGGCTAATCTCTGAGGCACCCATCCAAATTTAAACCATAAGAGCCAGCACTGGGTCAGGGTAGGACATAAGTCCCAGCCAAGGAAGACCTCTCCTATCTTACTTCTCCCCCTTCTCCTCATTCTTCACTTACGTGGCAGTTAAAATTTGACTCAGATTTTTATTGACTAGAATTTTAAATTGCCACCAACCAAGATGTTTGCTTATTTAATAAGCATTTATTGAGCAGGTAGTATATGCAAGGCACCATGCACTTGCGTATTTCCTGACTTCGAGGAATATGTCTAGCAATGAGATTTTCCTTATTTATTTATTTATTGAGATGGAGTCTTGCTCTGGTGCCCAGGCTGGAGTGCAGTGGTGTAATCTTGGCTTGCTGCAAGCTCCGCCTCCTGGGTTCACACCATTCTCCTGCCTCAGCCTCCTGAGTAGCTGGGACTACAGGCGCCCGCCACCATGCCCGACCAATTTTTTTTCATTTTTAGTAGAGACGGGGTTTCACTGTGTTAGCCAGGATGGCCTCAATCTCCTGACCTCTTCCTCCACCCGCGTTGGCCTCCCAAAGTGCTGGGATTACAGTCGTGAGCTACTGCGCCCGGACTATTTTTGTTTTTAATGCAATTTTGGTCTTCAAAAAATTGACAATAGCATAGATGTTTTAGGCCTATACACATAGTTTATGATATGGAAATTTCACTTCCACTTGAGTGAACAAAGTGAAATGAGATTGAGCTGGGAAGACTGGGAAAGGAAGAGCATGCTCAGGATAGTCCTTCTAGATAGATGAATGGAGGAAATCTAGGGCAGGAAGCTGCATAACTATACAGGCATACCTCAGAGACATCATAAGTTCAGTTCCAGACCACCGCAATAAAGCAAATATTACAATCAATCAGGTCACACAGATGTTTCCCCAGTACATATAAATGTTTTGTTTATGCTATACTGTGGTCTATTAAGTGTACAATAGCATTATGTCCAAATAAAGAACGTACATACCTTAATTAAAAATACTTTATTGCTAGAAAATGCTAATGATCATCTGAACCTTCAGTGAGTCGTAATCCTTTTGCTGGTGAAGGAGGGTCTTGCCTCAGTGTTGATGGCTGCGGATTGATCAGGGTGGTTTTTGCTGAAGGTTGGGGTGGCAGTGACAATTTCTTAACCTAAGACAACAATAAAGTTTGCCATGTCAATTGACTCTTCCTTTCTTGAAAGATTTCTCTGTAGGAGACAAGGCTGTTTGACAGCATTTTACCCACAGTAGAACTTCTTTTAAAACTGGAGTCAATTCTCTCAAACCACTGCTTTATCAACTAAGTTATTCTAAATCCTTTGATGCCTTTTCAACAATGTTCACAGCATCTTCACCAGGAGTGGATTCCATTTTAAGAAACCTCTTTGTTTGTTCATCTATAAGAAGCAACTCCTCATCCATTAAAGTTTTATGAGATTGCAGCAATTCAGTTGCATCTTCAGGCTCCCCTTCTAATTCTAGTTCTCTTGCTATTTCCACTATATCTGCAGTTCCTTCCTCTCCTGAAGTCTTGAACCATGGCCAAAGTCATCCATGAAGATTGGAATCAACTTCTTCCAAACTCCTGTTAATGTTGATTTTTTCTTTTTTACCCCCTCTCATGAACCACAAATGCTCTTAATGGCATCTAGAATGGTGAATCTTTTCCAGAAGGTTATCAATTTAGTTGGCCTAGTTCCACTGGAGAAATTACTATCTATGGCAGCTATAGCCTTACAAAATATATATATATGTATATTTTTTTTAACTATACTTTAAGTCCTGGGGTACATGTACAGAATGTGCAGTTTCGTTACATAGGTATACATGTGCCATGGTGGTTTGCTGCACCCATCAACCCATCATCTACAATAGGTATTTCTCCTAACGCTATCCCTCCCTTGGCACCCCAACCCTGACAGGCCCTGGTATGTGATGTTCCCCTCCCTGTGTCAATGTGCTCTCATTGTTCAACTCCCACTTATGAGTGAGAACATGTGGGGTTTGGTTTTCTGTTCTTGTGTTAGTTTGCTGAGAATGATGGTTTCCAGCTTCATCCATGTCCCTGCAAAGGACATGATCTCATCCTTTCTTATGGCTGCATAGTATTCCATGGTATATATGTGCCACGTTTTCTTTATCCAGTCTGTCATTGATGGGCATTTGGGTTGGTTCCAAGTCTTTGCTATTGTGAATAGTGCTGCAGTAAACATACGTGTGCATGTGTCTTTATAGTAGAATGATTTGTAATCCTTTGGGTATATACCCAGTAATGGGATTGCTGGGTCAAATGGTATTTCTGGTTCTAGATCCTTGAGGAATCACCACACTGTCTTCCACAATGGTTGAACTAATTTACATTCCTACCAACAGTGTAAAAGCATTCCTATTTCTCCATGTCCTCTCCAGCATCTGTTGTTTCCTGACTTTAATGATCGCCATTCTAACTGGCATAAGATGGTATCTCACTGTGGTTTTGATTTGCATTTCTCTAATGACCAGTGATGATGAGCTTTTTTTCATGTTTGATGGCTGCATAAATGTCTTCTTTTGAGAAGTGTCTGTTCATATCCTTCACCCACTTTTTGATGGGGTTGTTTGTTTTTTCTTGTAAATTTGTTTAAGTTCTTTGTAGATTCTGGATATTAGCCCTTTGTAGATTCTGGATATTCACTCTGATGATAGTTTCTTTTGCTGTGCAGAAGCTTTTTAGTTTAATTAGATCTCATTTGTCAATTTTGGCTTTTGTTGCCATTGCTTTTGGTGTTTTAGTCATGAAGTCTTTGTCCATGCCTATGTCCTGAATGGTATTGCCTAGGTTTTCTTCTAGGGTTTTTATAGTTCTAGGTCTCACATTTAAGTCTTTAATCCTTCTTGAGTTAATTTTTATATAAGGTGTGAGGGAGGGGTCCAGTTTCAGTTTTCTGCATATGGCTAGCCAGTTTTCCCAACACCATTTATTAAATAGGAAATCATTTCCCCATTGCTTATTACAAAATATATTTCTTACATTGAGACTTGAAAGCCAAAATTACTGCTTGATCTGCAGGTTGCAGAATAGGTGTCATGTTGTTAGGCTTGAAAACAATATTCATCTCTTTTGGCATCTCCATCAGAGCCCTTGGGTGACCAAGTGCATTGTTAATGAGCAGTAATATTTTGAAAGGAATCTTTTTTTCTGAGCAGTAGGTCTCAACAGTGCACTTAAACTACTCAGTAAGCCACGTTGTAAAAAGATGTGCTGTCCTGCAGGTTTTGTTGTTTCACTTTTACTGCTCCGGCAGAGTAGATTTACTCCAATTCTTAAGGGCCCTAGGAATGTTTGGAATGGTAAATAAGCGTTGGCTTTCACTTAGAGTCACCAGGTGCATTAGCCCCTAACAAATAAGAGAGTCAACCTGTTCTTTGAAGCTTTGAAGCCAGGCATTGACTTCTCCTCTCTAGCTGTGAAAGTCCTAGATGGCATCTTCTTCAAATATAAGGCTGTTTTATCTACAATGAAAATGTGTTCTGTAGTGTAGCCCCCGTCATCAGTCATCTCAGCTAGATCTTCTGGATATTTTGCTGCAGCTTCCCCATCAGCACTCGCTGCTTCCCCTTGCACTTTTATGTTATGGAGATGGCTTCTTTCCTTCAAGCTCATGAACCACCCTCTGCTGGTTTTAAACTTTACTTCTGCAGCTTCCTCATCTCTCTCAGCCTTCATAAGAATTGAAGAGAGTTTGAGCCTTGCTCTAGATTAGGCTTTGGGTTAAGGGAATACGTTGTGGCTGGTTTGATTTTTTTTATCCGGACCACTCAAACTTTCTCCTTATCAGTCAGAAGTCTGTTTCACTTTCTTATCATTCATGTATTCACTGCAGTAGCACCTTTAATTCTCTTCAATAACTTTTCCTTTGCATTACAACTTGACTAATTGTTTGGCACAAGAGTCCTAGCTTTCAGCCTGTCTTGGCTTTGACATGCCTTCCTCACTATCCGGAATCGTTGCTAGGTCTTGATGTAAAGTGAGAGACATGAGACCCTTCCTTCCACTTGAACACTTAGAAGCCATTGTAGGGTTATGAACTGGCCTAACTTCAATATTGTTGCATTTTGGGGAATAAAAAAGGCCCAAGGAGAGGAAGAGAAATGGGGGAATGGCTGGTCAGTGGAGCAGTCAGAGCACACACAATATCTATCAATTAAGTTTGCCTTCTTATACGGGCTTGGTTTGTTGCATCCTGAAACACTTGCAAAAATAACATCAAAGATCCCTGATCTTGGCCCCCATATCACACATAATAATAATGAAAAAGTTTGAAATAGTTTGAGAATTACCAAACTGTGACACAGAAACAAAATGAGTATATGTTGTTGGGAAAATTGTGTCAATATATTTGTTTGACGCAGAGTTGTCACAAACCTTCAATTTGTTAAAAAGAAAACAAAAAAACAAACCACAGTATCTGTGAAGTGCAATAAAGTGAAATGCAATAAAATGAGCTATATTATGGCTTGTGTATTATTCATTGTGATCTTCTCATTCACTTGTCAAGTTGTTTAATTTTAGGTCTTGATTTTATGACAAAATAACTTCTTTTGCTCATTTGCTTCTTTTGTAAATATTTATTGAACACATATTGAACTATGTGCAGGACATTGTGCTAGACATGTCTTTCCTGCCTTCAAGAAATGTATAATCTAGTAGTAGAAAGAGATTTCCTTTGTGCAGATTGCTGCAATATTTAGAAGCATGTAATTAGTGAGGTGTGAACTGTATTAGTGAGGAATCTTTTATTGTGAATGATAGTGACCCAATCTGAAATAACTTAAAAAATAAGAGCTTTATTGGCTCATGTACTAGGAAGTGCAGAAGTGTAGAGAGTGACACTACAGGCCCAGCTAATGCCGTCAGAAAGGGGTACATCTTCATCTTCCCATCACTCTACTCTGCTCACCTTTCTACTAGCTTCATGCACAGGCAGCTTTCTTCCTGTGGAAGCCATTCTAGGCCACACCAACCTCTTAGCTAGTATCTCCAGAGAAAACTCTGTATACTTTTTTTCCCTCACAGGCCCAGGAAATTTTTTGTAACTGGCCCACTTTGGGCTCTATGCCCTTCCTGTGGCAAAGGAGATGAAGTGCTCTTCTCTTTGGTGGCAGAAGTGGTTGTTTTCAGTCAAAGTATCTGCAATGTAGTCTCCAAAAGGAAAGGGCATTCTTTTACGTGAGACAGTGGGAGAGAAAGGATGCAAGCAAAACTATAGCTCTGCTAGGTATTTGAGGGACACAGACTGTATTAGTCCATTCTTGCACTGCTTATAAAGAAATACCCAAGACAGGGTAATTTATAAAGAAAAGAGGTTTAATTGGTTCACGGTTCTGCAGGCTGGACAGAAAGCATGATGCTAGCATCTGCTCGGCTTTGGGGAGGCCTCAAGAAACTTACAATCATAGTGGAAGGCAAAGCTAGCACTTTACATGGCTGGAGCAGAAGGAAGGGAGAGAGTGAGGAGGTGCCATATACTTTTAAACAACCAGATCTCAGGACAGCTCACTATCATGATGACAACACCAAGGGTGAATGGTGTTAAACTGTGAGAAACTGCCCCCATGATCCAATCACCTCCCACCAGGCCCTACCTCCAGCCCTAGGGAAAACATTTCAACATGAGATTTGGATGGGAACACAAATCCAAATCATATCACAGACTAAAACTTTAGGAGTACAGAGAAGGGAGGGGTCCTTTCTCATGACTGTAGAGCGTATACAGGAGTTGGTGGTAGTAATAGCTGAGCTTTTTGCATTTCAGTAGAGAATTTGATAGGCCATGGAAGAAGCTTCTCTCCCAGGCAGACTTACCAAACCATGATATTTACAAAGCTCAAAACAAATTCAGTTCATACTCTATGAGTTTCTTCTCTATATATCCTAGTACCTTGAAAGTAATCCATACTCTGAAATCATTCCCTCAGTTTCTCTCTTTCCTTCCCCTCCCCATTGTGATCACGATGCCACTCATGATGTCATTTGTACTAATATGGTAAAGGTCATTGGTAACTTCCTAATCTGCAAATCTGGCCTCTGCAGCACCATCTGACTTGGTATCTCTGAGTTTGACATTGTGATTCACACCTTAGTTCTGGAAACTTTCCCCTCTCTTGATTCCGAGAGACTGTTCTCTCTCCTGGTTCTTTTCTGCTTACCTGAGCATTCTTCCTGAGGCAATGCCATTGGCCTTTTTATCTCTGACCTCTCCTTAATGTCTCTTTTTCCCAGAACACAAGCCTAGCTCTCTTGCTATTTGACATGTTCCTTTCTGGTCAATCCCATTCATTCTCATGGCATCTGTGACTACCTGTCCCTGCTCATCCGCACCCATGGCACTGTCAGAGTTCTAATCCTCCCTGTCGATCCCAAACTCTGGGATCTATACAGATCACAAATTAACATTTCCCTTGAGATCTTTCTCTATCCATTTTCTTCTTCTCACTGCTGTCACTCCAAATTTTAACTTAAAATTCATATCTTGCCAACACTCAAGAAAGTTTCAGGAAGATGATGAGGAGTGCTGCTGTGTTTTCAACGTTATGGTTACAAAATAGACTTTAGTTCCTACTGCTGTGATTTTTTCCCCCTCAGTTTTCTTTGCCTGTTTTACATTTACAACATCAAAGCATTCAATATTAATTACCATACCATTACCTTTAATCAAATGTCTATCCTTACCACTCTGTAGTGCCCAAATCAAGACAAACTTAGTTCATCTTTAATCAAGTGAGTGCTCTTATCAAGTTAACTTCCACAATTTTTGTCAAAAGAAGTGTCACTTACTGACTGCTTCAAAAAACCTGTTCAAAGGTCCACTTAAGATTACTTTTTCTTCAGTCCCACTGACAACAATTTTAGTAGTTTTCCAATTCATTTTTATAGAACCTTCTGCTATGTCTTTTATCATTTATTTTGCTTAAAACAAAGATATAAACATTTTAACTACTGAGAACAATCACCTCAATTTTCAGCCCTCTTTTATTTATACTGTAAGCCATAAAATCATGTCAGGGCATTTAAATATTTTACTAGCTAAAATTCTATCTTCATATAGATTGTTTTTTATTTTAATTTTTAAAGCATGCATATGGTCTTTATTTTAAGAAAATTCCAAATAAAAAATACTTATGTTATAAAAATACATTATCACTGTAGATTTAGAAATCACTGCTGAGCTAAAAAGAAGCAAATAAAATCATATTCACAAATAGCCACCGTTACATGCATCTAGACTTTCTAAACTTTTCTTTAGAAATGGTTTTGTTTTTAAAAAAATAAGAGTTGGATCATACTCTGTGTGTGTGTGTGTGTATTTTACACCTTTAACAAAACATGCATATCCTGGATGTTTTTTTTAGACAGTCTCGCTCTGTCACCAGGCTGGAGTGCAGTGGTGCGATCTTGGCTCACTGCAATCTCCGCCTCCTGGGTTCAAAGGATTCTTCTGCCTCAGCCTTCCTAATAGCTAGGATTACAGGTGTGTGCCACCACACCCAGCTAATTTTTGTATTTTTAGTAGAGACAGGGTTTCATCATGTTGGCCAGGATGGTCTCGATCTCCTGACCTCGTGATCTGCTGCCTTGGCCTCCCAAAGTGCTGGGATTACAGGTGTGAGCCACCGCACCCAGCTGATATCCTGGATTTTATATGTAACTTTTTAGAATTTTCTACTACCTCAGAGAACTGCTACTAGGGATAGTATCCTATTATTCAGGATACTATAAATGTACATCTCCTCTCCCTTTGTTTTGGGATAATATAATGCTAGGTTACTTTTATTGGGGGCTTTTCACGTGACAGTCACTGTGCTCAGTGGTTTACAGATATTGTTGGACTCCTTACAAGAACTCCATGAGCTTACTGGAAGTATCCATCTTTAATGGACAAGGATGTGAAGCACAGTGAGATTTCTATTTTGACCAGACTTACAGCACCAGTAAAGTGGCACAACCAAAATTCAAATCCAGGTCTTTGGCCTCCAGTCTGTGCTAAAACCCACAACAGAATACACCAAGGACATTTAGAAAATATATAGTAAGGTGTCATGCTGGGCATGCTTGCTTGCCCAGTGTCCCCAGTCTGCCAATCTTTGGGATTCCTGAGGTGGGGTGACACTGTCATGAGGCTGCGAGGAAACCCTAAGCCAAATGGAAAGAGTGGAATAATTTTCCTCTGATGTTTGAGAGAGAAGATCCTGAAGTCCTGTTAGGAAAACTCCCTAAAATGCTTCTTCTGTTTCCTTTCTCAGCTTGTGTACTGTCATCAAAGCCTATAGATCTTGCTAATTTTCAAGAGGTGCCATTATCATCAAGAAATGCATCGTCAACTACCAAGATACCTTAATTCTTGCCTTTTTAGTCAGGTGTCAGCAGCTTGCATAAAATACTTGCATTTTACTTCTCTGTTAAAGATATAAATTCCCTTCTTGGGTACCAAGCAGTGTGTAGAATTTGCATAAGAAATGTGCTCACTGGTATGAAGTTTCTGCTATGCAAGATGTGTAGTGCTAGAGAACTACGGTGCAATTTACTACCACCATTTAACAATGTGGTATTGCACACTTTAAACTGTGTTAAGAGGGTAGATCTCATGGTAACTGTTCTGATCAAAAAACAAAAGAACACAAAATAATACAAGGAAACTTTTGGAGGTGATAGATATGTTTAGTTCTTGATTGTGGTAGTGATATCTTGGGTATAGGCATATGTCTGAACTCATCGTGATGTGTCTATCAAATGTGTGCAATTTTTATGTATTGATTTTGCCTTAATAAAGCTAAAAAGGTGAATGCAGAGCATGATGGGGACTTTAGCATCAGTGGACTATTTACTAGATAGTTGTAATAGAATTGCCTCTCAATTATCATGGTTCTCAATACACTTGTTGCTAGGATGGAAAGCATCCATGCATCATAGTCAGAAGGGTGTGAGTTTGAACCTGAGTTTTATCGCTTACTCACTCTTTCATCTTGGGTATATTCCTTAATCTCGCTGAGCCTCAGTTTTATCATTTGCAGTATAGACATATAGATATAGACAGACATATACACTGCCTGGTCTACAATAAACAATATGAAGTCTTCTTTAAAAATATGACAACCTTCTGCTTTATATTTGCTCATCTATGGGAAGGGGGGCATATTTTGACCATCTCTTTTGCAATAAAGCTGAATTTTGGTTACATTCCAATATGGAAAGTGTTGATAGCATTATACAATTTTCAAGAATAAAGAGACATCGGATATAATTTAGTGCAACTTTCCAATTTTAAAGATGAGTAGATTTGAGGCTCAGAATTGTAACATAAATTGGTGGCAGAACCGTCTCTACTGTCTGGTCCAGTATCTTGGTAGGAATAATAAAGTTACTCCTTGTGGCTGACAAAGGAGATAAAATGTACAAACTTTTATTTAGTGAATGGTTCTTGAAAATAAGTGATATGCAATATTGGCCTCTATAATCCAAGTGAATATTTGAGTCCTAGAAATATAGTTGCTTATACATCAACAATGAAAAAAAAATTAGAAAATGATCTCCTAATTCCCAGGACTAGGGTTTTTGTAAGGAAGTGCACTTGTTGTTCTCAAAAAAAGATCATAACTACATTTATGTGTGTGTGTGGTTTCTTTTCACTGTTTTACCTCATAGAGTGGATATTCATTTCAATTTTATTGATGCTGTTAAGTTTAATGAATTTTATATATATTATATATATACCCTCATAAATATCATAAATATACATTTAGAATCTTCTTAAATATAATTTTGTCATGGTTAAATTCTTATACTAGTTTTTGAAAACATGCCTTCTTGTCTTAGTGGTGATGAAAGTGTGGATTTACCACTTTCATAATGGTATTTTGAAAGCTTTATAGTCCTTTGGTGACAGATTCTCTGGAAGGCCTGGCCAGTCAGCAAACACCAAAGATTAAGAACATGAATGATTTGATGATTTTGGCATCTTGCAAAAATTATGCGTTAGGCTTTCTTTAAGGAAGCATCGTGTCTATTCTCCAGTTTCAATTCTTTTACTTTTAGTTCACATTTCAGATAGACTATTGGTATGTGCTTAAATTATACCCCTAAGATTTTCAAAAGTGATTAATGAATGATAGTAATATAAGTTTTAGAGTAAAACAAGGTTAAAAACTGTGCTAATAGATTTGCCTTTTGGAATAACTTAATTCTACCTTTAAAAATTCAAATTTTATATCTGAAAATTTGATAGCTAGTAATTTCAGTTTCACTTGACTTATCTGTGGAATAGGTGAAAACGCCATGGTCATATAGGGTATGAACATATATATGTAACCTGTTGTATTGGATGTTATCTTATAATCCTTTAATTTTTTCATTTGTTTACCCAAATAAGAATAATTTAGAGTTGTACTGACAAAATAACATTTGTGTATTTATGCTTTAGATATTGAGTAGAACATATTGAATGATCTACAAAACATACCATTTTTATAAACACTTTAGTTTTGAGTTGGAGGGCTTTGTGCTCATGGGGTGTGTGTGTGTGTGTGTGTGTGTGTATGTGTGTGTGTGTATGTGTGTTTCCAGGAAAATAGCTTAGAAAGCAACACCAAGTAAATAAATCATTGTTTTTAATTTATTTTATATGGAAGCTTCCCCTCTATACTTCTTCCCCCACCCCATCCACATCTGAGAAATGTTGAAATCGATTAATTTTATCTTTAATTTATGAGCACTTACTAAATGTTAAGAACCATTCTAATAAAAATGAATAACAGTTGATTGCCCACTACATAGCATTTCATACTATTCCAACACCTTTTTTTTGTTGTTGTTTTGTTTTTGTTTTTTTGTTTTGTTTTGTTTTTGAGATGGAGTCTTGCTCTGTCCCCCAGGCTGGAGTGCAGTGGGGCAGTCTTGGCTCACTGCAAGCTCCGCCTCCCAGGTTCACGCCATTCTCCTGCCTCAGCCTCCAGAGTAGCTGGGACTACAGGCGCCTGCCACCATGCCCGGCTAATTTTTTGTATTTTTAGTAGAGACAGGGTTTCACCGTGTTAGCCAGGATGGTCTCGATCTCCTGACCTTGTGATCCTCCCGTCTTGGCCTCCCAAAGTGCTGGGATTACAGTCGTGAGCCACCGCGCCCGGCCATACTATTCCAACACCTTTATGCCTACTGACTTAATTGTTGCTCATAACCACAGCAATAGGCACAGAAAGGTTATTTATCTTGTCCAAGACCACACAACTTGTCCAAGATCACATACTTAATAAGTGATATAAATGGTATTTGAACTCAGTCAGGCTCCACCCACTCATACACATAATCCATTAACCGGCTCACTATGCTGTCTTGAAGTTGCAAAATCGTTGTAGAATGATGGTTTCTGAACTTATAAGACCTATAACATGATGAGGAAATTAGCTTTTTTTTTTTTTTTTTTTTTTTTTTTTTTTTTGAGAAACAGAGTCTCACTCTGTTGCCCAGGCTGGAGCTCAAGCAATTGTTCCACCTCAGCCTCCAGAGTAGCTAGGACTACAGGCATGTGCCACCATGCCTAATTTTTAAATTTTCTTATGGAGACAGGGTCTCACTCTGTGGTCCAGACTGGTCTCAAACTCCTGGGCTCAAGCGATCCTCTTGCCTAGGCTTCTGAAAGTGCTGGGATTACAGGTGTGAGCCACCGCATCTGGCCAAATTAGCTTTTTAAAAGAAAAATGTAAATGGCCTTTTAATTTTTTCCAAGTCTAGTTGATCTTTGCTATGAAAGGACTGTTCTCTTTTCCTGTCCTGTCTAGTTGGCACATTGAATTTAAAAATGGACTTGAAGCTTGGTGAAACAGAAGAGGTAGAGTCTGGAAATTTGAAGAGAAGAGCAATTGAAAGAGTGCACATTTTCCCAAGTCGTTCAGACTGGCCAGCAAGGTCATTTCTGTATGTTCTTACTGTAAACTCAGGTTTTTTTTTTTTTTGGTTTTTGGGTTTGTTTTACCTCTTCTTTTAACGATCTTCAGTGAAGTTAACAGTGAATTTGTGTTAAGATGTAGAATATGGAGACTTACAATAAATAATTAGCACGGTCACAGCTTTTTCACCTTAAAAAAGCTGAAAGATGAATTTTAACTTTCTCAAAAAAAATCTGGAATGCAGTATAGTATTTGGGAGGTTTGTCAGCACACACCTCTGCTGTTTGTTTTTCAGTCTAGGCTCAAAATCTCTACAGTCAGCAACAAAAGCCCTGAAAAATCAATATTTAGGTTCTTAGACTTCTGAATGGGGGTATAAGGGCAGGGTTTTCTACCTTTTTAATTTGCCCCCTGATGTTTTCTAGCTTCCTTGCCCTAGCTTTTCTTGAGATGGGGAAAGGAGGAAAGTTTTATCAAGCGCTGGTAGATATTTCCACCGTCGTGGATTTCTGCCTGTTAGTCTTTTACTGTTACACACATTCACACCTCATATATTTTGCTCTAAAAGCAGAACATCTGAGATGATTCTGTAGTTGAAAAAGATCTCAAAGAGATGGAAGATGGATTTAATGTTGCCATTTTTAGATAATGCTGTAAATAGAATGGCAGCTGTCCTCAGATGCATAGCCGATATATACTACATATGCTGAATAGAAACAGATAAAAGATTGCACTCAATTAATCCTGAAGAAAAGTAGCATTTTAGCCATGGATTCAGCCATCTAATTTTTAGCTACAGTGCATTTATTCTATCTCCCATGTGATATAATCCCATGCTTTGAAGGTGACTCAAGAAGAGAAAAATTTGCTATTATCCTCAACTAGGTTTAAAGAAACTTGCAATATTTTAGTTATTTACACTTCCACCCCGTTAAATAAGTGATTTAAACCAACAGTTCTGGGACACTTACTGTCTGTGAGGTACTCTTCTTGGTGCTGTAGGGGGAATAAGACATCTTTCAAAGAACTGTTTCTTATATAGAAAAGGCATAAGCAGAAACTTTTCATGCCAGATAGAATGTGATCATTGCTCTAACTAAGGTTTGACAAGTATCTATAGTTCAATAATGGTTGAATATTTATAAAACACCTGTTTCAGGTATATCGCTAATAGGTACTGTGGATATTAAGATGAATTGAACCCATTCCACAAGGAGACTTCCTCAAGTGAGACGGCATGTAAACAAATAATTGCATTTAAAAACAATAAATAGTTTAAAAGTTCAGGAATAGCAGAGAGAGGGCAGATTCACTCTACTGGAAGGTGCTTGGGTAGTAGGGCAGACTTCATTGAAGAGTGATGAGTGATCAAGACTTTTAGGCATGAATCAAAGTTTACTAGATAAATAATGAGGGGTAAAGACGAGGGAAAAAGACAAGGGCTTTCCAGAGAGAGGGAAGTAATATGCCCATAGAGAAGATTCCCCGAGACTTAGTAGTGTACTGCAACTCTAACTTGTTTGCAGTCACCCTTGTCCTGGACGCTTTCTGTGTACTATGGGGCAGTACGCTGGAGTATTCAGCGAAGACTAAGATATGAAATTCTGGAAGAAAAGCAAAGTAAATTGTATCTGTAAACTTTGTTTTTATGACAGCAACTTCCATGCTTTCTCTTTAAGACAGACCTGCCTTTGAATCCTAACTTACAATTTCTAAATTTCTCAGACCTCACCTTCAATGATAAATGTGAGTTCTGATATTTAATATAAAACAGTACATTGTCTGATACTTAGTGTATAATTATGACTTTTTAAAATCATACTTTAAGTTCTAGGGTGCATGTGCACAACGTGCAGGTTTGGTACATAGGTATACATACATGTGCCATGTTGGTTTGCTGCACCCATCAACTTGTCATTTACATTAGGTATTTCTCCTAATGCTATCCCTCCCCCAGGTCCCCACCCCCCGACAGGCCCCAATGTGTGATGTTCCCCGCCTTGTGTTCTCATTGTTCAATTCCCACCTATGAGTGAGAATATGCAGTGTTTTTTTTGTTTGTTTGTTTGTTTGTTTTTGAGACAAGAGTCTTGCTCTATCCCCCAGGCTGGAGTGCAGTGGCACAATCTCGGCTCACTGCAACCTCTGCCTCCTGACCTCAAGTGATCCACCCGCCTTGGCCTCCCAAAGTGCTGGGATTACAGGCACGAGCCACTGTGCCTTGTCTATAATGATGACTTTAATTATTGCTCTTTTGTTTTTTTCGGTTGACCATTCCTTGGTAGTGTTTCTCACTGAGGGCTAAACATATGACCGCACTCAATCAATGGAGCACAGCTGCCATTCTTTTCATGAGGTCTGGGATTTAGGTGATGTGGATGAGGAAATTGAAAGAACTCTTCAGTAAATGTTTGGAGACCTGAATTCTAATTCTGCCTGGTGATCTTGACTCACAGTGTGCCCTGTGAGTTTATTTTTCTCTGTAAGAAGAGGTTTGGACCAAATGTCTGACTCATGTACTTGTTGCTATGCATAGTTTCTGAGGAACAGCCCGGTGACTTGAAAGACATAAACCACCCAACTTAATTCCAGTAAAAGCCTTACTAAATCAGAAATGTTCTTTTACATTTTCTATTTGGGGGAAAATTGTCTACAGCAACTAAACTCATTTTAAAGAATGGTGGTTTCCCGATTGTTGTAAAAAAATTACAAAGTGCAGTCAGTACCCCCCAAAATTCATTAAACATGTAAACAAGTAATGTTATGCCAGCTTTGCAATCTCTTCCAAAGATCAGGCCTGGGAAGAGTGAAGTGTGGTTTTGATGGTTTGGGTATGCAGTGGTGAGCTTGTAGTCAGGTGGGCTCTTAGGAGCATCTGATGCCTGTCGAAGTTTCTTAGGTCATTTAGAAAATGCCAATGAATTGTGCTGGTGATTCGATGAAATCCTGAGAAAACTTAGTTGTGTGTTGAGTAAGAAGCATAGGGTCCTTTTCTACAGATTAATTGTTATACCTATGATTAATGAGTGTTCATTCATAAAGTATAGAGAGATAACATCACGAAGAAGACATAGTCCCTAGGGCCACAGTTAAGGAGTGTTAGCCCCAGATTCCAAACCACAGCCCTTTGATGTTGTTTCCTCCCATGACAAAGTCTAACTGCTGTTTTCACTCTACATTAATTCTGATATCATTTTGAAGTAATAGCATGTATGGCTCTGTAGTCTCTTAATGTAGGCAGTTCTGTCTCTCTCCCCCCTATTTCATTGCTTTGTTTCCACCGTTAATCTGGTAACCAGCCACTTATCGTACTGATTATCTTGTAATTGAAACTGTAAAAGCCTATGGCAGGTAAACCTATGGCAGGCAGATGGTCTCCCCAGTATGTCAGCTGTCTCAGAAGGATTTTTTTGTATGTGTGTGTGTATTACAATGTGGTCTAGGGGGAAAAACAGCCATCCCCCCCCCCCAAAAAAAAAACTCACAAAGAAAAGAGCCCAGATCATACAATTTGAAATTTAACAGAATGTATTTGCTAACACTTTCAGAGTTGCCTTAAGATCAAAATTCATTATGGAAGCATCTTTTGTGGAGCATGAAGTGACAGAAAAGGAGGGGAAACTATAGTGTTGGGAAGAGTGCAGAGGTCGTTACAACAGATTTTTAGCAGTCCTGTGTGTGAGTTTAATCTTTTGGTGAACTTACTAGTAACTTGGGGGGTGGGGGGAAGACAAGTGCCCCCAAGCTGTTGGTTGCTTTTGCTTGTTCTCATAGCAGCCTGCGGGGGAAAAGTGCTTGTTTAAACACTAGTATATGCCATAAAAACTAACAATTATGGCAAGGTTTTCAAAAAAGAAAATTACATTAAAGATGAATGAGGGTATATTGAATAATTATGTTTTAAGGTGTGTAACATTAAAAGATATTGAATAAAATATCGACTGTTTTGTGGAAATAGCAATAATGAGATTCCTGTCACCTAATCTTACGATAATTGGGTTATTACTATGCAAATGAAGGTATTACTTTTAAAAAACTCAGGAAGCTAGACAGATCCTTCAGGCAGTCCTTTATCTATTCTTAAAGCTGTGCCGTCAATTCTCAGACTGAAGATCCTTTTCTAAACAATTTGGAGATGCTCATTTTGCTATTTGCCCCTGAAATTCCACTGTAATATTTTTCAGCTGCCACAGGTAGCAGATCAGTGGTTGGTGATTTTATATTCTTTGAGTTTTATGTGGAACCCAAAGGAATAATTAAATTGTGTGATTATTGCCCACTGTCATTTTTATTTAAAAAAATGAAATGGAGTGAATTTTCCTGCCAAAGATGCATGCTGGGGCCCTTATCTCCTCGTTCCATGCAGCTCTGTCATTGCTGCGCAGTGTCCAGTGGTGCCTATGCATCTCAAAGCCAACAGGTCATTTTGGGCTAGCAGACCTCCTAGGACACCTCTGTGACTGCGGAAGTGATTCCATTTGTCCTCAGTCATACTCAGATCAATAGCCCGTACATTGCAGTCACCACCATGCCCCTTGAGGCTCCTGTGGCACCCATCAGATGAATAGAAATATTTGGGACAATTGCCATTTTAGTTCATGACCCAGGTAAATACCTGTGTGTTCAGCCAGCAATGGCATTTTAAACTGTTGACTGCTGAGGCTTTGGGTAAAAGACGATTATATTTCCTGGGAATATTGTGTGATTTCTACATACTTTGTTATATGAAATGCTCCGTGTAGAAGGAATGATATAGATGTAAAAATTCTCTAGTATTCCTACATATAGAAAGCATGAAAACCCGTCTTTGAGCCTCATTGAAATCTCACAATGGACGTTTTATAGTTTTAATACTCTTTGATAGTGTATAGTAGATTAATCATAGAAAGTAGATTTGAGGAAATCACAAAAGACAAATTTCATTTACTAAGTACTTTTGGTTCCAAGGATTAAGAGGTCAAGAAAATATAAGCCTTATCAGTTTATTTCAGAATCAATTGAGACTTGAGACTTTATAAATGTCACCAACAACTGCTCTTTACCTTATGTCCTTCCACAGTTCTTAAGGGAGAGCTGGGCTCAGTGAGGTGATTGCACAGTACATTTATGCCTTTCTCTGTTTAGTAGGGAAGTCTTAGAATATACTTCTATTTATAGGAGTGCAGATTTCTTCTGATATTAGCCATAATTTACCAAATATAGATAACATTTTCAAACAATTCACAATCCTGAAAATATTCTTTTTTGTTTGGTTGTTTTGTTGTTGTTTTGAGACAGTCTCACTCTGTCACCCAGGCTGGAGTGCAGTGGTGCCATCATAGCTCACTACAGCCTGGATCTTCCAGACTCAGGCGATTCTTCTACCTCAGCCTCCTGAGTAGCTGGAACTACAGGCATGTGCCATCACACTTGGGTAATTTTTAATTTTTTTGTAGGAATGGGATCTCACTGTGTTGCCTAGGCTGGTCTCAAACTCCTGAGCTCAAGCAATCTTCCCTCCTTGGCCTCCCAAAGTACTAAGATTACAGGTGTGAGCCACTGTGCCTGGTTGAAAATATTCTAAATTGTTACCTTTTTTATAATCCAACTAATTTGGTTGGCCTCAAGCAATCAATATATGTAGGTAACTTTCATTAGATCTCTGTGGAAAGGATTTTTGGAAACATGCAGAATTCCCACACATCATTTGGGTTAGAATAAGTTATGAAACTGTGCAGACAACCCTAAAATTTCATCTACAAGGTTTGTTGTGGGTTCAGGTGACTCTGCAGATCAGTTATCTTACATATGATGGCTCAGCTTTCTAGACTTTTTCGATACCTGCTTCCATGATCTCCCAGGCTGGGGAAGAGACGGCTGCAGAGTTGAGCACTGGGAATTAAATGCTTTATTCCAGAAGTGACAAACATCACTTCTCATATTTTTTTGATAGAATTACTCATATGGTCCCTCCTAATTTCCTTGGGATGGGAAATGTAGAAGAGAAGCAGATATTGATCAATATTAGTAATGTTGATCATATCCAGTATTGATTTATTCTACTTACTGAAAATGCCTTTGAAATATGAGACACTACTCATGATATGTGGGTGAAACTACAGCAATGAGTGTAATGAATAGCTTTCATTAAGAACAATAAGCATTTTCCTCCTAGTCATCGATGCCCCCATTCGTCTAGACTTCCACGCACCTTGCTATTCTTGGGTTTTATGGAACAGGTTTTACCTTGACCAAGGTCATTGTGCAGTCAACCTTTACAGATGGGATTATAGTCAGCTTTTAAACTGCAGCTGTGGCCAACCTGCAATAATGACAGACATTGCTGAAAGAATGCCCTTTGTCCAGGTTTGATGAAGGCCGGTGATATTAAATACTGCTAATAGTTTCCTGGGTTGGAAAGAGGGTTATTTGATTTGCAAAAGAAGGGAACATTAGAATCAGTCTGTTCTTCAACTCATTCCGATAGGATATATAAAGGAAAATGAGCACACTTTTAATACAATAAGTGTGCCATTATCTTTGTAAACAAAGCAAAATATTTGGAGCTAATAGACATTTAGCAACAATTACAAACGTTTGTATCATATTTGATTTTTATTGGGTAGCAAACAAGAAGAAAACAGGAATGTGTTTGAACTGAGAGCAGAGGAATCTTTTACCACTAGGTAAAACAGCATCATAACTGGATCCCCAAGAGAGATATTAATAGTAAAAACCACCAAAGAGAGTACTGATCAGGTAAAGAAAGGATGTCCCTAATATTTTAATTAAACAGTGTAAGAACATTATTCTTATAAGTATGGAAGCATATTGGTTAAGGATATTACTTGTTTAGTGTCTATTATAATTGACATCATGAAACTATTTTAACTGCTAGTAACAAATGAATTAGTGACATACAAGCGTGTAACATACCATCCTACTTTTTTTCTTGTCATTTTTTCTTTATATTGCATATTATAATGAACATATCAAAGACCACACAAAACAAATATATGCTGTGGTGATTCATTATAAGATAAACAGTCTTGTAACCACCACCCAGGTCAAGAAGTAGAAGGCGTGAACAATCCCAGAAGCCTCTCCATGTATACCATGCTAATCACAGACTCACCTCTTTCTCTAGAAATAATATCTGAACTTTCACCATAATAATTCTTGCATTTCATTATGTTTTATAATCCAATTATGCATATAGTGAATTTTGTCCATTAAAAATTCTTGATATGTCCTTGAAGTCTTTTATAGTCTGTAGGGCCCCTTGCATTTCTTTCTTTTCCTTACAACTTATCTGCTAAAGAATCCAAGTTGTTTGACCTAAAGAATTTCCCACAGTATGGATTTTGTTGGTGGCATACTCATGGTGTGGTTTAGCATGTTCCTCTGTCCTTCATATTTTCTGAAAGACTGGCAGCTGGCTCCAGAGAGTTGATCAGATAAGTTTGATCCCTTTGTAAGACTATAAGAAGTGATGCATTTATCACTCTTTTTTTAATATTAGTTATCAATACTCACTACTTAGATTCATTAATTTATTAGGGGTTGCAAAGTAGAAATAACCTAATTATATCATCTTGTTTTCATTTACTAACTGTGATAATTTTATAAATAGACAGTTACTTCTCAGTCTACTATTTGGTTACCAAGTTGTACAGTTCATATAGGAAAGGCAGGATAAATAATTGATTATATCTTTTTATTTTTCCAGTTCTCAAAATAATGAATTAGCTTCCTGTCATCCTCAGAAAGTAACCAAGTAATTCCTTTTAAATATCATTGTGAATTCATGAATTTAAGCATTCTCCAATAGCTTAGGTCTATTGTAATCCTTACCCTTTGAGGCTCAAATGGTCTCATCTTTGGACAATGGGAACCCTTTCAAGTTGGCTTTTGAGTATTTTCACATGGCTGTAGTTATCTTTGATAGCTTCGCGTGTACTGGGTATGTTAAGATGTTCTAAGCTCATCTGTACATAGCCTGTTCCATCTATTTCTCCAAGAAGCGCTGTTTTCTGGTTACTAGGTATGTTCATTGTCAGTGGTTTTGTCTTTATTTATAGGCCTAAATAGACAGAGCTATTGTATGTGCTTAAAGTTTTCAGCTCTAATACGTATTAATTTTGGACTATCAAATTTCCTGTCAAAATAAAGGTATTTAAAATCATGTTAGTACATGTGAGGCCTGTTAGAAGCTTTACTGATATTTTTAGAGAACCACACCTCAAGCATGGAAAAGTATCATCTCTTAGCTATCAACCATAATGTATACATTTATACAGTTTCTGATCTTAGCATTTCTTTGGCTTAATGCCATAGCAGAGTCTTCTTTCACAGTTTATCTTTGGCTCCCTTTTGGTAAGTGCTGATCAAATTTGCTACAAGTTACTGTCTCTACAGCCTCTTATCTATAGAGTTTCACTTTTTTTTAGCATGGTATTTCAGTTGGATATGCATTGTTTTATTTTGATCACCATTTGCCAATGTTTATCTTCTACAGTAACTCCCTTAGAAGTTGTCATATACATTCTAGATATTACCTTTATGTAAATGTATACATTCTGTGGTTAAACATTTAAAATTATTTTTTAGAAATAAGGGAGTAAGCACTAGCACAGCATAGCTAGCATCATTTTCTTGAGCTAATCTAATCTATAGCAGAATTGACTAAAATGGTTAATTGTACTCTTAGAGAGTGCACCCCAAAATGATGACTGGTGATGAAACACAGAAAGTTTTAGAGTCTGTAACATTTGCTGTTCAGAAAATTCTTTTGAGTCTAGACTTCATCTCTCAGGAACTCTTTTCACTAATATGACTAGGGAATAAAATGCCCCTACTCGGCTGTGCATGGCGGCTCACACCTGTAATCACAGCACATTGGGAGGCCAAGGCAGGCAGATCACTTGAGGTAAGGAGATTGAGACCAGCCTGGCAAAACATGGTGAAGCCTTGTCTCTACTAAAATACAAAAAAATTAGCCTGGCATGGTGGTGTGCACCTGTAATCTCAGCTACTTGGGAGGAGTTGCTTAACTGAGGGAGGAGAGTTGCTTAACCGAGGAGGTGGAGGTTGCAGTGAGCTGAGATGGTGCCACTGTACTTCACTGTACTGCCTTGGTGACAGAGCAAGACTTTGTCTTAAAAAAAAAAATCTTTCTTCTCCTAGGTGCTATGTAGGAGGAATGAGGACTCTAGCGGAGGTGTGGGATCCAGTGTTTTGTGTTCATGAAAGAAAAAAACACACAACATTTGTTGTGCTATAATTTTGGAGGATCCTCTTTTGACAGAAATTTCTGGGCCAATCTAGGTAACTCTGACAACTACTCCATTTTTTCAGAGAATGATGTTCTACTGATCTGAAATGGATCAACCTGGACTGGTGCTTTCAGATACATACCTGTTCACCTGCCCTGATGCCCAGTTTTTGTAGTCTTCTTCTGGGAGCTCTAAGACAAATCAGAGAGCAGAAAAATACGATATATTATTAGATCACAAATGTACTGAGTCATCAGGGTATTTTTAGAAGAAATTGGGGTATTTTTTGAAAAAGAGTCAAACCAGTTTAATAATAAAGGTAATATTTCACATAACCAGACATTAAAGATGGGGCAGATTATTGGGCTGGCCTTTTCCAATGGTTTCAGCTCCTTATCTCTGCAATTCCTAATTTCTGTTCTCCTCTGTATATCAGCAATATTCTTGAATTGGATGCAGATAGCATCTGCAGTTCCAGGTCTGATGACCACAGAGTTTGGGAAAGAGACCATCTCTTCCAGTGGCTCTCTTTAACAGTAAGGCAATGTTTTCCAGAAGCAAATCTCATTCCTGTTTCCTTGGCCCACATAGTGTCGTATGCCCATTCCTGGATCCAAACCTCATTTCCAAGTGAATGCTATTTATAGAGTGGCTTAGGCCTGGATTTACAACCAATCACTGGCAAGGAGGATGGGATTACCATGGTTGCCTTAAACTTTGCAGAATCTACTTCAGGGTTTGGAGTCAGTCCCTCAAACTGCATAGCTCTTACATACTGAGGAAGGAATGAAAGGGATATTGAGGAGAAAACCACAATATTATCTATTACACTATGTCTTAGGGCTCATTTGTGAATGTATTTTTATTTGTTTGGCTGTAGCACGTGAGTAAATAATGAACCATGACAGTTGGAGTAAGAAAAAGGAAAGAAAAAAAAAACGGCAATATGATATAAAGCATCCAAAGATGTCTGATTTGGTTGTAAAAATCTTTGAAATAATTCCTCTGATTTTTTATTATTTTTAGAATTTCACTGAGTATGAATTACATGAGTACCTAGTGTCAACCCTTTATACCTCTAAATGAGCTCAGTGAAAACCAGCTTCTGTGAAATATGATTAAACTTGCCCTTAAAACATGTCATTTGCATTGAACATTTTGTTCCAGCTGTTCTTCCCTGGCTTCTTCTCATATACCCTGTGTTCCAGGTCAGAGAGTGTCCTGGCTCTAGCACCACCACCACCATGTTTTTCTTGACCCATGGCTAAAGTATTGTCTATCCTTTTCTCCAGGCTTCCAGATTATTCCTGCTCCTAAAAACCCAGCTCAATGATTACTTCTATGAAGCCCTTCAATGACCTGCTCTGCCTGAAGGTCTTTCTTCTAGTGACATTTAAATATTATATTCTGTTCAGTTCATTTGTCAGTTAAGTCATCTGTCACCTTTTGGGAATTCTACTTTATGTCTTTGAGCTGTTCTTAACATTGTCTGTTGTAGATTATGATCTTTTTTAAGGTAGAGACCCTTGAGTCTCATGAAAATTATCCATCTTTCATGGTATCATCTTGGAAAGGGAAGTATAAAGAGCCTTTCCTTCTGGACATAAAAATAGCTCACATTTATTAAGCACTTGCTATATGCCCAGTGCAGTAACAAATAACGTTATAAGCATTATCTCATTTCTTCCTCACATACACATACAAAAACTCCATGTGCTAGGTTAGACAAAAACCTGCCTCAAAATAGGAGAACCAAGAAATGGACTCTTGTGGTAACACTGGATAACAGTCTTTAAGCTCACAGGATGTCTCTAGGCATCAGTCTCTCACTCTGTCCAGTCTCGTAGCTTTGCGTTCTTACCTGGCTTGATCAGCAGGAAGAATCTCTACACAAATGGGCAGTTCCAGATTGGAATGGTCCTCAATAACCCCAATGAGAAACAGAGAAAGAGAAAGTTGCAACAATGTTTGGGGTGATGGGGATCCTCACATGGCTTGCCAGAGCATGTCACTGATAGCCAAGGTCTGAGCAGTCACCCCTACGATGCAGCGGGAGGAAACACAGGCCAACTCCACCTGAACCATGAAGTCTGAAAGTCAAGCAGCATGGTTTCTCAATGAGATGCTGAGTAGACAATTATTCTGGTTAGCATTAATTCAAATTGACAGATCAGACCTGGATTTAGAGACTAAGGAACATGCCCAAGATCACTCAGATAGGGAGATTTTACTCAGCCTAATTTCAGAGTTTTGCTAGTAACAACTTTGCTACATTGTAATATTGTTATTCAAACTGTGTTTGACTATCATCGCTCAAAGTACAAATAACTTCAACTGTGTGGACCTCATTGTGTGTATTTTCAGTAGCAGCCCTCTTGAGAATACTCGGTGCCTCTAGTTCCTCATATAATCTCATTTTTTCTACCAAATCAGGAATTGAAACATTAGCTCATATTTTTACATTAGTTGAGTGACTGGATTTGCTTTCCTAAGGCTGTATTTCAGTCACCACGTTTCCTTACCCACGTCTTTGCTTTTGAATACATTCGTAGCTCCTGTGGCTTCAACAATGACATTTCAGATGTTAGTTTGCTGATGCTGAGATACTGGTAGAGGAAAACTGGGTTGGTCAGTCAGTGAAATCTCCCTCCATTGCCTGAGGAAGTGGCTGGATATAACAAGTTGGAGATTCATGGGTATGTTACATGGGCTAGTCCAAGATCTCTCAGTAGAGAGACATTTGGTCACCCTGGGGAGAATAAACCAGGACTGACCGAGCTGTGGATGCAGAAGACCTGCTTCTTAGAGCTCCTGAGATGAAAATGTGTAAGTCCTGTTATCTGGCTTCTTTCAAAAATCCCTGGCCTGCCCCGCTCTTGCTTGGGCCTGCCAGCAGGGCCTGTTCTTCAGGTTCTTCTTGCCCTTTCAGTACCCAGGAGAGACCACCCACTGTCTCACTGCAGCTCCAAGTCTTCCCGTTTCTCTCCTTCTGATCCAAGAATTTCAATGTCCAGGATAAGTTTTCTGTAAGTCTTGATGTTACTGAATTTTTGACGCGATGTAATTTTTCATGTGTTGACGCACAACCTGTGTTTTGTTGTTAAGCCCCTTTCCTGTCATTCTGGAATGCATCCTCATTTTACTTCTTTCTCTGCTAATGACTTTTCCAACTTTGATGTAGTTAGATCACAGCTTCTTTATTAGCAAGTTTTAATGACTTTGTTTTCTCCACCTCATCTAACAAAGTACGTTACGGATATTGCTCAACAATACTACGTGTGTATTTTATTTGACTTCATACTCAGAGATGGATTGAGACTGTCTATGACAGTAATATTAGGACCTGAAATTTCATCTTATTTATAGAGGGGGCTTGAATGTTGGCTGTTACTGTGTACTTCCAGTTTGGGCTAAGAGCTTTAGGATGAAGCAAAGTTTACCAGCCTAACTCACAAATTGGTATGTTGATCTTTCTATCTTTATCCATTCATTCTTTATCAGCTGAGGGGACTAATTTGGGATTTAGGGGAATATAGAATTTGATGTATTTTCAGGGTTTTTGCTTCTAATCAGGAATAATGGCTTTATGTGTATAAAAAAAACATTAAAATATTATGTGCTTTTATTCAAACTAGATGTCAATTATCTCAGAGTTTACATTCACTCCACAGTGGTACCATGGCTGGAAAGAGGAACAAGTCTTCTTATATAAAAATGTGGCCTATTAACAACAAAAGATGGATTAATATACTTTCTTCCTATTTACAGTTTATGGTCTATCCTGAAGGGATTTGTTGTGTTCACCTATGTTTTTTAACTGGCAAAGTAAGTATAACTACCTTTAGTTCATGAACATCAGCAGAGGGATATATCTATTTTACTTTTTAATATTAAAAACCACAAAGCCTTTTCTAAATTAGCAGGGGGGGATTTACACAGAGAACTAGTGAAAAATGTTATGAGCTTTCATCCTCTGTTTTGGTTTGAGTTGCCACTTTGGGGCTTTTACATGTCTTTCCCTTTCCCATCTCATCTCTAGGAGGCAAACAAAGAAATATAATTTGCATTGGCTATAGAAATGCCTCCGAGATCACTGCTGTAAGTGTGCTGGGGATTTGGAGTAGAAATTCTGAAAAGGAGAAAAAGACAAGGGTAAAAGCTCTGTTGACAGGAGAGTTTCATAGGCATGTGGGGAGAGCACAGCATTGGACATGGCAATACAAATTCTGCAAGCTTCCTCTCTTTTCCTAAAAACAACAGTCTAAGAATGCGGTAGTTCTGTCTGGTTAAAGAGTTGGACTCAGTGGCAGCTGTCGAGCTTAGTTTTTCTTTCTAATTCAGATACTTCCCTATTGGAGTGTTTTGCACCTTCACTTCCTTTCTCTTTTCCTGTCCGTCATCACATGTGGCACCTCTGGGTGAGAGGCAGGCAGATGGCTGTCTCTGGACATGATGCTTAACGATGCTTTATCCTTTGACCAGTACACGGGGCTGGAATGGAAGGGCATTTGAACTTGCACTTTGATGCAGAGTATTAGCACATTCACCCTCTGCTGGCAGCAGACCAAGGACCCCAAGTTAGCCTGTGAACCAACTTTTTCCCTGGAATATAAACAATACATGAACTTGACTAGGAGGTCAGCTCTTCAAAGCTGATTTTTTTTCCCCCAATGGGATCCACTGTTTGTTCATATTTAGGCAGCATCTAAGTAGAGGCAATTTAGACATTTAACCAAAGCAAAATTTAGTCTAAAAAAATAGGAAGATCTCATTATAGATTCACAGATCTGTGTATTTGTGTGCTCAAGGATAATAATAATACTGGGATACATTTCAGAGAAAAGAGATGAGTAAAAATAAGAAAAAAAATTAATGGATTTGAGCCCAAGTAAATGAAACTCTATTATTTAATTATAGTATCTGACTGTGAATATAAATGGGAGATGAACAAGAATTTTTTCCTTCAGTTTGGATCATAGAAGACTTCATGACTAAAAGGGGAAGTCTATCACTCAGAGCTACAAGCTAGAGGTTTGATCCTTCATAAAATGAATCAGGGAATATAGAAAATATTTTGGGAATTGAGGACAGTCTCTTTTGCACACACTCAAGTGTTTTTACATTTAAAGTGAGCAAAACTGCATAATGTGGAATATATGCCTGTGTCCTTCAAATTTGCCACTCTGGTAGCCTGGATAGATGGGAAAAAAAATCACTGACGCACGATGAAAAACAACATGCTCACTCTTAGAATTTCATGCTTGGAACCTCTTGTGGGCTAGTGTCTGCAATAATATCGATGACTGGGCCATTTATTTGTTATCTATTGCTACTTTTGGCAAATGGGTAAGTTGAAACCCTAGTGTCCTGGTTAAATTCCAATGTAGATGAGTGATAATATTCCATCTGCCATGTTCTTATTTTGCCTTCCTTAAGGAAATGAGGCATAACTGCATTTCAAAGCAGACTGTTGACACACTTTAGATAAAAAGTTAATATTTTTATTTCTCATTATGTAGTTCATTGTCATCAGAAGTTGTTGCTAACCCAGCCCCGTCACTGATTCACCTGTGGCCTTGTGTAACAATGTGGGCAGATTGAAAGAAAAAAATGGAAAAATATGTATCATGCAGACATTAATACAAAGAAAGTGGGAGTTGCTATGTTAATATCAGATATAATATTCTTTTGAGCAAGGAAAGTTACTAGTGACAGAGAGGGATATTATATAATTATTAAGACATTGCTCCACCAAAAAGACATGACAATTCTAAATGTGTATGTACTAAATAACTGAGCTGCAAAATACATGAAGCAAAACTGATTAAATTGAAAGGAGAAATAGACAAACTCACAATGTTATTCGAAGATTTGAACACCCAAGTTTAATCACTTTGTAAAAAAACTAGACAGATAATCAGCAAAGATATAGAGGAACCTCAACGTTGGTAACCAAGAAAATCTAACTGAGGCCGGGCGCGATGGCTCAAGCCTGTAATCCCAGCACTTTGGGAGGCCGAGGTGGGTGGATCACGAGGTCAGGAGATCGAGACCATCCTGGCTAACACGGTGAAACCCTGTCTCTACTAAAAATACAAAAAATTAGCCGGGCGTGGTGGTGGGCACCTGTAGTCCCAGCTACTCGGGATGCTGAGGCCAGGAGAATGGTGTGAACCCAGGAGGCGGAGCTCGCAGTGAGCCGAGATTGCGCCACTGCACTCCCTCTCAAAAAAAAAAAAAAAAAGAAAATCTAATGGAAACCCAGCAGCAGCAGCACACACATTCTTTTCATGTGTCCATGGAACATATTCCAAGAGAGATCATATCCTGGGCCAGGAAACAAATCTCAATAAATTTAAAAGAACTAAAATCATATGGGATATATTTTTTGACCACCATGGAATCAAATTAGAAATCAATAACAGAAAGAGAACAGGAAAATTTCTGAACCCTTGGAAACTGAGAAATATACATTGTAAATAATCCATGGGTAACAAAGAAAGTCTCAAGGGACATAAATATATTGAACTGAATGACAATAAAAATAGAACACGTAAAAATTTGTGGATCACAGCTAAAGCAACTTTGAGAGGGAAGTTTATGGCACACCACACAGGTACATTAGAAAAGAGGAAAAGTCTCAAATCAGTAATCTAAGTTCATAGTTCAAGAACCTAAAGAAGAGCTGTAAGTATCCAAAGCAAGCAGAAGGAAGGAAATAATATTAAGAACAAAAGTCAATAAAATTGAAAACAGAAAAATAATCCATGAAAAAATTAAGGTTACTTTAAAAGATCAGTAAAATTGACAAATTTCTAGTAAGACTAACAGAGTAAAAACAGAAAAAACACAAGTTATCGATATCAGTAATCGATACGATTTATCGATCGTATCGATACGATACGGATGTATCACTGCAGACTCTGCAGACACCAAAAGGATAATATGGGACTACTACAAACAACTCTACACACATAAATTCACAACTTAGATGGATCCAATCCTCAAAAAACATGAACTGCTGCAACTCACCCATAATTAAATAGATAATTTTAATAGCCTTACAACAGTTAAAGGAATTTAATCCCTAACTTAACAAACTTTCAAAAAAAGTAATCTTCAGATGGTTTTACTAGATAATTCTACCAAACATTTAAAGAGGGATTGAAACCAGCCCTAAACAATCTCCCCCAGAAAGCCATTCATTTTATGAAAGTAGTATTACCCAGATACTAAAACGAAGTACAAAAAAAGAAATGAGACCAATATCCCCCATAAATACAGGTACAAAAAATATTAACAAAATATTAGCAAATAGAATTCAACAATATGTAAAAAGAACCATATTATACATCATGACCAAAGGCTAGTTTATTTCAAGGGATTCAAGGCTGGCTCAGTATATGAAAAACCATCAGTGTAATTCAGTATGCTAACAACCTAAAGAAGAAACATCACACAATGCTATAAATTCCTGCAAAAAGTGCACTGACAAAATTCCACAGACATTTATGAGAAAAACTCTCAGAAAAATTGAGATAGAAAACTTTCTCAACTTTACATGGAACATCTATAAAACATCTACAGCTAACATTATACTTGATGAAAGACATGAGTGTTTCCTCTTAGATCAGGAACAAGGTCAAGGGATGTCTTCTCATGACCCTTCTTCAACACAGTGCTAGAATTTCTGGCCAGTGCAAAAAGGCAAAAAATTGTAATTAAAAGCATATGGATTATAAAGGACAAAAATAAAACTGTCCCTATTTTTCATTTGATATCATTGTTTATGTGGAAAATCTCATGGAACATTAAAAAAAAAAGAAAAGAAAAACTAACTCCCAAAACTAATTTGAGTTTAGCAAGGTAGCAAGATATAAACATACGAAAGTCAGTTATATTTGTATATATTAATACTAGCAATGAATGGCTGAACATCAAAATTTAAAATGCAATACTATTTACAGTCACTCAGAAAATGAAATACCTAGGTATAAATCTAACAAAACACATTAAAGGATGTGTATGCTGCAAGCCACACAATGCTGAATGAAGATCTAAATAAATAGCTCTATCATGTTCATGGACTGGAACACTCAACATGGCAAAGATGGCAGTTCTCCTCAAACTGACACACAGGCTTAACACAATTACTATCAAAATCTCAACAAGGCTTTTTTGTAGATACAGAGAAGAAAAATTTATATTGAAATTTCAGCTGAAAAGCAAAGGAATTAGAATAGCTAAAAGAACTTTGAAATAGAAGAATAAAGTGGGAATAATCTACCCAGTTCCAGAATTTATTATGTAACTGTAGTGATCAACACTCTGTGATATTTGCAGAGGAATAGACACTTATATCAATGGAGGAAAAAAACAGAGAAGCCAGAAATTGACTCACAACATATTAGACCAATTTTTGACAAAAGTGCAAAAGCAATTCAACAGAAAAAAACAGCCTTTTCAACAGTTCATTCTTGGAGTGATTTGGACATTCATAGGGAAAACAAACAAAAAAACCCTTGACCTACGTCTTATAACTTATGCAAAAAGTAACTCAAAATAGACCACAGACTTAAATGTAAAACTCAAAACTATACTACTTCTAGGGGTAAAAAGAATCTTCAGGGACTAGGTCTGGACAAAGCATTTTTAGATTTTATACCAAAAGCTGGAGGAAAAGTTGATAAACTGAACTTCATTAAAATGAACAATTTTGCTATTTGAGGCCAGGTACTGTGGCACACTCCTGCAATCCCAGAACTTTGGGAGGCCGAGGCAAGCGGATCAATTGAACTCAGGAGTTGGAGACCAGCCTGGTCAACATGGCAAAACTCCTCCTCTACAAAAAATACAAAAATTAGCCAGACATGGTGGCATGTGCCTGTAGTCCCAGCTATGTGGGAGGCTGAGGTGGGAGGATCACCTGAGTCTAGGAGGTCGAGGCTGCAGTGAGCCTTGATTGCACAACTGCATTCCAACCTGGGCAACAGAATGAGACCCTGTTTAAAAAAAAAAAAAAGTTGCTATGTGAAAGATCCTATTGAAAGGACGAAAAGCCAAGCTACAGACGAAAAACCAAGCTACAGATTGGAATAAAAGTGTTTGCAAACCATATATCTGACAAAGTACTAGTGTCAAGAATATAAACTCTGAAAACTCTATAGTAAAAAAGAGAAATCCAATTAGAAAATGGGCTAAATACCTGAAGAAACATTTCTTGGGAGAAGATATACAGATAGCAGCTAAGCACGTAAAAAGATGTTCAACATCATTAATCAATGACAAGTGCAGAAAGGCTAAAATAAAAGATAGTGACAATATCAAATGCTGACAAGGATGTACAGAAACTAGCTCATTCAGACATTGTTGGTGGGGATGTAAAATTCTGCAAAACAGGTAGATTTGGGGGAGGAAAAAACAACATTCATCTGCCGTATATAACCTAGCAATGCACTCCTGGACATTTATCTCAGAGAAAAGACAACATTTTCACACAAAAACCTGTATATAAATGTTTATGACTTTATTCATAATAATCTCAAACTTTAAAAAAAATTATTTTTTCTAAAAAAAAAGGGATACATGTGCAGAAAGTGCAGGTTTGTTACATAGGTATATGTGTGCCGTGGTGGTTTGCTACACCTATTGACCTGTCCTCTAAATTCCCTCCCCTCACTCCCCACCCCACAGCAGGCTCTGGTGGTGTATATTGTTCCCCTCTCTGTGTCCATGTGTTCTCAATGTTCAACTCCCACTTATGAGTGAGAACATGTGGTGGGTGGTGTTTGGTTTTCTGTTCCTGTGTTAGTTTGCTAAGGATGATGGCTTTCAGCTTCATCCATGCCCCTGCAAAGGACATTATCTCATTTCTTTTTATGGCTGCATAGTATTCCATGATGTATATGTACCATATTTTCTTTATCCAGTCTATCATTGATGGGCATTTGGGTTGGTTCCCTGTCTTTGCTATTGTAAATAGTGCTGCAACAAACATTTGTGTGCATGTGTCTTTATAGTGGAATGATTTATATTTTGGGGGTATATACCCAGTAATGGGATTGCTGGGTCAAATGATATTTCCGGTTCTAGATTCTCGAGGAATCACCATGCTGTCTTCCACAATGGTTGAATTAATTTACATTCCCACCAGCAGTGTAAAAGCGTTCCTATTTCTCAACAGCCTCACCAGCATCTGTTGTTTCCTGACTTTTTAATAATTGCCATTCCAAATTATTAATCGGTGTGAATTAATCTCAAACTTGAAACAACTCAGCATCCTTCAATAAATGATTAAACAATCCATACCATAGAACACTATTCAGCAACAAAAATAAACTATTGATACATACGTGAACCTAGACGAATCTTTAGAAAGTTCTGTTGAGTGTATGATTTCATTTATATAATACTTTTGAAGTGAAGAAATTATAGAAACTGAAAATAGATCAGTGGTTTCCAGGGGTTAAGGAGGGTGGGGTGGAGCGGAAACAAGTGTGGCTATAAAAAGGCAACCTGAGGGATTTTTGTGGTGTTGGAAATGTTCTGTATCTTGACTCTGTCAATGTCAGTATCGTGGTTGTGACAATGTAGTATAGTTCTGCAAGCTGTTACCGATGAGGGAAACTGGGTAAAGGCTGCCCAGGATCTCTCTGTGTTTTTTTGTAACTGCATGTGGATCTACAATTATTTTAAATTAAAATGTTTAATTAAACACAACATTTTCTGTAAAGTCTTCTAGATTAAAATCTGAAAGCATCACATTTTCTGTAAAGTGTTCTAGATTAAAATCTGAAAGCGTCTTTTGGCGCTTTCCATGGGAAAGCTTCATGTCCCCTCTTTCTGCCCTCAGATAATCATATGGCAGTCGCAGAGCCTTTTTTGCTGTTCCTGGACACGCTTAGCAAGCTCTCACCACAAGGCCTTTGTACTTGCCATTTCCTCGTCTGGAACATTCCTTTCTCTGGCCTGCTCATTCACTTCATCGAGATCTCTGCTCAAACATCACCTTATCAGAAAGGTTTTTCTTTGAACAGTCTGTCTACAGTACCATTCCTGTCATGAGTGATTCCCTAACCTGGGTTTATTTTTCTTCTCTCATCAGAAACAGATTGGACGCTTTAAAAAATTCCAAGTCTTGGATAGAAACCTCGAAATTCCCTACTACGTTTCCTCTTTTCTATACGTTGTTCCTGGATTTGGAGCATTTTATTTCAAAAGTAAATGAAACAGGCAAATTCACTCTATTTCCATTCCTTCTGCTGATCACTCCGTATCTGTCTGGTTGGAATTTTAAGATTTTAAGGCTTCTATAGTAGTATATATACTGTATTCTGTCACACTCAGCTTATTGCAATCCAGTGATATTTCTTAAAATAGCTAAGACTTCAGACAGTCAACCCCATCTCCGTACATTATGAATCTGCCTATAAATGACTGGGCTCTAATTCTTTTCTAGGCTTTTTAAACGGTCCAAGGTGTAGAGCCATACTTCAGGAGGATCCTCAGAAGTTTTGGACAAGCCTCCCCAAATGTGGCAGGTGGGTCTCTTGTCTGTGGGTGCAAGAAATGTAACTTTCTTTATTCTTCCATAGTTAACCTGAAATTAAATGCTGTTCGGACCCTCTGCTTAACCATATCAGCAGCCTGAGGTTGCACTGAAGTTCTGGATAAGGCTATGAGATGCCAAGTTCTCGAGGGGGTGGATCCCAGTTCTTTGGCTGTCATCTCTCCATTAGTCATGTCTGTCTTACCATCTCTTGTCAGTACTTGTGGACTGCTGCCGGGGCACACCTCGATCTATCTTCGAGGATCTTCTGTTCTCCTTCTCTTAGTTTCTTCTAGATACTTCTTGGGCACATAGGGGCATGCTATCACTGCTGCAGGCCCAGAGGAAACTCTTGGGATTAAAAAGCTCCCCCACCCTTTTTTTTTGTTTTTTGCATTGCCACTCTTGTTCAGCAGCTCCTGTGTTATGCTATGGCACGAGATCCTTTGCAAGGCCGCTTAAGTCCTGGATGTACCACCAGGCTGTTTCTGAAGTTCAGACTATACCCAAGAAAGAAACTCTTTTGCCCATCACCCCTGTCTACCCCCAACATATTTGGGGTTTCTTTAATCGTATTTTGAACAAGCACAACTTAGGAAATCAATCAAAACACAATTTATTTTTCATCTCCTTCTGTTTCTTTGAAATGCATTGGAGAAGGGTGGCAGGTATTCCCTTGCTTCGGGTGAAATTTAGGTCTCAGGCAGACTCCATACTTCACAAGTTCATTCTTAGATTTTAAAAAAAAGTCCTCTGGACATTTTAAGTTACAGAAATAATCTACATTCAGAAATGTTTATGTCCAATATCAAATCATAATCATAGCTTCAAAGTTAATTTAATATCAGAAGATCTACCCTCCCCCATCTGGGGCCCAGTTTTGAGTTGGACTACTGCAGAGGGAAAAGGTCTGTCATTTTTTCCTCTCTTCACCTGTCACCTCCTATCCCACTTCCTAGTTGCTGTTGCTGAACTCTCAGGGGTTGGGGCACAGGAAAGAAGAGGGGAAAAGTAGCTCAGGGATTTTTCTCACTTGAACGAATGTTATATTAAGCTGGCTTTGTGTTTTCTGGGCCAGGAAGCTGCTTAACACTGACTCTCAGTTGATCACTTTTGGGAGACTTTCATGGCCCCTCCGATGGACCCACGCAGCTTCAATTCTTCTGACTTGGGCAGGGCTTCTCCTTCAGCGCCCTACTCCCCACTCAGCACCTGGTTTCAGATAGTCTGTTCCCTCTGGCCTCTGATTTGGTGTCTTGTGAATACCGCCGTTGATCCTCTTGGGCTTCAGGCTGGCTCTCTCACACCTGGCCCACACCTGCTCTAGGAAAACATGCCTCTTATGAACCTTCATGGGCGGGAGAGGCTGCGGGCACTTCTCAGATTGCAGAGCTGCTCCTAGCCCAGCTCTCTTGTCCTCTGGATTTTCAGGATGGGAGCCAGGCTGCAGTCCATGGGGTCTCTCAAACTCCAGGGGGTACATACAGGCCCACTAAAGGTTTCCTCTGAAGCCTCTCTAAAGACCTATGGAAAAGGTAGCCCTTTCTGTCTCTGTCTCAGGGAAAGATGGGACTTGGCATCAGCAGCAGCTCTATCCAATAGCCTCTTAAAGCCTCTTCCCCTCCTCTCCCTTCTGTTGATCCTTTATAACTTTTAGAGCCATCCATAGTTCTCAATTTCTTTTAAAATCTGCATTTTGACCTGGTCATTTACATTGAAATTTCATACTTGTTTCAGGAAGGTACCTCAGTTGAATCTCCCGATCTGTCATTCTGCTCCCATTAGGGAGAGTCGAGGCAGTGGGGCCTGGGATCAGGGTGGCAGGGGAATAGGATGAAACTAGCCACTTCTATCTTGCTCCTGGATCCACTGATGTACACACATGCCTTAACTACCTTATTTTGCACTCAAAGGGGTTTACATCTGCCCTTAGCTTATTTTATATGTAGGAAGGTCTCTTCTGATCCTGTTTTCTATGGGCGGGAATCATTCCAGTTTCCTAGGGGGCATTAGGCTTTCGAACCTCACAATTTATTAACTGACACCCCCTCAGTGCCCTGTTTTCCCTTCCTTGCCAACAGTTTTCTAACGCCATGAGTGAAGAGTATAGCTACTTGGCTGACTGGAGAAAGAAGCAAGATTCAAGGAAATGAGATAAAATACTTCAAATAGTATACCCCCCCATGATAAAATATATTGCCTGCCTTCTTTCTGGAACTTACCATGTGATTTTTAATCCTAAAAATGGCACCGCATAATTTATATTAAGGATTTGACATTTGAGGAAAACAGTTGTGTTAGTTTGCTAGAGCTTCCATAGTAAAGTACCACAAACAGGGTGACAAACAACAGAAATTGATCGTCCCACAGTTCCAGAGGATAGAAGTCAGAAATCAAGGCTGACAGAAGGGTAGTTTCCTTCTGACGGCTGCAGGCGAAGAATCTGTTCTGGGCCCTTCTTTTTTGGCTTGTAGATGGCTGTCTTCTTTCTGTAGCTCTTTATATTATTTTTCCCCTATGCATATTTGTCTCTATGTCCAAATTTCCCCTTTTTATAAGGACACCAGTTATACTGGATTAAGGCCCACAAGAATGACCTCATCTTAACTAATTACATCCACAAAGACCATATTTCCAAATAAGGTCACATTCTGAGATCCTGGGGTTAGGGCTTCAACATATGAATTTGGGGGGAAGGGGCAATGCAACCCATAACACCAGGGTTCAGAGGAGCGCAATTACTTCAAAGTCGCACAGACCTTGAAGTTCCCATGCAATTCCTCTCCATGACTGTGTGACTCTGTAGCTCGCATTCTTTCTGCTATCCTACACTTCATCTCAGCTCTTACACGCAGGATTATGCAACAAGAAGAATGCTGGCTTTCTTTTAAACAATCAAACCAGGCTAGCAGAAGTATGGACCCATCTAGGAAAAAGCTCTTAGACATCAGGTGGTGCCATCACATGAACTCAGAACAGCAAGCCTTGCACAAAGGGGAAATGGCACCTGTCTGTAGAGAGGTCCAATCTATCACCATCATACCATTGGCTAGAAAATGAATTTCTGCCTGAATTCAAGGTATAAATTATGCCAGGGTTCAAATGTTCCTGAAGCTACTAAAATAGTGTCAACTTGAGTTTGGTGGTGTTATTCATATGACTTGTGGTTTGCATTTTTTTGGTGCTTTTGACCTATATTCCTATCTAAATATGCTGTGTGTGTGTGTGGTCGGCTTCACGTAGGGCATATTTAAACAATGTGTAATAAAACAACATATTTAAATCATGCAAAAGGAAAAGGGTAAACTGTTAGCTATAAAGTTCCTGCAGGCATTTACTGGATAATGATAATGATAGCTTAGCTAAAAAAGGATAAAATATGTTCAGCTTCAATGGGGATTATATTTAGGAGAATTATCGGATTGTTTTGATATTTTCCTTTTAAAAACAATTCTTTAGTGCCTCCTAGGTGGGAGATAGGAATTATTATAGTGATTTGGAAACATGGCTTTATGTATATGAACATAATTTGAGTCTTGTAGTATTTGTCACTATTTTATTCCAGATGGCAAAATTCTTTTATTATTCCTTTCAGTTAAGACCTGAAGTATATACCTACAGAAACAAGTCCATGATAAGATTTTTCTTGCCAAAATTCTAATAGGTGCTTACTTACTGAGAAATATGCGTATTGAGAAATGCTTAAGAAAAATACACTTTAATGAAGCTGCACTAATGATATTTATTTAGCTAATTGTGTACAGGGATCTAACCGTGATTTTAAGTAAAGTAGACTGTTGGCCATGTAAATAAGCTTGGCACAGGTGTGCAGGGTTTTAAGAGAATTGGGTAGGAGAGCTAATGAAAATTAGAGTCAGGCTCAAAGAAATATTTTATTGTAAATTGAATTTCGCATTGTAAAACAAATACAGCTGCACACTAATATTTTAAAATAAGAGTAAAAAAATGCTCACAGTGTAAGAACTGAAAGCAACAAAACTAGCTTTTTGGTATATTTGCTTCTCCTCCTTTTTTGTTTATTCATTCAACCGAGCTTTACTGAGCACCTACTCAGTGCAAGCACTTAGGGAATAAAGATAGTTAAGACAAGGTTTCCGTCCTTAAGGAGATTTGATTTATCAGGGGAAACACACAGTGAATGAGTCTTTATAATAGGGAATAAGTGCAATACTTAGGGAGAGTGGCCAAAGAGGTTGCTATCAACTTTATTGTCAGCTCTGGGAAAGCTTCACAAGGTAAGTTGAAATAGAAAGTTGCTCAGAAATGCTTTAGCCAGAAAAGAGGAGAAAATAATTTCAGTTCCAGGGAAGAAAGAACATCTGCTCAGGTATGAGAAGATGGAAATAATATTACAAGGAACTGTAAATAATGTAGCATGTCTTGAATAACAGAGAATGGGATTGGAGTAGGTGGGAGTGATATCATGGGAAGATTTGTGCCTGTTATCCTATTGGCAAGAAAGATTTTCATGTAGGGGAAGAGTATGTTTAGAATATCATTTTAGAAAAATTAACCTTCAGCATTATGATTGGATAGACGGATTAGAAGTTACAAGCTTTAGGAACTAAGAGATTGATAAGGAGCCAGATAAACCAAGAAGCTGAAATAAAGCTTAAATAAACGAAGCTTGCATGGGTTCCTAGCAGTATTTTAGTAGGGACCCTAAATTGTGTTTCTGCAGCCATATGTTTTTATAAATGTTGCAAAAGTACAAATTTCTAAGTTCAACCAGTTAAAAACTCAGGCTTTCTTTTTTTATACTGCTACACCTCTGTTATGTTTCCATTAATGTTAGGTGACATCAAAGTGCCCACATACATTTTGCATTCACAATTTTGCATTCTTTCTCTTTAAAAGGGCCCCCAAATTGTATAAGCTTTAGAACCTCCTAAATGCAGATCCAGTCCCAAGGTGATATCCAGAAGAGACATGACAGGTTCTTAAAACAAGAGAGTAGCTGCAGAGATGAAGAAGAAAAAGATACAAAAGAGGCAGGCGGAGGAATTAATGGCTATGTTGGTGTGAGGAACAGGATTGTACCAATATTTCTCTTAAGACCATTAATAGGGGAAAAAAGTGGTAGGGACAGGTCACTATTGTAAATAACATTTTATGGAACATCTTTATGTGTGTGTTTTCATATTTCTGGATTTACAGAGGTAGATTTACTATGTCAAAGTGTGTAAATATTTTAATGGATTTTGTTATCTATTACCAAATTGCTTTCCAGGTAAATTGTGCTATTTAACACTGCTGCAGTTAATGTAGAAATGGATTTTCTTGTCCATACTCCCACTAACATTGGGCATTATAATTTTAATTTTTTCAAGCTAAATTACTAGGTAAAAATGGCACCTCCTCATTTTACTCTGAAGTGAGATAAATACCATCCATTATTGTGAACTCTCTCTAGGCATCTATTTTCAGGGGGTAGTTAATGTAGTCTTTTCCTGGTAGTGATTTAGGGAGCATTAGGAGGTAGGTGTAAATCCTTTATGTGAGTAGTTATGTTATACATTCTAAATACATACATACATGCATAGATCATAAAAGCTAGAAATAGGTGAGGCTAAAACAGTTTTGCAGATCAGATTTAGACCAGCTGTTGGCAAACTTTTTTTGAAAAGGGCTAGAGAGTAAATATTTTAGGCTTTGTAGGCTAGGAGGCAAAACTGAGGATATTATGTAAGTACTTTAAGTGAAAAAAATATTTTGCAATTTTTTTTTTTTTTTTTTTTTTTTTTTTTAAAGATAGGGTCTGGCTCTGTCATCCAGGCTGGAGCGAAGTGGCTCAATTGTGCCACTGCATCTTCCAACTCCTGGGCAGAATTCATCCTCTTGCCTCAGTCTCCCCAGTAGCAGAGACTACAGGCATATGCCACCATGCAAGGTTAATTTTTTAATGTTTTGTAGAGACGAGGTCTCGCTATGTTGCCCAGGCTGATTTCAAACTCCTGGCCTCGAGTGATCCTCCTGCCTTGACCTCCCAAAGCTCTGGGATTACAGGTGCGAGCCACCAAACCTGGCCAGTACAAATTTTTAATGGACATAGTTCAAAATATAATAGTAATAACAAAAAATAACTTTTTTTTTTTTTTTCCCCTGAGATGGAGTCTTGCTCTGTCGCCCAGGCTGGAGTGCAGTGGCACGATCTCGGCTCACTGCAACCTCTGCCTCCCAGGTTGAAGCAATTCTCCTGCCTCAGCCCCCTGAGTAGCTGGGACTACAGGCACACGCCACCAGGACCGGCTAATTTTTGTATTCATATTAGAGATAGGGTTTCACCTTGTTGGCCAGGTTGGTCTTGAACTCCTGACCTCATGATCTGCCCGCCTCAGCCTCCCAAAGTGCTGGGATTACAAGCATGAGCCGCCGTGCCTGGCCAACAAAGTGCATTTTTTACACTATGAGTCAGGTTTTGGAGAGAGGACATTTTTCTTAATTGGGAGTTCAAAGTTAATGTCTCTGTCACCAAATTGATTGTAAGTGGTCATCTGTTAAAATCTCCATTTCTATTTCAAAGGAGTGAGCCAGATTTGGACCACAGGCCATACTGTGCCAACACTTATTTTAGACACTGACATTTATAAAGTCATTTGCCTATTAGACTTTGTTAACATATTTTGTTTGATAGTGTTTCAGTTCTGTCACATACCTTATTTGAACCTATTTGGTATCTACAGTTTGCAAACTCAGCAAAGTGTGTGTGTGGAGCATGGAGGGGGTGGTTATTCTGCATTGCTAATGGAATTTGGGAGTCTACCTGAGGCAGCAGGACTATTACACTGAAGCATTTTGTCTATTTAGATAAGGAGACTCGGGAAGAGAAACAAGAAACCAGACTTAGTAGGTCTAAATTTCATCTGTTAATGCATGCATTGGAATAATTTTGAATGTTCCCTGTTGCTGACTTTGAGTCAACTGTGACTTGGTACTGGCTATTAATTTCTTTTTCTGCTAACTTTTCAGGCTTTGTGCTTTTGCTTTAACATTGCTGTTGCTCAGCAACTTTCCTAAAAGTCGAAATTCTTCCCCCGCCCTCCTCACAAACTTGTTGTCTTGAAATAATTTATTATAAATCATTTCATTTGCTAATGCTTCTTGTGGCAAGGCCACTCAGTTACTTGGGTGTCAAGAATGAAAAGAAGGAAGAAAAGAAACAAAATGGAAGGTTATGAAAAAATTTAAAAACTAATTAGCATTTTAGTTATTTCACCCACTTCAGAGATTGTGCCATCTATCTTGAAAGTTTCAACTGAAATTTGACTTCTAAATTTAAGACCAATTTTTCCTCTAAAGTCTTAATGAATGGCTTGAGAAGTCTATTAAAACTTGAGTTACTTTAGCTACTTTCATGAATATGCTGAATTATGGACTGGATTTCCTAATGCTAATGGTCAGATTGAAAGTTTATGTTTTATCTTTTAATGGGTATATTTCTAAGGCATAATCAAAGATAATTAAAGTAGAATGAGCTTAATATGAAAACCTTATTGTAGATAATAGAGCAAATTTTCCTTACGCTACCAGTACATAGGATATTTTGATTTGGTATTATGTTGAATGGAGAAATGTACTATACCTATATGTTCAACAAATATGTTTTACATATATTTTAGAGATAATATGTTATTAGATTACAATTTGTATGTTGCTGGGAGCACAAGAGAAAATCTCATCAAAATTAAATTTTGGAATTGTTTCCGCATTTATTAATGTTTCCATGGCTCTTTGGAAAGCAAAGCTTCCAAATGCATACTTCCATAGTCTTCCTGCTACTGGCAATTCAAAATAACCAGACTTATATGTGCGTTCTTCTCAACAATTGTTTTTTTAGCTACTGAAATATGTGGCAATGTATTCATTTGTGTAATTCCACATTTTCATTATACTTTAGACATGGAAAGATCTTTGTGCTTCTAGAAAATTTGTACTCACGGTTTTATAATTCCAAGAACAGAATTTGCTCTAAATACTCTTTCTTTTATATTTTTCATGAAATTAATTATTGTTAAGTATCTTCTGGACTCCCTGTGTCTTGAAATAAAATTCCTTTAGTATATCTTTATAATCACAGTTATTGACAAATATCTGATATGTATTGGTTTTTTAAAGTTTGTTCAACCAGAGAAGAAATCAGTTGTTTTACCAGAGGAGAAACTAAGCCTCAGGGTCCTTCACTCCTATGGGTCCTTTCCCAGGTATGGGGAGACGCTGTAGGCAGTGTGCTCAGATGCTCACGTGTTTTTCTGTTTGTTTGGTTTTTTTTTTGTAAAATTTGAAAAGAAAGCTATTTTAGCTGCAATCATGTAAGACCAGTGCTTCGACTTTGACTGCCCTTCCTTTAGTGTCATGTTTTGGGGTGGCATTGGAAAGACCGTGGCCGTTTTTGGTGGGGGTCCAAAAAAGGGAGAATCAAACTGGGGCTGCTGTGGTCTAAAATTAAGTGGGTTCTATTTTGGTTGTTTGTAAACACTTCCATGTATAGTGAAGCTGTTGATAATTGTCCACCTTGGCAACTCCCTGGAGCATTCTGACACAGGTGTGGAGCCCGAGGTCATGGTAATACCCAGTGCACGTGTCCACAGCACTGGTATCTCATGTATGCTCATGGGTGGCGGGAGTGAAACTAGGTTTGAAATACACGGAGACAGAAGCTACTCTCTGCAAAACCCTTCCTGTTATTAGATGTGCAATAATAGCAGAGGATGTGGGTTTATCAATGCATAGTCAAAACAGAAGTTCTCTCCTGTCAGGAATTTAATGACTAATGCAGTTCATGCTACTATTAATGCATCTTTTTTTCTTTTTTGATAGATTTCTTTTTCTCAACATTCTTTTGTTTTTAGGGCACAAACCTGTAGCAGTAATAGAAACACAAGTACCACTGTGTGTGTGTAGTTGCATGTTTTCTGAATCTCAGTGATAAATAAAAGCAGTTTTTCTAGACGGGGGACAGGTTCTCACTCTGTCTTTCAGGCTGGAGTGCAGTGGTGCAAACCTGGCTCACTGTAGCCTCAGCCTCCTGGGCTCAAGTGATCTTCCCACCTCAGCCTCTCGAGTAGCTGGGACCACAGGCACACACCACACCTGGTTAATTGTTTTTTAAATTTTCCTAGAGATGAGGATTTTGGTATGTTGCTCAGGCTTGTCTCAAACTCTCAGCTCAGGTGATACTCTCGCCTTGGCCTTCCAAAGGGTTGGGATTACAGGCGTGAGCCACTGCATCTGGCCTAAAAACAAATTTTGATGAAATATTCCAGAGGAAAGAATGAATGATTATTCTTTCTATAAAAAATAATATTTGGCCGGGTGTGGTGGCTCACACCTGTAATACCAGCACTTTGGGAGGCCGAGGTGGGCGGATCGTGAGGTCAGGAGATAGAGACCATCCTGGCTAACATGGTGAAACCCCGTCTCTACTAAAAATACAAAAAAATTAGTCAGGCATGGTGGCGGGCACCTGTAGTCCCAGCTACTTGGGAGGTTGAGGCAGGAGAATGGCGTGAACCCGGGAGTCGGAGCTTGCAGTGAGCCGAGATCGTGCCACTGCACTCCAGCCTGGGTGACACAGCAAGACTCTGTCTCAAAATAAATAAATAAATAAATTAAATAATAATAATAACAATAATATTTATGAAGATGCAAAGAATATGCAACTCATAAGTGTAGGGGAAAAAGCATTAAAGAGTTGTGGTCAGGGAGATAATATGAATCTATTTTTTTTCTGGATTTGTGATGTTTGGGACCCTTCCTGACATTTTAAAGTTTGTTGATTTTTTTTTTCATAGCAAATGAATACTCATTTTCATGTTAAATTTATAATTTGTCTTCTCTTTCTAAAACTGTATAAACTTTGGCCCCTCTACAATACACATATATCCACAGAATAAATACTTACTAAATATTTAGACACCATAAAGGTAAGGGTCACTTTTAGCCTGGCATGTACTTATTATTATGTTAGGAGTTGAGTGCATCTTCATAATAACAAATAGTTATTATTGTCCAGTGATGACTGGTAATTTATATGTACATTAAATACTATCTGTAAATTGTAAAGAAGAATTTCTACTTTCTCAGGATCTTGAGGCGATAAGATCTTATGCTGTAAAGCATTTTCTGATGGTCGAAAAACTGTCACGAGTCTTTCATTTAACCAGGGATTTGATATATGGAAATAGTATTTACTTTTTCATTTCCCTCAATCACCTTTTCTGGTTTGACTTGTCAAAAAAGAAAAAAAAAGGGAGGAAGAAAGGAAAAAAGAAAAAGAATGAAAGCAAGCCTTGGAAGTCAGAAGACTTTTTCTGATATTACTAGATGATCATGTTAGAATGATTGGAGGGTTTCTAAACACGCACCTCAAATTCTCAAAAGTGAGCAGGATGCGATGGTACTTCCAGGAAGGTGGCAAAGTACTAACACAACTCTCTATATGTAAGTCTTTACAAATAGTAAGTTTCAAACATAAATGAATGTAATTAGTATTCTTCAGCATGTTTGTTATGGGATCATGGCCCTCAACTTGTGTTTTAACCAACTCCTTGTTATAGAGCAGTACTTAAAATATTTCAAGGAATTAAGCCAAACATCTCCCTCTGGCAGACACATTTTGCATTTTTGCAGTCACCACAAAAACACTCTGTTGTAAGCATCTTGGTGCTCACCAATCTTCTAGCTGTACCTGGAGATTTAGGCCTACTCTACACACATAGTTAACGCTTTTTTAACACATCCATTTTGGGTGCAAAAATAGGAGATTGCAAAGACACATCCAGGGGTTTAACTTGTGCTACAAGATTCACTGGGTTAACTCTATGTGTGTCAATGGACGACTTAAAAAGTGTCAGCTGGAGGAAGCCTGTGAGTGGAGGCAGGAGCTGGCAGGAGCTAGCGCGAGCTGTTGCCATGCGGCACCAACGGGGTTAACCAGCCGTGCCAGCATGAACAATGGGAACCGGGCAGCTCTAAATGAAATGAGCTGAATATTTCATTCGGCCACTCAGCTGCCTGCTCCAATTGCCTCCTTTACTAAAATAAGAGCTTAATCTAAAGTGACAACAACATCAGTTTCTGTGTGCTCCAGTCACACTGAACATGACTTCCTTAACATAAACACTATTTACATGGACCGTCTGGATATAGCAGGGAATCAGGAGCGTGCCCAGCTAAGACACAGGGTACAATGAAGGACGAGGAGCAGGCAGCTGAGAATTAACATCAGCAAATGAAAGCCTTACCCTCAGAGGGCATGTCCCTGATACGTTTTAAAATGAGAGAGCATTGCACCAGTAACCTTAGCCTTTGTAAAGACTATGCCATTTAAAATAAAATAGTACCTTTTCAGTTTAGACACTTAACCAAATGCATTATGTCTGACCCATTTTCCAACTTATGTGACACGAGAGGATGGATCCCTAGCTGCAATTATTAGACTCTCTTAAACAATTGCAACCAATAACCTCCCTTGCCAGCCTCCTTCTCATAGCAGCATGCACTTCTTAGAGATAAAGAGGGCATTCCATTCTGTGAGGGCAGGCCAGACAGAGATGTCAGGGGAGTGGGAGAGAAGATGTGACCCTTGAACTGATGGCTTTGATGTCACTGCTAGCAGTACCCAGGAAATCCTGGTTTGAAAGTAGTTTTCAGCTAGAGACTTCTAGAAGATTAGAAGCAGGGGTGTGACAAGGCACCAGCCTGTCAGGGTCCATGAAATAACATATGTAAGTTATTTATTTCTAGCACCCTAGCATAGATATTATGGCAGATCTCAACCCTGGCTATGCTTTATTGATGGTTTCTTTCCATGAGGAGAATGTTATATTGCATATTTTCATTTTGTTTACACCCACTGGGAATTTTGAGGATCACAAAATGTAGACATGTTAAACTTAGTCCTATTAGAATTATTGCCAGTTAATAGAATTCAGTGGGTTTTCCACCAGCTTCATAGGTAAGGAAAGTAAGGCACAGGGAACTTGCTCATATACTTGCAGCCACACAACAGATTAGAGAGCAATTGGGAAAGAATATATTTTTTTGGCCAATTATTTCTGTCAAATCACCACTCATGCTCTCATTTCTAAAATAACTCTTCTCTCAAAATTTCCCCTGGTTGAGCCTTCTAGAAGGCTTACACCAGACACTGATTTGTGGTTCCAAAGACTTAGGGCTACTGACAAAATGGTAGCTCTTTTTTTTTTTAATAGATCTGTGTTCTCCATCCTTATTCTCCAGGCTCTGTACCTGAGGGGAGTGATTGCGAAGTTCTCATCCCTGTGGTAGGACATTTTAGGTAAAGTTCTTATTCATGGAAGAAGAAAAGGACTGATCATTTAAAACAAGTTTGTTTTTTCTAAGAAATGTATAATAAATGTTGGAAGGAAATGGGAGAATCATTAATATCGGGCTGGCTATAGTAGAATACTCATTAATCAACAGTCATTTATTGAGAATCTTTGAGATCATCAAGCTTTGTGTTAGGGGAAAGAAAATTGTCTCTGGCCTCTTGAAGCCTACCATGTAGTGAAAAGGCGTATCGTAATTTGAAAAAAATAAAAGAAGTTAGGCTTCTGCCAAAAGCCAATAAGAATAACACAACATGATTGGGAGCAAATTGAACTACAATTTTTATTTTTCGAAATGATGCCCTTTGGTCTTGTTTTCATCTTCATTTTAACTTAAGGGTAGTGTGAACATAAAAACAACCTTTTACTTGCCACTTATTGAACACTGATCAACTTTTTCAGGCATTGTTCTACCTGTGCCCCCAAAAGAATTAAGCATACTTCATCACAATCAGATAGAGATATGGATATTTGTACAAATATTAATTGCACAACTTGGTAAGTGCCTTAGTAAGATAGATACCCAATGCTTAGAGCAGAGAAGAGGTGGAAATCACCACATCTGTCCTGTGAGACCTCTTCAAAGGGTAAAGACCTTGATGTCTAGCCCCTGCATCAGCCAGCTCCTCCTTCAGCTTGGTCTGGATGGTCAGGTCAGCAAATGTCAGCTAAGAATAGCAACATCAGTGGCGGCCGGGCTCCTGCAGATCAGTCTTGGGAAGCAGCCTCTGCAATGATTCCTGAAATCTGTAGGATTTGCTGAAGACTTTTGGGAAACTAATATGTACCTGGCACCTCTCTGTGCTGTTTCTTGGCTTCTCTCGGCTATAGTAGGGTTCTTGATGAATTTCTTTTTCCTTCTCAGGTGAGGATGAGATCGCCTTCTCATGGGATGGCCCTGCTGCTTTGTGACCTCTTAGTATGATGGGGCATGATTAGCCCAAGAGAAATGCAGGCTTCCCTTGTTGTGTGTGATAAAACCCACTCTGATGAATTTCGGAGCTCTAACGAGAAAAATGCCTGAAATAGACCCAGGCAGTCTCTTCCGATTTCTTTCAGCCACCTTTCCCCTAATTAATTAATAGTGTGGTCAGGTCTCTGTTCTGAATGCTATTGTGTGTTCTTCAGCCACTCACGGTTTTATTTTTCCCCACGCAGGGTATTTTAAGAATATTTTGCCATCTTTATCTTCATGTAGGTGTGCATACAAACCATTCTATGTAAAATTAGTCTTTTCTCTTTTGCTATTCTCTTTTAAACTTTTGAAGAAAGAGGTATGTGTTGTATTGCATATGTAATATGTAGTCTTAAATTTCCCCACTTCTTTGAAGATGGGAAACAAAGTTTCTTTCATCCCCAAATGGAAGATAGTATTGTGTCATAATTTTTTAAAGAATAGAAAAGTTTTGCCAAATTTTAATAATTTCTACATTAAGCACTAGTTTCCATGACAAGGGCCATGTCTTAAAGCGTAATCCGTATAAAAGATTATCTATTTCATAATTTTTTGCTTAGTTACTTAATGTTTTTATTGTAAGTTTTTCACAGTAAATTTCTAATGCAAGAATCAATTTTACAGATCTCATTATTCAGATACCTACTTATTTTGGGGTGGGTGGTAGACTCAGTACAGATGACCCTAAAGCTGATTATCCTCCAAGCCCTTGCAAAACCCTTTTCTGTCATACTGGATTGTCATTCTGTTATCTCCGACCCTGATTGGCCTGTAATTGTGTCCCAATGGCAAGACCACAACCCAAAAAGTCAGCAGCATGATTTTGCAGCAGCTGTTGCTGCAGAAGGTAAATGCCGTGCAGTTATTGATGAGCTTGCTAATTTGTTTAGTAGACAGAATTTAGAATGGGGAACAGGATTTGTCTGCTAGCTGTCATCATCCATCAGCCCCAGGCTGCCCCAGGCAGTGGGTTTGTTTTTTTGCCAGCTTCTAATTTTGCTGTATTTTTTTTCTTAGCTTCAATCTACTTTATTCATTTATTATAATTGGGAGAGTGGTGGTTGAGATAGAAAAGAAAAAAATACTTATGCCCCCACACACTCAAGATTGAAGCCTCTCATATGCTGCTGTTCTTTGATAACAGAGGGTTTGGGCTGGACTGTTGGTCTATTGATTGATGTAGTTAGTACATGAAGACTCTAGGCTCTCACATGGGGGCCCTAAAGCCCAGTGTGATGGGAAGACTTGCCGAATCTGTCCCCAGTCCTACATGTTTCTCCCTGTGTCCACAGGGAGAAATGTATTATTATAAGTTATAGTCTTAGATGTGTTCCTTTGGGGTACTCATTCAATTCATTTAAAAATTATTTTTTGAGTGTTTACTATGTGTCCATTATTAATATAAATGCCAGTAATATACTAATGAACAAAACAAAAGTCCCTGCTCTCAAAGCGTTTGGGTTCTAGGGGTAGAGATGGAAATAAATAAATATATAATAGGTGAAGATAGCGATTAATCAGATGAAAGAAATAAAACAGGGTGAGGGTAGGGTTGGGGGTACTGATTTAGACAATGAGACCAGTGAAAGTTCTTGAGGAGATGACATCTGGGACCTGAATGATGAGAAACAAGTCATGTGAAGATCTGTGGGGAGACTCTGGGGAGAGAAAATGGCAGACAAAAACCCAGAAGAGACACTGAGCTTCTTAACTTCCAGGAACAGCAAGAAAGCTAGAGTAGTTAAAAGAGCTGCTGCTGGTGGGGGCGTTAGGGTGGAAAGGAAGGCATAGTAAGATCACTTGGATTTTAATCTTAAGTGTGATGGGAAGCCCATTGTAAGTCGGAGAGTGACTTGGTCAGATGAACATTTTGCAAAGCTTACTGTGGCTACTGTGGGGAGAATAGACAGACTGGAGGATAAGACTCGAACAGGGAGATAGGTGGAAAGACCATTGCAATAGCGCAGTGAGAGGGACTTTAAGCTTGCACTAGAGTGACAGCAGTGGAGTTGTGAGAAGTCAAGATGTGAAAAGTGATCTACTCCCATTTTGAATAGATCTAGCTGAATGCAGGAGATGAGGAAAGGAGAACTGTCAAGTTCCATAGCTAGTTGCTTTGAGTTTCAGTATTGAAAGTGTGAGTACCCATAATTAAGTCATACTCATTGGGAGAGGAAAGAAGAGAGGGTGGGGTGGCTACTAACTTGTTTTTGAAGACCTATTGTTGGTAACATTTGAAATAACCTGTAGAAGAAAAGCATCAAGAGACTCAAGTTGAGTAAATGTTACCCTGAATTTAAAATGAAGGAAACGTTTATATTTTCTATATGTTACCTTTTAAGAAATTAGTGAAATCCTAGATTGTGTTATTATGCAGATCATTTCTGACCACTTAGAAAGAAAGCAGTGTTCACCAGAAGCCAGTATGGGTTCTCAAAGATCTAATAATGCAAAATTAATTTACTTCTTTTAATAGAGCCATCCTGTTATCCAATATCATGATTTGTAAAAGGTAGATTCATAATATATCATAACATTTGATTTAGTTGACAGTATGGTAATATGGATTAATAGCCGAAGAACTGTACGTAAGGGAACTAGATTAGTATATCTCTATCAAGCTAAAGAGACGTCTGTAGTTAGGTGCCACCGTTTTTATTCATTGGGTTATCCTCTTTATTTTTATTAAGAACTTCTATGAAAGAAGTTGAAGAAAGTAAAAGTTTGATCTCCTTTCTTTGGAAAGCATGTACCTATACATGTACTTTTACCCATTTTATCTCATTTGGTGTTCAGGAAGTTTGTGATAGGATCTAAGTTGGTCAAAACATAATGAGATAAAATTTAATAGTGTTAAAATAATTCTACTTAAAAAACCAGTAACTCCTTTTAAAAGTGGGTAAAGGACATGAAGAAACGTTTTTCAAAAGAAGACATACAAGCAGCCAACAAACATGAAAAAATGTTCAACATCACTAATCATCAGAGAAATGCAAATTAAAACCACAGTGAGATACCATCTCACACCAGTCAAAATGGCTATTATTAAAAAGTCAGAAAACAACAGATGTTGGTGAGAATGGGAAGAAGAGAGAACACTTGTATGCTGCTGGTGGGAATGTAAATTAGTACAATCCTATGGAAAACAGTATATTTATCAAAGAACTAAAAATAGAATTACCATTTGACCCAGCAGTCCCACTACTAGATGTCTGTCCAAAGGAAAATAAATCAATATGTCCAAGGTATACCTGCATTCGCATGTTTATCACAGCACTATTCACAATGGCAAAGATATAGAATCAGCCTAAGTGTCCATTAATGGATGACTAAAATGTGGTTTATATACACACACATATGTACACATGCCACAGAATACTACTCAGCCCTCAAAAAGAATGAAATCCTATCTTTTGCAGCAACATGAATTGAACTGGAGGCCATTATCTTAATTGAAATAATTCAAAGAGAAAGTCACATACCACATATTCTCATTTATAAGTGGGAGGTAAATAATGTGTATACATGGACATAGAGAGGGGAATAATAGACATTAGAAACTTGGAAGGGTGCGGGGTAAGGAATGATAAATTACTTAATGGGGACAATGTACACTATTTGGGCAATGGGTACACTAAAATCCCAGACTTCATCACTATGCAATATATCCATGTAAGAAAACTGCATGCGTACCCCCTAAATCTATAAAAACATTATACATGTAATCTAAAAATTCATTGGTCAATTACAGGTTTAATTTTCAACTGTCAAAATATTCTGGTTGATTTTATGTTCAATATAAGTCAACAGTAAGGCATAGCTGCTCAAGCAAGAGGTGTTGTCACCTTTAACGTCATTAATAGAAGATAGTGTTCATAACCAATGAGATAATCACCCAGTAAAATGTATCCTGGTCAATTCACATAATGTTACGTGTGTAAAATAATTGGAAGGACCTTGACAATTTAATGTCTAAAGCTGGTGAATTAGAGGATAAATCTAGAAACTGAGAGTTCATATAAAGAGGAGTTGAGTAGCTGGAAAACGAGAAACTTGGGGAGGATTTCAAAACAGCCTTCAAAAAAGTATCACCTTTGAGTCCATCAGAGTCAGGCAAGAAACAAATGATGGTCTTAAAGGAAATGATTTGAGGAGAATTTAATAAGGGAAGTAGTTATAAGAATATAGACAGGGCTTAAGAACCAAGACCTCAGTAAGATACCACTTCACACTAGGATAGCTACAATAAAAAAGACAGAAAATAACAAGTCTTGGTGATGATATGGAGAAATTAGAACCTGCATACACCACCATTGAGAATGTAAAATGGGCAGCTGTTTGGAAAACAGTCAGGCAGCTCCTTCAAATGTTAAACCTCATGAGTTACCATATGATCTAGCAAGTCCATTCCTAGGTATCCACCCAAGCAAAATGAAAACATGTGTTCACACAAAAACTTATATACAGTGTTCATAGCAGAATTATTCATGATAGCCAAAACATTGAAACAACCAAATATCCATCAACTGATGGATAAATAAAATGTGGTATATCTATGCAATGGAATATTGCTAGGCAATGAAAAGAAATGATGTCAGGAAGAATAGCTAATGGATGCTGGGTTAATACCTAGGTGATGGGTTGATCTGTGCAGCAAATCACCATGGCATACGTTTACCTAACCTGCATATCTTGCACATGTACTCTGGAACTTAAAAGTTGATGAAAAAAGAGGTACACATACAATAAAATTTCACAATAGCAAAGACTTGGAACCAACCCAAATGTCCAACAATGATAGACTGGATTAAGAAAATGTGGCACATATACACCATGGAATACTATGCAGCCATAAAAAATGATGAGTTCATGTCCTTTGTAGGGACAGGGATGAAATTGGAAATCATCATTCTCAGTAAACTATCGCAAGAACAAAAAACCAAACACCGCATATTCTTACTCATAGGTGGGAATTGAACAATGAGAACACATGGGCACAGGAAGGGGAACATCACACTCTGGGGACTGTTGTGGGGTGGGAGGAGGGGGGAGGGATAGCTTTAGGAGATATACCTAATGCTAAATGACGAGTTAATGGGTGCAGCACACCAGCATGGCACATGTATACATATGTAACTAACCTGCACATTGTGCACATGTACCCTAAAACTTAAAGTATAATAATAAATAAAATAAAAATAATATATTGATACATGCTACAATGTAGATGAACCTTGAAAACTTTATGCTAAGTGGAAGAAGCCAGTCACAAGAGAGAACACGTGTTGTATGATTCCATCTATATGAAATGGATATCCAGACAACCAAATATATAGAGACAGAAAGTACATTCATGGCTACCTGGGGATGCAAAGTTGGCAAGAAATTGGGAATGACTGCTGATGGGGCATGGAGTTTCTTTCTGGGGTGACGAAAGTGTTCAAAAATTGGTGGTGATGATTGAACAACTTTGTGAATATATTAAAAGTCATTGAATTGTATGCTTTGAATGGGTGAATTGTATTATATAAACATCTCAAAAAAGTTGTTTTAAAGAAAACAAACCAAGGAGAATGAGGATTGGTACCCTACTCTGGGGATAATGATAGCAGGCTGTTGTCACCACCCCTGGGCCTGAAGGAACCAGAAAAAGCACTGTATTGGAGAGGCCCATCTGAATGGAGAGACATCACCGTGCTCTGACAGTCACCTTCAAGGCAGGGCTGCAGGAATGCATGGCCTGACCTCACTCTTCTACTGTTTAATCTCCTCTGATGCCTCCCATTTTCAAAACCCAATCAGAAGCCTGGAACAGGGGCGTCTTTTGATGTGATCCATGGCAGTCAGCATCCTAGGGCACCAAGCTGGGCAAAGGGTCGAGCTTGCATCTGGATGTGAAGATAAGTGACTTTGTGTCACTCCAAAACTGAGACCAGTAGAGGAAGATTAGAATTATATGTGTTACCTCCAAATGAAGTGAATTTTGATTTCTGGAAAGAGGGTCTGACAAAATCTGAGATGGTGATGGTGAAATTACGTACAAGATTCCAGTTTTAAGTGAAGGATTGAATTACTTCTGAAGTTCCCTTGCAAACTCTATTTCTGCCTCTAACCACTGGCATATTGACACCAATTGTATTATCGTTTGGCCAGCTGTGATCTTGGAAATTCAAAGTTTGGGCTTTGGCTAATAGACCATTAAGTGGGTGCATTTTGATGGGGAGAGTGAGAAAGCAGAGGGAATATTCTGAGTATGAGCTGCTCAGTTGGGATTCAACCCCATGTGAATAAATAAATTGGACTTAACTGTGGCCAGAGACAGTCTGGGGAGAGAAGTGACAGAAGAAAAAGAAAGAAGCTTGTCATCAAAGAAGATGTAGGATTTGGAGAAATAAAATTTGCCTACTTAACAATTTTACTGATTATGTATATTAGTCCTACTTTCCTTTTTAGTTTAAAATGACAGTAAAAAGGCCTTAATATTCCCTGTAAGAAAATTATCGTCATCTTTCATGAAAGATGTCAGAGAAGCTTGTGTGTCTTTTCTCCAGCATGTTTCACCAAGACTCACTCCATCTCCTGGAGTGATTTGAAGAGGGTGACAGAATAGACCCCCAGGGAATGCACATCTGAGTCTCTGCCATGCATCACTCCTTTTGCAGAGACAGGATCTACAGCAGGGGTATCCAATCTTTTGGCTTCCCTGGGTCATACTGGAAAACGAAGAATTGTCTTGGGTCACACATAAAGTACACTAACACTAACGATAGATGATGAGCTTTAAAAAATTGCAAAAAAATCTCAATGTTTTAAGAAAGTTTGCAAATTTGTATTGGGCCACATTCAAAGCCGTCCTGGGCTGTGGGTTGGACAAGCTTGATCTACAGGGATAGGATGAAACTGATATGTGAGGAGGATGGAAAGTTACTCAAATGACCATGTTAATGGAGATGCTGTATCCAGCAACTCATGGTTTGCAGGCTACTTATGTTGAAGACGTTTGAGAAGTTATTTGATGAGTTTTATGGTTTTCTAAAATTGGTACTTCTACTTTGTGCCATGTTTTATATCTACTACATTAAATATATACCAGTATAATCATTTACATGGCCCCGTGCCAAAATACAGAAACGAAGATGCTCATTTACAAATGTGGACAATGTCCAAATAAACCACTGATATGCCCTGCCAACTTAAATGGATGTGGGATTTGGAAGGAATACTCAAGCCTGTAGAAATATACTTTTCTATTTATCTTTTTTTCTGGACCTTCAGCTATATCTCAAATACTTGATTAAAGACTACTTGGATTTTTAGAAATTACATAATTCTCCTGCCTCAATATTTTTTACATTGTTTCATTATTTACTAAAGACCAATAGTTTTAGATTCCTTGTTCTTTATTTCTACAAGTGCTATTGTAATTTTAATTAACTTGCAAGTCAAATAAATAGATTGTTGATATACTGTATGGATCCTGGGGTAGGATATTGTAAAAAGCTATTGTTCTGACAGGTATTCCCCAAGTATATGACAAGTACCCAGGAGTACAGATTTCTCAATTCTTGCCAATTTCATATATTTATGTATGTTGTTTTATTCTTCACTGTTGTTTATTTCATATAGAGAGAAAGCAGTTTTTCTATTTATAAGATGTTTTCATGAAGCGTCTGGCCTTAGTGTTAGAAATATTTATGAATAACATAGGATTGATAATAGTATTAATTACACTTATATTTAATACATATAATACACAGGGCCTGGTTTGAGGTACTATAAAAGTAAAATATAAAGCCCAGAACCTAGTAGGGTTTAATAAAAGACAGCTATGATGATGATGATAGTGATGACGTGATGATAATGATTGTAAAGTAGCAGGCAATTATCAAAGTTAATTTACTATAGTAATTTTGGGAAAGTTAGGTAGAGTAAATCCTCACTTAACATTGTCAATAGACTTGAAAACTGCAACTCTAAGTGAAACAGCATATAATGGAACCAATTTTTTTCCTCATTAATGTTGTAATGAAATGAAGTTGAACTAGACAATATTATTTGAGGATATACCATACTTTGTTTAGCTTAAAATCACAGTTTCCAAAACCTATCAAAAATGTTAAGTGAGAGGTTACTGTAGTTAGTAAAGATTTTAAAACATTTGATCTTTTAAATTTATTTTTAAAATGCCACATAAATCTCTCTCTCTTTTTTTTTTTTTTTTTTTGTGACAAGGTCTTGCTCTGTTGCCCAGGCTGGAGTGGCATGATCACAGCTGACTGCAGCCTCTACCTCCCGGGCTCAATTGATCCTCCTGCCTCAGCCTTCTGAGTAGCTGGGACTATAGAAATGCACCACCATGACCAGCTAATTCTTTTGGTAGACATGAGATTTCACTACGTTGCCCCTGCTGGTCTCAAACTCCTGAGCTCAAGTGATCTTCCTACCTCAGCCTAGGCATGAGCCACCATGCCCGGCTGCCATATAAATCTTAAAGATAAAACATCAAATTTAAAGCGTACTCAGCATGACGTCCCAACATACCCTCAGAACCCAAAGTGTAAGTTTTTTTGCCATTCCTGGAAAGGTGTGAGACACACATGTGCAGGGATGTTGCTAACATTTATTTCTCTGGATTATCTTAACTCTAGTCGTGTATCAGATGCTCCCGACATACAATGGGGTTATGTCCTGATAAACCCATTGTAAATTGAAAATACTGTTAAGTCAAAAATGCGTTTAGTAAACTTACCTTACTAAACATCATAGCTAGCCTAATTTACCTTAAATGTACTCAGAAAACTTACATTAACCTACAGTTTGGCAAAACCATCTAACACAAAGCCTATGTTGTCATAATGGATTAAATATCTTATGTAATTTATTGATTACTGAAAGTGAAAAACAGAATGGTTTTGCACCATTGTAAAGTGGAAACTTCATAAGTAGAATTGTAAGTTGGGGACAGTCTGTACTGTGTTTTCTCTTACATATACATATCTTTAATAAAATTTAATTTAGAAATTAGGCACAATAAGAGATTAACAGCAGTAACAAATAATAAAATAGAACAATTATAACAATATACCATAATAAAATTATATGAATGTGGTCTGTCTCTCTCTCTCTCTCTCTCAAAATATCTTAAATACTGGATTCAGCTTTCTTCTTGTGATGATGTGAGGTGGTACAATGCCCACATGATGAGATGAAGCGAGATAAATGCCGTCAGTATTGTGACTTAGTCTTAGGCTACTACTGACCTTCTGTATTGCAGAATCTGTGTAACCATCCCTTGTTTCCAGTAAATGGTTTGATATTACTCGTTTCAGGAGATCCCTTGCTGAAATCTTCATTTAAGCTCAATACTTTGAGGGGCAACACATTCCCATGAGTTGGAACTCATTTCCGTTCATGTCCTCCACCCACAAAGTTCATAGCCTTTTTCGTCTTAACTAGGCACCTATCATGCACTGTAGCCATAACTTTTGCTGTTTCAGGTGCAACAGTAAAATGAGCATTAACTTCATTTTCCTTCTTTGCAATTTCACAGATAAATTAGTTCTTACCGTGGACCGTAGCAGCCTCTGCATAAGATTTTTTTCTCTTAAGTCAAGAATTTTCACCTTTTCACTTTTTAAAGGAAGCACTTTACCCTTTCTCTTTTGCATATCCAAATTGCCAGCATCACTATGATTCTTATGCTTTGGGCACATTGTGAGGTACCATAAGGCAGGAGTCCCCAGTCCCTGGGATGCAGACTGGTATCAGTCCGTGACCTATTAGAAACCGGGCCATACAACAGGAGGCGAGCAGCAGGTGAGCCAGCATTACCACCTGGGCTCCGCCTCCTATCAGAGCAGCCATGGCACTAGACTCTTGTAGGAGCGCAAACCCTATTGTGAACTGTGCATGCGAGGGATCTAGGTTGTGCACTCCTTATGAGAATCTAACTGTGTTAGTCTGTTCTCATGCTGCTATGAAAAAAATATCTGAGACTGGGTAATTTATAAAGGAAGGAGGTTCAATTGACTCATAGCTCTGCATGGCTGGAGAGGCCTCAGGAAACTTACAATAATGGCGGTAGAGGAAGAGGCACATCTTACATGGCAGCACGTGAGAGAGAAGTGCCAAGCAAAGGGGGAAAAGCCGCTTATAAAACCATCAGATCTTGTGAGAACTCACTATCATGAGAGCAGCATGAAGATAACTGCCCCTCTGATTCAATTACCTCCCACAGGTTCCCTTCCGCAACACTTAGGGATTATGGGAGCCATAATCCAAGATGAGATTTGGGTGGGGACACAGCCAAACCGTATCACTAACTAATGCCTGATGATCTGAGGTGGTAGTTTCATCCTGAAACCACTCCCCAAGCCCCAGTACCCCCCAACCAGTCCTTGGAAAAATTGTCTTCTACAGAACCTGTCCCTGGTGCCAAAAAGTTTGGGGACTGCTGCCATAAGGGTTTCTTGAACAGAAGCATGGTGATACCATGACGCTGGATCTGATAACCAAGCTGCTACTAAGTGACTAACAGGCAGGTGGCATAGACAGTGGGGATTTGCTGGACAAAGGGAGAAGTCATGTCCTGGGCAGGACAGAGTGGGACAGCAGGAAAATTTTATCATGCTACTCCCACAATAGAAAACTTATGAATTGTTTATTTCTGGAATTTTCCATTGAAGATTTTTGGACTGTGGTTGACTGTAGTTAGTTGAAACCACAGAAAGCAAAATCATGGATAAGGGAGGACCCATGTAACTACATATGTGGACAGTGAATTTAGTTCCTTATGATTTATCTGTATAGAATTAGCTTTAAGGAATTGTCTCTATTAAAAACAAATCGTTACATAAAGGTAGTTGTGATTTTTAAAGACCATCATCAAAGACACTGTCAATTCTGCTGTATCTTTTAAATAAAGACTCATTTGGGCCAGGCGGGGTGGTTCACACCTATAATCCCAGCTGTTAGGGAGGGAGAGGTGGAAGGATAGCTTGAACCCAGGAGTTGGTGACCAGCCTTGGCAATATAGGGAGATCGCATTCTCAATCAATCACAATCAATAAATACATACATATATACTCATTTGGAACCTGCCACTTGTAGTGGTCAGAGCTAGGACAACTCTTATTTGGGGATATACATTTCTTTTACATTGCAACCTCGTTTCTAAACTCCAGACACACGTATCCACATGACTACCTGATAGCTCTGCTTGGCACATGCAAAACTGGTATCCTGATGTGTCCCTCAGACTTGCTCTCCCTGAAGTCTTCTGTTTAGTTAAGGGTAAATCTATTCTTCCCATTGCTCAGAACCAAAACCTCATTATCATCCTTGACTCCTCTCTTTTGCTTTTACTGTACATCTAACGCCTCAACAAAACTACCTTCAAAATAGTTCCAGAATCTGAGCACCTCTCACCACCTCCGCTATTTCCTGTCTGGTCAAGCCACCATCATTTCTCATTGTGGCTATAGGCTCCTAACTGGACTTCTCCTCTACTGGCTCCTTTTTAGTCTTCTCACAAATCGTGGCCAGGGTGAACCTTTGAAGTGTAAATCAGATTAGTCAGATGTCATCCTGTGCTCAGTGACCTCCAATGGCTTCCTACCTCAGGGGAGTCCTTACTATGACCCTTGAGGAGCAGAGTCAGCCCTTACCCCCTTTCCTCACTGACTTCCCCTTCCGCCATTTTCCTCCATACCCCCTTTCCTCATTGACTTCCCCTTCCGCCATTTTCCTCCCTACCATACTACCATACTGCCCGTTGCTCTTTCTCCTATGTGGTGGAAGCCACCAACTCTCCTGGGGCCTTTGCTCTCCTCCAGGTTCCTTCAGCCTGTGGTGGTCTCTGCTCTGTTAACCGCGTGACTCATTCCAACACTTTCTTCCAATCTTGACTCAAATGGCAGCTTCTTACGGAGGCCCTCCCTTCTACTACCAAAGACTTGCTTTTCTCCCTACTTTAATTTTTCTCCTTAGCACTTCCCTAACTTAATGTGTGTATATACATATGTTCATTTATCTTGTTTGTTTTTGATCTCCCTAAGAATATTAGCTGCGTGAGGGCAAGGAACTTGTTCTGTTTTGTTTACTGGTCTATCTCTAGAGCCCAGGATAGTTCCTCGCAAATGGAACAATACTTGTTGCATACATGAATAATCTCAGGCCGATTTTGGCTGGTGTTCTGTATTTATGGTCAGAGAAGTCATAAATAATGTACATTGTTTTCTTTTTGAATTCCATGTAGGAAGCTTTGGGGTTAAAGTCAAATTCTTAGTTATTTTTAGTGTTCATTCCTACTCTCCCTGAAGTTTTTCTCTGCTAAGATACATCTATCACATCTATATTAATTAACCACTGTCTTTTGAATTTATTTATCCAACTTGATATTTGAACAAAAAACTATGTGTGGGTCACTGTATGAGGCTCATAAGAGACATGATCCACCTTTTTAAAGACTTCTCCAATTTCACGAGTAAGGCAAGACTAGGAAATAATCCACGTAGAAGGGCAATTTCTAAATATAAGAGAGAGCTGTTTAAGGAGGCATTCATTGAATACTAATTGAGATTTTTTTAGAAAAACATGCTCTCACCCCATCCACTGGCTATAAGGTGGGAATACGTGACTTGGGTATTTTAAAAACTATTTTCCATGTGATTTAATTAATCCACACAACCACCCATTAAGAACTATTGATGTAACAGACATGTGTGTATGTACTATGCTTTCAGACAAACACACCTTCTGCCTTATTTATCAGGGCCTGCCTAGTACTCTCACTGTATAATTGAAAGTTTGCTAATTGAAAGAAACATTCTAAAATCTATCAACTTTAGGTTAACAGTCTAATTGATATTAAAAGTAAATATACATATTTAATTATACTTGTTTCCTCTTTATGAAACAGAATGTTTTTATTGTTTTGTTGTTTTGGTTTTTCGTTGGTCAATGAGTAAAGCCACAACTTGATCTGCAGCCGTGTCTGGCGTTTTGGGCATTTGTCATGGCCAGGCTGTGCTTTTACGTACTTCCAAAGATAAGGTCTTCACACTAGTAATGCATGCCCTCCGTAGGCCACACTGTTCTTTTTCATTCTATTCAGGAGTGCCCCTCAAGTAAGGATTACAGTAGTGCAAAGTCTGCACTTAATTTGTTGCATCTTGCCCTATAGATGCCCCCCTTGGAAATTTTATTTGTTTCAAATTTGGATGGAGATTTTAGGGACTTCTTTTTCTGATTAGCTGACTGTTGCAGAATACAGTTAGAAATACAAAACTCTGATTTGATTTTCCTTTTTCATATGAACTATGCTGTAGATGATTTGATATCATTGTCACTTTGCAGCCAAATTCTTTGGTTTTCCTCAGTTTACTCACTTATGCATTGTGCCCTCCTTTAAAAAAAATATATCAAGAACTCTGGGACAATTAAAATACATGCCCTTTAAAATAAAAGCAACATGAGGCTCAGCCCAGCGATGGAGTTTATCTCTGGGTTCTATGAGTTAGAGGCACACTAATTTACTAGTGCTGGAACCAAATGGGTTGAAAATCCTTGTTTTCCCACCAGATGGGTTATTTTAAAATATCACAAAACTTCTGAGGTTATTTACATTACAAATGTGCTTCTTCACACACATCAAGAATTGAGTACCATGTTTTGACAGTAACTCCTTTATGAAATTATATGTTGCGCAAGTGGAGTAAAATTCAAGTCATTCTCAAGGGAGCAGGCTTATGAATCTGGATGAGGTCACACCTCTTTAAAGATGCAGTTTGATAATCCGACATCAAAACAAAGGAATTCTGTTAATCCTCTCACAAAAGTGCAAATTGCTAATCAGATCCCTGGGCTGGGCTGGCAGCTTGGTAAACAATGAGCTTGGCAGAAGAGCAACTTTGGGCGGATAGATAGCTGAGAAGCTTGGGATACCAACTTTGCCCCTATGTTAGCCCAGTTGAGTCTGTTGTTTCGAAACAATTACGTGTGTCAATGGAGGTGGTTCTTGCAGTTATTGTGTTCTTGTGCTTTTCTCCCTCCATGTTAATGATGATGCAAATCAATCTTCCTGTCTTTCATTTCACTTCACTGGTGTATAGGCTACTATGCCCCTATATTCTTTTCACTTGGATGCATGTGTCTTTTGAATTTTCATTACACATTCCTCTACAAGCCCAGAGGGTTTTCCCTCCCTCCCATAAATAGTGTGGTGGTATTTGAAAAAGGAAGAATAAATCTAAACCCATCTGAAGAAAAAAAAAAGAATCTTCTGGAAGGTGTAATAATTAGGACTCTTTTTTTTTTTTAAAGTGGTAAAAATCCGATTTGAGGAAGTTTAAGAAATAAGCCTGGAATTTGTTGGGTAAAGGAATACAAGGAAGGCAAATAACCAAGGAGGGGAAAGGACAGGAATGTAGTTGGGCCTCAGGAACAGTTGGAACCCGGGAGTCACACTTTGTCAGGGCTTGATCCCTTTCTCTTGTCTCTGTGTCACTTTGAATGTCGGCTTCACTCTTTCTTGCTGCAATAGAGATTTCTCCATATGGGAGGAAATGTCACCATTGATGACAGCACTGGAATTTTATAGCTCACTGCTTTATCCATTCTCCTTAAATCAGATATCTTAAGGAAAGACTCTGATTGGCTTGGATTAGATCAGGTGCCTGTTCTGGACAAATCAGCCATATTATATAATCTCAATTGCTAGGGGATAGAGGGTGCATGCTATCCGTCATACTGTCTTCTTCAGAATGATTGAAATACGTAACCAGCCTGAAACATTCTAAAACCTGATGATTGCATTAGCACGTAGAATTATTTTGTTCATCTCAACACCACTCTTTTAACTTTCACTCTATTTGGCCTTTTTGGCATTTCCAACTTTCACTCAAACATGACTAAGAGTTAACTTGAAAGTGAGAAATACAACTTCTTCATTTTAAAAGGGGGCTCTCATTAAGAGAGTGCACTGTTTTGAATACTTTCAGCTAATTTCCTGTCTCCTAGTAAGAGAGGGTGCATAAATTATTTGGGTGCAGTGTATGTTGGAAAGGAGCAAAATTTAAACTTTTGATTGTGGAGCCGTGTTCCAATGGGTAAGAGCTGTGTGCTTTTGCTGTAGGACAGTATGGGCTGCAGTTGGCATATTGGTTTTCAGTCAGATGAATGATGCGGAACATGACAAATCTACATCTGTAAGGGGAGAAATGCGTCAAAGGTAGAGGTTTGGGGCAGAGGATGGCTGGCCCGGTGGGGCCATGTTACCCACAGCCAAAGCTTTTTGAATAAGAGCACTGTCTTTTTAAAAGCAACAGGGGGTGCGGATTGAGGGAGTGCTCACAGCGGTAAGTATAACACAGCTGTGCTCTGTTTATGCTTCGGCTACAATAAAAAAGCTATAAAATGTGAGATGTCATAGCTCCACTTTGCTTTATTTATACTATTTCCTCTGAGCTCTGTCACACTGCACATTCATCTGCTAAGTTGCAGCAAGAATGGAGATTAAAATATCACAGCTCAAAATAGGAGTCAAGCGGAAGGAGATTCATCATAGCCCTATTAAAAATATGTAAATATGGGAATGAAGTCATTTTAAAGCTATACAGTGCTCCTCCTTTATGAGTTAAGATCCCTTGAGCAAGTGATGGGCTATGCCAAGGACAGAGCTAGGGGAACTTGTTCTCTCTTCCACAATGGAAACCCTTTTAAGATTAAAGACTGTTTGAATTGCAAATTATGTATGTTTTTCTATAATCAGAACCGAGTTAATAATGGCAGGAAATCGGATGCAAAATAGAATGAAGAAAAGTTTTGGGAATCAAGATTGTACATTGTTCATTTGGTTAGAATTTTTAAAATTAATATATGGAATCTCCTTTTAGACCCCGGTTATTAATGAAATTTGAGAAACTTTGAAAAGTATCCCTGGATAGGGAAGCTCTAAGAAGGAAACTGAGACACAAAGACGAAATTTGACTTTCCACAGCTCAACTATCAATGATGAAGCTAAGGCTGGAAGCTAGGAATTCTACCTAAAACTTTGCCAGTAAAATTACTTCTTTTAGGATTTCTGCATCTCTAGTCCCCACAACAATTTATTTACCTCTGTTGTTTCCATGGTGTGCTTAGGCGAGTAAGGAATGGAGTTTTTACATGAAAAGTCTGGAATACCTCATATGCGATTTACATGCCTTTTATGCTCTCCTTGCCAAGCTGTTGAGTGGCTCTTGACCTTTTGACCTTCTGATTTTCCAAATGTTCTATTGCTATTGTGGTAATAATGAAGACCAGCACTCATTAGGGGCTTACTGGGTACCAGGGATGGTTCTAAGTGTTTGATGTGAGGATCCCAACAACCACATGCAGTAGGTATTATTGTTTCTCAGACTTTACAGATGTGGAAACTGAGGCAAGAGATTATACAGCTAGTGAATGAGAACAGGAATTCCTGTTGTCTTTCCAAAAATATGTATTAGGAAAACAGTGGAAGGAGCACGAGGCTGGAAAAGAGGGTACTTGGGTTCCAGGCACAGTCCTGCCACTACCCTAAGTCAACTCATTTTTCTTATCTTTAGAATAAAATGAACACATGATTATGTCTTCCAATTTCAACTTTGCGTCTATACACTGATACCTCATGAAAGTAAATTTTCAGTAACATTTTTCTGCATTCTTAGTTAGTTTTAGTTTCAGAAATGGTTATGTTAAATATTTGTAATGTACAGTGATTCTAGAATTTTGTTTGTCATGCACTTTTCATTATGTTTTAATTGAATTGTTTTGGATGCAATGAATGGGGGAGCAGAGCTAGCTGAAGACTTTCTAGCTGTGTGAACTTGAGCACATTTCTTAATCTCTCTGTGCCAGTTTTCTCATCTATAAAATGAATATAATAAAAGTACCTTTCCCTGTCAGTGTATGTTGGAAAGGAGCAAAAATTAAACTTTTGATTGTGGAGCCATATTCCAATGGATAAGAGCAGTGTGCTTTTGCTGTAGTACACAGTATGGGCTGTAGTTGGCATATTGGTTTTCAGTCAGATGAATGATGCGGAACATGACAAATCTACATCTGTAAGAGGAGAAATGCATCAAAGATAGACGTTTAGGGCAGAGGATGGCTGGCCCAGTGGGGCCATGTCGAGATTATGCCTGTAATCCCAACACTTTGGGAGACTGAGGTGGGAGGATCGCTTGAGGCCAGGAGTTCAAAACCAGCCTGGGCAACATGGTAAAACCCCATCTCTACAAAAAAAAAAAAATTCAAAAAATTAGCTGGGCATGGGGCACACACCTGTAATCCCTACTCAGGAGGCTGAGGTGGGAGGATCACCTGAGCCTAGGAGATCAAGGCTGCAGTGAGTCTTAATTGCACCACTATACTCCAGCCTGGGTGACAGTGAGACTCTGTAAAAAAAAAAAAAAAAAAAAAAAAAAAAAAAAAAAAAAAGGTATCTCTCCCATAGCATCATTCTGAAAATTAAGCCAGGTAACACATGACAATGCTTAGCACATTGCCTACTCATAGGAGCTACTATAAAATATCTAAATGTTTGCTTTTATGATTATTATTGACCATCTGAGTCTCATTTACCATCTCTGTCTTTTCATGCTACCAGTTCTCCTACCATGATTGGCAAATTGTTTAGCTTTTTGGTGCCTATATTCATGAATTTGCAAGGTTAAGATGCCATCAGAAGTTATCATCTACTTAAGATAGAAATATTAGGGCAGGATGGAACTTTAGAGGTTGTGTCAACCAGCTCTTTCATGTGATTAACGTAATACCCTGAAAGATCAAGTGGCTCATCCAAGAACCCTCAGCTAACTGGTAAACCCAGAGAATAAGGCCCATGGGTTCCAGCTGCGGGTTCCAATGCAACACTGCTACCTCCACAAGTACCTCTGTGTTAGATAAAAAATGCAAAAGTTCTTGGAATTTGTAAAAGGAGCAATGACGCACATTTTAAAAGTTTAAATTAGGCAAGTTGCCATAGTATCTCAGATTTATGACAGTTTTAGATTTTAGATTGTGCATCTTTTTGGCAGACTTCAGAAGAGGATGCTAGGAAATACGCTTCAGGCTGGCAGTGCGTAGAAGTGGTCATCTTTCTTAGTGAATCTTAGGAAATTGAAGTGCTTGGTTCCTTTTGTATGCTGAGTGAGATAACATGTAATTTTCAATAGCATGGGAAGAAGTGGACCTGATATACTTAGAGAAGGTGGAAAGAAAAAAAAAGACTTTTTAAAAGCGGTTGGAGTAATTTAAATAGGGAAATATTTGATAAAATAGTGTAATAATTTTTGAGACACATCTATTGGGGTCAAAGTTCATCCACTTTAATATACAAAGAAAAATAGAGCTGTTTCCATAATGTATTCTCACTTTTTTTTTTTTTTTTTTGAGACAGAGTTTCACTCTTGTTGCCTAGGCTGGAGTGCAATGGCGTGATCTTGCCTCACTGCAACATCCACCTCCTGGGTTCAAGCGATTCTCCTGCCCCAGCCTGCCAAGTAGCTGAGGTTACAGGTGCCCACCACCATGCCCAGCTAATTTTTTGTATTTTTAGTAGAGATGGGGTTTTACCATGTTGGCCAGGCTGGTCTCGAACTCCTGACCTCAGGTGATCCACCTGCCTCGGTCTCCCAAAGTGCTAAGATTACAGGCGTGAGCCACCGCACCCGGCCTTATTCTCGCTTCTGACCCCTCACCTTACTGGGCAGGTTGAAAGGGAATAAAAAGTGAACACAAAATAGCTGTGTCAAATCCTCTTTGTTTATTAGTTTTTCCATTTCCCCGTTCAGGCCCAGGAGCAGGATGGAGTGAAGGAGGGGCCTAGGATGCAAAATGTAAAGAGACACCACTCTTGCAGGGCACGGTGGCTCACGCCTGTAATCCCAGCACTTTGGGAGGCTGAGGCGGGTGGATCACGAGGTCAGGTGATCGAGACCATCCTGGCTAACACGGTGAAACCCCGTCTCTACTAAAAATACAAAAAAATTAGCTGGGCGTAGTGGCGGGCGCCTGTAGTTCCAGCTACTCGGGAGGCTGAGGCAGGAGAATGGCGTGAACCCAGGAGGTGGAGCTTGCAGTGAGCCGAGATTGCACCACTGCACTGCAGCCTGGGTGACAGAGCAAGACTCTGTCTCAAAAAAATAAATAAATAAAAATAAGAGACACCACTCTCAGGTGCCAACCCTGCACCCACAGGGCCCTGAGAACAATGATGCCTCTTTTAATTGCGTGTCACCCTAGTGACTACACAAATCTCACTCTAGTGCAGGCCCTGCCTCTGTCCCAACTAAAGAAACCATCTTTGGGGGAGGCTGTATCACTGTGGCTAGGGCTGGGAGTGTGGGCTGTCACATTTATTCATGCTGGTCCTTGAGTTGACCTCTGTGTCCTTCCTGGATTCTGCACCCTAATCTGGTCTCTACCCTGAGGGGCTCTGTCCTTGTTGGATCAGCTGCTGATGCAATTGGCCCCACCTGGACTTTGAGCCAGTGAATCTGTTGCTGACCTACCATTGCCTTTGGACTTGAGGTTCCCCCTTTTCTCCCCATGCCAGGGCTTCCTCAGTCTTCCTCTGTTTTGTGCATGCATGTGTGTGTGTGTGTGTGTGTATGTGTGTGTGTGTGTGGTGGTCTGGAGAGGGCAGAACAGAGCATAGGACTTTTCAGTTTCCCTGCACATGGGCACCAACTACGAGGAATAAATAACCAACTTTAACTCAGTCAATCCAGACGTTTTCCTTCCTTTAGCGGTGGCTTTTTATTTCTCTCTCACCAGGTTAGATGGACACAAGACTAAAAACAGGGATTCCCAGACAGTCCTGTGCTCTCGCTGCCACCCTCAACTCCTGCCACCAAGAAATGTCAATGAAAGAGGACTGTCAGCCCACAGGGCTGCGGATTCCTTTGTGCCACTCACAGGCTTCTGCACCACTGCCCTGGAAGCCAAATATTAATACCAATATGGAGGAAGCCTGAACCCCGCCTCTGAGCTCTTCATCCCTCTTCTACCTCTTTCTTTGCCCAATATTCTCTCTTCTTCCTCCCTAGGTGTGTGAGAGCTCCCACACTGGCTGTTTATGATCTGCATTTTGCTTTTGTTTTGTAAAGGGACATATCTTGGAGATCTTCACTGCTTTTTACTCTCAAATTCTGTCATTCGAGTTTGTTATCTAAGATTTCCAAAGGTTAGCTCTGAAACTCAAAGCCGATTAGTGGCCCCTCTGTTCTAGAGGGTGGCCAACCTCCTCTTGAAAGGATAAAGGCCATTAATCTAGGGACAGCAAGAATAAGACTTACATGATATGGAACTGCATCTGGAAATATTTCAGAAAGTAGCATATCTGTTACGAGTGGCAGTCACCTTAGTTTCAAAAAGTAAATAATTTCAATATTCCTTTAGTCATGGTTTAAGAATCTATATCTACTTACATATAGATATCTATATATATCCATTTTGATATCTGTGTTTGTGTGCATAGCTATACACCCATATGCATATATCAAAATATAACATTCTACTTTATAAATGTAATATAATTATGATTTGTCAACCAAAAATAATATCAATTTTAAAATAAGAATATATTTATTGTGGTGATAAAAATACAGCTTCAACCCAGTTGCCTGTTATACCTTGCATATGTTTAAGAAAAGGAAACTAAATTTCTTTGAAGAATGCTGACTTCAACTAACACAGAATTTAGCATATTGTACACACTGAAATATTGTATGAATGAATGAATGACTTTATCTTGAAGGTCATTTAACTTGGTCATTTTGAGCAAGGACACAACACGATAAGATTAGTGTTTTATAAAAAATATGGTAGTGTTGCAGTAAGTGAATAGAAAGAGAATGAGATAGGGAGCAACTATAGGAACATATTCTAAACATATTCTAGAAAAACTACTGGAAGAGATTCCTTTTCAATGATCCCCACATTCCAAATACTTAGACTTTGCACTGAACATATGGTTGTTTTCCAAGTCTGGTTTTTTTTTTCCTCTTGACACTGGGTCTCAGGTTTGTTACTGAGGTTGGAGTGCAGTGGTGCGTTCTCGGCTCCCTGCAGCCTCCACTTCCCAGGCTTACATCATCCTCCCACCTTAGCCTCCCAAGTAGCTGGGACCACAGGCCTGTGCCGCCACACCCAGCAGTTTTTTTTTTTTTTTTTTGGTAGAGATGGGGTTTTGCCATTTTTCCCAGGCTGGTCTTGAACTCCTGAGCTCAGGCGACCCACCTTGGCCTCCCAAAGTACTGGGATTACAGACGTGAGCCACTGCACCCATCCCCAAGTCTGTTTAAAGAAGCAGCAATTAAAAAGTCAGGAAACAACAGATGCTGGAGAGGATGTGGAGAAATAGGAATGCTTTTACATTGTTGGTGGGAGTGTAAATTAGTTTAGCCATTGTGGAAGACAGTGTGGTGATTCCTCAAGGATCTAGAACTAGAAATACAATTTGACCCAGCAATCCCATTACTGGGTATATACCCAAAGGATTATAAATCACTCTATAAAGACACATGCACATGTATCTTTATTGTGGCACTGTTCACAATAGCAAAGACTTGGAACCAACCCAAATGTGCATCAGTGATAGACTGGATAAAGGAAATGTGGCATTAGACACCATAGAATACTATGTAGCCATAAAAAAGGATGAATTCATGTCCTTGGCAGGGACATGAATGAAGCTGGAAACCATCATTCTTAGCAAACTAACACAGGAACAGAAAGCCAACCACTGCATGTTCTCACTCACAAGTGGGAGTTGAACAGTGAGAACACATGGACACAGGAGTAGGCGGCATCACACACTGGGGCCTGTTGGGGGCTGGGGGGCTAGTGGGGATAGCATTAGGAGAAATACCTAATGTAGATGATGGGTTGATGAGTGCAGGAAACCAACATGGCACGTGTATAACTATGTAACAAACCTGAACGTTCTGCACATGTACCCCAGAACTTAAAGTATAATAATATGAAAAAAGAAGCAGCAGTTACCACTTACTTTCACCTTTTAAAAAGACCTAAGAAAAGTTGGAAGGAATTTACTGTGTATTTGAGTTCATTTCTCACAGGAGGTAGGCAGTTGAGTTTTCCAAATGATCTCTCTCTCTCTCTCTTTTTTTTTTTTAAAGGCAGAGTCTCACTCTGTCACCCACGCTAGAGTGCAGTGGCATGATCTCGGCTCACTGCAACCTCCACTTCCTGGGTTCAAGCCATTCTTCTGCCTCAGCCTCACGAGTAGCTGGGACTATAGGTGTGTGCCACCATGCCTGACTAATTTTCATATTTTTAGTAGAGATGAGGTTTCATCATGTTGGATAGGCTGGTCTGGAACTCCTGATCTCAGGTGATCCGCCTGTCTCGGCCTCCCGAAGTGTTGAGATTACAGGTGTGAGCCACCACGCCTGGCACAAATGATCTCTTTACATACAACTTAGTACCTTGTTTTGTATTCGTTATTCAGAGTGGGTACAAGAATTGTCAGTTTCAGGAATAGCAATCTGGTGTCTATATGGTTAAGGAAACGTAGCCCATAACTGACTCCTGTTTTCAGGGTGAAAGACTAAAGAGAAGTTGATATAAGACTTGCAGAAGCCTGTGATCCTGTATAACAAATTATCACAAATTTAGTGGCTTAAAACAATGCCCATTTATTGGCTCACAGGTCTGAAGGTCAGAAATCCAACACAGCCTGGTTAGGTTTTATGTTCAGGGTATCATGAGGCTAAAATCAAGGTTGTCCAGGCTGAGTTTTTGTCTGTAGCCCTGGGGGGGAAAAATCTGTCTCCGAACTTATACTTGTTTTTGGCAGAATTCAGCTCTTTGTATTTTTAGGACTGAAGTCCTTGCTTCCTTGCTGGCTGTTAGCTAGGGCTTGTCCGTAGGCCCTAGAGGCTGCCTATATTCTTTGCCATGTGTACTTTCTATTCTGAAGACATCAGTGGTGTGCCAAATCCTTCTCGTGCTTCAGATCTCCATTTTCTCTTCAACTTCTAGACTAAAATGTAAAAGACATACGTAATTGATTAGGTAAGGGTCATGTAGATAATCTGTCTCAAAATCACCTGTGTTATATAATATAACCTATTCATGGAATAAAATCCATTATATTCACATTCCTGGGCATTAACCTGAGCATATTCAACATTTCAGTAGGATCTTTGGGGTGTTCTTCCTATTCTCTCTACCAAATTGTCATTTGTTTAAAAAAATTAACAAGGCATTTTCTTGCATGGAACAACCAAAGCACTTAGGAGAAATACAAGGAATATGTGACTTAACTAATATTTTGTTAGGAAACCAGTCATTTTGTTGTTGTTGTCTTTTGACAGAATCTTGTTCTGTCATCCAGGCTGGAGTACAATGGCACGATCTCGGCTCACTGAAACCTCTGCCTCCTGAGTTCAAACGATTCTCCCACCTCAGCCTCCCGAGTAGCTGGGACTACACGCGCGTGCCCCCACGCCTGGCTAATTTTCGTATTTTTAGTAGAGACAGGTTTTCGCCATATTGGCCAGGCTGGTCTCACACTCCTGGCATCAAGCAATCCACCTGCTTTCGCCTCCCAAAGTGCCGGGATTACAGGCATGAGCCACTGTGCCTGGCCAAAACCAATACATCTTTTTTTTTTTTTTTTTTTGAGACGGAGTCTTGCAGTGTCGCCCAGGCTGGAGTGCGGTGGCGCAGTCTCAGCTCACTGCAAGCTCCGCCCCCTGGGTTCACACCATTCTCCTGCCTCGGCCTCCTGAGCAGCTGGGACTACAGGGGCCTGCCACCACGCCCGGCTAAATTTTTTTTCTATTTTTAGTAGAGACGGGGTTTCACTGTGTTAGCCAGGATGGTCTCCATCTCCTGACCTCATGATCCACCCGTCTTGGCCTCCCAAAGCGCTGGGATTACAGGCGTGAGCCACCGCGCACGGCCAAAAACCAGTACATCTTTTAATGAAGTTTATTTTCTAACATCTGACCTTGACAGATCTACTACTAATAATATTTAGAAGTTTTACTTGTGTGTGATTCATTCATTTCTAAATGTTACTACCATTCACTTTACCAAAACAAAACAAAAACCCCAAAACAATTTCTATATCTATTATTGGGAATAGGGAAGGAATGGCTTTTACTGTTTGTGTGAGAAAAAATAAGCAATGGGATATAATTTATATGTAAATATCAAGTCAAAGTGAATTTTAACAGTGAGATCTTTGTTAGTAAGTTCACTTGAGTGGTAAAGTAAGCTAGCTTTCGAAGCTTTTTGGACTTTGTAGATTTAAAGGAGGAAAGTGGGCAAGTTTAACTAACTCTATTGTTAGTGTCAAGATTAGAGGAAGCCAGTTCTCTGCACAATATAATCCACACTTCTGACATCAATTGCAGGTTTAGTGGGTTCCCAAAACCAACCTCAGCTTCAGCAATTTGCTTGAAAGACTCAGAATGCATTGAAAGCTGTTATACTCACAGTTATGGTTTGTTTTAAGAAAAGGAGACAGATTAAATTCAGCGAAGAGAAGAAATATGTAAGGTAGAGTCTGGGGAATTACCAGAGACAGAGCTTCTGTTGTCCTCACCATGGAGTCAGGATATGTCACTTTCCAGGCATCGATGTGTGACAGTATGAACAGAGCATTGCCAGCCAGGGGAGCTCACTTGAGCCTTTGGTGTCCAGAGTTTTTAGTGGGACTTGACTACATACTGTCCCCTACATGGCTGACCTTTAGTTTCCAACCCCTTTTGAATGTTGGTGTTGGGCTGAAAGTTTTAGTTTCTGGCCCCTTCGAGAGGCAAAACTGATACTGCTTGGCCCAAACCACCCACTGTAAATCACATTGTTAGACTGTTCAGTGGCCAAAGCCTTCAGCCAAACAAAGACACTCCTATGACATTTTGAGTTCAGGAGATCATGTTCTCATAGCTGAAGGCAGATGCCCATCTCTTTGGCCAAGGTTAATTCTTCACTCCATCAATGAGGAGGGAAGGGGGAAGATGAAGACGGTATACTGTGTGTCAGACAGCATGCTAGGCGTTGTCTCCTTTAAACCTTTGAACAACATTATTAGAAAGACACTACAGTTACCCTTACTTTACAGACAGCTGGATTTAGCAAGATTAAGTAATTTATCCAACACTGTATATATAGTGTGGTGGAACCAGGGTTTGGACCTCTGTTGGCCTAACTCCAAAGGACATCTCAAACACTTCACTGGGTTGCTTCCACCAAAACTGAAAGAGTATAATGATATGTAATATAATAACCATTTAGAAGCAATTATTCTCAAGAATGGAGTTTTTAGAATAAAGTTGTCATTTAGATTTATAAGAATGTGCAGTGCTCCTTTAATAATGTAGGATATACAGGAAGAAGGTTGATATATGGATGGTTACTTCGTTGAATTCATACCTTCCAAATGGAATCCAATCAGCACTGTACCATTTAATGAATGCAAACTCATTTATGGGGTGTGTGTTATATCCCAGGTGCTGTGCTGGCCATTGGTGACCCAAAGATGATGAAAAATATGTTCCTGCCCACAAGGAGTTAGCGACCTACTGGGGTATGTACAATGTTTATTCTGTTATTTTTAATATGATGCTTGTGTTAAGCAGTGTGTAGAGAGCTAATATGTAAAAAGAATTTGGCAAATAAATTTTGCAAGTATTTGGCACAATTTTTCCTTTTACCGAATGTACTAATGCCAAAAAATGTTGGTAATTTGGAGATGGTTTCTCATATAACCAAATCAATAAAAAACAGGTTCAATTTTTGTAGATTCTGTAGTAATAGGGCAGATTAAATTTTAAAAAGCCACTGAGACATGTCTGTACTTCCTACACTTGTGTGTATTTGAAGGCAAATGAAAGTAGACTAGAAATGCCACCAAAGCACATCACACATTAGCAACAATGTACATTTCTTCTTCACACATAAAACATTGACTCTTCTGCTTTTTATTGGTTACTTTATTGATAATTGCTATCTTTCATCTTCTCCTACTTCATCAGTTCCTCCAATTGAGCAAAGTCTATATTGGGATAAAATGTATCTTTCCTTCCTTAATTAATGTTGATTTTTGCCAAAATATGTATTTTATTTGAGTCATAATAAAAATTATAATAGTTTTTTCTTACAGTAACCATGCAGGATGCCTTGAGTAGTCCTGAAGAACTAAATATAGTAAATGCAGTAAATATAAACAAAAACTATTATATTCTAATGCTGCTTTCTATCTTTTATAGTTCATTGTAGGGGAATAGAATTAGAAAATAAGATAAGAAATTTAAGTTGAACTTAATTTCTAGTAGTTCAAGAAAATGCTACACAACTCTAACAAGGATGTATTTGGATGTATTTAATAAGTGTTAATACACTGTTTAGATTGAACATCATAACTGCTGAGAATGCGGTTCTGATCATTTTAAAATATGAGGAAACCAGGAAAGAACATGTCTCTTTTCTTGGCAATATGATTTTAATTTTTAAAAACATTTAATTACATAAACCATATCCATCATCTTTGCATAGATAAATGTTGTGGCAATTTTTTGAATGAACCTCTTGGTTTCCTAAGAAATTATGGATACACTATAAATTTACAAATGAAAGGCCATTCATCAGAGTTATAAATATGAGTTGTTCCCATGCTGATGCCCATGTAAACTTAAAGTGGTTTAATATCTATTGGCTTTTGTGTATAGTTAGTATTGCAAAAGAATATAGATATTGTCATAATTATGTGGTGTCATAACATTGGCAAAGTGGTAGGACAACATGCAATATTTTTTGAATAGCGTGGCATTTCTTTGAATTACTGCTGGCAACAGAACATAAATCAGCCTTAATGATGGATATTCCAAAGATGTTTATTAATCTATTCATTTAATTTAAAATACTCACTCTTGGCATTTATAGAGCCAGCTCATAGGAAGTGGCAAGTGCTTCAAACCTCAGCAGTTACTTTTAGGGGCCCCATAATTATGTCAGCTAAGTCTGGTTGTAATTGAGATCAGAATGCATAAAAATTATTTCCTACTAATATCTGCTAAAGATACTTAAGCAAAATGGATTTTCTTATATGTGTCTAAGCAAAATCTCAATTTGTTTCACCATTAAATGAAACTTAACTACATGGCTATTTGAACTGTCAGTTTTTAAAGCCTATTTTTCTTCCTTTTTTTTTCTTTTCTCCTTCCTCTACCCATTTGCTTTCTCTCTGTCTTTTTCTCCACTAGAAAATAATCCTGCATTGTGTAAATTTAATTGAAAAGGACTGGAAAACTGACAAAATTCCTCTGTACCAAATTAATGAACATCATACGGCATGTGATTTTGATAATATGTAATAAGATTAAAGACAGGTAGGAGGGACTGCAGTCAAGAGTACAGAGTACAGGGGGGAATTTACACTAGATAGGAAAGGTCAAAGAAAGCCAGTAATAGTTACACTGAAGAAGGAGTCAGCTATGCAAATATTATGGAATAGGATGGTATGAATGTGTGTGCATGTGCTTTACTAACATATGAAAAATCCAGGCACAGATCTAACTTCTGAATTAAAATAATGTAAACAGAATTCAATTTCTCTCCATCTCTCAGTTTCCACTAATACAGCTTCAGTCTCTGACTTCATTTGGTAGCAAGATGGTGGCGGGGCATTGCTTCAACTGTAACATCCTCTCAGGCTTCAAGCTGAAAAAGAGAAGATGCCTTTTCCAGAAGCCCTATCAAAAGTGTCTTTGTCCTAATTCATTCTGATTAGATCACTGAATAATCCTGTGCCCCTCTCTTGGAGCAGAGAGCAGAATCACCTTTGTAATTTTCATGGACTAGGCATTGGGTTTGTATCCCAGAAGGAAATAGGGTACTATTAACTGAAAGAGGCTGCATTAATGCTAGGTAGCAAAGAAAGAATGGATTGTTGCCAGAAAAATCACAATGGGGACATATACATGAAAATTTGCATGTCATTCTAGAAGCCTTCGGATTTCCTAGCAATCTGTGGGTTCTAGGATAAGAAATTCGAATAGTGACATTGAATTGATGCCTTCTAGAACAAACAAAAACAGCATTGATACCCATAGCCATCCAGGATAATGAGTTGTTACTGGGACTATTTCCTGAATAAAGAGGCAAAATGAGGATAATATGTAACAAGTAGTTTAAATGATAATACCAAATTAAGAATAAAAGCAAGTTACATCATTTTGTTAACTAAAGTGGAAATGAGTGGTTCAGCCTTGGGGGTGCTTCTTTGCTAGTATTTGTATTAAAAAAACTAGGCAAAATCTTTTATTTAAGGTAAGCACTTTACACTGGCAACATAAAAAGACATATTAGGAAAAGAAGTTTCCTAATGTTGATTCAATAGCTTTTATTGCTATAGAAGCCTGTGTCTATATGTATCCCAGATCTCTTCAACTTCAGTTAAAAAAGTATTAATCAAGTCTATTTATTAATTTGTAAAGAAAATCATTTTCAATAATTATATCAAATTTTGTGCAGATTAGCTGATTTTTTTTCTTCTTATCCATATTTTATTTTGGAACATGTTGATGAAGTCACTTATTTTCTTAATAATTATTTTTAATTGAGTAATTTAGACAGAATTGATAGAAGGTATAGGTCAATCATAGGAAAACATGGGTACTTTCTAAATGCCTACATGGTGATCATTTATTTTTCTATGCAATTGGGAAGAAATTAACCTTTTAACAAGGTGAAGACAAGAGTAGCTCTCACTGAGATGGAAGATGGAAGTCATGATTATGCTTTATTGTTACATAGATTCCTTACTTTCTTGAAAGAAGGAGTCAGCCTGGAGTTTTAAGTTGCTTCACTTGAGCATAACAGTTTTTCCTCTTGAGCAACTCAAAATATCACTCAAAAATGGGAAAGAATTCCTTGTTTACCAGATATTTTTGAAGAATAAATATGTTAAATAAAGACGTTACAGTGTGTCACCTTTTGTCTCTTTGCACAAATGAAAACCCTGTGAATTTAGCACTGTTCGTCATGAATGAATAAACTTTTGAACCAGAAAAATGAGTCATTACTGCTCCTCAAGTTTAATATACCCAAGTTGTGGAGAAATATATCATTTTTCCCCTACCAATTAATGCCACTGAAATACAGCTATTTTGGGGGATGATCAGCTTTCAAAATAGTTATACAAAGGCCATTGTGTATCTGATTATGAAGATTAACATGTTATTTAGAAAATAAACTCTTTCCCCAAACCTCTGTTTGCCACCAGTTCTTGCTTCGACTGAGACGTTCATGGATTTCTGATCATTCTGTGTTTGTATAGATTTTGTTTTGTTCTCCTTTCTAGGTTACAACATATGTTTACATAGTGTCAATTTTCTGTGAGTAGAAAACAGCAGGTAGTTCATTCTCAGAAAAGTGATTTACAGATTTTCTTGCTATGCATTCCTTCCTTTGATTTTCAGTTCCAGTTTTAATTTTAACCTAGCTAGGGAATTGATTCTCTCCATAGTAGTATCAGTCATCAATAGAGTTTGGAGGAAAAGTGAATTTCTCACTTATGTAAAGAATAAAGAACAAATTTATTCGTGTATATATATATATATATATATATATATATATATGAAAAAATGTTAAGTTGTTCAGTTTTGGCTGACACAAATCAATGGATATTTTTAAGGGTGTAGGTTAAGGCAAGAAGATTATGTCATTCTTGTAGTCCTTTCTAAGGACAGAAGATAGAGCATCAAAATACTGTAAGAAAAATCCAAACCATATTTTTCTTATGTGATGTCCAATTTGGCTGTGTAGGTGTGAGTTTCAGATAAGACGAAATGCATTTACAGATGTGAATTGTAAAAACATTTCCTATTATTAATTTTAAGGGCTTTTAAGGAGCAGAATGAGTTTCATTGAGAACCCCAAAGCATAGATTAGTAAAGACAATTGCCCCTCTGAATAGGACATGAGCTAAGGAGTGAACAGAGGGAGAAAATTCACATACATGTTTTGAGTTTCACTTTAGGACTCTTGAAAGCTTCGGTCACTGATTGGGATTTTTCTCTAACTGGGAGTCAAAGAGACAAAGCATCTAATCTAAATAATCTTTCTCAGGTTTTCTAAAAATGCCTGCCGACGAAAACATGTCAGACAACTGATCCAATAGGGCCTGAAGGTTTTCTGTTTGTTTGTTTTAAATCCATTCTTTCCTGGGAAGGAAATAAAAGAAAGCTTGAGGTTGGTGACAGATTTGGGCTCTTGCCACATTCCCACCTCACCTTCATGGACATTTCTCTACTTCAGAGGAAGTTAATATTTTCCAGAGATGTTCCATAGGTATTCTAAATCATACTACAGACACCTGCTCCTATATATGGGTATGTTGTTCACCTAAGATGAATCAGACTTTTTTTTTTTTTCATGTGCTTCCTTTAAAAATCCTCATTAATCTCAGTCTGTAGAATTTAGGGGGAAAGTTGGGTTAAACAGTTGACACTGTTTAATGTAAATGATTTATGATTATTCCTTATGTATACACAATAGGCACTTTATAAATTAGATTGTCCTAGGAGTAACATGATACATAAATGTTATTGCTATAAATTCTACACTTGGCTATATATTTTGTATCATGTAACCAGTGGGCTTATAAATGCTGACTATTTCAACCTGCTCTTTCTACTCAATATTGTAAATGGTGACTTAGGTAAGCCTAACTGAGATGTATACAGAGGCAATCAAATTGCAAAAGAACAGGGCATGCTGGCACCGCTCCAGCATGGCTTCTGGCTGTGTTCCAGAAGTGATGGCAGAAAGAAGAGACAGAGGGGAAGGCGAAACTATTAAATATATGTAGCCAAAAAATGAATCTAAATTATTACTAATTTTTTTTTGCTCAGTAAAACCAAGAGTCTGGTGAGAGAGAAAAGGGGAAAAAGCAGCGCAAACAGGAAAAAAGCATGAGTAAAACCAACTTATCAAAATTTAGTAGATGTTATTTCACAGGTGAATTTTCATTATTTAAATAACAGTAAGGATAAAGTTAGTAGCTCTATAATTATAAATGTTTTAATATCAATAAATATTTCATATATTTTTATATAGTGTGTAATAGGAATAATATTTGATTACATGTTTTTACGTATCTGTGAATGATGAATTTGAGGAATTGGGTCTTGCAAATCACTTAATTCTACTGGTGGATCAAGACACTTTATTATATGTATAATGCTGTTATGCTAATAGCCCTCCTTTTTTTTTTTTTTTTTTCACTGTGGTTTCTTAGCCCACTGTGATTTTCTTTCTGAGATCCTATAGAATTTGAGAGAAAAATCCCTGAATAAAATATCTAGCTAATTATTAAATATCAAACTCATCTAAAGTATTGAGTTAGAGGGGAAAGGGTAGCACGCCTATAACTGACCAGCCAGGTTAATATTAGTTTCCTGGTGTCGACTCCTTACCTGATCACAGAGTCCTGTCATCAGGGCTGATTTGAGTTGTACTATGCACTAATTTGTGTAAGGGAGAACTGGGCTGTGAAGAATTCTATTTTGTTTATAGTGTCTATTCTGATAGTGATTTTATCGTCCATTTTATAGGCTGAGTGTTCCAGTTGATTCCCTCTCCCCACGCCCTCTTAAGTATTAATGTCTACACAATTGATCTGGTTACCCGTGAAGTCAGTCCAAATAGGCTGTTACGGTGACTGAAAATACAAGACCAGTAATTTTAAAACCTAGAGGTTACTGTCTTGCACAAAAGGACTAAATCTTAGCAGGAAATCCCCAAGTGAAAAGATGATGGGACTGAATTCAGCACTCTGTATGTGTGACTTGTAATAACAAACATTATTTTTTTGGCTGTGATATTGAAGGAAATATCCAAATGTGCCCCTTATGACTTCTGTAACGTACTTTTAATTGTCATACTCTGGAGCTATCCTGGTGCATGCATGGGAAAGAATATACATATGCACATATCTCTATATTTGTAGGCACTGTAGTCAAAACACTTATTTGCCTAGCTGACTTAGCTGCATAGTTGACTTACCCACCCACCATCAAACCCTCTAGAGGAAATAGGACAGAAAGGTCACACAGAAGCAGTAAAGCCAATGATCTCTTATAAAACAGTTATTTAGGTTCTCAGTGGCACTGTTCATCTTCTGGAAGGGAGATCACTCCAGTCTCTGCCCATCCCTGTGTCATCAGCGTAGCTCTGGACTCTTGGAGTAGAAGAAGAAAGCCTATTCTACCTTGTTGCTGCTGTACACTCAGGTAAGCCTGAACTGAAATCCCAGAGAGACTGCTGTACCAGACAGGCTAGACTATGGGGAGATTCTAGTGCTGATGGAGGTCTTTACAGGGCTCAGTTTGTCCTGTCAATTTTAACCATCGTTTAAAATTCCACTTTTTCTTATAGGGGTTTAAATTTAAATGCAAGACCTGTATATTTATGCACATGTGCGTGTGCGCACGTGCATGCGCACACACACATGCGCACACACACACACACACACACAAAACCTGAAAAAGCCTCATCACTGTTGGTTCACTGTTTGTTTCAGTGCAGAATACTTAGAGTACCTGTCATTTACTGAGGACTTTCTTTGTGCCAGGAATTGTTCTTGGGCTTTGCTTGTATTATATAATTTAAGCCTCCTACAGTACCCCATGAAACAGGTAGTATTATTATACCCACTTTTTCAGCTGAGGAAATGGAGACAGAGAAATTGAATAACTTGCCATGGTTCAATAGCTAGTAAGAGGTGGGGCGGGATTCACACCCAGGCAGAGTAATCTCAGGGCTCGAGCATACATTTTTCTAGGTTGATTTATAAGCAACATGCAGTGTTTCATGTATGAGAAGAATGCACTGGGGCCATCACTGAGCAAGAAATGGGATCTGCATTGTTTTTGTTGTTGTAATGGTCATGTAATTTCCTCTCTCAGGCCATGGTGTGACCAATGGCAAACTTTTTTTTGAGAGAGCCAGTCAAAACTGCATGGAATATTCTATGGCCACAGAAGAGAAAGGAATGTGCTGGTCGATACGAGGAGCTGACCTAAGACCTTGCTTTCACTGTAACCACAGTAAACAAGCGAGTTAATGAACCATAGATGTTTAGTGTGTCATCAGCGTCTTTCAATTTTGTCATCCTGGGTAGCTACCATCAAGAAGGACGGAGTGCCCTCTATGAATATGTATTTAGTACTAGATATAGCAATTTATTCTTTTGAAGAGCACTTTATCATTTTGGTTTTGATAAATGTATAAACAATAATCAGTAGTTAGGGGTTTCAGGCGAAAATGGATGCCATTATTAGTGATTTAACAAGTTTTCCTGTGAATTCCATGTGTATCACTCAGTCTGGATCTTGCGACCCAGGGATACATATATCCAGTTTTTAGAACAGCTCACTTTAAAAGCCTCTTGCGCTATGAACCACTAAGATCTCAGAACTACAGTAGTTACTAATTTCCACACTTTCAATATGTAAAATGAAGTACTCAGACAAAAAACCTCGAGGCTGCATAGGTCAGAATATTTGCTTAAACTAATAATAAGATTAGCTTTTTTAGTTCTAGCTCTCCTTTTCCTATCTATTTGCCTTGCTAACAAGGCCTTACTCCTGTTCAGTTACCTAGTGCCATGATCCCTCTACTTTTTGGACTTTTTATGATAATTTGAGCTGATTTTCCTAGTTGACATAAAGAATTTCCATGAGAATAATAAAACATAAGGACTATTCATCAAATAAGAATGATGAAAACACGAAATTTCACCCAAACTGGGCAAAAGTGCATCTCACTGCACAGAATTCCATAACATTTTGAAATTTGGTCTTTACAGATATTTTTCTCTGCCTGAAACATGTGTGCTGGTTCTATTTATATAAGGGAATAGTGACATCCTGTGTGTAGCTAGACTAATTGCCTCTGTAATTAACCTATTTGAGGAGGAAGTTACACAGAAATAAAATATCACTGAGTACTGAAAGAGGCAATTTTGTTTTAAAGCAAACTTCTAAGTAACTTTACCAAAGGCTGTGGATAACAAAAAGATTCTGTCTCCTTCCCTTATTTTATTCAGCTTCTCCCTTCCCTCCGTCCCTGCCATCCTTTTTCTTTTCTTCCTTTTCTTTCTCTATACAATTCCACTAATCCTCTTCATTTTCTCCCTATGACCTTTATTCCCCATATTATAAGCTAAAAATCTAGTTGTTGTGAGTGAAGATTCTATTTTTAAATCCAGAATTGGGGAATGATGTAAGTGTGGTGAAAAGAGACAGCTTTTTTGTTTTCAAGGCTATTCAAATGTCTTTGCAGGTCAAGAGTAGGTAGGGTATGTCTAGAATCATTTGGATGTCTTAGAAGCTGATGACAAAAAATCTTAGCCTTCTTCCTTATCCCTTGATAAAATATGTATTAATTAAATTTAGAAAAGAGCACGAGAGCATGCAAAAGCAGGGTTTCTGTTGACTTCTTAAAACCAGCAGAAATTATTGGAATGCAATATGTTGCAATAGAAAGAGTACAGTTTTTGGAGTCTGAATTATTCAGATCTCTTCCCAAAAGTATGGCTAAGGGGGAGCAAGAAGAACAACTTCTTCCTCCATGCCCATTTTCTTTAGTGCCCCTTGTAAACATTTCAAAAGGTATTATGTTGCCAAGACATTTGAGAGAACAGTGGGAGAAAGCAAGAGCAAGATGCCTGTAGATAAATTAGTCAAAATTATCCTGTGGTGTGTGTCCTAACTCATCCATCAGATAACGGCAAGACCGGAGCATCAAGGCCCTCACCCAGCCTTAACTTCATGAGTAATCCTCTGCACCATAATCAAAATGATATTTTGAATCAGATCGCTTAAGACTTCTTTCATGGGATAATGTGATATAGTTTTCAACTCAGGTAACTAAGTTTGTATTTTGCACATTATACTGACTTGAAAAAGCTCAATTTAAAGTTGTCCCTACTACCAAGAAGAATTTCCTTTTGAAATATATGAGAATTTCAAGCCAAAGCAAACGTAGTCACTGCATTATGTACTGATAAGCATGGAATAGTTGGAGTAGAAATGTTTCTGGGGTTCAAAGCATGGTGGACTTGGATTCCTCAATTTCCAGGATACAATTTTGATGCCTCACTTTCTTTATCTGAGAAGTGGGGATAGATATATACCTCCTTTCTAAGGTAAACGTGAGACTTTAGTGAAGAAGCATGTATGTAATACTATCCAGAGTGTCTATAAATAAATGCTTAATAAATAGTAGCAAATATTATTTTAGATAATGTTTGACGAAGCAAAATGATTTAGATAGCAAATAGTTGAATGTAAAGGTAATTAACTTTATCTGGTTTAACTGTTCTTCAAGTGGATTTGATTAATGACCTATGCTTGCCATTTATTGCTTTGTAATCCTTGCTGTAGTAACCTTCCACTTTTATTGATAATGTTTATTAGCAACAACTAAATTACCATTCTTGGAAGACAGTGAAAGGACAATTTTTTTTTTTTTTGAGATGGAGTCTCGCTCTGTTGCCCAGGCTGGAGTGCAGTGGCGCGATCTTGGCTCACTGCAAGCTCCACCTCTTGGGTTCACACCATTCTTCTGCCTCAGCCTCCCGAGTAGCTGGGACCATTGGCGCCGAAAGGACAATTTTTTTTGGCAGTTAAGTATTATTTCTTGGGAAAGATACAAAACAAAGAGGAGAAAGGAACACTTCAGAGAATTTTCCTGTGCATCACCTTTGTGATTAATACTGTAATCACTAATGATTATTGGATTGCAAAGAAGGCTTCTTATTGGTAAAAGGAAATCCTCAATTTTATATAAAAATAGTCATTCGATCCTGGCTATGTTTTAGCAATTTTGCTAATTAAATGTAGTATCTATAATTATTGAGGTGTCCCACATTTTTACACAAACCTCCCATCTGTTTTATTGGTGATTTTCAATAAGATAGTAAGAAACTCAGAAAACCATCCTGTAGAGAATCAGATTCAGTTGCTTCTTATTATCACAAAATAGTTCACTCATCCATTCAACAAATATTTATTGGATGCCCGTTACGTGCCACACACTGTGCCAGTCTTGAAAATATGGTAATGAACAAAGTAGACAAGGCATGGATTTTATAGGCAGACAAAGGAGGTAGGTAACCCAAAACAAGGGATTGTAATAAAGTATGTAAGTCTTAAAATATAGAAAATTTGTTTGGTGTTTTGGCTAAACTGAGGCATACAATTTCAATAGGCTTTCTTTTTTCTTCTTTCTTTTTTTTTTTTTTGAGATGGAGTCTCGCTCTGTCACCCAGGCTGGAGTGCAGTCGCACAATCTACCCTCACTGCAACCTCCGCCTCCCAGGTTCAAGCAATTCTCTTGTCACCCTCCAGAGTAGCTGGGATTACAGGCCCACGCCACCACGCCCAGCTAAGATTTTGTGTTTTAGTAGAAATGGAGTTTCACCGTGTTGCCCAGGATGGTCATGAACTCCTGAGCTCAGGCAATCCACCCGCCTCGGCCTCCCAAAGTGCTAGGATTACAGGTGTGAGCCACCGAGCCTGGCTGAGGCGTACAGTTTCAATTGTGGTTGGTGGGGTAGGTAGTCTTATCTCCTTTTAATTTCTGTAGCATTTTCCCTGTGCTTCCGTTGGAACCTCCTGCTTTGCATTCTAATTCCTTGTGATGATGGCGTCTTCATCACTGCAGGATTCTGAGGAGGCAGGCAGGATACATGCGTGATTCTCCTTCCCATCTTTGCACAGAACCTATACTCGTGCACTGCATCTGGTAGGCACTAAATAAATGCTGTTGAAGGCATGCAGCAAGGAAGAGGTCCTAAAGTCTTGTTTCTCTTGTCTTAAAAAAATTTCTTAAATATTTCACCTCGAAATTTCTCCTCCTTCATGTTAATGGCGGTACAGGAAGATAAATAACCCAATGAAAGTCATTATTTCTCCCCACCATGCCCCACTTATCTATTAGTCTCTCAAAATGTAATCCACACCAAACTTCTCTGGAAGAAATTATTATTTGTAAGACATTCAAAGTTTGCTCTATAGAAGTCTGACTTTATTTGCCATGTGCAAATAAGAATGAAAGAAGCATCTATTATTCATGGTACACATTGGGGTGTCATGATCAGCCTTTTTTCTCTGCCACTGGATCTGTCAAAAGGGTTAATGTTTGGGATGGTCAGTATCTAGTTTTAAAAAGTCAAAACTCTTCATTGGTTAATAGAAAGATATAACATGTAACCGATGGTTTAGTATTCATTTGCCATTACTTAAGTCCAAGTAATTGGAAATCCTACAAAATAAAATTACATTCAGAGGTTTTTTTAAAAATGGGAAAATAATCAGCTTTTACAGAAAACACCAATTTGTTGATGAAAATTCAGTATTAAGGAAAGATTTGGGTGAAAAGAATGAAGTCCTTGCATATTCTTCTGGTAGGAACTGAGGTGCGCTGAGACTGAGAGGCCTGTGCATGGTGTTGCCTGCGAGCTGGGGTGTAATTTAGTGAGCTGACAGGAGGAGTGAAGTATCTCCTCAATATCTGTGTTTGGCAGAAGAGATGAATGCATACATCAGGAAACAATGTTTAAGTGTTTTATTTCGTTATTTCAGCCTGTCAAACTGTCAGTGTAGTTAATGGCCACCAAGAGAGAAAGAGAGAGAGAGGAAGGAGGAGGAACAGAGAGAAACAAAGGTGCTATGGAATCTGCAAAGAAAGAAACCAGAAAAGCATTTGCATGTTTCTGTGGCATAATGGTCAGTCAGACAAAAAATAACTCACTATATTCATCTCTTTACTAAAGCCAGATGTGCTGGTTCCCTACCTACCATCCCTGCACCTCTCTCTTTCCTTCCTTTATGTCCCTAATCATTGCTTCATTTAACTTTGATCTCTGTGTTTCCTTTCACTGGAGTCTAGATTGATTATAAATACTTAAGGGATTATTTTATGCTATATTGGTAATATCCAATTTTGCTCAGTTTTTCAAGTTTGCTATCTTGTTTATATTCTGCAGAAAATCTGATATTAATGCTGTTTAATAAAAATGTCCACTTTTATGTGAAATATCTCCCCTTTTTTATCCTTTTGAATGTTTTTAAATCCACAAAGAATAAATTGGGCTGGATTTTGACCAATTGCATCTTTCTATTTTTTAAAAAAATGCTCAAAGTGAAATGCCTAAATCAGACATTTTATTCTTAGGAGTACTAAACTATTCTAAATTTCTAGAAAAATCTTAGCACAGCCAGGGATTTCTGTTTCGTAAAAGGGAATTATTTATATTGGATCTTTTTGTGTCTGGAAATAAGTAATTTTTCCCCAGAAATAGATAAGCCTCTTACCATTCACCTCTGTGTCAAACCCTGAATTTAAAATCTTTGAACTCATACCAGTGATGAATACTTTTCATAATGAACAGTTTTGTTTGCCTTTGAACAGAAAACATTTAATTAGGAAAAATAAACAGTTTGTTTTTAAAATATCAATGTAATAATCTTATAAAATGATCTAAGGAAAGGTATCGTGGCATATTAAACACAGTGGGCCCTGAATCTGGCCTATCATCAAATCACCTTAAAGGCATTTTAAAATGCCCATGGGTGCCCCCTTCCAGATTGCTAGGATGTGTATCTCCAGGGAGGGGGCCCAGCATCTGTTTGTAGAAGATGCACCCCTCACCGGCTGAGGCAGGAGAATGGTGTGAACCTGGGAGGCGGAGCTTACAGTGAGCCGAAATTGCACCACTGCACTCCAGCCTGGGTGACAGAGCGAGACTCCATCTCAAAAAAAAAAAAAAAAAAAAAAAAAAAAAAAAAAAAAAAAAAAGATGCACCCCTCACCACACCTGCTAACTCCTGAACCCCAGGTGATATTGGTGATGAGCTGGCTGGGAACCACACTATCCTGATATTGCACAAAGCATTGCTGCCACTGCTGCAGTGATCTCTATGAATCTGGCTGATTTCTGACATTTTCATTTACACATTTGGGTCCAGTCATAAGCTTTGGGGGGACAAAGTTTGTCAACTCTATACAATTTCTGTGATCTTTTCCACCCCTAAAATCTTGTGACTTCATTAACGAGGTTTTAAAATTTTAAACTTAGTTAAAATACACACACATTGTTTTATATTAGCTTTTTTTAAGTTACTAGAAGGAAACAAATAAAAAATGCCAAAAAGTCAAAGAATCTCCCCTCTCATCCCCAGTTTGATTTAAGCATCCTTGATTGGGCCTCTTATTTCATGATACCAGTCGCACAAATTTAATCATTAAAATAAAAATGTACTGCTCCGCCCTTTAGATTATCTGCGGCCAAACTGAACTCTTCTCTACCCATCCAAACTTGCTTATTACACAAATGATACGACCAGACATCCTGTTGTGTTAGAGACCAATGGTCACCTTTCCTATCATTTATCTTTGATATCCTGGGTTGATTTTGCCCCCTAAAATATTGTTCATCTGTCAGCTTCTCTTTATCTCCATCACCATTCATCCTGGGCCAGTCCAGGAAAGCCTGGATTCTGGAATATCCTCCCAGTCAAGAGTCTTTCCAAGCAGCTGCTCTGCTCCAGTAAATGTTCTGTACTGACAGAGGTTTTAAGCCTGCACATCTGATCATAGCTCTTCCGTAATGGAAAACTATCAATGGCTTTTCATTGTGCTGAGGACCTAAATCTATGGCTTGGCCTGCAAGGCCCCATATGATCTCCCTTATCCTTCTCCCCCACCTTCTGCAGAGCAGACCCACTGGCCTCCTTCAGTTTCTCACACATGGTGCACTCCCTTCCCAGCTTAGGGCTATTGAGGGATTTTTTTGTTTTGTTTTTTGTTTGTTTGTTTTCTGCTAGGAGATTCTTCACCTCTAGTTCATCCTTTTCAGATCAGGTGAATTGACATTCCCCTGGGAGAACATTTTCTGATATTCCAGACATGATTGGGTCTACCTGGTGTATGCTCTCATACCTTGCATTTTCCTCCAGAGCATTTTTTCACAGTCTATAATTTCATATCAATAGAATGGCTAGTTTTAATCTAATCTATAAGACTTATAAACTTGGTAAGGGTAGGGATCTCAATTAATTTGTTCACCACTGATTTCCTCATTATTCAATGTAACAGTAGTACATAGTAGGTTCTTCAAGTGTTTGTTGAGAATAATGAGGTGGCCGGGCGTGGTGGCTCACGCCTGTAATCCCAGCACTATGGGAGGCTGAGGCAGGTGGATCACGAGGTCAGGAGTTCAAGACCAGACTGGCCAACATGGTGAAACCCTGTCTCTACTAAAAATACAAAAATTAGCTGGGCGTGGTGGCGGGCGCCTGTAATCCCAGCTATTCAGGAGGCTGAGGCAGGAGAATTGTTTGAAGCCGGGAGGCGGGGGTTGCAGTGAGCCAAGATCCCACCACTGCACTCCAGCCTGGGTGACAGAGCAAGACTCCATCCCCCTAAAAAAAAAAGAATAATAATGAAGCAACTGCTCCCTTATGCAGGAAGACCCCCACCCCCAACACATACTCTTCCCAGTCTTTTAGTCTATGCAAAGCATTATCATTTTTCTAAAGCAAGGAATGTCGACCCCTCCATCTGCCCTCACTTTGCATTCTCTTTCCCAGAAACATCTGAACTCCTAGCTTCAAACTTTTCTGTACTCCTCTGAGGTTGAAGAGGAGTGTGAGAGCTGTTGCTCTAGGCCTGTTGCTTCACTCTTGAAAAAAGTGTGTAGTTCTACAGAGGAAATATGAGTAGAGAAGAGGCCCTTCCATAGTTTCTTTACGGGAAACGAAGACTCCAGATTCTGGACTCCCCAGTTGTTCGAGTAAAGGGTTGCTCCATAGAGGGTACACACCTCTCAGATCTGACCTGGTGAATCAGTGTCACATTCCTGTCTTGACACAGCACATTGACACAGCGTCCTGGCAATAAGGGCAGCTTATAGAGCCGGGTAAGATTTGACCAATGGGGTTTAGTTACAGCAGGGTATTTATTACTGTCTGCACCTTAAGTATATCATATTCTCCATACAACGTAATGACCTGGGAAACTGGAGCCCCTGTCATGCACCTCATGCATTACAAGGCTCTTTCTGGTTGCACCCCCATCCCCTGGGCATGTGAGAAATTCATGAGCCCCATTCTAGACATGCTCCAGGTATCTCATACCTCATAATTCTTTGTTCAAAGACCTTGTACCTGCCAACTTTCCAGTGAGGCCCGTGCACACTTATTCCATAGTCTGTCTTTCAGAGGTCATATTTCACCACTGGAGTGTGCAATTCTAGGCTGAAGCATGGCCAAGGGGCAGCTGTTTGAGAAGGACTGGCCACAGAGAGGGAAGGCACCCATTTGTTCTCTTGTCCTGGGTCTGCAAATGTTAGGGAGATACTTGATGATAGCTTTAAGGAGAAGGTATGTAATAAGAGGACAGAAGATGAAGATCTGAGGAACATAATATCAAGGCCCAGACAAGTTAATATTTGACTAGATAAAAAAACCAATCAGTGCCTGAGTAAAATAACTTTTGAAAAGAGAAGTCAACTAGAAAAACCAGAATTAGCAAAGTAGAGTTTCGATTTTTACAGCATGGCTCTCACCTCTAGCCGCCGCCAGCCCTGAATGTTGGGTCATTTGTTCTAGAGAGGAAGGTCACGGGAATGATCATGACATGAACCTGTGGGACCCCGCTGTTGTGACTCCACTGAAGCCCCATATGTTATTCAACTTTTTTTTTAGAAAGAGCCATTTGAGGATTGCTTTGTATTTGTTTCTCATTATATAATCAATATATAATCTATTCCCAAAATTTTCAGTAGTCAAGTAGAGAGAACTCGTTATTTCCATCACTGGGTGGAAAAATTAACACTTTCCCATGTAGCTAGTCAGTAGCATAGTTAGAATTCACTATTGTGAAAACACCAGTTAGAATTCACTATTGTGAAAACACCTGCCCATTCATTGCTATCCTAAGCTCACAAAATCTCATACTCCTCAAAATAAATCTGATACTATTGGACAACACCAAGAAGGAACACAATGTGGGACTTCTTTGCTTTCAAGATACTTAAACCATTGCCTTCAATAGGCAGCTCTCTTCCTCTGAGCCAGCAGCTTTCTCTTTCACAGTCCCTTTAGAATCTTTCACAAAGTTGAAAGAGCTGTAATTTTAAGGTAACTATTATATTCAAGACATTAATGACCTGGATCACTGAAAATAACCATGGTAACAGGTGAGAAATCAAAGATAGTTAATTTAATTGCCACTGAAAGAAAGTAAGTGCAAATAATCTATAATTCTTCATTTCCAATATGTACATGTTATTTTCTTACTGCATTAATTACCCAATAGTTAGACAGAAATTATCTAGTTGTTGCTCTGTGACTCTCCATTGTATTCATGTAATGGTTTTCCCTCCAATAACTAATCATTATAATTTCTTACCTCAGCAACTTAGGCTGCCGTGAACTGGGTAATGTGTTCATTCAGTTGACATTAGCAATTTTTAATAACAATAAAAATGATACTTTAAGTATAGAGGAAAGGAATTAAGCTGTTCTTTCAACCTAGGTACCTAAAGGCCACTCCAATTCACTGCCTCTCTACAAACTGCTAATGATCTGGCACTGCCTCTTAGAAAGATTTCAGAACTCCTTTCAAATTCTTAACTCTTTTTCTAGGAGTCACTGGAATATTCCCATATATAACTAGGAGGCATATTTATAATCACTGATAGAGATATTCGATAATTTACGTGTCTGTTCTGGGTCAAATTTTTTTGCTAGGCTGGGAATACAATGGTCTACAAGACAGAGATGGGGGTACAGATGATAAAGTACAGAATCGTGACTGCTGAGCAAGTTTATATAGTTTTTTTAAATTTTAATTTAATCTAGATACTCTACAAGACAGTAGATAGATGGTATGTAAATTTCCAGACTGCATGGAAAAATCCTGTAGTATAACAATATAAAGGATAATCAGTTGTATAATTTGAGGTAATATCTACCACTTATTGAGTTCTTTCTTTTCTTTTCTTTTCTTTTTTGAGATAGAGTCTCGCTCTTGCTCTGTTGCCCAGGCTGGAATGGAGTGGTATGAACTCAGCTCACTGCAACCTCCAGCTCCTGGGCTCGAGGCAATTCTCATGCCTCAGCCTCTCAGGTAGCTGGGATTACAGGCGTGTGTGCACCATCATACTCGGCTAATTTTTATATTTTAAGTAGGGACAGGGTTTCGTCATGTTGGCCAGGCTAGTTTTGAACTACTGGCCTCAAGTGATCCACCTGCCTTGGCCTCCCAAAAAGCTAGGACTACAGGCATGAACCACTGCACCTAGCCTTATTTAGTGTGTTCTATGTCCTAGATATGGTCATTTAATGCTCACACACATATACACACCACCTCCATAAGTGGATTCCCTTATCTCCATTTTTCTCATAAAAAAGCTAAGGTTAAAAGCTGACCAGGCCAGGCGCAGTGGCTCATGCCTGTAGTCTCAGCACTAAGGGAGGCCAAAGCAGGAGGCTCGCTTGAGCCCAGGAGTTTGAGACCAGCCTGGCCAACACAGGAATAACCCATCTCTATAAGAAATACAAAAATTAGCTGGGCATGGTGGCACGTGCCTATAGGCCCACCTACTCGGAAGGCTGAGGTGGGAGGATTCTTGAGCCTGGGAGGTTGAGGTTGCAGTGAGCTGTGATCGTGCACTCCATCCTGGGTGACAGAGTAAGACACACTCCATCCTGGCCCACAGAGTAATACCCTGTCTCAAAGCAAAACAAAACAAAACAGAACAAACAAACAAAAAATGACCAAAGTCACTGGAGCAAGTAAGAAAGAGGGAGCAGATCTCTGTGCTGGCTGGGCCCTACGCCCTACTAAGTTCTAAGGTTTCTACAGAAGGAACAAACAAGAGCCTTTTCAGTGTTGGCACTTTCAATAGTCAGTGCTCAATGAATAGGATATTAAATTTTCCTTGATTCTGTTGCCTGTTTTAATTACAGACTACATCAAAACCATTTCAGAAAGAATCTGTTCCATCTTTTAGATTGGTTTCTCAATCTCCTTTGGCAATTTTGTCTCCAAAACTGCCCCAGAAATAAGAAAATGAATGCATGAGCAAAGGTAGATAGAAACATGCTAAAATGGAAATATAGAAAGAAAAAGTGTCAGCAAAGATGTGGAGAAATTGGAACTCGTATGCACTGTGGGTGGGAATGTAAAATGATATAGCTGCTGTCTAACACAGTACAGCAGTCCCTCAAAGAGTTAAACATATTATTTACCATACAATCCAGCAATCCCCCTTCTGTGTATATATCTCCAGAAGAATTGAAAGCAAGGTTTCAAAGAGCTATTTGTACATTTATGTTAATGAAAGCATAATTTACAATAGCTAAAAGTAGAGGCAACCAAAGTGTCCATTGGTGGATAAATGGATAAACAAAAGGTGTTATGTACATACAACAGAATATTACTCAGCTTTAAAAAGGAAGGAAATTCTGACACATGCTATTATATGAATAAGCCTTGAGGAAATGATGCTAAGTCAGATAAGCTAGTCACTAAAAGACAAATACTGTCTTTGAGAGTATTCCATTTATGTGGGGTACCTAAAGCAGTCAAAATCATAGAGACAGACAGAATGGTGGTTGCCAGGGGGTGGAGGGAGGAGAGAAAATTGACTTATTGTCAAAGGGCTATAGACCTTCAGTTTTGAAGGATGAAAAAGTTCTGGAGATTGGTTGCACAGCAATATGAATGTACTTAATGTGACTAAACAGTCCACTTAAAAATGGTTAAGGTGGTACTTTTTGTGTTCTGCATATTTTACCACATGAACAGTTTTTTAAAGGAAGTACAGACAGAGGGGAACTGGGGAGAGGGGATGAGTTAGATGAATTGTTTAGCAAAGACGTCTCTGAGACATGAACCATGCTGAGAAGCCAGCTCCGTCAAAAGCCAAGGAGCGAAATATCTCCAGACAGAGGGATCCACAAATCTAAATCCGTCAGTTGAGAAAGAGCTGGGTATGTTTAAATGAAAAGGAAGCTGTATTAGTCCATTCTCACACTGCCAATAAAGGCGTACCTGAGACTGGGTAATTTATAAAGGAAAGAGGTTTAATGGACTCACAGTTCCACATGGCTGGAGAGGCCTCACAGTCATGGTGGAAGGTGAAGAAGGAGCAAAGGCATGTCTTACATGGCAGCAGGCAAGAGAGCATGTGTAGGGAAACTGCCCTTTATAAAACCATGAGATCTCATGAGACTTACTATCACAAGAACAGCATGAGAAAACCCGCCCCCATGATTCAATTACTTCCTACTGGGTCCCTCCCATGACACATGGGGATTATGGGAGCTACAATTCAAGATAAGATTTGAGGGGGACACAGCCAAAGCATATCAGAAGTCAACAGAGCAGGCTGGGTGTGGTGTCTCATGCCTGCAATCCCAGCACTTTGGGAGGCCAAGTCAGGCAGAGTCACCTGAGGTCAGGAGTTCCAGACCAGCCTGGCCAACATGGTGAAACACCGCCTCTACTAAAAGTACAAAAATTAGCCAGGCATGGTAGCATGTGCCTGTAATCCCAGCTATTCGGGAGGCTGAGGCAGGAGAATCACTTGAACCTGGGAGGTAGGGGTTACAGTGAGCCAAGATCACGCCACTGCTCTCCAGCCTGGGCAACAGAGTGAGCCTCCATCTCAACAAATAAATAAATAAATAAATAAATAAATAAATAGGAGTCAATAGAGCTGCAACATAGAGGCATGTGATGAGCTTGAAGCAAGGTAGGCGGGGTCTGGTTATAGAAGGACCAGTAGACATACAAGAATTTGGGACTGCATTATCATGACATTTTGGCTTTATTTCCAAAGACTCTGTGTCTTAGGAGATCGCAAACTTTAGAGTATCCATTTTATTTTGAAACTGGTAATTGGCACACTTCTTAATGCCATGATTCAAATATCTCTCATTGCACAAAGACTCATTTTAAAAATATTCAGAAGTGGTGTGTTAACTTGGTGAATTTCTGTTTTTTTTTTTTTTTTTTTTTGATTAGCTGTATTATCTCTGAAGAAATTGCAACCTGAAAAAAATTCCCTTTATATCCGTCTGTCTTGGCAAAATAGCAGTGAACCACTACTTAACACACTGCATTCATTTTATACTTGAAAGTACTTCAAAGCATCTCTGGAAGTTTTCTGGGGCCAGGTCGGTTCATCAATCCTTACTACAGTGATTTCAGAGACTCTGGAGGCCCTAGTTTAAGTAATTAGTATTGCTAACTTTGCTAAAACCTGTCTAGCACTGCACTTAGCAGTGCCAATTCATGACAGATAGTTTAATACTGTAGTCACATCCTACAGTTGTTAACATACAGAATTTAAAAGTTTGTCAAAGTGGCAGCTGTCATCATTTAGATACATTTTCTTAAGTATGTTTTTAAAAAGTGAAAGTTGCTTAAATTCAAACATATTTTATCGTTAAATCCCCTTACACATTTATTTCCTATGATGAAAATGTCATTATTTAAAGAATTGATAACTCTGATTTCAAGAAATTCTATTGTATATTATTGTGATTATAGTTAATGAGAATTTTTTTTGCTTGAAAATTGCTTAGAGAGTAGATTTTAAGTGTTCTCATCACAAAAAAATAAGCATGTGAGGTAATGCACATATTAATTAGCTTGATTTAGCTGTTCCATAGTGTGTGTAGTCATCCCTGGTTATCCTTGAAGGATTGGTTCCAGCACCCCAGCAGATACCAAATTTCAAGGATGCTCAAGGTCCTTGATATAAAATGGTATAGTATTGCACGTCCTCCCTTATACTTTAAATTATATCTAGATTAACATATACTAGCAAATACAATGCCTGTACATCACTTCATTCACATGGATTCAACTTAGTACTTGGTGCATGGCAAATGCAAGTTTTGCTTTTTGGAACTTTGGAATTTTTTTCCCCAAATATTTTCTATCCTAGATTGCTGAATCCATGAATGCAGAACCCACAAATATGGAGGGCTGACTGTATTTATCAAACATCAGGTTGTATACCACAATTTTTTTTTATTATACTTTAAGTTCTAGGGTACATGTGCACAACGTGCAGGTTTGTTACATATGTATACATGTGCCGTGTTAGTGTGCTGCACCCATTAACTCGTCATTTACATTAGGTATATCTCCTAGTGCTGTCCCTCCCCCATCCCCCCACCCCACGACAGGCCCTGGTGTGTGATGTTCCCCTTCCTGTGTCCAAGTGTTCTCATTATTCAATTCCCACCTATGAGTGAGAACATGCGGTGTACACCACAAATTTTTACAAATTTTGTCAATTAAAGAAAAAGCCAGGCACGGTAACTGATGCCTGTAATCCGAGCACTTTGGGAGGCCAAGGCGGGTGGATCACAAGGTCAGGAGTTTGAGACCAGCCCGGCCAGCATAGTGAAGCCCCGTCTCTACTAAAAGTACAAAAATTAGCTGGACATGGTGGCACGCACCTGTAGTCCCAGCTACTTGGGGAGGCTGAGGCAGGAGAATTGCTTGAATCTGGGAGGCGGAGGTTGCAATGAGCTGATATCACGCCACTGCACTCCAGCCTAGGCAACAGAGTGAGACTCCATCTCAAAAAAAAAAAAAAAAGTACTCCAAAAATAAAGTATTGATAACTCTGAAGAAGACCTATCCATTTGAATAGACTGTGAATACATTTATGCTATATTCTGCATAGTACATTTTTCTATTTCATATATGTTTGGAAATTTTATCCTCCTTTGAAATATTTTTCCCTGCTATTCAAGGTTCAGCTTGGCACAATGGTTCTAAAAGACTTCTCATCTGACTTTTCTTACCACATCTCACATGACATTTGTCTCAGATTATCAGTAATATGGAAGGATTCTGGGAAAATTTCCCTAAATGCATGGATGACGTTCGTTTTCCCGCATTTCAATAAAAGGACCTGAATCTAGAAGATTGGAAGTTTGACTTTGAAGTAATGCAGAAATACATTCTTAACGGGATGACGTGAACAGTTGAAACTTAATGTTGATGAAGTATAAGTGTATTTGGATCAGATAAGCCAACATAGAGACAGGGTAGTGTGAGTGATTTATGGAACCTGGGCTCCCTTGTTGACACTAATGTGTAGTAGTAATAGAACAGAAGGAAAGGTGTACCTAGAGAGCAACAGAATAAGTGTGCAGCTGCTGTGAACAAGCCCCAAACAAAGCCAACAGTAGCTGAATGCCATTCATTCTCCTTCACGACAATTCTATTAATGCCTTCAGTGAAGTACGGATAAGCTTCACAGTTTATCCATGTGCAACTTAAGAATTTTAACTACTAAAAAGAAATAACATGGAAGAAAATAGTATTTTAGAGTATTTTAGGTTTAAGGATGAATGCTTAAGTGCAATCATCATAATTCTTTCAAAATTATCAATATTAATTTTATACTTTTCCGTTGGGAGTATCAATATTCATATTCTTATTAAAACTACCTCTGATAATAATTAATCTAATCAATAAACAGGTAATGGTCAAAGGGATATAAAGACCACTACCCTGTTCTCAACGAGCTTTTAAATAGTTTGGAAGATCCATCTGAAACATGAAACAATAGAGCAAGAAAGTGCTTCTTGGATAGCTAGTGGAAAACCAGTAGAGAAAAAGTGCTAGATGGACTACAAGTCCCTGGAGAGGGTTCATGGACCAAGAACTTGAGCTGGCTTGGAAGTTGGTGTAGGCAAAGGAAGGCTTGAAGGTTTGGTCACCTGAAGTCTTAGAAAGTGAAATGCCTGGGAACTTTTAGTATTTATGTTAAAATACCTGTGAATTTTGCATTCTGTTCCACAGTATAGCTGAATTCATTCTAAAATAAAATGTATACATTACAGTGAATTTATTTAATTTTGTTTTCCATGTCTAATATACCAGAAAGTTATGGCCTGTTTCACCTGTGACGTTCTCTTACCCCATACACCACCATATATCCTCAGGAGTATGACTGACCACTCCAGTTTGAGAAGCACAGCTCTGCAAGATGACAGTGCATTTAAAGGGAAGAACTTTCCTTGGCTATTAGCATGTAATTGACCTGAGTAAATAAGAATTTCTTTAATCCTTAAAAGACTTTCATGTGTACACATTTTTTTAATATGAGTTTGATGGGCTTTATAAGCAGCCCAGGCTTCCTTTTTATAACTGGGGCTCAGATAGTTCCATTTGCTGATAAGAGTACATTTTCAATAAGATGCTATATGATTGGGTGCAAAATCAACATCCTCCCAAGTTTTGCTTTTAAAGTACAAGCCTTTGTTTCGTATTTCTGTCTGAAGCTTTTTTGACCTTTGTCAAAAATATTTTTCGGTTATTCAGAGCACATTGGCGTGCTCTCACAAGAGACCACCCAAGCACATCCCTTTCAGCTGGCAAATTCCACTCCACCTGAGGAGCACAGAAGCTTCTCATCACTGGTGAGAACGATAGTCATTTGAATGTTTGAAAAAGATTTAGACTCTTCTGTCAGCTCACAGAGGCTGGTCTCTGTGGCTTTGTGTTGTCATGTTTCAAGGTGTGACAGTGGCACAGCTGTGATCCATGTTCATCGCCAGTGTGGAAGCTTGGACCAGCAGTCCTTAGACATGTCAGAGCTTCTCCCCGACGTTGTTCCCATCTGTGTCAGATACCAAATCGCAAACTGGCCAAGCAGCAATGAGAGCACTCCATGGAAAGGATAAGGAACTTAAAAGGAATTTTAAGGCACCATTTGTATCTTACTTGATTTTTTTTTTTTTTTTTTTTTTTTTTTTTGAGACAGAGTCTTGCTCTGTCGCCAGGATGGAGTGCGGTGGCACGATCTCGGCTCACTGCAACCTCCGACTCCCTGGTTCAAGTGATTTGCCTGCCTCAGCTCCTCCAGTAGCTGGGATTAGAGGCATGTCCCACCACGCCCAACTAATTTTTGTATTTTTAGTAGAGACGGGGTTTCACCATGTTGGTCAGGATGGCCTCAATCTCCTGACCTTGTGATTCGCCCACCTCGGCCTCCCAAAGTGCTGAGATTACAGGTGTGAGCCCCTGCACCCGGCCTATGTGATTTTTATTTCTCTGATAAACATGAAAACTTATTCTCAAGTCCCTACATTCTTAAGTCATCCAAAGTTATAAAGTAGTACTAAGATTTTTTGCCAAAATTCCCCAAGTTAACAATTATCACAACTTACAGTCGGCTTTCTGGCTACAGCATTGCTTCTCCTGTCCTCACCAAATACCTTTCTTCACTTCCTACTTCTGCCTTGGTCCTTCCCCACAAATCAGCCCCTCCAACTTCTTACCTGTGACTCAGTCAGAGCAGCTTATTTTTTTGGCAGGAACATTCATTCAATTATTAGTTTAGTAAATAATTATGTGCTATGTACCTATACTGTCCTTGGGATTGGGGATATAATAATGGAAAAGCCAAAAATCTACCAAATTTTGAAGCTGAGTGCAGATTAAAGACATAAGACTGCGTGATACAGTACCTGGCTTAGTTCCACAGATATCTTAGATGGCTTCATATATGTATTCTATCTAATATACTTTATATTTATGTCCATATTAATCTATGTCTGTCTCATATATATATAATATATACCTATTATATATATAAATAAATAAATTTATTTTGTGTCCTCAGTTTAGCTTACCTGAAGTGAACTGAAGTTCCAATAGAAAAGGGCATGAATTGGAGCAAGGGGATGTAGGGACCCAAGGAGCAAGCCGTTTTACTCTACTGCTCTTTGTTTCCATGACATGGATCCAGATTGTAAAGTAGAGGGGATAAATTATAGACAGAAGAACCTGTAGAGAATTGTTACAGGCAGACCTGTCACAGAGAGTGGAGGAAGACAAAGTTGGTGAGTTGAAAGCCAACCTGGACTTCTAGGACATGGTACAAGCCACTGGGCTGGCACGCACTTCAGCAGATACTTTAGATCCATAATGCAAACCCCTTACTTCCCTACATTCTCTTTGTGAAGGTGACTATTAAACTTGCTTTTAGGAAAATGAGGAGTTACTACTAGTTTAAAAAGGTGGGTGTGGGCATTTCATGCCATAGTCATTAGTGATGTTGAGTAAGTATTTAGCGACATACTTGGTGAAATAAGTTTGATATGGCTAACAGGAAGTATAGCTATTGAGAAGTGATAGGGCTAGAAAATTAGGTGTGAGCCAGATAAAAAAGGTTTTCTATTTACCATTTCGCCCTTTATTCTAAATGCTCCTGGGATCTCTTAAATAAATACAAATTTCATGAATGGTATAATCAGATTTACCACTTGATAGATCACTCTGGTTGCATTGTGGGGTTGAATGGAAAGGTAGAAAGACCAAAGTCAGGGAGGTCAGTTAGGAAGCTGTTGAAGTGGCCCAAACAAGAAGAGATGCATTTCTAAACTAAGGCAATGGCAGGAGGAATAGATAATAAGGAAGATAGGTAAGAAATCTTAAGGATCTATGATTTATACGAATTAGTGGCCGATTGGATATGAAGGAAAAGGGGAGATCATAGGATTATGTCAAGTTTCAGACTTTGGTTACTAGGAAGATTTGAATAGCAAATAACTAAAGGATAAATTTGACAGGATGATATAATAGGTTCATTTGGTGATAGAATATATTTGTATTGCATGTAGGATATCCAGATGGAGAGATCTAATAGGATAATGAAGGTATATTAGTTCTGGATCTCAGAAAAAAAGGTCTAGATTGGAGGTGTAGACTTGGTGAGAAATTGGTGATGAAACAATTTGGATGTGGTCACTAAGAGTGAATGCAATGGTGAGAAAAGAAGAGCATCAGGAGTGAGGCTCAAAGAAACATTTCATTTCTGGTGTATTATGGAGTCAGACAGAGTTTATGGGCTGATCTGAGACGTTAACCATAATGTTGATGTTGTTTATGACTTGAGATTTCCTACAAGTTGTTGGCAGAAAGAATTGAAAACAAACCTGAGAACCATATGTGGCAGTAAATTGGCACCTGATTTTAAGCTAATTGTAGATACTCTGTGTGTCCACGAGGGTCAATCAGGAAAGCACATCTTATGTCAGATAGTTTTATGGAGGGGATTTAATACTGGGGATTAGTTAAGATGGAGACTATCAGTAGCCAGAAGCTACCACCACCCTTAGTGCTGGAGCAACCAACGGAGGAGGTGGCCTTACCAGAACCCAGGAGCCAAAGCTGCCCAGTGGGCACTGGGCACTGGACCAGAGGTGGTAGCTACCCTCTCAGGGAGGCTGTGTTGCATGGGTGGATCTTGAAGGAAGCCACTATTGTTGAAGGTGCTTCCTGAAGCGGACAGAGAAGCCTTCTCTCTCATCCCATTTACTGTATCCTGCCAGTTTCTCTCATTAGAGAATTCTGATATGAAGCTAGTTAGCACTGGAAACTAGGGAAATGTTATTTGCAGGATTTGACTTCCTGTGATAGAAACAGTGCATGGTGCAGGTCAGTATCGTCTGAAAGCAACCATTATTTACAGGCATATCTCTAAATATATATTTTTAAAAGTTGTGATTATAAAAGTAAAGAATCAATAAAGCATGACATTTGATTTATTATTAATTTTTGAGACGGTTTCGTTCTGTCACCCAGGTGGAGTGAAGTGGTGTGATCACAGCTCACTGCGGCCTCCACCTCCCAGGCTCAAGCAATCCTCCCATCTCAGCCTGCCAAGTAGCTGGGACTACAGGCACATGCCACCATGCCTGGCTAATTTTAAAATGTTTTTATAGAGACAGGGTCTCCCTGTGTTGCCCAGGCTGGTCTTGAACCATTGGGCTCAAGTGATCCTCCTGCCTCAGCCTCTCAAGGTGTTAGGATTACAGGTATAAGCCACCATGCCTGGCCTGAATTGTTACTATTAATCAGATGCATTTACTCCCACTTACCTTATCAAACTGAAAAACTATCACGAGTAGATTAACCATCTTATGAAATTACCTCACAACCCAAGGACTTTTGTACTATGACATTTTTATAAGACTGTGGCTTTTTTCTGTGTTAGTAGGCCCTAAGAACCAAAAAATGCAAGAAATTGGTATGTGGTTGCCCAGATGGCTGTTAGAGCTAGACGCACAGAGTACATTAAATTTATACATTGGATCAGTGGGCTTGTTGAGTCCTTTCCTCAGATTCTAACCACCTCAGTGGCGATGTGCACTTCGTCAAAATGAACTAACAACAACAACAAAAAATCCTTCAGACAATTAGGCTTCCCTTGCTGGGCTTAAAATAAGTGAGTGTGTAGCTCTGTATTAAAAGGTGTGCTCTTGATAGAGTCTTTTTTGAGGTTTCAATCAAAGGACTCTGCTTTTCAGTGAGACCTTTAAACAACATTGGTCTTTCCCTCAAAAGAGAAGGGCTAAAAAGAGTGCTGGACTCAATTGAATTTAATAGAAAATTCATTGGTGACCAATGAAGCAGAAAGGATGTGCTCAAATCACTGGGCTGAACGCTCTGTTGTAGAGATCAGACAAGCCCATTTAGTGTCTGCTGGTTCACACCAGCTTCAGAAACTTGCTCAACAGCTTTAGCTCCCAGATATTTAAATGGCAATGTTTACTTGTTTTAGTGGGAAACCAACAAATGAAGAATCTGTAGGTGGATTCGTTGTGTCAAGCTGGTCTCTGTCTCGAATTTTAGTTCCCTGGATAGCAAGTTGGGTGCCAATGCTTTGACATACTATTGTCATGTTGAGTTATGTTTAACTTAACTTGATTCAGCCTAATACTAGGTTTGGGATAATCTTAAAATATCCTTTCTGTAAATACACTACCTTTCAAAGCAGATTATTCAGTAATGAGTGTGATATAACTTGCGTGGTTTAAAAACAAACAGAAAAAAACGTTTGTATGTTGTTTCAGGTTGGGTTCCCCAGAAAAAGACTCTAAAAGGGAGACTATGTGCCAGCGAGTTGTTGAAGATGCTCTTGGGAGCCTCTGTAAGAGAGGAGGCTAACAGGACTGGACATGGGCTGATGGTGGCCTGCAAGACTCTTCTGCAGGGCCAGCCCCTCAGCAGTGTCCCTAATTGAGGCAGTGGGTCAAGCCACCCTAGCATGCTAGCACCCTGCCCCATGCCCTCACATTCAGATGCTGGGTATTGGCTACAGCCAGGGGGGATAATACCCTGGGGGAGGCAGTGCCTTTCAGCTGAGGGAATTTCCTCTTTCCAGAAGTGGCTCAATTGTAAGCTCTCTGCACCAACTTTCCTTATAGCTGGGGAAATGACTGTCTGGTTCCTGAAGGGGAACTTTTGTGGCACACGCCAGAACCTCCTACATCTGATTACCATTGTGTCTCAAATATCCACTTCTGTCACATCCACCACTGTAATTCTAGTGTGAGTTACCAACATTTTTTGGCTATACTGATGTAGTTGCCACATAACAGTTTTCTTTTATACAATCATTTCTTTGTTGTTTTCCCCATTGTCTCCAGTGATCTTTGAAAAATGCAGATTTGATTCTCTCTTCTACAGAACTCTTCGATGGCTCCCAGTGCACTGAGAATAAGTCCCCCAATCTCTAACAAGGCTTACAGTTTCCTACCTGGCTTCCTCTGTGACCTCATATCATGCCATTTATATTTTTTGCTTTTTCTACTGTAACCATCATGCCCCTCTCACCTGCAGGCCTTTGCACACACATGTTGTACCCTCTGCTTAGAATGTGCCACTCTTTCTGCTGCTGCTCCTTATCCCATCATACTCATGCCCATCAGCTGTGATGAAGGGCCCTGCCATGAATCTTTTCTTGATTCTCCAGAGGAGGTCAAATTCATGCCACACATACTCCATATGTCTACTGGGCTGCATCCTGCACTTTTTCTCAGTAACTCTGTGTGTGTGTGTGTGTGTGTGTGTGTGTGTGTGTGTGTGGCAGAGAGAGAGAGAGAGAGAGAAACAGAGACAGACAGGCAGGGATTATTTGTATAATGTCTGTTTTACCATTAGACTGTAAGCTCCAAAAGAGGGAAGCTGGCTTCTTTGTTCAGCCTTATACTGTGCCCCTAGAATACTACCTGGCATATAGTATTGACAAATCAATATTTGTGAAATAAATAAGAATGAATAATCAACCTGTGTTAGTCCATTTTCATACTACTGTGAAGAAATACCTGAGACTGGGTAATTTATAAAGAAAAAGAGGTTTAATGGACTCACAGTTCCACATCCACATGACTGGGGAGGCCTCACAATCATGATGGAAGGCGAAGGAGGAGCAAAGCCACATCTTACGTGGTGGTAGGCAAGAGAGCGTGTACAGGGGAACTGCCCTTTATAAAACCATCAGATCCCATGAGATTTATTCACTATCAGGAGAACAGCACAGGGAAAAAACTGCCCTCACGATTCAATTACCTCCCACCAGGTCCCTCACACAACACATGGGGATTATGGGAGCTACAGTTCAATGTAAGGCTTGGGCGGGGACATAGCCAAACCATATCACAACCTGAATACAAAATCCAGAAATGACTCAGGTCAACCAAAAAAATACAACCTGATGTACAAACACCATTACAAGCATTAAATATCAACTTTATTTCCTAATTACAGGTCCAAAAAGTATAATATATTCATTTCACTTTTCTACATTTCACTTTATTTTTCGCCCCTATTCTCTTTAGAGAATAACATGGAATGAGTTTTACATGAAGAACAGAGCACATGCTTATCTACTCTTGTCTCATTTTACAGGTATCTCAGCCTTTTAGCATTTTTAACACATCGTATTGTGTATGTCCACTAATGATTTCAAATAACTTGTATTATAAAATGTAGGAAATAATTAAAATATCTAAGCAAATGACCAATACAGTAATATTTATGATAGCTATAAAATAAATTTTTTATAAATGCAGGCCTTATTAATAAAAATTATTGGAAATTAGTCAATGATACTGGGGTTTACAGGATTTATATTCAACTAGATAAATAAATTTTTCCATTACTTATATTTGTGTTTCAAAAACCAGAGAAAGGGAAGATCTTTGACATTTCTTGAATGATTTTAAGATATTTTACTTTTTAAATTTTATATTTAAAAGTAACTTGGAGTACATCTCAGTCTAGAAGAAAAACTCATCTTTTAGTGCAAAAAAAATTTTGTGTGTCACATTGTGATTCCATGATTCTAGAAAGTTCTTGTGTCATTTCTTAATACCAGATCATTCCACATACAGTTTTCGTATTGTGTGACCTACTTATAGTTCATCTGTTAAAAATAATATTGAAAACGTTTCAGTGCCTTAAAGGTCTACGTATTAGCAAAAATTTCCTTTCCAGCATTAACGACAGTGTCACTCTTAAAACTGATTATTTTATGGCAATGTCATTTTTAAGAACTGATGTAATACATGTCTACCGAACTTAAAAGAGGCAAAAAAATTCAGATTCAGGCCGAGTGTGTGGTGACTCATGCTTGTAATCCCAGCACTTTGGGAGGCCGAGGTGGGCAGATCACCTTAAGTCAGGAGTTCAAGACCAGCCTGGCCAACATGGTGAAACCCTGTCTCTACTAAAAATACAAAATTAGCTGGGCATGGTGGCACACACCTGTAGTCCCAGCTACTTGGGAAGCTGAGGTGGGAGGATCGCTTGAACTTGGGAGGCAGAGGTTGCAGTGAACCAAGATCACGCCACTGCACTCCAGCCTGGGCAACAGAGTGAAACTCTCTCTCTCTTAAAAAAAAAAAAAAGAAAAATCAGATTTAGAGGTGTAATGCCAATAAACTAGATTATGATGTTAATGATACATCTGGGGATTGTGAACTAGAAATAGTGTCTGATTTATAGAAAGTAAGATGAATATTGTTCATTTACTCAGATGTTGAAAGCCATGTGTACAAAAAAAACCTGCTAATTTTCTCTCAGGAGACACTACTCTCTGATTTTTCCAAGAATACATAGTGGGTAATTATTGCTCTGGTTAAGCTTTGGTAATTTGACGGTCTCCTTGCCACCTAAATCATTGACTGTGACAGAGAATTTTGAGATCTCATACTCTTAATTTCCTTTCAGTAAGCATCCACGTGCATCTTAAACTTCTACTGCACAAATTTGGTTCCACAAAAGAATAATGTAGTTTGGCAAATGCAGGTCGTTTTACAAAGCTCATTTGCTCAGAAAATGCCCAAAGACTTGCATTTGACTATGAAATAACTGGGCCCCACCTGCATCCCCGGCTCAATTAGGTTTTTATTTAATAAAGAGGATTGTATTTACTGTTCTATGGCGACAGCTATGCCTACAGGTTGTCCTCTCATCTTCTCCCTCTCAGATATTTTAGTTTTATATTTCATATGTCTTTAACAGGGAGAGGGCATTTTCTTTCTTCTTTTATTTTTTTAGCACACTATATTTAGGTAGTAAAGCAAGATGGTTTATGTAATGAGTACTTTATGAAAGTAAGGAGTTTCACTGTATGAAAATTTCTTAAATGTTTGAATACTGTATTCAGTTGCACCTGAATGATATGCTTGAGTCTTCATGTAAAAATGTCCTATTTGATTTTCTTGCCTCTCAGTTCTTTGGTGCAAGAATCCTGTCTTACTGATCTTTCCCCCAATCTCAAAACATTCTTGGTACAGTGTTGAATGATTGTCTGATGTGTTATGCTGAACTTTGACGTAAAAAACCATATACCCGGCTGGACGCGGTGGCTTATACCTGTAATCCCAGCACTTTGGGAGGCCAAGGCAGGCGGATCACAAGGTCAGGAGAGCAAGACCATCCTGGCTAACATGGTGAAACACCGTCTCTACTAAAAATACAAAAAATTACTGGGCGTGGTGGCGGGCGCCTGTGGTCCCAGCTACTCAGGGGGCTGAGGCAGGAGAATGGCATGAACCTGGGAGATGGAGTTTGCAGTGAGCCAAGATTGGACCACTGCACTCCAGCCTGGGTGACAGAGCGAGACTCTGTCTCAAAAAAACAAACAAACAAACAAAAAACACACAAAAAAAACGTATCCCCATATTTTATTTTCAGGTCTAAATTTAGGAAATAGTGTCAATTGCATGTTACCAACAAGAAAAATTTAATATTATGGATATATATATATATATGATAGCATTTCTAGCCTGGACCCAGGAACTATTGAAAATATACTTTATAAAATATTCCAATTCCTGAGCCTTGAAATTATATGGAAAATTTGACTAATAACAGCAGACAGTTGTAAATAGAATCTATGAGAGAATGTGCCTAGTCTGAAAACTTTTTTTTATGTGAGCTTAAGAACAGTGATAAATTAATGAGGTTGATATTTAAGATCATAATTTAACTTTTCTATAGATTTCTAAGTGTCACTTGCCTGGTTTTCAAAATGCCAGCACTGTCTTCCCTAAAAACAGATAAGCCTCTCACACTTTAATGTAAATTTGGGTAAATATTTTAATTCCTCCAAGGATATTTGCATTTTAAACGGGACAGCATGGTCGTTAAGGTCCTGGAACCAAATTGTCTGGGTTCAAATTTCTTTGTCTCACATGCTTAATAAGGGACCTCCAACAAGTAACTTAATCTCACTTATCTTCAGTTTCCTATGCTGTACAATGAGGGTAATAATAGTTGTTGGGAGGATTAGGTAAGTTGATAATGTGTGCTGCACTTAGTACCTAGCATATACTAAATGCTCAATAAAGGCTATTGTTAAAATGTGATTGTTATAATAAAATGAAAATGAAAGGCAATGCCCTCTTACAGAGATTTTTTTAATTGTGTAATGGATGGATAATGATTTGAGAAGGAAGCAAGAGCTGTTTTTTTGGGCCCCTCTGAAATAGCTACAAGGAAGTTGTATGTGCTGCATGTTGTGAACATTCAGGTTTGTTGAGAGAGGTCAAAGAACCTAGAGGTGAAAGAGAAATTGGTCTTCCTTGATGCTAAGGAGTTCATTGTGGTTTGTAGCATTAGAATGGGTGAATTGAAGACAAAAAAGCTAAGATTTAATAATTCTTTTATTGTATCAAAATAGTTTTGATTTTTTTTAGGGTGAAAGAACTATTTTCATATTTCAGACAATTGGGAAAATAAGGAATAATGTAAAAACAAAATTACATTATATCAGAGAAAATTCATTATTATTTTATACATTTTCATCCAGATCTCTATTTTTTTTTTTTACATAATTGGGATTGTAACTGTAAATATGGTGTAAAATATTCCATTTATCATTTAATTGATTTTGATCAGTTTTCCATAAGATTAATTAGTTAATGAGACTTTTAATGCTTTGTTGTCATGTGGATGTATTCCAGTATATGTGATGTACTGATTTGGCCATTCTTCTGTGGGTGAGCACTTAGGCAATTTCTAATGTTTTGCTGTAAATTATATCTGTATGCATAAAACTTTGTTTACTTCTTTGCTTATTTTGTAAAGGCAGATCCTTAGAACTGGAACTAAATCAAAGGGCATGAGCATTGCCCCTTAGGCTTTTGGTAACTTTCCATTGGCAGTATAAAATAGTGCTAGGCTCACTGTCCCTTTGCCAGGATTGAGCATTTTAACATTTGGCAAAACGACAGGCAATAAAAGGCATCCCTTTATTTTAATTCTAAACTTCTTTGATTTTTAGTGAAGCTAAATTTTTTGTATATTTTCATTTGTATTTCCTAGTCTGTGAATTTTCTGTTCACATCCTTTGTTTATTTTTTGGGGGATATAGAATATGATTTTAAGTCCTATTAATATATTACAGTTTTCCTCATTGATTATACATATATTCTCAGTCTTTAATCTGCCGTTTAATTTTAAATTTATGCAATGTAAATGTTTAGGTTTACACTAAAATCTATATTATTTCTTTAACTTATTCTGTTGTTTTTGTATTCAGAAAATATAACTAATCACATATACCTTTTTCTAATTTTCTAAATTTAATGATTTTATTTTTTGTTTTACAATTACTCTTTTATTTTCTTGTTGTTTAATTTGGTATATAGTATATAGTATGAGTATTTCCCAAATAACTGTATTCCCCAATTCATTCATTAAATAACCCATCTATTATATATATATGATAGAATTTGTTTCAGGGTTATATTAAGTTGATTCCATTGGTTTTTATTAAATTGATCTGATTATTGATTCTTGCACCAGTACCATCATTAATTCAGTCCATATAGCTTCTTAATAAATCTTATTCAAGATGTTTCTCCCCCTACCTTTTTTTTTTTTTTTTTAACTTGGTGAACTTTAGACACATTATAAAATATCCAAAAATCTCCATTGGGATTATTATTGGAATAGCATTAACAACAACCAAAAAAGTTAACTAACAATATTGAAACCTGGCAACTTTGTCTTTTTACTGATATTAGTGGTATAATGTATTTTTAGGGATTCATGTGTTTTGCTAGCCTGTTGTATTAAGACAGAAAGCTGTTATCATGTTAAGGAATTACATACTTCTATTTTTTATTTCCTAAGAGTTTTTGCTGTTAAGTATTGAGTGGATTTTGGAGTATTTTAAAATGTCATTTTATCATCTAGTAAAATGATCATACTGATGTGAATTTTTAAAAATAATATATACACTAGTCATAAGCTCTCCTTAAGATTAGTGGATAAATCTCTTAAGATCCCGTTAAGTTTATCTGCATTTTGTTTAGGCTTTTGCCATCTGTATTCATACATGAGCTTGGTCTACATAGTAATCTTGCTGCCTCTTTGATCAGAACTTACTGTTTTAATCTGTTTTACATATTGAGCTTCCAAACATTTTTATTCTAAGAAAATATTATAGTTATAAATTTACTTAAACTTCAAAATCATCATCTATACTTTTTTTGCTGGTAAGTTTGTCCAGTTTAGCATCAGTATTAAACTAGCATAATAATATGAATATGGTAGCTTTCTTTGTTTTTTGATATTTCATTATCTTCATTCTTAGAAACTTTACTGGGGGAAAAATTTGGCTGCAAAGTGTAATATCATAACTCTTTTTTTATAGTTTTCCATGTATTTGTTTTTTCTAATATTGTCGCGTTTTGATGTTTTTGTTTCCAAAAATCTTTAAGCAAATTGAACCACTGTTTCTTGGTAAACCAATCATAGATAATTTTTCTTGATTAGTTACTTTGCAGGATGAACAGATTCCTGCTCCTATCTTGGCTCTGTCAACACTTCTATATTATCACAGTTTACAATGTTTATTTTCTGTATGGTTACTATACTTAAATCTTCCATGATTTGTCTATAGGTGGGCTTTAAAAGTTGAAACCAATATGTAATTGTGATATTTCTGCTCTCTGGGGTCCAGTGTCAGTGTAGATTTCAAATGGTCACTACGTTCATATACTCTATGACTTGCCTCTACGACATCCTCTCAGTTACTGTTAGTAACTCTCAATAAAATTATCGTTCTAACCATTTCCTCTTCCCTGTATACTTTCTGCCTTCCTTTTCAAACCTCGATTGTCTTCATAAATAAGCCTACTTTTTATTTTTTATTTTTAGATTTATTTTTTAATTTTTATTTTTAGCCTGTTATGTTAGGTCTCTTGATTCCTAAACTCCATATCTTTTTATTTCTTGCTTATTTTCAGTTACTCTCTAAATTGTATTGGGGACCATGTCAAGTAACTTTCTCAGTTACAGGCCATTTAAACCTTCTCAGATATTGCCTATCTGAAAGTATTGTTCTTTTCCCTCACAGCTGATTTATAGCAAGACTAAGCTTAACATTCAAAATGCAAAATAATTTTCCTTCAGAGTTTTAAAGTCATGTTCTGCTGACTTCTAGCATACAGTATTGCTGAAATTAGATCCTAGGCTAATTCATGTTCCTTTGAGGTAACGTGGTTTTTTCCTCCTCTTTATAAGTGTTATGGATCTTTTCTTTATCTGCAGTGTTCTGAAATTTAACCTTGACATTATAGATATGCATCTTTTTTCATTCATAAGATTTATCTTTTTCTTGTGTTCTAAGAAGTACTATGGTATTTCTTCAGTAATATCCTTCCTTTTATGCTTTCTTGTTTTTTGAGATGAACTGACAGGTTCTTAGACTTTCTGTTGTGATCATATTATATGCAGTCTTGATCTTTTCTCTCAAATATTCTGGGTGTTTCTTTTATATTCTATAAAACATTCACACCTTTTACTTTACATACTTAATTTCACCTTTTTTCAGTGATTGTATTTTAAATTTCTTTCCTTTTTTTTTTTTTTTTTTTTTTTTTTTGAGACAGTCTTGCTCTGTTCCCAGGCTGGTTGGAGTGCAGTGGCATGATCTCAACTCAGTGCAACCTCTGCCCCCTGGGCTCAAGGGATTCTCGTGCCTCAGCCTCCCAAGTAGCTGGGATTACAGGCACGTGCCACCACACCCAACTAATTTTTGTATTTTTAGTAGAGGTGGGGTTTCATGATGTTGGCCAGGATGGTCTCGATTTCCTGACCTCGTGATCTGCCCACCTTGGCCTCCCAAAGTGCTGGGATTACAGGTGTGAGCCACCACGCCCGGCCTGTATTTTAAATTTCTTGGGTTCTTTTGGTTCTCCAATTATTCCTTTTTCATGAGTGTCATATATTCCCTAGTGTAAGAATGATTAAGTCCTAAATCAAATATTTTAAATATCTCTTCCTTTCTACTAATAAATTCCAAAGTGCTTTTGTTGTTTATTTTTTGTATTGTAGGTTTTTCTCAGAAATTACGTACTCTACGGCTGCCCATCCTATTCAAGAATGAGGCAATAGAAAAGCATTTGCAAAAGTTAGTTACAAATGTGGGGCTTGACGTTGAGCTAAAAATAGCAGGTGAGTTGACTGCATTACCTTGGAAGACTGCTAAAGTCAAATGGGGAAGACTTCACTCTGGAATGCTAATTTCCATACCAGCTGGCCTACTTTTTTTTAACAGCTCGGACAATTTCTTTGGCAAATTTTTTTTTACATGAGGATAAATATGGGACTTGGGAAGCTGACTGTTTCTTACCCAGCACTTCCATGAGTACCCCTGTTTTCTGTCCCACTACTTACTTTTCCTTTTTGGTACCTAGTAACTCCTGTGCTGGAGCTCCGGGGAGACTGGCTCCCCATTTAGCCGCAGCCTTGTATGTTTATATATTAGCGTGTGGCTGCTTCATCAGTCATTGTAACTCCGTCTGCTTTCCATCTTCCAGAAACTTGGTGAAATCTCTTGTCCATTGATGGTCTCCCTCTTTGATTCTTCAGTGTTTGGTTTGCAACATTTAGAAAATGCTTTTACTCATCTCAGTGGAATTTCAGAGGCGATAACTCCAATCAAATGATTGTGTTTAGGTCTCTAGCATGCTGTGCAGACATATTCACTCATATTCTTGTTCATTCATTCAAAACATATGCTTGTCATGTCTACCATGTGCCAAGCTGTTTCCAAAGATAGAGGTTTGAACTGAACTTGGAAAAATGCTTGCCCTCATGAAACTTTCGTTTAAGTGGGGCCTGGTAGATAGAGAATTTGGAAATAGGCTCTCTAGTGAAGCTAATACAGGATATCATGGCCACACTATTATTGAGGGTTGTCAAGGACACTCAGGCAGGATTTGACCCAAAAGAGATGAAGGTCCTGACTGTACTCCAGTATGGCTGCAGCATAATCAGATTTTCCTCTCTCTCTGTCACTGTCTCAGAAAGCAGCCTTCATCCTGTCCATGGGCCCAGATCACACCTTTGTACAAACGAGCTTTTCCCCCTTTTTTTCCTTTCATCTTGAACATTTCTTTTAGGTATACCTGTTATACAAAAATAAGATTGAATTTGTTTCTTAAGCCAACCTAAGTTTTTCTTTTCCCTCAACAGGGAATTTAACTTTACATGTATTGTCATAATTGATGCGTTAATTTTACTTGGCAGAAATTTTTTTATGTCTGCATTTTTATTTTTAATCCCTTTTTCTCTTCTTTTTTGTTGAAGGTATGTTTTTCTTATTTTATGTTTTCTTCTGTGGTTTGGGAGTTATATATTCTATTCGTAATTCTATTGGTGGATACTTTTAGGTTTTTAATTTTATACTTTTTGTTTGTTTGTTTTGAGAGAGAGTCTCACTCTGTTGCCCATGCTGGAGGGCAATGGCACGATCTCAGCTCACTGCCACCTCCGCCTCCCGGGTTCAAGTGATTCTCATGTCTCAGCCTCCCAAGTAGCTGGGATTACAGGCATGTTCTACCACACCTGGCTAATTTTTGTATTTTTAGTAGAGACGGGGTTTCACCATGTTGGCCAGGCTGGTCTCAAACTCCTGACCTCAGATGATCCACCTGCCTTGGCCTCCCAAAGTGCTAGGATTACAGGTGTGAGCCACCATGCCCAGCCTTAACTATATATTTTAAATACCATTTTCCCTTATATCGAAAATTAACAACACATCACCAACCATTTTATTATTGTAAATGAATAATTTATCATGCTTTTGTATTCCCATGACCTACTTTTAAACCTTTGTCAGTGTAGAACCAATATAGAACCATAATCATTTTTAATTTCTTAATTGGAAACATTCTTGATATGGTTAGGCTTTGTGTCCCCACCCGAATCTCATCTTGAATTGTAATCTCCAGATGTTGAAGGAGAGACCTGGTGGGAGGTGAATGGACTTTGGGGGCCTTTTCCCCCATGTTGTTCTCATGATTGTGAGTTTTCACCAGGTCTAATGATTTTATAAGGCAGTTTTTGCTTCTCTTGGACACTCTTCTCTCTCGCCTGCCGCCATGTAAGACATACCTTCCCCTTCCATCATGACTGTAAGTTTCCTGAGGCCTCCCAAGCCATGTAGAACTGTGAGTCGATTAAAACTCCTTTCTTTATAAATTACCGAGTCTCGGGTAGTATCTTTATAGCAGTGTGAGAACAGACTAATATATAATGCTAAACTACTAGATTGTAATAAAAAGATGGGAAACCTCTTTTGTTGTAGTGAACTAAAGTAACATTATTTACAATATAAACCTTGGTAGCATTTTAGTATATGACCTATAAGCACATGGGAATATCCAGTTTTATCTCTTTCTTTAAAAGAGATTAGAGAAACCTTAAGTGTTAATACATACCTTAGTTCTTAATTCTTGGGAAATAAAATGTAATACCAATAGAAATATTTTGTATGATTTTTAAGCATGTTTCTGTAGTACTACAGAGCCAAATATTATTAGGGTTTGAAAAAGGACTCTAACAATAACGTTAATTTGAAATTCTGGTTTAAGGTTTTAGACCAAATGAAGGGAACTTTAAAGACAAGCAGTTGTATTAAAACAACAGATAAAGCATAAATAGTTTTTAGGCAAAAGTAATGATGATAATAATAAAGGTAGTTTGCATCTCCCACACCTCCAAAAGTTGTTTTATCCATTTCCATTGTTACTTTAAAATTAATTTGAATTGAGCTTTTGCTGTATCCTGACAAGGGTGAAAGGGTTAAATAATTTTCCTCACTAACCACTTTTTGTGGATATCTGAGTAGCAGCTCCACTACAGGGAGATGTGTGGAGGTAGAGAAATATCAAACCAAGCTTTTGCTCTCTGTGGATAATAAAAATTACCCACTTTCTCACAGATGTCAAATCTGGCAGATTTCCATAGAAAATTTGGATTGAATGTCAACTACCCAAATTATTTTAGTGTCTGCTGAAGTGTGTGCTTGGCAGGGATTTCAGTAGGAAAATAGGAAGTGGGTTTGAAAACATTAATAATATCTGAATACAACTTCTTAAGCTGATTGTTCCATAGATGAACCAAAGCATATATTGTCCCTGCAAACCAGAGCCCTCCAAGAAGTCCAGGTGGACATATTGTTAAGGTTTCAAATATAGACGTTGAGAGGAGGGCATATTCAGGAAATAGGATTTGCTAGCATGCATAGATCTTTGCCTTCTTGAATAGTTTAGATTGGCCAGCTAACAAATAATATAGTCTAAATGGCACCAATACCATGTGGGCAATGAATCTGACTTAGGTTTTATTGTAAATCACATTTGTAGAAAGATAGATGTGGTTAAAAGTGTACTGAGGTTTGGTTAGAGGATCCGAGTTCTAGTTCTGACACTCACATTCAAAAGTCTCTATTGCGGCTGGGTGCGGTGGTTCATGCCTCTAATTCCAACACTTTGGGAGGCTGTGGCAGGTGGACCACTTGAGGTCACAAGTTCGAGACCAGCCTGACCAACATGGTGAAACCCAGCTCTACCAAAAAAAAAATACGAAATTATGGGAGGCTGAGGCGGGCGGATCACGAGGTCAGGAGATGGAGACCATCCTGGTTAATATGGTGAAACCCCATATCTACTAAAAACACACACACATAAAAAAATTAGCCGGGCGTGGTGGCAGGCTCCTGTAGTCCCAGCTACTCCGGAGGCTGAGGCAGGAGAATAGCGTGAACCCAGGAGGCAGAGTTTGCAGTGAGCGGAGAATGCGCCACTGCACTCCAGCCTGGGGGACAGAGCGAGACTCTGTCTAAAAAAAATAAAAATAAAAATTAGCTGGGCATGGTGGCACATGCCTGTAATCCCAGCTACTTGGGAGGCTGAGGTAGGACAATTGCTTGAACCTGGGAGGTAGAGGTTGCAGTTAGCCGAGATCATGCTGTTGCACTCCAGGCTGGACAACAAGAGCAAAACTCCATCTCAAAAAAAAAAAAAAAAAAAAAAAAAAAAAAAAAAAAAAAAAAAAAAAGTCTCCATTGCTCTAGCCCTTCATTTCTGCTTCTGTGCACCTGCGTCATCTGTATGGACATTTTCAGCATATCTTTGATCTTTGTTAATAAGGAAACACTGGGATAACTCAATACAAGATAAATCTTAAGTTAGTTTCCCATGAGAAGAAACAAAGCTCCTTTGTTTGAGGAAAATTAAAACTGCAGTATATCAGTAACAGAAAATGAGTTCTGAGCAGTCATATAATATTAAAGGATTAGCTTAATCATCACGTAATTTTTAAATTTCTATCAATGTCCTATTGTTATTCATCAAAAGTACTCATTCTTTTTTTCCCAAATGCTATGCCATTGTGAAATTTATTCATTCATACAACATATTTATTGAGCACCTACTGTGTCTGAGACGCTGTGCCAAATGCTAGGTAGTAGCAAAAAACACAAAACCTCCTGCTTTTCTGAAGTTTAAACTCTAAGAGGGGAAGACAGATGATGGAAAAACCAATGCAAGTAAAAAAGGCAGAGAGTGGTAGATGGAGAAAGGAAGACAGGTTGCACGTGTGTGTGTATGTATGAATGAGTGGGTGGGTAGACCTGTGTGTGTGTGTGTGTGTATGTGTGTGTATGAATGGGTGGGTGGGTAGACCTGTACAAACACAAAATTTTAAATAGAGTAGCTAGGAAAGGCTTTGCTGAGAAAGTAAGTGAAATTTAGGATGCCACCTGAAAAAGGTGAGGGCAGGAGTCATACCCGTATCTGAGATGAACATTCAAGGTAGAGGTCACACCAGTTGCAAAACCCTGAGTGGGAACATGCTGGATATTGTAAGGAAAAGCACAGCACCGCTTCATAACCTCGTTCAAAAAATATTTACTCACCAACTATATGCCAGACACTCATTCTTTTGACAAAGAAGCTTACAGTCTAGTAGGGATAGATAAACATACACAAGTGCGATCAAATGAAGGTATGTAAGAGTCATAAAGGTTTGTTAAGGGTACAGTGAGCCCTCAATTAGGATGTAGTCAGTTCTATATGAGGAGTTAGGAAGGATTTGCTACCATATTCGTTCCTCCTCCAAATTGCATCCTAGATTGTTTGTCTTAATCTTTTTGATCTTTGCAAATGCTCAGCTTAAGGAGAAATATTGTATGGCTTTAGATATATAAGGAATGGCATGAATATGATGGAGGATTTTTCTTTAGTTTTTTTGGGAGAGAGTAAGAAAAGGGAAGCAAATGTTTTACTAGGTACCCACCCACTCTGTGCCAGATGCTGTACAGAAGTTATTTTGTTCTCACCAGCTTGCCACATGAGTTTTAAGGTCCTTGTTTTAGAGATGATGAAACTTGGGCCCTGAGAGATAAGGAGGTTGTCCTTCACAGTTACAGAATGAGTAAATGCTTGAACCAGAATGGACTTAAAGTTTTTCTAACAAGTCTTAATAAATAGCAAATGCCAAGTACCGAACATCTTATCTAACATACACACACACGCGCGCGCGTGCACGTGTGCGCAACCCCTAGTATGGATAGTATTATCACCCTTACCTAAAGTGCTCTCTTACTTAATCCTTATTACAAGGCTGTGCAAGAATCTTTATTGCCCCCAGTTGGGAAATGGTTATCCATCTCATTCTGGAACTCTCATTCTTGCTAATTATGGGATTTATTTCAATTCTAACAACCCACACAGTGGAGAATGTCCTTTTTTATATCATATCTAAAACATGTCTTTTCCACTATCATGTAAATGCATGTTCCCCTTCTTCCTCTGTAGACACAGAATAAAGTTATTCTTTACTGTTCTTTATGTATTAGTATATGCTTTTGGGTGGCTCGGTTCTTCATTGAGGGGAAGCTCTGAGATCTTATTGGCAGTTGTCCCGTCCTTTTCTAAATCAAGGCTCATTGTGTATCCTGCCATCTTGGTCTTCCTGCTGCTTCTCTCAACGGTTCTTCCCTCTCTATTTTCTTTATGCAACTATCTGAGATGTCTCTGAAATATCATATCTGAGATATGATAAACATTGATTTGTTTAAAAATGTGTTAGGCACTAAAATCTGTCATAAATAAACTATAAAAGATTGCACTCATAATTTTCATCTATGGATATATATCTTTTAAATTTTTCATGGTATCAGCCCAACTGAAAGCCTACTTTTTCATCCTTACAGTAAACAATTTTAGTGTGTATAACTTTCTATTATGTTCAGTTAATGCTCTTTCTTTTTTAGGGTTTTTTTTTTAACTTATTTTTACAAATAATTTTTTAACCTGAAAAGTGCTGAGATTAAGTAATTTTTCTAAGGTGACACAATTATATGTCTGTGCTAGACCTGGAATTATCATGCCTTTTATTCAGGAAAGCAATATATCCAAATTCAACTGTTTGGTTCACTCTTGGTGCCTCATATGTTTATTAATTTCTGGTTTGTAGTTTAAGGAAAAAAGAGTAAATATTTACATTATAATATATGAGAAATATGAAACTTAAAAAGATTCAGTAAGTTTTCTAGGTCTAAAAGGTACTAACTAAAGTAATAACTAACCTTTATTGACTACCTCCCAGGAGGTAGGCATTGTGCTATATCCCATATGTATTAATTCGTTGAAACTTCATGATAACCCTATGAGGTAGGTATTGTTATTATTTCCTTTTTACATACAAAGAAACTGAGGTTCAGGGAAGTTAGGTAAGTTTCCTAAAGACACAGAGCTACTGAATGTAGAAAAGACTATGAGCATAGATAGTTTAGCTTTATCTTTTGGGCTTTTAACTACTATGCTATATATTTGTCACAAATATGAGAGGATATAGAGTTTTAAATAAGTATTTTAAAACAGGTAGAATGTCAGTACGGTTAACTTTTGTGATAAAGTATTGCAAAAACTTTTCTTTGTTTAAAAAAAAAAAGGAATAAATGTCGCAACTATATATAGAGTTGCCCACGTAAAATAGTCCTTCTAAAGAAGAATTTCAAGATCGAATAAGAGACAGATAGTTTGACAGACGTCTGATCAGAGACAGAAGATAGCTTGTCTTGGAATCAGTTTAATATATGTATCCATTTCTTTTCACCAAAGGCAATTTATGGAAATACAGAAATCTGAACCTTGATTTTTTTTTCACCCAGAAAAGTAGAACATTGTGAATATGACTGGGATTTTTCCAAACAAAACTTTTAATGAACTAATGTTATGAAAAATGCTGAATTACTAATTGCTACATCTCAAAACTAACTTCAAGCAAAATGACGTTTGAAATAAAATTTGAAGAAATATAAGACCCAATTCCATAATTATTTCTTCCTTTCTACTTCTTAGCAGCGTGGAGTATGAGCAACTGACAGCAAAGGACGATCCAGTCCATTTGCTTTCACTAAGCTGCCCTTGTAATTTGTGGCAGACATTGTTTATACATAATCATTTCTTACATTTATTTAATAAGTGAGGCATTCCCTGTATTTCTTAATTGAACATTTTCCCCAAGAAATTTAGAAACTTAGCTAAGGAAGTGACACTAGCTCTCCTTGTAAATTTTTGGCCTCTTCCTCCATCTGAAATATAAATAAACTTTATTGGTCTCCCCTGCCACCACCAAAAAAATTAAAACCAGCATACTAGGTACAATCCCTGCATTACACCTTCCCAATCCCAAGAACCAGCTATATCTGGGCTTGTGGCCTTTTTACCCACTATTCAATATTTCAGGAAGCTGTTTGCATTTTTCTAATATTTAAAAATGTAATAAAATACTCCCAACTTGACAGCAATTAGAAGGGCATTTTTATTTTCCTCATGAACACTTAAAAGATAGCAGTGATTTTTAATTACTTGGAATATTCTCTGTAATATATTAATTTTTAAAACATGTTATAAAGAGATTAATACATTATAAAAAAGCTGCTTTTTTTGTTTGACATTAAAAATGGTTCTTTGAAGTTACAGAAATGGTTTTAGAGTTTGAGTGTATGTGCTAGAAAACCAATATAACTTGTGTCTAGAATTTTGAATCTCACTCTGACACTAGTCTATCACTAATTATATAACTAACTTAATATATAATGTTATATATGTGCATATATATATATACATATATATATAATCAGCTACATACCCTTACCTGTTTATTTTGTTCTATCAACCTACCCTACTATTTTGAGAATGAATGAAATCATTTATTTGAATAATTTATTACATTGCCTTACCACAATGGTACATCAAAATCATTTTAAGGCTTAACTAGAACAGATTAATGACCTCCATAGGTTCTAAATGTGCAGGTTTGGTGTGGGTTCTGTGATTATGCATTTCTAACAATTTTCCAGATAATACTGATGCTGCTGGACCAGAGACCACACTTAGATAAGGGCTGTCTCATAAAATTGAATGAAATTGTTTTAAAAAAACAAAACAAAACAAAAAACCTTAATAAAATAGTAGTAACACATAGTTTGTGTTTGAATTGGGAAAAAGGCTTGATTTTAAATTTGAACCTTTGGGGTTATAATGACTAGAAAGTGGGACAAAAATAATGTTGGGAGATTATTTAAAAAACAACAACAACATTATTTGATACTTTGTCTGGTCCACACTCTCACTTCATCCTTTTGTGAGTATGGGTTTGATTTCTTCCTCAAGCTAAAGGTTGACTATGTAATGCAGAATTTCATTAACAGAGGTTTCTTGTTTGCAGATAGATTTTTTTCTTCCACTTTTAACTTGTTGTCAAAGGTATAACACAGAGAAAATGTGTGATAATTCAGTATAATGTTTGTGAGAAACGTCAGCTCACTGAGACACCAACATAACAGTTTCAGACTTTTTACAAGAGGAAAGAAAATTTAGGTCAGCCTGTAAGAGCAATCTATACTAGAAGGGATAAGAGGACACACTTACGTGTGCATACACACACATATTTTCAAAGATGCCATTATTTCCGTCATCTTCTGTCATAACAATTGCTCATCAGCAATAGTAGTTAGCACAGACTTTGTTATCTTTAGTTTTTATGCTTTCTAAATGCCTGTCTCCATCTAGGGGGAGGTGATTTTTTTAGCTTGTCATCAAAGATAGCACCTTAGGCGAGTGCTTAAGTACAGTCTGCTAATAATGATAGTGTATGCCAGCAATGAGAAACAAAATGTGTACATCTCATCTTAGATTTACCATCGGTGTAGCATGTTACTATCTTGATTTTTTTCATGTCATGAATGAGATTCCTAAAATGCCATAATTAAGCATATAACTAATAAACAGCTTTAGAAATTGAACGATGAATTTGATCTCACTGCTGTTTAGTTGACAGATGGGAATCAAACAGACATAAACTCTGTACTTCCAATTTATTGCAGGAAGGAAAATTGTGTGCCCAAAATGCCATAAGACAGGTTGTTCTTCCAGCATTTATAGTCTGGTGGGAAGGAGAAAATAAAGGTCCTGTAGTCTTTCAAAAAAGACAGTTTTAAGCCATTTCCAACATAATAATTGAGACTTCCAGTTTGGATGAGACCGTGAGTATATTAGGGCCAACTTCTGAACCCTTTGATGTTCATTCACATAATATAACTTTTCCCCCGCTTAATTTCTGTTTTAATACTAAGTTAAATTAAATGACTGGTTGTTTACCCAACCTACTCTAGGTACTCGATGAATATTCTATTTATAGTAATCCTAAAAATGCAACCTTAAAATATTAACACTAAATATAATTGTATATTGCAATTTTTCTTGTACTCCAGCAAGATGGCCCAAGCAATTGTTTGTTCAGATACGTTGAGTCGACACTATAAAACTAAGATAGTCTCTAGTATGAATATGAAATGAGTATGTGATATTCATGGGCTTGAACTTTTTAAAAATATCTAGACGTTTATTTTCCAAATTTACTGTGTATTTTCTTTGACTTTTATATAGTAAGCATTTAAACACTTACATGTGAACAAATTAGAATGTTAAATGTTTGAGAAGATACCAATATTTTATGTATCTCTTTAATTGCAGTTATTTAATGTTTAGTTTTAAAAATTTGATGCAAATATAATTAGTAAGAATTCTGTAAGTGTGATTACCTACTTGAGATTTTTCTACACAAATATAAATTGTGGTAACAATATCTTAAGTGCACAGAATGTTATTAATTAATGAAACAGTTCACAAACATTGGCTACACACCTCTCATGTATAAATATCAGAAGTGAGTTCTTAGACATTTTTAATCCATAGATGAATCAGTCAGCTTTACAAGGAATAAACCTGTCTGATAATCCAGACTACAGCATTAACCCTGGCTAACATTCTCATACAACCAGGCCTTCTAACAAGAGGGCTGGGAAAGGAAATGTGGATGCCTTAGCACAACACTGACAGAAGAAAAGGCTAAGCTCACAACCTACAGATGCTACTCTATGTAGGGAATTTAGAATCTGAAGAATCTTGTATTAGGTTGGTCACAGAAGACAGTTTCACGACTTCTTAATACATCGTGTAGTTGCACACTGTATATTATTATTATTATTATTATTATTATTTTTTTTTGAGACAGAGTCTTGCTCTGTCGCCCAGGCTGGAGTGTAGTGGCGCCATCTCAGCTCACTGCAAGCTCCGCCTCCCAGGTTCACGCCATTCTCCTGCCTCAGCCTCCCGAGTAGCTGGGACTACAGGTGCCCACCACCATGCCCTGCTAATTTTTTGTATTTTTAGTAGAGACGAGGTTTCACTGTGTTAGCCAGGATGGTCTCGATCTCCTGACTTTGTGATCTCCCCGCCTCGGCCTCCCAAAGTGCTGGTATTACAGGCGTGAGCCACCGCGCCCAGACGCACAGTGGATCTTATTTAAGCATCTTCAAAATGTGCTCAGATTTGTATTAAAGAAAAATTAAATCTGCTGATATTTTCCAGGAAAGTAAAGTTACAACTAATAACAAAGACACTAGATAAGACTTTGCTCTGAAGAATAGATATAGGAATTGAGGAAATTTGGTGGAGGACAATCAATTTAGTGTGACATCGTTACAAAATGAATAGTGAGATGAAGTTATCAAGAGTTCAATATTGAGGAGCTAAAAATAAGACCTATAAAGGAAAACTTGGTAAAGAGAGAAAACTCATATTAAAGCTACTTATTTGGGTTAACTAGGAGGGAACATTTTATAAAACAATTTCTAACTCGATTGTGTGAAAACCAAAACAACCTAAATGGATTCCTTGCCTATTAAAGTAATACTTTTCCCCCTTTGGTAATTTTGTGCAACTTGGGTAACTTTTTCCAAATCTTTTCTGTATGTTTACATGGCCATCTGGAGTTTTATCACTGTGGTAGACACTGAGAATGCAAAATGAATGAAAGCTGTACCTGTCTAGAAGAAGTTTAGCAGTCTAGTAGAAATATAAACAAACATCCACAGTCAACCATGACATGAGTGATAACATAAGCATGTGTAACCTACTGAGTTACTAAACAAATGAAGGAATTGTTAAGTTTGTCAGGAATGGGGCTGATCATGGAAGCCATCAGAGAAGAGGTGACGTTTGAGTGAGGTTTGAGGGATAAACTTTGGTTCCAAGAAGGATGAAATTGCATGTCACATCATTAATTTGATAGTGCAAGATGATGGCCTTAGGAGATGAAAGAGGGACTCTAACTAGCTTCTCCATAATGAAAAGTCTTGCACACCGTACCATAGAGCTCTATTTTGTTTTGCAAAATAGTAACAGAATTCAAGTTATAGTTCAGAAAGAGCACTCAGAACCATGTGTGGGATGGATTTCAAGGGGTAAAAAGACTGGAAAACCACTCCGGAGATTACTTCACAAATTCAGATAGCATATGAAGAGGGCTTGGAGAAAGAAAATAGCAGTGAGAATACAGAAAGAAGGATGACTTTTAAGATAGTTAGGGGGTAGTATCAATATTGGTGATTAATTGATTATGGGACATAAAGGAGAAGTAGAATCCAAGATGACTCCCAGCTTTCTGGCTTCGAAAAATAGGTGACTTGTGATGATCAAGTTACGTAAGAACTGGATTTGGAAACAAAGAAATATTTAATGACTTCACTGATGGGGGTTGATAGTGGAGTAGTGAGTTGTCAGATGTATGGATAAACAGGGAAAGGGAGAGAATATGTCAGCTTGAGGGGGATGCGTGAATGAGCATGCTTAGTGCTGGTAGAAATTTGAGCGTGTTTATTGACAAGGATGAGCTAAATCAATAGAAAGCAAAAGTTAGATACACAAGGGAGGGGTGAAAGGAATGGAAGAGCATGGCATCTAGAGCCAGGCAGAGGGATGATCCCAGCACAGAAGAAGAGCACCTCTTCCTCAGGAGTGGTAGAAGACAAAGAAGTGGCTTGAGTGAGAAGACACACAGGTGGAGGCAAGTCATTCTGTGTGGAAGGAGGATATGCCTTGTGGCCCCAGTTTTGCGGTGTGAGGTGTCATCTGGTGAGGGTCCTTGGAATTGGGGGATGAGTAAATATTAGGAGAGTGTTAATCTGTAGAATAGTCACTGAAGGAATTGGATTAGATGATCAATGGAAGCAAATGAAATGATACTACTCTCACTGAAGGCTCAGTATTACCAATCCTAATGGTTTTGCAGTTTTCCCCAGCATCACTGGGTTGTATCTGGGTAATGCTAATGATAACCAACATTTTTAATGTTTGTTATGTACTAGGGACTATCAAATCATTGATCTTCACCACAAGTTCATAAGTTGGGTACCATTATTATTTTCATTTTACAGAAGAGGAAACTGTGGCATTTAAATATATAATTGTAAAGAAGGCAGATGGTCAGCATAATTAGTTAGGCTTAGATTCAACTAATAATAGGATAAGCCAGAATAACAAAGGCTTAAACAAGATAAAAGCATGTCTCTCTGTTCAAAAGATCCTGAGACAGACAGTCTAGAACAAACATAGCTCGCCATGATTTCAAGAACACAGGCTCATCTATGTCATAGATGTACCGTCTCTCAGCCTACCTCATGAGCAAATCCTCCAGCCGTTTCTCTACACTTAATATATCAGGAAAAATTAAGAGGACAGGAAAGGCATGCATCCTACCCAACTGTCCCAGAAATCACACACACTGCTTTTGCTTACATCCTTGAAACTTGACTGCATGGGTGCATCTAGCTCAAGAGAAGGCTGTGAAATATTTGTTTTATTTTATTTTATTATTATTTTTGAGACAGAGTCTTGCTCTGTCGCCCAGGCTGGAGTGCAATGGTATGATCTCGGTTCACTGCAATCTCTGCCTCCCGGTTTCAAGCGATTCTCATGCCTCAGCCTCCTGAGTAGCTGGGATTACAGCTGGGTGCCCATGCCCAGCTAATTTTTGTATTTTTAGTAGAGATGGGGTTTCACCATGTTGAACAGGCTGGTCTTGAACTCCTGACCTCAGGTGATCCGCCCACCTCAGCCTCCCAAAGTGCCGGGATTACAGGCGTGAGCCACCAACACCCAGCCTGAAATATTTATATTCCTAATATTTTGAATAAGGGAAGAGCGAATATTGGAGGGATCTCTTCTTTTGATTTTTCAGATTATATTGAATGAAAAGAGAAAGGAGTAAAGCATTGAGAGTGTTAACAAAGAGTGTAGGTTAAGTGATGAATTATGACAAAGAAGTGAAGCCAAGAGGTGGCTGATAGATGGAAGGGAAACGAAGGTGTAACGGCCTGAATGACTTGGTGGAGTGAAGGTGGAGCTGTTGTCAGCATTAACAAAGAGAATATCACAGATAGCTCTTTGAGATGGAGATTGTGTGAGAAGGAAACTATGGGAGTTGAGATTTTGGAAGTGGTGAAGTCCCAGCAACAGTGGAAAGAATGCCTCAGTATTTTTCTGATATTAGTTAAGTGAAGACACTTAGGGGCCAGACTATTAAGGAATAGAAACGAAAATCTTAAATGACTAGACCAAGACTGTCTTAAGATTAATATTCAAGTTTATATATCCTGGCAGTGTTGACAAGGGTATAGAAAACTTTCCTGTTACTAGGATAATAATTATACCATTTTATTTTAGACAAATGTACTTAGTCAAAGTTCAAATTTGCTTTACACAGATGACATTTGTTATGTTCAAAAAATTGCAAGTCTTCAAAGTAAGTAATATTTCAGATAACTGAATCTTTTCATCCAATGCAAGACATTCTGATGGAATAGTTTCTTAAATGTGTTAAAAATTGCTTTCTTAAAATAATACTTAGAGCATATTTTATAGTCAGTGCTCATTGTTAAACACAATTGTCAATTGTCTTGAACCTAAAATAAAAGATCTCAGCTCTTTCTTTATCTCATTATCAGAGTTCCTCCATGACACATTGAGGTTGTATGATTTAAGGAAATGGCTTCATCTTGGACATTTTCAACAGTTTAGTTGCTCCCTGGTTGCCTAGAATTAGAGATTATGAGATTCTGACCCCTGGGTAAAGGGTTACCATCATTTAAAAAGCTAAAACCTACAAAAAGCTTTCCAGTTTTTTTCAATCCTGCTTCAGGACCAAATTATCTTGTGCTACCACCAGCTTCTTGCTCACACTAGAAGGGGTTTGTACAAATGGAAACCCTATTTTGCCTTAAGAAAAAATAAAATAAAATAAAGACTATCCTACCTAATAAGGAATGCTTTTTAAAGGAAGCCTCTATTTTTTAACTTAAAAAAATTTAATTTCTCTCTAAATACATTTTGAAACGACATGTGGAATTTAAATATAGTTGGCACAGTCCTATTTCATTATTCCTATGTACATGCTAAGAGATGGTGAAGCTTGTGAAATTCTGCACACTAGTTTGTAGTTCTGCGGATTTTCTTCTTCCTTCCTTCCTTCCTTCACACCCAAAAGTTAGAGGCCCAGAGAGAGAATTCCAATCACTTCTGATGAGTGAGTTGAAAGTACTGAAAATTTTGCCTAGTACATGGGAAATCGGCAATCTTTGAAAAAGTGCTGTCATGGCAGATCATTCAGATAACTTGTGCCAATATCAAGTCTGTTGCTGAATGTCAGAAAGAGGCAAATGATGGTATGCATTTCATTTAGGTAGGGCTTCAGATGAGGGCCAAAGGTGGTGAACTCCTTTGGTCCCTTGGTGGTAGAAAGTGTGACTGGGTGTCACGATAGACCCTCCACCCTTCTACTCCCCTTCCCCTCAACCCCACCCACCTGCTTTCTCTAAAGATATAGCTAAAGATTAAACCAGCCACTTGAAAATCATCTTGAGATACTTCTTCCTGGCATGTTCCTGATGTGTTAAGACTCCAGTGATTTTTATTCTGTAATTACCAATGAAGAGAATACTACAAGTGACACAGGTGACTGTCCCTGGCATGGCTGTGCCTGCAGAGGCTACAGAGCTTTTGAGGTAGCTTCACAGTTGTCTGATCACCAGTGGCCCCAAGTGATGTGAAAGAGAAGCCCGTGGCTGAAGGCCTTAGCTTTGAAGGAAGGTTCAAAAAAGAGTCACACGCCTCCGTTTTCTGAAGCCTGAGTTAGTTGAACAGATATTTGGCACTTTCAAGATTTCTGTGTGGGACTTAAAGTTGTAACTTTCATTTGAGCCTAAGGCCTTCAGAATAAAGAGGACCACGTGCTAGAAAGTTACAACAAGGATGGTTTTTATCTGAACTACTTTCCCTTTATATTTGAAACTAGAGGAAATTAGTAAAGATTTCTAAATGATTTGCTGGATGATAACTATTTAAAAAGAAACTTTCATATTTTATTTTATTTTGATTTTTTTTTCTTACTCTTGATTCTGGTAATGAGAGTCATAAGCCAGTAAGGGATTGGAAGGAATTAAGTTGGCCATAATTACACATGTATTAATTTGAAACTTTGAAGAAGAGATGTCTTTACATCTATTTTTTACATAATAATATAAATTATGATGCACAAAAAACCTTACAAATATGCTTAACTCATGTTTTCTTAAAATACTAACATTCAAGGCATTGAATGAAGTTTCTGTATTTTTTCCCTTTTTGTTTTTTAATCTCTTAATCTCTTTAACTTTTTTCTTTTTACTAAAGTACAAGTAAGATATGTTAATTGTATAAAAGTTTTAAAGTTTAATATATGTGCATAGGAAGAAAAAATAGAAAAAACATTCTTACCCAAATTCAGCTATTTTGTAGCTATTTTTTACAGACAGCTAGAAATGCAGTGTAACTTATCTAGACCTAGTTAGTAAGAGCACAGATGATGAGTTAAAATAAAAGAAAGATTGAAAAAGTTTTTGCAGAGGTGAAGAGGGAAGAGAAATACTAGAGGTAGAGTAAATGAGCTGTCATATGATTTGATTTCAGGGAAGTTTCTTTATGTTAAGACTTTGTTCCTTGCTAAAGTATTTCATTAACTCATTAATTAATCCATTAACTCATCCATTAATATTTGTTGAATATTTATTATATAGCTGGAACTGTGCTTAACATTGCAGATGCATTAATAATCAAGGTAAACAGTTTAGAGCCATGCAGTATCCAACAACAAATATGTGCTCTCTGCCAACTAGGTTCTAGGCACAATTCTGTGTACCAAGGATATAATGAGGAACAAAGCAAAGAGACATCCCTGCCTTCATGGTGGATGGCAGGTAGTGGACAGAGTAAAACAAGGAATGCAAATCGCAGTTCAAGGAAGTGCAAGGAGGTCCATGTGCCTGGAGCAGAATGCATGAAGGAGTGAATAGAAGGACATATGGTCAGAAGGTAATTGGAGGCCAGATTATTTAGGCCGCATAGGGCATTGTAAGGACTTTTTCCTTGACTCTGAATGAGATGGGAAGCGTTGATAGGGTTTTGAGCAGAGAGAACTGTTATAATTTTTTTTTATGTATAAGCAGCCTAGTTTTTTTTTTATTTTTTAATTTTTATTTTTATTATACTTTAAGTTTTAGGGTACATGTGCATAACGTGCAGGTTAGTTACATATGTATACATGTGCCATATTGGTGTGCTGCACCCATTAACTCGTCATTTAACATTAGGTATATCTCTTAATGCTATCCCTCCCCCCTCCCCCTACTCCACAACAGGCTCTGATGTGTGATGTTCCCCTTCCTGTGTGGCACATATACACCATGGAGTACTATGCAGCCATAAAAAATGATGAGTTCATGTCCTTTGTAGGGACATGGATGAAGCTGGAAACCATCATTCTCAGCAAACTATCGCAAGAACTGTTATCATTTAAAAGGATCACTCTGGCTGCAGTTGGGAGAAGACACAGGTTTTGGTCAAGGAATGGAAACAGGGAGGCAAGGTGGGAGGCTATTACAATAAGCCAGACGAGATCATGGTGGATTAGATCAGCATGGTGGCAGTACATGTGGTTAGAAGTGGTCAAAACCATGACTTAGTGCATTTAAAGATTCCATCAACTGGATTTTTTGATCAAGATGAAGACTGAGTGTGTGAGAAGGAGAAGAATCAAAGATGATTTGAGGATTTTGGCCTGAGTAACTGAAAAGTGGGCATTTTTATTTATAAAGATTTGGAGAAAAGGTTTGAGGGTAAAGAATAGATAAGCTTTAAAAACAGTAAGTTTGCCATTCCTATTAAATATCCAGCTAGAAATATTGAACAGAAGCGTGGGCTAAAAATAAATATAAATTGGGGTTCATGAGTAAGGAAGTGAGTGTGGACAAAAATGGAAAGAAAGAGAGCGTATGAATATGAATACGAGGGCTAAACCCTGAAGCACAAATAAGTGCAATAAAGTGTTATACAGTGGAAATACGCACAAAGTAGTCCAATGGGGAAACAAGGAGCACGAGTGATCAGTTCATCATCAAGACCAAGACCTTGAACAAAGTCCTGCCAGAACACTGAGGAAGAAGCAGCAACTTTTTTTTGTATTTTTTTTGGATACATTCTCACTCTGTTGCCCTGGCTGGAGTGCAGGGGTATGATCATAGCTCACTGTAACTTTGATCTGCTAGGCTCAAGTGATCCTTCCACCTCAGCCTTCTGAGTAGCTGGGAATACAGGCACATGTCATCATACCCAGCTTTTAATTTTTATTTTTTTATAGAGATGGGGTCTCACTCTGTTGCCCAGGTTAGTCTTGAACTCCTGGCCTCAAGCTATCCTCTCGCCTTGGCCTCCCAAAGTGCTGGGGTTACAGGTGTGAACCAGAAGCAGCAACTTCTGCTTTGAAGAAATCAGAGACATTCACAGAGGCGGTGATATTTGAGCTAGATCATTTAAGTAGAGGTTTGTTAGAGGATCTGGGACCCTTCAAGGCAGAAGGGGCAGCAAATACACACTTCAAAGTAGTAAGAAAGCCCAGTGAGCATGTAACTTCTTGTGCTCACACCCTTTGCCTCAGGAACCTTGTATAGCGTCTGCACCATATTGTATGTATGAAGCAGAAGGTTATTTAAAAGAAAAAAGCATACAACCGGGGCTGACAAAAATAGAGAAAAATGCCAAAGTCAATTTTTGAAGAATTGAAATGATATGCCAAAAAGCAGAACCGCTGGAAGTATTTGAAGGAAAAAGTAGTACAGAAAAGCACTGGAATACAATAAGCGTGCAAGCAGTGACCTTTAAGAAGGTTGCAGGTCTTTAAAATGACAGACCTGTAAGTCACGGAGTTGCTTCATGAGTTTGGAGAGTTTCTCTAAATTTGATAATAGTTTTAAAAGCAATTTATTTGATGATAATTAAAATAATATTTACTTCAAAAAAATAAGTGCCACATAAATTAAATGTCTTTCTGAATTCCAACAGATTTATGCATTTTATGACCTGCTAATTGTAGATAAAGAGTATTCATTCATTCGAGGTATTTACTGAGCAACTACTATGTGCCAAGCACTGTTCTAGGAATTGGGGCTGTAAACGTGATCCTGACAGCACAGTCCATGCCCTTGTTTACACTTGATTGGTGATACAGAAGTGAGTAAACAAATGAATAAATAAATGGTATAAAGTAGAGCAGGTAAAGGTGAAGAAATGGCAGGTTGCTAATTCAAAAGCTTGATGTAGGACCTCACTGCAATTGGAGGGATTGCAATGATACCAGTGGGCAAAGAATCGGATTATTTAGGACCTGCTAGGCCAAAAAAAGAGTTTTGAACTTTACTACAAATATTATGGGAAACTCTTGGAGTGTTTTTGAGAGGGGAGCTAGGTGATCACAAAGCTTAAATACAAAAAAAGTTTAGATTAAAACTGCAGAAAGCTCAGAAATTTTCTGCACATATTACTTTACATTGAGATTTAAATCCATTTCCCACATATTTGTCATCAGTGGGAGCAGAAAAATAAATAGTTGTGGTCTCAATGTTAGTTGAAAAGAAGTTATGTTTTATTCTGTTCATTAAGTAAACCAAAGGCCTTAATTTCTCAACTACCAATTTCTTTGGGTTTAATTTATGTAGAATTTTTAAAATCACTTCTTTTAAAGGGAATTTCATAAAACTCTTGTTTGATTTTTAAATAGTTTATGACCTTGATACTCTATTAAATATTTGCCTAGGATGAAGCATGTTTTTCTAAAAATATATATTTTACAAGAACCTCACAGACATTATACTTCTAATCACAGCTTTATGCTTTTTAAAAAGGAGGCAAATAGACACTTCATGACTGAAGGAAGCCACTGATTCTGGGGATACTATGACTGGCCAGATGTCTGATGGGAACCTTTTCAGCTTTTAAATAGAACTAAGTGGTGTCAAGAATTCAATAAACATGAATGTTGATCTTCAGCATTTCTACTAGCAGCTTGACCTGAAGATAATTCCCATCAATTTACATAAAATGATTAAAATTAGTCTCAGGTCATAATGACTAAATTGTATTTATTTTGCCCAGAGACATCAGGTTTTAGTTAAAACTGGAAATTAATTTGTGTAATATAATGTTCAATCCTATTCCTCATATATCCCACAATCCCCAAAATTAGTTCAACAAACTTGGTACATAGTGTTTGCAGGGGACAAAAAATAATATATTTAACTCAGCCATTGCAAGAGTCATACCTGACACCCCTATAATGAAAGAAAGATTAATGAAAGAAAAACATAACAAATTTATTTAATGAACCTTCAGAAATGATGGCTCAAAAGGCCCAGGAAAAACTATATTTTTATGCTAAGTCTGATGAATTACATGGATAATCATGGAAAAACATGATTGGACAATAGAAGTATGATTTTAGAGTAATAAACTGGGTGGGGCGTACTACAGCAAGTCCTGTTTGTTCAGATTTTTCCTGTGTCTCTGTATGATATTCCCCACCTCTACCTCCTGGCCCCCCATGGGGCAGGACCGTCTGGAATGAGGGTCTTATGAACTTTCAGGTGAGATAGGTTGGAATTTTTTTATGACCATGCTTCCTAGGAGAAAGGCAGAAGTGACCTTCTTGCTCTGTAGTTTTCTCAATTGTCAAGGTCCCATATTTTGGGTTATTGTGTTCTAAGCTTGACATGTCCGAAAAGTAGTTCCTGAAATACATTAATGGAGTCTGTAGTCTCAGAATCATTTTAAAATATGGAAGTATACTTTTTAGAGTTAAAAAAAAAAAGAAACAAAAAAATTGAAAACACTGAAAATCCTTCAATGAAGGTCAGATATTTCAACCATTTATGCTATTAATGAGTTTTGTCTGTTTCCCTGTCATATGACTTGACCATACTGAGTTATTTGCAAATGGAATTCACTTCTTTTAATGTTAAAATTGCACTCTCTATCACGTCACCATTTCTCTGCACCCACTTTTTCTGCCAGTAATTATTTTTTCTTGTTTTTCCATGGAAATAGATTTACAAAGTTAGATTTTGTAGGTTTCATCCAAAAGAATGTGGAATGGCAGTAAGAGACATTATAGGATGGGCTCATGTATAAAATGTGTATATATTACACAAATATCCTGGGGACAGGGATAGGCTGAGTTTGGGGAGTTGATTTAAATGTTAAAAAAATGTTCTTTCAAAGTGTTAATACTTTCAGGAAAGCTTTTAAATATTTATAATGTAAAGGTATATCACAAAGTTGGGGCTTCTTCTTGGAATAATGACATGGTTTAGGAGCAAACCCAGAAACCGTAATACATAACACATGTAACATTCATATTTTAGAAAGCACTTTACAGACATTTTAAATGTACGATCTTTGTTATTGATAGATATTGTTTATCCGTGATTTTGCACCTGAGAAACCAAAGTGACACAAGTAGAGATTACCACTCTTAAATCCTTTTAGGCCAAAAGGTAGGCTATAAATACATTTAGTAAATTAAAACTATTTACGACATGTAAATCCATTTTTTTAGCAATATAAGTGGCCTTTAAACATCCTCACGCAGATATGATGGGAAGTGTCACTTGATCTTTTTAAATACCACCTCTCCAAGCTGAAAAGTTCGAGAGTTACCTTATAATATTTGACTTAGTATTTTATATTTAGCAATCAGGTAGGGAAAGTGTTGCAGTAGATTAAAAATACCTGCTTTGGCAAGCATATCAAAAGATCTTATCATTCTGAATCAACTACTGGAACTAGTACTGATAGGGCATGTTAAGAACTTGTAGTTTTCCAAGTTACTACTTGTAAACCTAGTGTAAAGGAAATCTTTATGTAATGTGTGTCTCTTTTCCTATCACGGTTTTTACAGTTTGCATCTCCAGTTTTCCTGTTACTTTGTAAAATGGATTTTTGTTTTTACTTTTCATATTTTTATAGTATATATGTACCACAAGAAAGCAAAGGAAGAAATATTTCCAAATAAGCTACCCAAGCTAAAAATCACAGGTGTCCTTGTGAAACTTTGCCTTAATTAATTTGTATCCTTTTCATGTCTATTAAAAATGGGTACCTTAAAAACATTTTGTCTAAATGTTGATTTAAAAAGCAAAAGTTTTTTTTTCTGAAGAAAAAACATTTTAAATAAGAGCGTAACTAGTTTTGATAAGATCAACTTTAAAATGTAATGTGTAATTAAGTAGAGGGAAATGGAGAATAACAATAATAGCTTACTTCTCAGCAAACAGCATTTTTCGTGAAAAGTGTTTATAATATTTATTAACATACAGAATTAGTCTTAACCTGCTAGAAAGAAGAGAAAATGCAACACCTTTCAAAGATGCAAATTGACAATTAACAAAACAATAGAATTCTAGGCCTTCCTTTGCAAGAGGTGCAAATTGATAATCAGGCTCTGCTGAAAAGCCGGTTGTTTCTATTTAAAAGTTATCTTGAGATGGAGGCTCCCCAAGGAAGAAGAAAATAAGAATATGGCCATGTTTGTGAAGTAGAACATCCTATCTACAAGGATATCATAATTCTACTGCTCTCTGCAGTTTCTATTTGAAAAATCCCAGCCCTTTTGGAGGAGGGATGTATGAATTCAGTGTCTCTGGATATTAACAGCATTGCTTTTCACATTCATTGCTGATTCAGTTCACTGCTCTGACCTTTACTTTTAAGGTACAAAATGGTATGGGATTAGGCCACCTGAAGAATCCAATAATACTTTTCTGTGTCTCTGTAGAGCCATAGTGTGCTGTGTATGTGTTTGTGAGTTTCTGTCAGGGCACTGTCCATATACACTCAATGCTCAATTTTCCATAGGTAGACGTTTCAGCTTCTCAGATTTAGTTGTTGACCTGATCATCAACTTATATTTACTTTGCCACTGGGAGTCTATGGGTGTGCTGGGAAGTTTTTTGTGTACTTTTTTTAAATTTCAGCAGGTGACCATAGTCAGTCTGCATTTGTTGAGCGCTTCTGAGTGCCAGGTAATGTGCTAGATGTTGTGAATACCAAGTTGATAGGACATCAGTCTAGTAGTGTTATCCAAGTCACGTGGTACCACAAAGTATCTTAGTGGCGGCAAATCCAAATGGGTCTGCAGCAACCTCGATTCTTGCCTCCTCAGAAGAAAGAATTTGCCTGAGTGAGATGAGGCAGAAGGAGAGACAGAGGCAAGTTTTAGAGCGGCAGTGAACATTTATTAAAAAGCTTTAGAGCAGGAATGAAACAAAGTAAAGTACACTTGGAAGAGGGCCAAACGGGCAACTTGAGAGGTCAAGTGCATGTTTGACCTTTTGACTTGGGCTTTTATATGTTGGCATATACTTCCCGGGTCTTGCGTTACTTTTTCCCTGGTTCTTCCCTTGAGGTGGACTGTCCGCATGCACAGTGGCCTGCCAGCACTTGGGAGGGGAGCAGTGTGTTCACTGGAGTTCTACGCATGCTCACTTGAGGCATTCTCCCCTTACCAGCAGAATGTCCCTAGAAGGTCATACACCAGTTAAACTTCTCCATTTTGCCTCTTAATAGGCATGCTTGAGCACACTCACCTAACTGCAGAGATCTTATCGGGAAGCTGCTTATCACCAGCTTCTGTTTTTTTTTTTCTACTGGGAGACTGCCTTTTCCTGGTACCAGCTGTGACCAAGTATTATTTTAGACAGACAGTGTAACAATTGCGTGACCATCACCTGATGGTCTCCTGACATTCCTGGTGGGGTTGGGGGAGCCCTCTCCTGCCCTGTTCATGCCTGACTAGCTACCTACTATAACAGTAATTCTCCAAACTAGAAAGAGAATGAGGCTTGAAGTACAAACTAACTTCCTTCCTTCCCTCCCTCCTTCCTTCCTTCCTTCCTTCCTTCCTTCCATTAGGCCACCTGAAGAATCCAATAATACTTTTTCTGTGTCTCTGTAGAGCCATATTATGCTATGTATGTGTTTGTGTTTGTATGTGTTTTAGAGAAGCAGTGAACGTTTATTAAAAAGCTTTAGAGCAGGAATGAAACCAAGTAAAGTACACTTGGAAGAGGGCCAAATGGGCGACTTGAGAGGTCAAGTGCATGTTTGACCTTTTGACCCAGGGTGGGTGAGTGGGTGGGTGGGGGGGCCGGCCTTCCTTCCTTCCTTCCTTCCTTCCTTCCTTCCTTCCTTCCTTCCTTCCTTCCTTCCTTCCTTCCTTTCCAGCTATACAGTACTAAATGAGAAAGACACTGTCTCTGCCAGATCCCAGTTCTTCCATTTGGCCCATTTATTGAGTCAGAGTCTGTGTATACAAGTATAAACATGTATGCAAGTATGTAAATGAAAAAAGACAGTCTATATTTTCAAGGATTATGACATTTTGACTAAATCCCTGAATCTCTCTAAGCTTCTATTTCCTCACTAGTAAATAGGAAAAATAATGCCTCTTTCAGAGGACCCTGGTGGGGATGAAATGAGACGACGTGTGTGAAAGTTCTTGCACAATTTGTACTTAATATGTTAGTTAAGTTCTCCTGTTCCAAGCTTGGACTACAGGTGCATGCCACCATGCCTAGCTAATTTTTTTTTGGTAATTTTTGTAGAGATGGGGTTTTGCCATGTTGCCCTGGTTGGTCTTGAGCTCCTGAGCTCAAGCGATCTTCCTGCTCAGCCACCATCTTTAATCATCGTGTAGTTTTTGGAAGGTGAGCATTGGTCCTTGGCAGAAGGTGATGGACATTATATAATTTGGTGGAGGGAACAGGCTGCCCAGTGTCTCCAGCTGTGTTCTCTCCTTTCTCATAGTAGCTGCCTTGCCCTTAGTCTGGGCACTCAAGCTGGGATTTGGGCATTTGTGACATTTGTTCACATTTAGGGGTAGGAGTAGAAGGGTGGCTATCATCCCCACCTACCTTCTTACTTGGGGTTTGTCTCCAAAAGGATGTTTTTGCCCCTTTCTCTCCCCTCTCTGGGTTTTGGCTATCTTGGATGTGAGAGGAAAATGCTCCATGTTTTGAGCCCCCAGAAGTGGCCTCAGCGTTGCCTCTCCCAGCATTCTTTGTCTTTCTCCTTGCTGGATGTGGGCTTCTTTGTGGGTGCCATCTAGGCACAACAAACATTCATCTTCCCTGCAAGCAAAGCCTGAAGAAGATTGATTGCACTTCCTTATGGTCATGGGAAAGTGTAAGAAATTTTTTCTCTTGTCAAAGTGGCCAGAGCGCTCTCTGCTTTTTTTATGGAAATAACAATCTTTGCATGACCCCAGTCCACACTTCGGTGGCAGAATCATAGATTGAGGGCCATTGCCCATTTGTCCTTTTGGAGTCACTTTGCTGCTGGCATTCTAAAAACATTACAGCAAGCTTTGAACTGCTGTGCCAGGTCTCGTCTTCTTTATCTCCAGATCAGAGCTGGCGGTGCAGGCATCACCCAACTTGTGCCTGGCTTCCCTGGCTCCTCAGAGGTGAACAGCAAACGCCCACTTTCCCCGCCTTTATCATTTCCTGCCAGCCCTGAATTCCACTTTCAGGAGAATTTTCTATGGGTGTGGGACTCAGTCTGACAATCTCTTAAGCAGAGAGTGATACACAATTTGCACCTGCTGAAACCTGTTCAAAACAGGTCAGATCTATATTTTCTGATCCTCACGTTCCTTGGGCAGAACCCATCCCTTTGCAGGAAGAGTTCTATAGGGTTGTTTTTGTTTGGTCTTGATTTGCTTTTTAAAATAAGTGTGGATTCTGAGGTGGAGATCTTTAAAATATCTTTCATCGGCTGGGCGCGGTGGCTCACGCCTGTAATTTTAGCAGTTTGGGAGGCCGAGGCAGGCAGATTGCCTGAGCTCAGGAGTTCAAGACCAGCGTGGGCAACAAAGTAAAACCCCATCTCTATTAAAATACAAAAATTAGCCAGGCGTGGCGGCGGGTGCCTGTAATCCTAGCTACTCAGGAGGCTGAGGCAGGAGAATCACTTGAACCTGGGAGGCAGAAGTTACAGTGAGCCGCGATCGCGCCACTGCACTCCAGCCTGGGCGAGAGAGCGAGACTCTGTCTCCAAAAAAAACCACACACACAAATAAATAAAATATTTTTCACTGCCTTTCCATCTTCTAGGTTTTCTCTTAGAAATCTCGCAAAGATTAAACTTGTTAGCCAAATCCAATGAGGCTGCCTCCCTCTCCCTCGTAGCAGACACTCTTTATCTGCTTATGGAATTTAAAGGCAAAACTCATTTTCATCAAGACCCTGATATTTCAGGAATGATTCATGAACCCCCATCTCTGTAGACAAGCTGTCCAACAGAATCACCATCACTGTCACAAAGCATATTGGGTGCAGTTCTAAGGATTGACATCTCTCTTTGTTACACTTAGGCGTGTTCAAGGATTTTTAGCAATCCCTGGAGAGATCCTTGTGCTTACTGTGGATAAACATCAGAACATAATCTCATGTGTTTGAGAAATATCACTTTCTTTATTTTCTACTATTTAACATAATTATTGACATAATTATCCTATAATAGCATAATTAGTCATAATAACATAATTATCGACTCTCAGGCCACAATTCTACCAGCCTGGTGGAAAAATCTAACATCAGTCATTGTGGGGTCTTCGGAACTCTTCCCTTTGATCATCGTCATTCTTCCAGCATCTTCTTCAGGACCAAGGCATTGATTGAGGGGGAGGGTGCCCCTAGGTTATTCAGTTGTCTTTGTGTTGTGGTAGCAAGACTTCCTGAGGAACTGAAGTAAGTCAGCGGTATTGGAAATGGAAGGCAGGAGGTAGAGTCAGCAGTGACGATGACCACGCTGATTGAAAGGTGAGGGAGAGGGAGGGTCTAGACTGTCCAGCCTCTTTCTTGGGGCACGGAATCAACAATCGTGCTAACAAGGAGAAGGAATATGAGAGGAGAGCAGGCTTGACAGGAGGACAGGTTTAATGATGAGTAAATTGGGGGACATGCTAAGTTTGTTGTACCTGTTAATCATTTGTGTAGAGATATATTGAAAATGGTCAGGAGAGTGATTTGAGCTAAAATACGAAGCGAGTAGAGAACATGGCCCAAGAGCGAGGTCTGCAAAACACCAGTGCTGTGGAGAGGCCTCTCCTTTTTATCCCAAAGCTGCAATCCTCTGTCAGACCACCTAGCTGCCAAACTGCTCAATCTTCCTCTGCTGTCAAGTTCTGAGTTCCTTTTATGGCTGTCAGGCTTTGATTTCTGAATTATAGCACTGAAGATATTCCTCCTTTAATCAGAAAATTTCCTCTTTTTCTAACATAGTACAGTCTCTTTGGATTGCATTCATGGTCCTTTCTGATCTAACCCAATCTTCCATTTCTACTTCATTTTCCATTCTTCTACCCAACATATCCGATATTCTAAAACCAAGACAGTTTTCCATTTCTTAGAAGAATTGTATATTTTCCTACTTGCTATTTTTCTTGGTTCATGCTATCTCTTTGACATGGAATTCTCTTTACTCTAAAATCTACCTGTCAAAACCTTCTTCCTTGACTCTTGATGATACATGCTATTTCTTTCTTTAAGAGAGAACTCCTGCACTTTATGAAGCCTTTCTTAAGATATTCATTATGTTACGTTCTGACATATATTTTTGTGTAGTGTATGCCGTAGACTCATCGATACTCAGTCCATTAGTATTGGAAAGAACCATCGAGCTCCATTAGTGCTGTAGCCTCAACATTATGTTTTAGTGGAACATATAATTGAACAATTGTCTTTCCCCAATTTTCAAAAAAAAAGAATAAGTTAATTGACAGAATTTTCTGAGTTTTCAGTTTACCTATTGTGGTTGGCAGCTTTTAAGGTGCCTCCCCCTCTCTCTCCCCTTTGATCCTCACCTCCTGGCATTCACACCTTTGTGAAATCCCCTCCCTTTGAGTGTGACATGGACTTAGGATTTGCTTTCTACAAACAGAACACAGGAGAAGGAATCGGTGACCTTCATTTACTCATGTGATGTGTTACTGAGCACTGCCAGAAACACAATTATTTAATGCAAATATTAAGAGACATCTTTTATACTTTCTTCAACTATAGGAATTACATCTGGAATACCTGTATTATAGTACTTATAACTCAATTAAGCTTCTTCCTACAAAGTTTGCTATATTTAAAGGAAATCTAAACTTAAAAATACCTATTTTTTTGTTTAGATACTGTGCTATATAAATAGAGCACCTATTGCCAGTGATTAACAAGGTTTCTGCTCTCATCAAGGGCCAAATATGTTTCACTTGACATTTTTCAGTGGTCAAATAAAAGTACTTTTTGAATTCCTATGAACATGATGTCTAACGTCTTGTTTTGTCCCCTATACTCTGTATGATTACTGTAATATGCTATTAACTTTTGGGTAGGAGAAATCAGTCAACTTTAAGGAATATCTGAACTATATTGGATGTGTATGAATTTTACTCATTTTTAATGATATTTTAAAAATTTTATGTGGCCAAGAAAATTCACCTACAAATATAGAGCCTTATACAACCTTCCTTCCTTTTGGTATATATTTGTGTTGTGCTGAAAGTTTCTTGTTGGCCTTTCTCTAATGGTATAAAAAATGGTCTCATTTGTAAGCCTTGTCTTATATAATGTATTCACTTTCCTTTGGCCTTTCTGGTTCATACTGATCTTGGTGTGCTTTTAAATTTGGTGCAATTTTTTGAGTGTGCATTATTTTCAGAAAATCAGGTTTTTTTTTGGTTTTTGTTACTGTTGTTGTTTTTCCCCTATAACTAATGTGAAGTCAGCAATTTCATTTTCCCCACTCTGAGCACTGTTGTCATCAGCTGTCCCTGTATAATGGCTTTTGATATGTCCCATTGTGACGCATTGGACCCTGTCCCTAGTTAATCATTCATATTTGGAGACTGATTCTGGGCAACAATGATGACATTCTCCCTTCATTTTTAGTATTGAAATCCTTGGCCATTCATTTTTCTCTATCATTTGCTGTGGGCTGCAACTTCCAGCCATATTAAAACTTTTAGCAGGGTTAGCATTGCCTTGTTTCTGACTACCCACAGAGAATTCTCTTAAATATACCCATAGCCTGGGAACTTGTAATGCTTAGGGAAAAAAAAAAATCAAAACTCATAGATCCATCCCTCTTTATACTTTTTCAGAGCCTGCTTTTCCCATGTTTTGTATGGCAAGAAGCAAGGTCTTGAAACTCTCTGAAAATGTTTTTCAAGCTCTTACTTACAAAGTGTCCCTAGAACGAATTATAGTGAAAAGTACTTGTATAGAACCCTTCCCCGTGGGTTTTTGTAGATAGATTCAGTGCTCCAAGAAATCAAGATATTTGTGAATAGACCTATAACAATGTTAAATTCATATAAGCAGATACATGTTATTATTTTGTCATGTCTTCTTTTAATTGAATAATACCCCATGGACATACATATGTAGGGGTGAGAGAAACAGAGAAAGGACAAAATGGGAATCAGTATAGAAATATCTTTAGGAGATATTTTATGACATGTCTGAATCTTCTTGTATTTGGATAGAACCATGCCCAAAAATGGGAACTTCCCACCCAGTTGTATTTTACATTTTATTTTATTTTTTGTTGAAGTAACCAAGAGAAACTTAGAGAAACATGTCTATTACACTAAAGATATTGAGATTTTATAAAGACCTTATGAACATGTATTCATATATGTGAACATAAATAATTATATATATATATACTTTGTAGCAAAAAAATACTATTACTTCTTGTCTCATCAGAACTGATGTAGTTGCTGTATTTTGCCCAAAGAACAGAATTGGGGGAAAATATTCTTAGTGTGTTAAAATCAGCTTGGATCATAGTCATTTTATCCCTGACGTCTGCATGCTTTATTGACTTCCTGCAGCCAGGGGTAGGAAAATGCATTTTTCTTCATCCTCCACCCAGGACAGTACAAATTTACGTGTGCGCACTCATGCTGGTTTAAAAAATTACAGAAAAAGAATAACTTCAGAAATAAACGTTTCAGTCAGAGCACTACATTATTAGAAACTGCAATAAAGGGCTGAATAATTCAAAATATTCATCTCCCTTTGCTTTATACTGTTTTATTAACAAGCTAACTGTTCTAGTATTGCTAGAAACTTTCCACAAAGTTACATTTTGGCGCCTGCTCTTTTATTTGAATGTGGAGAGGTGGAAAATGCATAATTCATGGTTATCATAATATATCATAAGATATTATGAGATACATTCATGATTATATGTAGTATATCATAAGGAATATTCATCATTGTAATAAGATATAGTCATAGTTATTGTTAGATGTATCCACTGAGATTGATGCTTTCCATAAATAATCCAGACACTTAAGATAAGGCATTTGGGGCAACTTTTTGAGACGGCTGTCATGGCATTTCAGTATAAAGTGGAATAGGTCTAAGAGAATGAGATTGTCTCTTGAATTGGAACACTTTCAATAACTACTATTGGCATTAGAGTGTCAGGATCAACAGCGACTTTATGTATGCAGTTGGAGGCAAACTAGGAAGCAGAGCTTGCGGGCTGCTTGTCCCTGGGTCTTCCGCGTGGCAGAAGGTTATGGCAGCTGCTGGCTCATGGCAGGGAGCACTGAGGCAACCTCAGGGCACTTGCTGAGAGTACAGAGACCCTCGAATTCTCGTTATTCCTAAACTTTTGTAGTGGCAGTGGTAGAAGAAGAAGGTTTTCTGTATGAAACTATGCAAGGATCATTTGAAAGACATAGGTCAACATTCTTGATAGATGCAAATTAAATTCCAGTTAAGGCACACATATTCAACATATGCACAGAGACAAAATGGTATAGCAGAAAGCAGTTTTAAAATGAGTGTCTGGTCCCTGCAACAGTAAAATCCTAACACTGGGTTCTCACAAGTTGTGGTGACGTGTAGACTATCAGCTACCTCTGGGATTGGGGCCTCTGTGAATAGGCAATATACTGTTTTTAAGACTCAAAGTATGAAAATTTAAGAAAGATTATAGTTTTGGAAAAACTATTACTGGATGGCTTCCTGGAAGAAAGAAGTTGTGGGGAGAGAGTAACAGAAGGAATAAAAAGTCTCTTGGTTCACAGACTGAAATCCATAATGCTATAGGATCTTTACAACAATTTCAGTGGTCTGTTATACCGCTCAGTGGATATGTTGCTTAGTGAATATTGGTCTCGTTGCAAGGATAATGTCCTATTTGAGTCCAAAATAGCTCACACATCTCTCTTGTGTTTAGTAATAAATTGCCACCAACCATCAGGTAAAAGTTCATTTTACAAGATTCCAGATGGTGCATTTAACACCATTTTTAAGGCTTCCTGTAACTAGCTAACGCATATAGTTAATGCAGATATAGCTGAATTCCAGTATACTTTAATTCTTAAATGTAGGGTCTCCCTTTCCTATATCCACAGGTTTTTCCCCTTCTGGCATGTTTTTCTATTTTTCTGAACCCAGAAGTTACCACTGGCAGAATTTCAGTCTCAGAACTTTGTCGACTATTAAAGACGTAGCATTGTGGCTTTTGAATAAGTCAAAATAAGTTTAAAATACATTTAAATTGTTCATGAAAGCAGTGTTTCGCTTTGTTCTCAGATATTCCCTAAATTCTTGAATTGTTTTTTTCTTGTTGAAGTTCCTAAGGAAAAGCTTGTACTTGTTTTGTTTCTTTAGGAAATGCCTCCAGAATTTTATTTACCTTTGAGATTTCTTGGTAAAATGAAGGGTTGTTGTGGCCTCTTTAGTCTTAGCAAATTAAATATCACACAGAGAGCATGGTAAGGGGTCATCAAATAACGGGTAGACACAGATGATAAGCATCATGTCAGAGGAGACACATTTTTTTGCCACTAGAAATAAGCCTTTGTTTGATGCAGAGCTTCGGATCACTTCGTTGGCGTAGTAGGAAAGAATGACATTCACTAGGGATAAATTCGTTTTATTTTTCTGAAATTAATTTATTAAATGAATTCACGTTCATGAGCCAGTTGGGAAGGCATATCAGGAAATCAAAAATGCTACCACATAAACTGTCTAGTGTTTGTTTATTTTGAATTTATATAGCCTCTTTTCTCTGGAGATTTGAAGATACTGTGCAGAAAATTTTAAATCTGTTAAACAATAGACAATAAGTTATAAAATGTGAATCCCTGCCTGGATAGGTTATAATCTCTGAGGCCTTTTAATATACCCAGATATAAGCACTGGCAGTTAAAAAGGAAAAAAAAAATACTTAAAATATGAGATTCTCACCGGGCTGGATATCAAGAATGAGAGATACATTGTAAACACCTTCATTCTTTCAGACTTGGGTCTGTTTTTTCCCATTTATTCTGACACGTAACATCAAATAGATAACTTGTCGTAAATTGCTGAATAGTCTCTCACATTTTAGGGGAATTGAGAGTCAAAGCTACTCAGGGCAATCATTGAAAAGAAATTTTCCCCAGGACTGGTGGTCAGTCTTGGAGATAACTTAAGAAGATAAAGACCCACCCAGAAACGCAAGAGTTAACATTGTAGCTCTTTGTATTGGTAATAAAATCTCTGAATTCAAGTGTTTCACCCTGCAAAGTAGAGAAAAGACAACTCAGTATCTATAGCTATGAATTATCTTTGAATATTGATAACTGCTGCATTCTCACACATAGACCCAATACTTGTAAACTTTCATTGTGAAATAACAGCTCAATACCCTTTCCTGGCCATCTTTTTCTAATAATATGAAAACTCTTTGTGATATTTTACATACTGAAAACTAGGGATTTATGTGGTTAACTTTCTCACTCCTGGCTATTTACGTACTTAAAAAATTTAACCTTCCAAAAATACATTCACAATTAGGTTAAAAAAATGTAGTTTTTTTTTTTTTTTTTGACTACTCTGGGATCAGAATTAGAATTATGGTTTTGCACCTTCCTATCTGTGTGACCTTCAGCAAGTACATAAATGCAAGTTCTTCTCTCATAGTATTTTTCTGAGATTTAAATGAAAAAAGTATATGTAAAATACTAGAAATAATAGGTGACACATAGAAACTGTTCTATTAGTACATATTAACACTGTTGCTGCTGGTGCTACTACATAATATAGTATTTGAGTATAACATTTCTACATAACTAATACCTGGCCCTATTACTCATCTCCATTGATTAAAATATCGTGAAACAACTTTTAAAAATATTAGGAATACATACCCGTTTTAATACACTTGGAATTGGAAGAGAAGTTTGATAATGTTTTGTAAGATCCTTTAAAATTCAGTTTCTTTAATTTAAAATTGCCACTGTTGGCTGGGCATGGTGGCTCACGCCTGTAATCCCAGCACTTTGGGAGACCGAGGTAGGTGGATCACTTGACTCCAGGAGTTTGAGACCAGCCTGAGCAATATGGCAAAACCTTTCTCGACAGAAAACACAAAAATTAGCTGGACGTGGTGGTGGTGCGTGCTTGTGGTCCCAGCTACTGGGGAGGCTGAGGTGGGAGGATCGCTTGAAACCAGGAGGTTGCTATGAGCCAAGACTATGCCACTGCACTCCAGCCTGGGTGACAGAGTGAGACCCTGTCTCAGAAATAAAACAAATTAAACTGCCACTTTTGGGGAATAAGAACATAATGTAATTTTTGAAGGAGAAATTGTCACTTTGAAAAAAAGGAGTAATGCGTATTCATAGGGAGGGTGGTTAATAGCTTTTCAGTAATAGTTAACCTACATATATAGTCAATAACTGTCATCTAGTATTCATATGGAAGTGCCAATTTTAAGGAAATAGGGAGTAGAAAAGGGTGAGCGCATTGATGTTGGATGCTGGCTCTCAGGATAAACATCGTTACTCCTGCCCAGCAGACAGTGCTAGTTATGAGCTGGCAGCTGGTACAGTATTCCCTTGCACAATTCTTTTCCTTCGGAGAATGTTCTGAGCAGTCACTCACAGTTCCAGACCCACAGATGCTGCGTTTCCATAGTGCAGTAGTTCCTGAAGTTCTTGACCTGACCTGCAGCACTGGGAATGCAGTGAGAATACAAAAGACAATCTTAAAAGGTATCAGATCTTCTCGGCTTGTTGAGTCATTTGCCAGCTATGGAGGATCTGTTCATTATTTGAAGCAATACTGCTTTAGCAATATTTAAGGAAGAGAGTGGGAATTTTACCTGTTTTGGTTAATTAATTTAGCTCGTGGACCACTTGTAGTAGTTAATGAAATTCCATTTCCGTATACCCACGCTGCGGTATTGGGCTGCTTTTCAGCCCATGCTGTGTGGAGAAAGAAGAGAACAGTTTGTTTTATTGGAAAGAAAGAAAAAAATCTGAGAATGGGAAGACTGTCGAAGATGAAGCTCAGCGCTGGTTGTTTTGAACAGAAAGAACCAGTGATTTTAAACCCATAAGTGCTGTGCTCTGTAATGTACATTACATTAGATAAGCCTCCTGGGTAATGAGTATTAGTCACTTTCAAAATTTTCACCGAATTACAGGTTGGATCTACAGTTTTAATTACAAGGAGGAAATTTAAGCAGATGATTAAGAAAGAACCTAAACTCTATTTTAGTTTCCTCTAAGTTAAAACTGTAAACGACTTAGCATAACTACCGTCATGTCTCTGACTGTCAAATACAAAAAATTATTAATTCAATTAACTGTCTGGCAGTTTAGGGTAATGAGTAGATTAGGGATTAGCTACAGGACCCTCTGTGTTTGTGTGTGTGTGTGTGTGTGTGTGTGTGTGTCTGTCTGTCTATGTAGGGCCATGTGGGGTCTGCAAGTATCCAGGTGGCAGAAACTATACTAAGAAATAAAAGAGAGCAGCATTTTTTCAAACTACTTTTTTTTTTTTTTTTTAAGAACAATGTATCTGCCGATTACAGATTTGCTTTCTAGATAACTGTGAAGTGATAATGCCTTAGTTAGGACAAGAAATCTACAGAACATATTGGCTGCGTAGGAGAGTGATTCCATATTACTTTCACTGCCCTGACATTTGACATGATTGCTACTGTCAGAAAGTTGAATTATCAGAATTCTCAGCGAGAAAGACACAACCATTGCTTTTCACTTCTTCAAAAGGTATTTTCCTCACTTATTTATGAGTTTTACAGTATAAATATCCACATATGCTTATAAGTGACAACTGTGTCAAGAAGGGAGAAACAAGCTCAAGAGGCACTGGTCTTAGGACCTGATTTTTGTGAACCATGGCTAGATCTATTCGGAGTTCTCACTTCTTCACCAAGGACAGAGTTTTAGAGAAACACTGCAGAAGGAGCGCTGTGGCTTCACCGTCAAATAGTCTTAAATGTCTGTGACTTCTCTCATTTATCAGCGAGGAAATCTCACAATAATGTGGAAACAGTTACCTTTTTCTATTGTGTTATTTTGCAGTGTTCCTACTGAAACATTCATGAGAAATGATGAGGCAGATGAATTTTGATGATGATATCTTAATGAAATAAAACCAGCGTATAAAGAGATACTTCTGCTAATGCAGAAACTAAGTGCCCTAGGATGGAGTCTCACATAAACCTTGGCTTGGTGTTCAAGTGAAAGATTATGAAGTTTTTCAGCACTGTGTTAGGATATTTTATTTCTCAGATTTAATTTTTTGTTCTGTGAGTGCTTCAGATTTTAAGGATGAGACATATTCTAAAATAATGCACTGGGTAAAATGAGATTTTTACTTAATGTTCTTTAGCAAAGACCATTGGCTTTATACCGCACACAGGTCCTGATTCATATAGTCTATAGGCAGCATATTAGATACACCAAATAAGAGGTACCCTGTGAAAAACAGTATTCAAGGCCAGGTGCGGTGGCTCATGCCACCCAGCATTTTGGGAGGCCAAGGTGGGCAGATCACTTGAGGTCAGGAGTTCAAAACCGGCCTGGCCAACATGGTAAAATCTCATCTCTACAAAAAAACTACAAAAATTAGCCAGATGTGCTGGTGTGCGCCTGTAATCCCAGCTGATCAGGAGGGGCTGAGGCAGGAGAATCACTTGAACCTGGGAGGCAGAAGTTGCAGTGAGCCAAGATTGTACCACTGAACTCTAGCGTGGCTGAGAGAGCAAGACTCCATTCCAAACAAACAAACAAAAACCAAGAACTTCAAAAAAACAGTTTTAGTTTCACTGAACAAAATATCCTTTAGTGAGCACAAATAATTCAGAGCAAGAAGTTTATTAGTCTTTATATATTTGCACTTCCGTCCACAGTGCATGCAGTTTTAAATGTCAGGATTAAAGTGTTTGGGGGTGTCTTAAATAGCCAGTACATGCATTGTTTCTTAACTTAATTTTCTATGTTGCAACAAAGACTTTGAATAGATACATGTACTTAAACAAGAGGGTATTGAAGGAGAAGTGTGAGTTTGTTGTACACGAGAGTATGAAGATCCTCTAGCACTAGAAAGTATTAGTAAGGAAAAAATGTGCTGTCAATAAAAGAAACCATTGGTATGTTGCTCTTTCTCATATATACTTATGTTTACTCATATATACTTATATTTACTCATATATACTTATATTTACTCATATATACTTATAAAAATTTATTTGTAAGTTCATATATATACCTTATACATGATAAATACGTTCTATATATGTCTGTGCTAAACTTTTGGTGAATATTTCTTATCGCGAATATAAAAACCACAAACTTGGGAAAGCTTGGCTGTTTCCTATACTTCATTGTGTCAATGGAATTCCATATTTTACCTTTTGTGGATGTTAAGACCTGGTGTGTTTTCTCAAACAGGAAAGGTTTCAGAAAATGCAGCATTAGGCCAATTGCAGAACCAAGAGAGATGAATTGTGCAATTTTTTGTAGATTAGATTTTCCTAACTTGGCCACTGTCGGCTTCATCCCTGTGGGGTCAAAGCTACTTTGTGCGCAGCAAATGAAACTTGATTTTCAGGGAAACATGTTTGCCTTCAGTAAAATGCAGCCACCGTAACAATCTAGTCCATCCAGAGATGAAGGTTGTAGCATTGCTTCCCTCTTAGATATATTGTTAGCAGTGTCAACAGTGTAGAACTGTTTAAACCTGCTGGACGCTGTGCATTTTGGTGACTCCATTCCATGTACCACATGTGAGAGGTAGAAAGTGTGGAAGGGGCGGTGCTTCTCAGAGTGTGGGCATTTGCATGGAGGTATTCACATTTGCTTATGAAATAGCCCCCTCTGAGTTCCAGAAGTGGAAACAAGAAACTAAAGTGCTTTATTGAAGTGTTTCCATGCATCCATGAAGAGTGTATTATATTTGAGATTAATATTAGTTACTGAGACCGAAATCTGGTAGAGAGAAGAGAAATAAAGGAATAGCTCTTTTCCTGGTGCCATTTCCTTGGGATGCTGTTCTGAGTGTTGAGGAAAAAAAAAAAACCCATGAGTTACTGATGAGGCAGCTGTAAACAGGGGAAGTGACAGATGTAATGAAAGTCTCAAGGCCTGTCCTACAAGAGGTCCCAGCACTGGTCATTTAAGCATTATTTACATGAAGGCGAACAGATGGATACATTTGATCTAATTCTGTGGGGTCCCTACATCAGAATTCTGTTTAGCATTTTGAATCTGCACTTACGAACACATGTATTTCTGATGCTTTTGCAGCAGCGACTTCCAGATCTTATTTTTTTCCAGGACTTAAGGCTGTCAGAATAATGTTATAAATGGTGCTTTACTATTTAATGGAGCTGTTTCCGTTCTGTTGCTATTTACTTTTGTGACAAGTTGATTTATTTCACTAGATACACCATAGAACAATCAAAAGATATAAACTAGGTTTGATACTTTATGCCATTTGAGGAGGAGAAAGGCTAAAGAACTTAACATAAACAGCCCTTTTCTGATAGTTTAGAAAAGTAGAATTTTCAGAAACTGGTATCAGTATGCCATGTCAGCAAGATGGTGAGATCGGTCCCATTGACTTAAAAAAGTGATAACAAAAATGGAAAATCAGCAAATCTTTACAATCCTGTCAATATTGATATTGATATATAAATGCCCACCTTCTGGAATATTAATGTCTGTCTCTAAATTATATAATCTGTGAAGATTCTTCCCCACCTTTTTTTTTATAAACTGCATAACCAGTCCTTAATATGTTGATATTCTGCTCTCACAGTGTTTTCAGAAGTATTTGTATGTTATGTTGAAGATTCTTTTTATAGATACAGCCATACCCATGTAAATTTTAAAAGAATTGTTGTAATAGGGGGACAGAATGTAATAGTTTATTTAACTGACTTAACTGGTGACTGTATAACTACCTCACATTAAAGATGATAAAAATTAAAAAGCCTTGGTGAAAACCACAGGCAGGTTTGTCTTAAAGTGAGTGAAGCTTAAGCCCATTCTCTGGTCACTGTTGAGAACTAGCAATGTGATCATGTGGGCATATGTTTTTGTTAGAATTGCAAATTGGTTATTATCACTATTTGTATTCCAACTCTCCTTCCATCACATATCACCTTATAGCTATAGTGTTGAGGTGATGTGGCCATTGGAGGAATCAGGTAAAGGAAAATAGATCTTGTTGGACTGAGTGGGATATATTGATATCATCTGCAGTCTCTTGTTATTATAGTATAGTGACTACATGTGATGTCAGTATATCTCACTCAACCCAACTAGATCTATTGGGTCTACATTATAGTCACTATGGATATGTTATTAGTAGCCATTCCATCATGGAAATGTCTCCCAGGAATAATCCTACAGCCGACTCACTTGAGAGTATAACACCAGGTTTTAGGGCCAGAGGTCATCTCTCATGTCATGAGAAACTTGAAGTACGCGGGTAGTGGAAGAGCGACTGCGTTTTAAATATATGAAGCCAGAAGCTAGTCTGTGGAAATTTCTTCGAAATGTTACAGCTCATAAGAAACTTGATTACAAGTTTTCTCAAACTTGATACAGTCTGAGAATATTACATGGCCTTGCCAAAATCCAGTTGTAAAGATGGAAGAAACTTTTCTTAACTAAGAAGAACAAAATTCTATCAACTGTGTCAGACTGTAGATTATCTTCTTTATCTCTACAAAATTCTCTTTGTGAAATTGTGGTCTATGTGAAAAGGTCAAAATTTTGTCTTTCTTTAAATAGGGTATCCCAAATCATGTAAGTTTCAAGTCTCACAAAATTTCTGTCTTCCCCTAATGAGTTCTCATTTTGTAGCAGGTACATAAGTGTAATGTATCTATGATCCTTCCATTGGCTTATAACTATGATGAATAAATCACATTTTAGATATTTTTTAAATATTGAAAAGCATTTCAAAAATTTTATTTATGCAACTTTTAAATAGATTTTCAAATAAATAATCCTGAAGCATTAGTCTCCTTTTTAGTGAAATTCTATTCAACACTATCCAGTTTTCTTCACTGCAAAAGAATCCCTCAATTTGATGAGACTGAGTAATACTGATCATATTGATGTCAGTGATTCTGACCCTGGGCTGCCATTGATCTTGGCACCCTGCCACTATTGATCATTTCTGGTTCAGGTAAGAACTAGAAACAACTGTGTTTGAAGTGCAAGTCACTGTTAGCATGTTTTCTTCTCCTTAGTTCCAGTCCTTACTTCCCTTTCTTTCTTGGATTCCTTTGTCAAGCCTGTCATAGTGCCTTGCTCAGAGCAAGTGCTCTGTAAGAGTTTGTTGGGTGAATTACAGTAGTTATTTTATGTAACTGTATGTTATTGTTACTTCCACCTCCACCCATCCATAAATGCAGCTACAGAGCAGAGACCACGGCACTTTCATCTCTGGCAACCACAGTGCTTCCTTTTATATAGGCAACACTCAATACATGTCGTGATGCTACATAGTGATGGTGGTGGTGGTGATACTGTCCTATAAAAACAGTCTGGTCAATCAGGAATATTGTGGTAATTTTTTGCTCATTTAGTCAGTATACTTGTCACCTCACTTTCTAATTCCAAGTATTAACTATCAAACCATACTGAGCCATACTGTATTAGAACCTATATGAACATACTATATTAGTAACTTAGAAAGTGTTACAACTGTACTCAAATCTTTATTGAGCATGATTTCCTTGAATTTCTTGCTTCTGTTTTCTGTTTCTATATGCACATTTTATGTGAATAAGATGAACATTAGCAGATTTATCTACATCTCTTCATTTCTATTCTACAGCAATAGCTCCTTAGAGTAATATCTGAAGTTATAATAATTTTCTTCATATCAGAGAGTTTCTAACTATGTTAATGGAAGTTAGGCTGGTTGCAGAGACATTCGTGAGAACTACCTGTGCTGTACCATTTAAACAATTTATTTGATCTCTCTTTAGCTTACCTGCTCATGCCTTTGGAACGTTGATGTTGACCTTGTTGGAACTTTGTCTATAATCATGATAAATCCCTCAATAAAATCTAACAGAAAATAACATTTAAATTTCCGAGTGATTTATTAACACTTTGGATACTTTGTGACGTGCTGTGTGCCCTTCTTAGCAAAGAGACTCTCTTATGACACTATATTCACATATTATTTTATTGACTGCCCAGTGCCTAATCATGTCATATTTTAAAAATAATAATAAAAGGAGAATAATGACAGTATAAACAGTAGATAATACTGAGTACTGCCTATTGCCTAATACGAAGGGAGGAATAATCTTTGTAAGCAGCAAGAAATAGTAAAAATTTATCAGCCATCAAACTGCAACCCTGTTTTTACAAGTAGCTATGTGAACTTAGCCCTGTGTCTGGGCTTCTGTTTCCTCATGTGTAAAATCAAGACCCCTGCTTCTTTACCTGACCTACTTCTAATCATCCTTTAAGACTCGCCTTCATTATCCTTTTGTCTGGGAAGCTATTGGTGGCTCCTGGAGAAGGCTGGGCCCTTCCCTTGCTCTAGGAACTTCCTGTGCATACTCCAACAAAGCCCTTAGGACATTCTTTTGAAACTATCTATTTTTATATCTCTCCCTCTTTATAGCGTGAGTCCGTCAGGAGCAGGGACCATGCCTTTATACCACCAGTGTGGCTGGGAGAGGGGGGTGGTGGGGAGGCAGAAAAGGAAAGTTTAGGAGGACACAAGATGGGCTCACATTTCACCTCTGAACCTAAATTCTGGCTCCAACACTGACCAGTTGTGTAGCCTTTGCCAAGTTACTTAATTTACCTAGGTCTTATCTTCCCCTAGTGGAATGAGGATAATAATGGCCGCCTCATCAGTGCTATTGTCAGAATAAATTTCAATAATATTTGCTAGGCTCCTGACAAAGTGCCTGGCATGTAGAAACCACTCAATTAATGCTGACTATTATTACTATCATTAGCCAAATATATTTTTGTGGAATCAACCTAACATTGTATGATTTTTAAGGTACTTTTCAGATATTAGAGTCTATGGTCATTCCCCTCTGTTTACTGACTAAGATATCAAAATAAATACTTTTAGCCTTCTGGATTTGGATATGAGGATAAAATGGCCATCTGTTAAAAACAGTATGCTTATGTTTTCTGGGTGCATTGTTAAGAACTGTGAAGGGTCTGAGATTTTTACCCTATTTTTAAGCTAATACAGCAGCCTGCATAGTTCTATGAATGCTGGCAGAAGACACTAGACTTTTGGATCGCAGACAAAGGAAAGTTTAGTACTCACAAGGAGAGTAGTAGACAAGGTATTAGCGTTTGTACCGGTTTTCTGAGCCCTGATTCCCACATGGTGATTGAAAGAGAGTCTGGTGATGTTTACACTTCAGGTGCAGAAAACTTGAGCTTAGGGAACCCCAGGCTTTTATAATGCACAGTAAGCATGTCTGACCTTTGGCCCTAAGTGAGACATTATCCTTGTGATACTGGATGGTAAACAAACCTGCCTTTTGCTCTACAGGAAGATAATAGCTCTATCTTCTAAGGCTTTCAAGATACAAATGTCCGGCCGGGCGCGGTGGCTCACGCCTGTAATCCCAGCACTTTGGGAGGCCGAGGCGGGCGGATCACGAGGTCAGGAGATCGAGACCATCCCGGCTAAAACGGTGAAACCCCGTCTCTACTAAAAAATACAAAAAAATTAGCCGGGCGTAGTGGCGGGCGCCTGTAGTCCCAGCTACTTGGGAGGCTGAGGCAGGAGAATGGCGTGAACCCGGGAGGCGGAGCTTGCAGTGAGCCGAGATCCCGCCACTGCACTCCAGCCTGGGCGACAGAGCGAGACTCCGTCTCAAAAAAAAAAAAAAAAAAGATACAAATGTCCTTAAGACCGTCCTGAAGAAAGGCCTTCAGTGCCTTTACTCATAACAAGTACAGAAACGCAAGAGATTCAGAAAGAATGGTCTGTCAATATGGAAATTTGTATTTTTATGGATTAGGTTTGTAACTTTCATCAGATTCTTTTTTGTTTTTGTTTTTTTTTTGAGACAGGTTCTCACCGTGTCACCCAGGCTGGAGTACAGTGATGCGATCACGGCTCACTGCAGCCTCCTCCTCCTGGGCTCAAGTGATCCTCCTGCCTCAGAGTCTCCAATACCTGGGACCACAGATGCAAGCCGCCATGACTGGCTACTTTTTGTATTTTTGGTAGAGAGGAGGTTTCACCATGTTGCCCAGGCTAGTCTCTAATTCTTGAGCTCAAGCAACCTTGGCCTCCCTCTTCAGATTCTTAAAGGGACATGTGAAAGAAAAAGTTTAAGTTTCTAAGTTCAAAGTCATTATTTAGGTGGTTACGTATCTAAGGACTAAGCAAGAAAGATACCTCCCATCATGAGACAGAGAATGAACTGTGGCAAAGAATAAAAGGTTCTCTGAGAATAGATTATTAATTATTATAATGTCTATTGAAAAACTTCGCAAGTAAAAAGAGAACCAAATTCACTTTTAAAGATTGGTGTGCAGGTGGTGGGGAGGGGCCGCACACTCCTTCCTCACCACGTTTTTTTTTTTAAAGGTTGGACATGCATTGTTGCAAGGTTTTCAATGTGTGCTATACACAGAAAAGTCAAAGGTTACTCCTTTATTCACAACTGAATTTCCATTCCCAATTCATATTATTGAAATGTGTAATTCTGACTTTCTCCATTTGCATCGCTTTATTTTTAACACTCTTATAAGCAAACTGTTATAAATACCATGACAAATTATTTTATGAACAATTTATCTCAGTAACGGTGACCTCTGTCACTTGAACCACTGTTCAATGCATTGTCAAACAGCAAAGATTAAGGCATAGGGCATTTTGTGGAATTAGTGACTGTCTAAGAGCTGATAGTCTTAGGCCAAACCAGTCATTAGCACCCAGAAAATGTTATACTCTGAAAGCATTATTATGTTTATGTAACAAAAGTAAGAGACAAAAACAGATGGCTTAAATGAAAATACTGCTAATCCAGGGTTTCTCAACCTTAGCACCACTTCCATTCTGGATCAGATAATTCTTTGTTGTGGGAGCTGTCCTGGGCACTGTAGGATGTTTAGAAGCATCCCTGGCCCCTACCCACTAGATGCCAGTAGCATCCTCCAAGTCATCACAATAAAAATATTTCCAGACACTCCCAAATGTCCCCCAGGGACATAATCACCCTCAGTTGTGAAGCACTGTGCTAATCCCACTTTAAAAGTAAAAACAATATTCTGTCAATGAATAAGAAGGCACATAGAGAGTGTTGCATAATCCTGATAAACATTCATGGCCCTGGAAAGAAATTAACGCTTCCATAGTTTGAGGGATTCCAAAATTTCCTTTTTGCCAGTTCTTACTCCTGGGTGTGATCTGTTATAGAGTACGGAGGGCAGTACAGAGGACTGGACTTGGGTTCTTGCCTGTTTCCTGCTGCATTGTTGTTCTGTGATTTGGGGTCTCGTAAGAATTTTTCTGAGTTTTTTCTTTGTAAGAGAGGGATCAGCCCTGTCATACCTACCATAAAGAATTGCTGAAGCTCAAATCAGATCGCTTAAGTAAAAATGACTTGAAAAGCCCAAAGAGATCTATAATTTTTAGGACAAGAAAAAATGATTTTAAGAATTTTTTTGAAAATTTTAGAGCATTCCTTGAAAATAACTAGAAGAACCCTGGGGCACTGCAAAAAAAAAAAAAAAAAAAAAAAAAGGATTTGAGAATCACTGTTTTTAAGATGCCCTTTAGCCCTGCTGAGCTCGCGCTTCTGTGTTCTTCTGGGTTGCCATGGGCTGAGTAGCCATGACAGAAGGCACGGTTGAAGGAGTGGTGGAAGGGCTTGGCTGACAGCGGCAAGGAAGCAGCACTTAGTGTTCAAAAAGCACAAGTACTTTGTTCATGTTTCCTCTGTATCCAAGAAGTTATCTGTAAATTGAGTAGAGATTTTAAAGACGAGAAAAAGTTAATACTGTAAATTTTTCAAAAATGAATATTGCTGCTTTAAATAATCATATCTGACTTATTTTCTGATGTTACATGTGTTTTATTAACTAAAAATACCTTGTAAGTTTTATTTAGCTTTCTTTTGGGTCAAATATGAATATCTTTTCTCTATCTGATGCTATGACTTTTTTAAAACTGCAGAATTGCAACAGTCTTTTCCCGCTTTTAAATATTTAGAACCAACCATTCCTGCCTGAAGTGAACATATCCACCTGAACTTCGGGGACTAGAATAATTTAGTCTCAGTTTAGGATGGGTCTTAAAGCTACATGACCCAATATCTAGTTTAGTTCAAAAATTCTATTCCCAGACCTCTGACAGATGGTTCTGTAGTCAGTCTCTGTTTGATCTTTTACCTTTCCTTGGTATGGTGTATGCTGGAATAAATTTACCAATGAGAAAACATGAGGCATAAATGGGTTAATTGTGTCCAAGATCACTTGGATAAGTAACAAAGCCAGAGTGACCCGTTCTTTCTGTATCCACAGCCCTTCATACACCCTAAGTCATTTGGCTTCCTTTAGTTTATGCCATTGCTGGATAGCTTATTTTAAAAAGTTATTTTTCATAATGTACTGAGATCTGTGTCCCCATAATCCTGCCAGATGCAGTGGCTCTCACCTGTAATCCCGGCACTTTGGGAGGCTGAGGCAGGAAGATCACCTGAGCCCAGGAGTTTGAGGTTGCAATGAGCTATGATGGTATCATTGCACTCCAGCCTGGATGACAGAGTGAGACCTTGTCTCTAAAAAAATTTATATATTTAAAAAACTCTTGTTCTTTCATCTGGAGCATGAGACAATATATCTAGTCTTACTCTTCCAAATGACAACCCTTCAAATATCTGATTGTACTTTATGACTGGCCCTCCCAAGCTCTTGAATTTGATCTTTTTCAAACTGAATGTATCTTCTCCTCCTAATAGTACCCGATTTAGCACAATTGTCATGCACACTATGCTCTGGGTTGATCTTTTCTGACTGTCGAGTTCCATATATACAGGATTGAAACTAGTCTGGAACTCGTGTTTGAAATATTGTCTTACCATTGGTGTTAGTTTTACCTACATTTGATTGGACACTACAATTATTAACTGTATTCCCTTTTTTCTCTTTTTTTACTGTCACGTCTCATTTTTTGCTTGCATTGTGATTGTCAAACATTGCAAGGTCTTGTGAATTATCCTTAAAGCAAATGTTTTCTTCTGTATTTTTTATTTATATAGTAAAACTTTATATTAAAGCAGGTTAAAGTTTCAGCTTGTGGATTAAGTCCATCATTTCTGTTTTAGATGTTTTCATATTTTAAAATTTCCTCACAGATTCTAGTTCAAATTTGATGAGGATGTCTTCATGTAGCTATATGATTACATAATTATTCAAGTGTTTTGGGTAAGACAAAATTATAAATATTATTTTTATCTTTTTCCGTTAATTATTAAGCACATGTCTGTTTCACAGAAATGTAATCTATATGTTTGATTCATCATCCCATAATTTTTCAAAATGTAATTTTGTAAGAGCCATTGAACATCAGTCATTTTTATGATGTGTGTGTGTTTATTCCTAACACTGGAAGGTCATGTTTTGTTATAAATAAACAAATGACTACATGTTAAACATGTCTTGTCTAAGACATAAACTTGGTTAACTAGTCGCTGCCACCTACCACTGGAAAAATGTATTTTCATGCCAGACTGAGCTACCTCCTTAAAATAGACTAGGCAGATTTCCATGATGTTAGGCACTGATGTAGAATTTCCAGAACCAGTATAGCGCTGCTCTTCTTTCACTGGCCCATAGATTAAGACAAAGCAAGTTTGTAAAGAATATCGATAAGCAATCAACAAAAGGTATAGAATAAGAATAGATTGTTTATTGTCATGTAAAATAGATTGTACATGAAAACATGAATATTATATGTGGGGAATCATACTTAAGGCATTGCAAATATTGGACCAGCATACTGGGCCTCATGCTGTTGAAAGGGTACCATGCTTTACAAAGTCTTGACCTGTTAATACTTCAAAGGAGCTCAGAATAAGGGGGATAAATGGTAGTTCTACCAACAGATAATAAAAAATAAAATAAAATTAGCAATCTGTATGCTCAGGGTCCAAGCAGGAAGTCAGAAGCCACTCTGATTATTTTTTTTTCTTTCTTTTTGAGATGGAATCTCACTCACCCTGTTGCCCAGGCTGTAGTCCAAAGGCTTGATCTCCATTCACTGCCACCTCCACCTCCCGGGTTCAAGGGTTCAAGCGATTCTCCTGCCTCAGCATCCCAAGTAGCTGGGATTATAGGTGCCCGCCACCACGCCCAGCTAATTTTTGTATTTTTAGAAGAGATGGGGTTTCACCATGTTGGTCAGGCTGGTCTCGAACTCCTGACCTCAGGTGATCCACCCGACTGAGCGTCCCGAAGTGCTGGGATTACAGGTGTAAGCCACCACGCTCAGCCTGATTATTTTCAAAAGGTGGTATATAATGTTGGAAAATTGTTACACATTGACAGTAAAAATTGTAAAAGAGCAACCTAGGCTTCAGGAACAGCAAAAAATTGCTACCACCTTTATACTGGAGAGACAAAGGGAATAGATGGGGTTACCAGGGTCACTGGACTGCAGCTGGAACCATGTGAGCCTGCCTGGCAGGAGGTAGACCAAGAAGAGTCTGCTGCCTGAGGCAGGAAGCCAGGAAAGACGAGGGAGAAACTCAAATAGCAGAAGGTTCATAGATGCTGAAATTTGGATGTGGTTGATGAGGGTTTGTTTTACTAGTATCTCTATTTTTTAAATATGTTTGTAATTGTCTATAATAAATGTTTAAAAAGTTAAATGAAAGACACGCACACACACACACACACACACAAAGAAAAAAAACGTGTGCCTCCCACATTCTCCTTACACCTCCATCAGCTCTCCTCCCAGTAGTGAAACTCACCTGGAAGGTGACTCCTAGAGAAGCCTGAGAAACTTGACCTCCAGGGATCAGCCTACACCAGGGATTAGCAGAGCAGGGTATGGGCAAAGAAAGATGTGTCTAAAGCAGAGTGGCTGGCAAGACCCTCACCCAGGGCAAATGAGGCAGTGGCTCCCCTCCTGCTGTTCACACAAAATCTTCACTAGAATTTCCTGTTGTTCTCTAAGACTTTCTGAATCCCCCAAAGATAACCGCTACTTAAATCTAATTTTGTGGGATTGGGGACAGACAATGCGACTATCTGACATAGCCTCTGGCTGTGAAACCCATGGTGAGCCTTTGGACATTGCAACGTCCATTTAACCCAACCACACTTTTTACATACTTCCTGTTCACTTCCATTTACATGACTTCTACATAGTAGAGTCTATGAGTACTTAGAAATTTCAGACAAACTCTACTTTAGCTGGAATATTCATGGTTTTAGTTTAAATTACTTACCTTGCATAGAGAGTGAGCATTTGGGTAAGGAATGATTATAACTAAAACTTTGCCTGTTATAAATTAATGGCTTTCGGCACATATTGGTTGCATTTAGTTAATAATAAGAAAAAACATACCCAAGCTTTTATATACACAGCCACAAAGATTGAAAACTGAAACAAAACAGAAGGAAATAGGAGTACCCTAGCTACGTAGTTATTTGAATTAACATGTAAGATATCGCTATCGTGTTGGAATGCATCTTTATACTGATTTTGTATTAAAGAGTAGGTTCTTGGTTCTTAAAAAGACGGAGTTTAATATTAACAATAACACTTTTCCAAGTAAGGAAACTCTAAAGTCTTTTCAAGGACTACCAGGTATGGTTGTGCAGGTGGCATATTTTCTGAATGGCCTCCCCCAAGGGGTCATCTTTTTGTTACTCAGACAAAGGCACCGTATATGCAAGCAACAGTCCTGGCCTTCCAACACTGATATTACCAGGAGGAAAATATTGCTGGGAGAAGTTTTGTGACCTTCTGTAAAGAAGTTTGACTTTTAGGATCAATATCAGGATTCTAAGAGATACCTGTGAAGACTTCTCTTGGCTCTGAGCAAGACAGAACCACTTGCTGGTTTTAGATTTCCAGGTTTGCCTATTTTCATTTAGCCAAGAATACTTTATATATTTATTTTTACAACATTGTGGGTAAATCTTGTTAATCCTTTGAGGAATAGTAAAACCTTTAATTACATTAAGATCAAGATGGGATCACAAAGTGTTTTTCTGTTCTCCAGTGGTTAAGACTACGGCACGTTCTCAGTGCACATGCACTAATATACTAAGGTACATCTGTACTAACATACAAGTTAATATTTATATATTTTACAGAAGCTAAAGTATTTTAATCACTTGGCCAAAGAAACTCACATAAGGCCTGAATATAGATGTTTAAAACACAGTGTGATTTATTTATGCAAAGGTAAAGCTGTCTACACAGGTCAGAAGAAATTTTTCAACCGGGTCAACATGGATGGCTTTTAAAGAATGGATGGCAAGTATTAGCAGTAGTGATGCTTGCAGGTGCTGGCTTCAGATGGGGTCAAGACCCAGATCTAGCACTGCCCTAATTAACTTAACCTCCCTGCGCCTCAGCACTAGGAAATGGGAGCGGCGCTAATAGTACCATCCTTCGAGGGTTTTGTGAAGATGAAGTGTAATGGATCTAAGTGTAAAGCACTTAGAATAGTGCTCGGTAAATAACACTAAAAAATCTCTTAAGGCTAATTTTTGATTTAAAAGAATCAGCTTTTTTGAGTTATCTATTGTTTTCCTGTTCAAATTGGGCAACACCTTTTTTTTTTTTGTTTCTAGTTTTTCTTATGCTTCTTGCTTCTTGTGCCTGACATTATTCTCGCATTGTTTTGAGATTAGGGTTTTTATTTTAAACATTTTGTAGATTGCTTTTTATTTCTTTTTTTCTGATGAATATTGATTTTTATTTATTTATTTTTTAATTTTTATTTATTGATTTATTTTTATTATACTTTAAGTTTTAGGGTACATGTGCACAACGTGCAGGTTTGTTACATATGTATACATGTTCCATGTTGGTGTGCTGCACCCATTAACTCGTCATTTAACATTAGGTATATCTCCTAATGCTATCCCTCCCTTTATTTCTTATATATTCCTCGTTTATCCCTTTTCTTTGTGTTCCTAAAGATATCGCATTTATTGATCATGTATATTCCTTTTTACTGAGGGAGGTGACATTAGGAAACAACAGCATAGCAAAGTACTACGGAATTGAGATTTGGTTGAGTCTCTGTAGCTCCTCCTAGTTTTAAAATTCTTTGAATCTCTGAAATTGAATATTCTTACAAATCTCTGAAATTGACCATCAGAAATTTGAGTAGGTGATGCCCCGGAAATCGCATCGAGGAACACAGTTTTCCTCTTACCCTCTTTTTTGGGATGTGTGTGTTTATTCAACATGTGTATATTTTCTCCTTTCCCCATCTGGCATCTGCTTTAGTACCAGCCTAGCTAGCTGTTCTGTGTCAAGAGTACTTTAGCCTTTTCATTATCAAAGAGAAAGAAATGAAATAATATAAAAAAGAAAATCCTTCCCCATCCCCCTCATGCTTCACTTTTGTTTTGCTGTTTCTGAGCAAGTTTCTTGCCATTTACCTTTGCATTTGCATTGCTTATTGATTGGCAATTTTAAAATTGTTTATTGTGCTCTTTTGTTTCACTGTTCAAGAGCTAAAACAAAAGCTACCAGGCCCTGCGAGGTACACATTTGCATGCGGTGAGCGTTGCCCAAGGAAAAAGTAATTGCTAATGCATATTTATGTGGCACAAATTTGCCATTTGTTTATGCATAAAATTATCAATAGTGCAGGGCGGCCCAGCCGTAGAAAATGGTGACCTTTTTAGCTTAATAAATAGAAATCAGCTGTTATTGTGAAGAGATCAGCCATTTATTCTGTGTTGAGGGACATTGCTGGGAAAATGCAGATTGGGGCTGGCAATATCATTAAATGGAAGGCCAATGACCCTTTCCGTAGAGTCTATTATACTTTATCTAATAGGGGATAAATGACTCTGGTTGGCAAATGGAATAAAGAACAACAGTTTTTTTTTTTTTTTTTTTTCCTTTTGGTAATTTTATAACCGTATAGATTTTAAGCCAGTAAAACTGAACTGGAAATTTCATGCTGACCTGTTGCTAGTATTCTCTCAAAAACTATCTGTTTTAAAGTTTGTTTTCTTACTCATTATTCTCTTTTCTATTTGTACCCATGGAAACAAAAAGTAAGTCAGGTGATATTTTCCTAGGAGAAAAGTTCTTTCCTTAATTTTTAGGTTTGTTTTTTTTTTTTTCTTTCCTCTCTCTCTCTCTCCCTTCCCCTGACACTTTAATCTTTGCAATGAAACTGAAGGTATCTTTGCATTTGTACTGGGTTGCCCTATATTTGATATCATAAAAATACTAAATGTAGAAGAAGATATTCTCAAAATTTTAAAAAAGTTACCAATGTATTATGCTAAAAAAAAAAACCTTAATACTTTGTAAATGATAAGAATGGCTTTTGATGAAGTATGTGGGTTCTTTGGTTTGGAGAATGTTCTGTAAACATAAAACCCTCTCATAAGCATACTTTCTCAATATGTGAAACACCAAGCAGTAGTCACCTTTTGTGATTGTGTCCCTGCTGTATCTGGTAAATGAAATACCCTTTGTTTCCCCGGGGCTTGCCTCTGTCCCCTTTAATGTGGCTTGATCACACACTATGTCTATTTGGCTAGTAGTGCTTTGGTATGTTAGTGAACATTTCTGCCTCTTAGGAATTTTTATCCAGTTTTTTTCAATCATGATAGAATTCACTATTAAGTGAAAGCTGTGTTTGTTTTTAAAATGATATTATGTAATATTTGATCCACTTAAAATTTTATATAATATACTTTAAGTTATGAAACAAGATGATGAAACAGAGACCCGTCAAAGCACCTCAGAACATGGCTAACATCTTTGAAGCTACCTGCGTGCTCCTCCCTGACTGTGTTTCTTAACGCAATTTCACGGCACAGTGTTGAAAGTTTCCACAATAGTGGTTTTGCAGCCACCAATCTTTCCCTCGTGCTGCACTTTAGTATGACAGTGCATTCTGCAGCATGTCACCAAAGTGACTGAGTAACCTTTTACTGGCAGAAATGGGTCTGTCCTTCCTTTTTAAAGTAGAGGGTGTAAATAGGATTCAGACACTAGGGTACATTAGTCCATAAAATGAATATATTTTTTATGTCATTTGTAAGGTATTGATTTTAGGTCCATTAGATTCACAGTCCCTAGTGGGAGAAAAAAAAACAATGATTTAATGGGTAGGTTGGAAATTCCAGAAGGAAGAGCAGCATGATTAACCCCTTCTTTCTCAACTCCCTGCCTGTGTTATATAGTATGTTCTAGAAGTTGAGACAAGAACCTTGGGAGAAAGTGACAGAACTCTTATCATCTGTCTCCCCTGCAGTTTACAGAGGGTCAGAAAACAAATTTCAGCCTAGTTATTTCTGTGTCTCTGAATGTGATAGAACGGATCACTAGGGGTTAATAAGAGTTGCCAAAATTATTTTTTTAGATGGGAGTTTTTAAGTTGATGAATTCGTTTTATTTTTACAAAGTTCAGAGTGTATTTATTTATTTTGAGAGTCTTAACAACCTAAGATATTGTTTAGGGACCTTAAAGGATATGAAGGAATTGAGCTGAGTTTTTTTTTAAGAAAATTTTTTCTCTCAACTCTAGGAAAGGAAAGTTCATTGTGGTATCATGCCAGTTACAACGTTACTTACACAAGTTTTAAGTGATATTAGCGATATCAGCGATCTTAGTAATTTTTAAAGTAGGTTGTTTCCTGTTCTATAAATACATAGAAAATTATTGGTTTTTACAACCTCTTTTCTGATAAAAGAATGACTGAACTATCATTTCACTGCTCTGTAATTAAATTTGGGTGCAGAGTACTTATAATAATTCTAGTCAATTTCACACACCTAATGTTACTACCACCTAAAAAGAATTTTCTCTCAGGCTGCTTTGCCAGCTACATCTTCATTCTTGTATCTAAAAAAACCTAATTATAATATAGGTAGGAAATGTTTTTAAAATTCCAATTATATTTCCAATCTTTTGCCATAGTGATATGTTATCATTGAAGAAAAATATGCCAACTACAATCTGGTTACCTCAAAATTTGACTTGACATAAAGATGATGGTATCAACAGACATTTTTAGAACTTCATATTTTAATTCAAGTTTTTCATGTTCTATAATAAAAATATAAAAATACAAGCTCCCTCTTGTGGGTAAAATTACCACCTGTGAATTTCTGTGTCACCCAAATATATGATATGACAAAATTTCACTGTTCCACTTAGTAAACACAATTGTGGTAGTAGTGTAGTCTCTTTACAGTTGGGCAGATGAGACAATTCACTTAACTAAAAAAAAAAAAAAAAAGTGGAGTTTGTGGTATTTTTTCTAAGTACAATTTTTTATGGAAATACATTTTTAAAAATCCACTGACTATATATAGACAGCCTTTATTCTACTTCAGCAACATACTTTCCCATGTTAAAAGTTTTTTGTTGTTGTTTTGGTTGGCTTTTGTTTGTTTGCTTTTTTGAGATGGGGTCTCATTTTGGTGCCCAGGCTGAAGTGCAGTGACGCAACCACAGCTTACTGCAATCTCAACCTCCTGGACTCAAGCAGTCCTCTCACCTCATTCTCCCAAATAGCTGGGACTACAGATGCATGCCACCATGCTTAGCTAATTTTTAAATTTTTTGTAGAGCTGGAGTCTCAGTGTTGCCCATGCTAGTCTTGAACTCCTGGGTTCAAGTAATACTTTTGCTGCAGCCTCCCAGAGTGCTGGGATTACAGGCGTGAGTCATCATACCCAGCCTGATGTTCAAAGTTTTTAATGATAATTTTTCTCTTTGTGGAATATTCTTCAATGAAGTAATGAGTAAACTAATAAAGTAATGTGGATTCTTCTCTTTGTCAACATTGTGGCACTTGAATTTCTGTGCTTCCTAACAAAAGTTCTGATTTTGGAATGGAGTAAAATGCTTCTATACGAGGCATGCTCCAGGAAGATATAGTATGGTAATAAAACTATTCAAATACTGTAAACCTTGTGATCAAAACTGAATAATCAGTGATGATATAAAAATAAACACCCAAGAGATTACTCAATTTCCCTTGAATTGGACTAATAGCGGAGCGACTGAGCCAGAATCAAGGCTGTGGCTCCTACCGTGTACAGGTTCCTTGCTTTCATAAGTCTGATTCTTGGGAATCTCAACAGATTGTCAGGGCCGATTTTTGTTCAGCCTAGGAAAATTGGTAACAAAGCCAGAATTTTATTCACTCATGATAGTGGCAAGAGCACTTTCTGAAGTTGAGCTGAGCACGGCACTCAGAGAAATACATAGCAGTGATGGAATGAAATGAAAAATAGCTGAACATTTAACAATTACTGTGTTGACCATTGCTGTTATATGTTTAAATGGGCTCAAAGAAGAGACCTAAGAGGACACCTGAAGCTGTCTCATGAATCATTTCGAGCAGCAAGAATCTACCTTAGTTTAGCCTGTCCTAAAGCATCTGCAGGATATTTACATTAAAATTGGACCACAACAACTACTGAGTTTTTAGATTAATTGTGGTGGCTTTATAATGCCAAGATAATACCCCTTCTTCCACAAACCATAATTTTATTACATTTATATATGTAAATTTACATTTAAATATATATTTATATATTTAATATATAAATATAAATTTATATACATATAAATTATATACATATAAATATATATTTATATATTTAAATGTAAATTTACATATATATTTATATATTTAAATGTAAATTTACATATATATAATGGTTTATCAATTTACATATATAAATATAAATTTCTTTTGAAAACCTTACACATTTTCTATTTTCAAGAGTCATATGTTCATATTTACTAAATAAAACAATGCACTGTTAATGGTCTACTTTTATTTTTCCAGCTTTCCTCTTGCTGATGACATGATTCCTGTTTGAATCTGTTGACAAGATTCTGAAAGCTGAACAGAGAATTCTGGCACTGCACTGGGTAGGAAAAAGGTATATTCATAAAACACATAATAACACTTTTGAAAAATTGATAACTATTCTATTTCACAAAAATGGAAGTTTATATGCTTTCTCTTATTTTTAATTTATAAGTAAAAATATATAAAACATATGCATATAAAAGTATAGTACATAGTCTTTTATATTCAGATGACAACTGGCTTTTTAATTATGATTTTGAGACTCATTATGATGGTAATGTCTCTAAACTGGCAGATGATAGCAACATTTCTTTTCTTTTCTTTTTCTTAATGAGATACACTTTTTCTGAAGTTGTGAAAGCTTTTTTCTCCACTGAAAAATGTTTTTTGAAACATTTGTTGCTACTTTTTTGTTGTTGCTTCAAAATAAATATTTGGGATTGCAATGGATAGGTCACATATTTTAGAAAAATTTCTATAGGCTATTAAGTATTCCAGGGTATGATTCTGTTAATACATACGAAAATGTAATATTGCTGAAGCCAGACAAATATTTTCTAATTTACTGACAGAAACATTCCATGGGCATCTATCTGTGTGTGCATGAAATCCCTGTTTGTCTTTTCAAAAATGTTATACTCTTGGGAACAGGCACTGAAAGTTTGACCACAGATCTAGAGTTGAAAATCCTTTTCTAATTTATTGATTGACTAGTCATCATGCAGGTAACTGCAGAAAAGGATGAAAGGAAGGAATTCTGTTGTTCAGGAGAAGTTTGTCACCAGTAAGATTGAAAGGGAAATCTCCTTTCGTTGATACCTGAAAAGAATAATGAAACACTGTTCATCTTGCATAATGACTTAAAGCTCATTTATTCAGAAATCTGCTCTTACAGTGTTATGACTTATGTTCCCACCATTTCAAGATGCAAGTGTATGTGTGAAAACCCTTAGAATTAATGGTAGTGGTTACCTCTTTTAAAAACAAAATTGTTAAAATCCCAAACAGTATTATTAAAATACTTATAACTCAGGCTTCATATATTCACAGACAAATGAAACAATATAATATAGAAGAAAACATAGCGAATAATGGATTTTTATACTAACAAAAGTGGAATAAGTCACAACCAAATTATTCCAAACAAAAATTCTATAGGTTTACAGGCAAAAATACCAATATAAATAAAATTAAAAGGCAAATGACAAACTGAGACTACTGCTTCTAATAAATATGGCAAACATTAAATGTAAAGAGCAGTTATAAGAAAGACAGTGATATCTTAATTTAAAAGATAATGAGATACAAGAACAAGTAGTTAATAAGGAATATAACTAATACAAAAGGTAATAAAAGGAATGCAAAGCTATGCCTCACTTATCTAACTAGGGGAGAGTAATTTGGAATAATAATAATATAACAAGAATGTAGAGAGATGGACATTTTCAACAATTTTGGGGAAACCTTGTGTTTGTTCAACTTTCCAGGAAGGAATTTGGCCACTTCTGTAAACAGCCTTAAATGTTGTCAAAGCATTCTATGTAACATTCCCATGCTATTAGTTTGGAAGATATTTAGTTGCAAGTGATCCAGATCCAACATAACAGTTTAAACAAGATAAAATTTTATATTTCTTTTAAGTTAATTTTCATATATTTATAAGTGGAAGATTTTAGATAGATTTAACTGTTCAGCAGTAGAGCAGTGGCTAAATAAATTTGAATACATTTATATGATGGGATATCCTGCAACCAGAATGAAATGAGTATTTCATTTGATATTTAAAATTTGATATTTGGTATTTAAAATTCTTTTCTAAAGAATTTTAAAAGACATAAAATTATGCATAATGCAATGTTAAATTAAAAAATCAGAGTCTACACTAAAGATATACTATGTTTCCAAGTTTGTGGGTATTTATGTACACACATGTATGCACATATATATCTCTACATGTGCATATATATTACAAACACAGAAAAATTAATAGAAAAAATAATAAACACATCGAATATAATTAACTCTGGATAATGGACTCATGAGAAGTTTTAATTTTCCTCATAGTTTACAGAGTTTTTAAATAGTATAATTTAATATTAAAATTTGAGAAATATAAAAGGTGTGGATTTTCAGAAGGTATATATAAGCTGCTAAGTGCCCCTGTTTGTTAAGACACTATATATATCTCTGTTCAAGGAGAGTTGAAACAGCCCAGCACCCATCCTTTTGGTTACTTTTTCCCAAAGTCGGGTTGAAATGAGGATTCCTGCTCAGTAGATCCATACAACCACTTAGACATCTTGATCATATTGCAGCCTGGCTGCCTCTTTTAGCTTAGGGCAGTTCAAGGTACCGTGCTACAGTTCAGTGGCATTGGATAAACACATGAAGGCTTCTGGTATGCATGCCTATTTCAAAGGCACAAAGCACAACTTGTGTATAAGTGGAAGAGGTTGAGTACTGCAGTTCTGGATTAAGATTTTTTTTAAGTATTATGTTACCTTAGAATATTAGAAGAGTGAGAATCTAACTCTAAGATGAGTGAAAAATCACAATTTGATAGCAATGTGAGAAAATATTGTGGAGATGACAGTGAAAGCTTTTTTTTTTTTTCCTTTCAAAACCTAAACTGACTTTACTCTTTGAACTTGTAAGAGACACATGATGTATGATGTTTGGAAGCATAGACGTTGGAGACAGATTGTTTGGGTCTGTCTCCTAATTGTACCACTTATACCTGTTTACTTTTGGGTTTGTTCCCTAACTGCTATTGCTCAGACTTCTCATGTGTCAGAGGTAAATAATAATGGAAAACATTTTACCATGCAAATGGATACTATGTGGACACTGGTGTGACTAGTGTTTAAAGTTCATTAAGCAAAATAGACTTTAAAGCCCAAATAATTACTAGAGATAGAGTCACTTTATAAATGATTGAAGTTTCAATTCAATAGGAAGACAGAATAATTTTAAATCTCAATGCCCCTAATAACATAATCTTGAAGTGTATTAAGAAATAATTGATAGAACAATAAGAGAAATAAACAACTGTATAATAGCAGTGATATTAATTCACTTGTCTTAGTAATTGATACAATAAAATAGAAAAATTGGTGAGATTTAGTTGAATGGCAAAATTAAGAAACATGACCTTATGGATATATGTAGAACCTTGCATACAACTGTAAAATTTACATTATTGTCAAGCACATAAGAGACAATGATAAACATTGACCATATTCTAAGTCAATGAATATCTTATTAAATTAAGCCTCAACCATTTTCCAAGAATTAAAGTTGTACCACAATGAAATGAAGCTGCAAACAGAAATAGAGCTAGGAATATAGTTTCACAATTAAAAAGAAATCACAACGGAAACTAGAAAGTTTTTAGACTAAACAATAATAGATATCCTACATATAACAATTACAGAATGCCTATAAGAAGTATTTACTGGGAAATTTATAACCTAAATGAACATATTATAAAAGCAAAGGGCAAAAATTTATAGGCCAAGAATTCCTCTCAAGAAGTTATAAAACAACAAAATAAACTCAGTGTAATAAAAGGAAGAAATTAATTAAAGTAAGAACAAAATTAACAAGGTGGAAAACAGTCGTACAACAAAGAGGACTAAGAAAGCCAAAAAACCGATTGTTGGAAAAGGTGAATAAATGTTTCAAACCTCTGATGAGACTGAGCTAAAATGCAAGAGAAATGGGCAGATTACCAATATCAGTATTGAAAAAGGAAGCACCACAACAGATGTGCAGATATCAAACAGCTGGTAAGAAATACGTATAAATTTTTTTGGGGTAAATATAAAGAGTTGGATGAATGGGAACATTTCTAGAAAAATATAATGCCAAAATTTGCTGAAGTGAAGTAGAGAACTTGAATAGTTCTATAACTATAAAGGAAATTTAATTCAGTAATCAAAAATCGTCCTATAAAGCAAAAGCAAAATCTTGACCAAGATGACTTTGCAGGCAAATTCAAGGAAGAAATAAGTCTAATCTTTTTTTTGAGACCGCGTCTCACTGGGTGGCCCAGGCTGGAGTGCAGTGGCTTGATCTTGGCTCACTGCAACCTCTGCCTTGCAGGTTCAAGCGATTCTTGTGCCTCAGCCTCCCAAGTAGCTGGTATTACAGGCACATGTCACCACGCTTAACAGGCACATGTCACCATGCTTGGCTGATTTCTTTTATACTTTTAGTAGAGACGGGGTTTTACTATGTTGGCCAGGCTGGTCTCAAACTCCTGACCTCAAGTGATCCACCCGCCTTGGCATCCCAAAGTGCTGGGATTACCGGCGTGAGCCACTGCACTCAGCCAAAGTCTAATGTTACATAATTTTTTTTTTTTCAAAAGATAGAAGAGGTAACAATCCGAATTCATTTTATAATTATCATATAATTTTCATACCAAAGCTGATGAGAATAGTATGAAAAAGGACTTACAGGCCAATTCCTCTTGTGATTATAAGTGGAAATATCCTCAACAGAATATTAGCAATTCAAATTTGGCAATATATAAAACAAAAATTTAATCATGTAATCATTTAATATAAAATTATGACCAAGTTGGTTTATTCCAGAAATACGAGGTTTGATAATATGTAAAAAAATAAACAATTTAATACAGATTAAAACAGTCATATGATCATTTCAATAAATGCAGGGAAGGCATTTAATAAATTTCAACATCTGTTTCTTGTATTAAAAATTTTTTGGAAAACTAAAAGCAGGGAGGAACTTCCTTAATGTGATATAAAATACATACAGCAAAGATAAATCGTAATAGTAAAATGTTAAAGGCTTTCCTTCTGTGTTCAAGAACAAGACAAGGATATTTGCTATCACCCCTGCTATTTAGTATTTTTCTAGAAATCCTAGTCAATGCAGTAAAGAAAGATAAGGAAATAAAGTTATTAGGGTTGAAAAAGAAACAACTAACTGTCGTTATTGGCACACGATATGAGTTAATAAGACAATTTTGCAAGACTGATGCATATAATATAGTATAATGTACAGTTTTTCTATATATCAGCATCATTTTTTCTAGTTTCTGGTAATAAGAGATGCACAATATTTCTATGGGGAAAATTGTGAAACATTATTAAGTAATATTTTCTAAGGCTGATATGAATGATGAGATATACCATATTCATGCATTGAAAAGATCCAATATTGTAAAGATGTCTCTTTCTCCCTTATTGATTTATAAGTACCATGCCATCACAATAAATATTCTGTTTTTGTCTTTGTTTCTTGTTATCTGTACATTGTGTGTGTGTGTGTGTTTGTGTGTGTGTGTGAAATGTCACAAGTTAATTCTAAAATGTGAAAGGCAAAAGATAGTCAAGATACTCTTTATAAAGGAGCAATGGGTAGGAAGACTTGCCCTACAGATTTTATTGAGCTCCGTTAATTCAGAAAGTATGGCATTCCTGCATGGATAGACAAGTAGGCAAATGAGAGACAATAGAGAAGTCAGACTCTTGCAAATATGGATACTTTATTTCTAATAAGGGCAGTCCTTTAAAGTGGAGAAATAAATTTTTAATACGTGGATACTGAGAAAATTCATTTTCCATGTAAAAAATAAGATTGGATCTCTACTTCACATCACACAGAAAAATCAATTTTAGTTGGCCGAAACCTAAGTGTAAGGGACAGAACAATATTGACAGACTCTAAGATCATAACCTGGGAATATGGCTTAGGAGTAGAGAAGGATTCTTTAAGCCAAAAAAGCACACAACACATTTTCTTGTTGTTGTTTATCAGAAAACGCCATAAAAAGAGTGAAAAACAGGACCTAGAGTAATAGAATAAATTTCAAAAACATCATTGACAAGGTTGGTATTCAGAATTGATTTTTAAAAAACTACAAGTCGTTGTTAAAGTTCACATAGTCCAGTAGAAAAAGGCAAAAGAAGAAATGCAAATGGACAATAATTTGAAAATGCCCAATATATGAAATAATGTCCAAGACATGAAAAAATCCTTAGTCTCAGTAGTAGCCAGGAGATACAACATAAACTCTTAATGAGATTCCACTACACATGCCTCAGAATAGAGAAAAGTAGAACGTCTAGCAGTTCAAAGCGTTGACAAGGTTGGAGAGCAATAGCAACACTCATCAAGGGCTTGTTGGGATGTAAGTTGGAACAACTACTTTTAGATACAGTACCTAGTAAAGTTGAAATTTATAGCCCTTGCTTAAGCAATAGCAATTTTATTATTCCTAGAGATAAATATCCTAGAGAAATATGTGTATATATGTGTCAGAAGAAATCTACAAGATGGTTTACATGAGAAATATTTGTATTTGCCAAAAAATCCGGAAATAACTCAGCTGTAATCAGCAAGTTGGAAAATTATAGAACAATCGTACAATGACATGTGAAGTATTGAAAATGGAAGAATCTTAGTGCTGTAATTAATATTAGCTGGAAAAATCAAGACACATCAGAATACAGACAGGATGATTCTAGGCCAACTAAATTATATCATTTAGGAACACACTGTAGATAGGAAGACTAAAGACAAGCAAGAAATACTAGTGTAAAAGCCAGGGAGTGCTGATATCTACGAATGAGGAAAGAGGTTGAGGTCAGGGTGCAGAATTTGTGTCCAGGAACACTTCTAACTCAAGAGAGAGTGCCAGTAATGACCTGTGTGGTGCTTCCATGGGCATGTGCTTTATTACTATGTGTTAAACTGAACATATTCTGTACATATATCTCATGATAGATAAATCTTAAAATAATAGAGCAAATAGTTGATAGATTTCATTAATTTTTTTGTGGTGTTTTATGCTTTAAGTGGGAGAAATATCCTGGCAAATAGTATAAATTAAATGGAGACATCTTCAAAATTAAGTAAAATAATTGAAGGTTCTTATAAAGAGTTCCCCACATTAGGCCAGGCGTGGTGCTTACACTTGTAATCCCAGCACTTTGGGAGGCTGAGGCAGGTGGATCACGAGCTCAGGAGTTCAAGACCAGCCTGGCTAAGATGGTGAAACCCTGTCTCTACTAAAAATACAAAAATTAGCTGGGTGTGATGGTGGGTGCCTGTAATCTCAGCCACTCGGGAGGCTAAGGCAGAGAATTGCTTGAACCCGGGAGGTGGAGGTTGCAGTGAGCTGAGATCGTGCCACTGCACTCCAGCCTGGACGACAAAGTGAGACTCTGTCTCAAAAAAAGAAAAAGAGTTTCCCACATTAGAAATGAACAAAAATAGGATACTAAAATAAGCATTTATTCTGTCCAGTATTCTGGAAAAGAATACCAGGCTGGGCATGGTGGCTCATGCCAGTAATTCCAGGATTTGGGGAGACTGAGGCAGGAAGATGCCTTGAGCTCAGGAGTTTTGAGACCAGCCTAGGTGACATAGGAAGACCTTGTCTCAAAAAAAAAAAAAAAAAAAAAAAAAAAATTGCATGGTGGAACATGCCTGTATTCCCAGCTACTCAGGAAGCTGAGTCAGTAGAATACCTTAAGCCCGGGAGTTCAAGGCTGTAGTGAGCTGCATTCGTGCCAGCGGGGCCACAAAGCAAGACCCTGTCTCAAAAAAAAAAAAAAAAAAAGAATAAAAATAAAGAAATGTGATAAAGGATAGTAGGCATAGAAAGGTATTAGATTGAATGGAATAAAAATGTTTTGAGAACTATAAAGTTATGGACGTTTACATATATTTTGAGTACTTCTCTGTTAAAAATCCTTTCCAACAAATCAATAATAGTCACAAAAAGGCTTAGTTGAACACCATATTATATGCTGAATTGACCAAAACCAACACAACAAAATAAGAAACTTCACATAGGTATTTAAATCCAAGATTTTATGAAGTTAAATTGAGGATAATGATTAGTTATACCATTGGTGTCAGTATATTTTTGTTTTGCTTATCTCTTTCTGTGTTAACATTCTTTTAAAATGTCACTGCATTTATAGTTATTTGCTTTAACCATTTAGCTACTTAATAATTTGTGATCCTAAGTGGTTGTCATTTGTACACGCCTTTTGGTCACCTTTCTCTTTTACTTGCAAATAAGCAAGCTCTTTGCTTTAACTATTTATCAAATCCAATCACTTTTTTCCCTCAGTCACCCTAATCTATAAAGTAAAATGCTTTATTGCTTGAAAAAGGAAAATAATCCCAATATACTGTAAATTGTCAAGTGAGTTCTATATAATTAAAGATTACCCTGCAATATACAATTTTTAAGGCATTTATCCCGACAGGGTTCACTGGCCTTTGAGAATGAGCCACTTTGTTGACAAATCTATCATCTAAATTGTGCAACATTAATGAGAACTCTGAATAGCACACTGTTACATTTTAATGGGGATGGCAGCTAAAAAATATGCACACACCAAAACAAAATACTGAATATGACTGAAATTGATTTTTAAAAGGTCTGCCACCTGTAGATAAAAATGTGCATTACTCTGAACACATAATAATTAACAAGAATGAAAGACCTTGGCCAAATCCAATGACCCTCTGAAATAAAAATCCTGGTTATTACTTTAATAAAGAAGGCACAGATTTTAGGTTTCACAAATAAAGGCTCCTGATGCTACATACCTGTGCACCTAATTGTTTCTGCTCTACAATTTCATCCACATTTCTCTTGTAACATATGGTAGAATTGATTCCTGAAAGTAGTCTTTGGATGTACATCCTTTGTTTCTTAATAATTCATTATATGATCGTATATCTTCTGAAAGGTGTAACATTTTTGTTTTAGTCTATTTCTATTTCTCATTGTCTTTCAGAACCTTTAAAAATCGTTGTAAATTGTTTCTTATTGTACACGTAAATCTCTTGAGTAAGACTCCTTTTTTTAATATACTTTCAGCTTGGTCTCACCAAGATAATGAAGCATTTTCAGTAAAACACCATGCAAAGCAGGCTAAAGGAATACTTAAATCTAATGCTACCATACCCTTATAATTTTTTTCTTAACACAACATTATTTGTTTAAATGCCTGATTATACTTGATTGTCTTCGTGCTCTACATACAAATATTTTATCTGAATAGGTTAGCATAAAATTATTAGACTTATTTTCTGGGTGTTTCAAGTGTATGTACATATAATTCACTGGGAGAGTTTTACTAGCACACTTTTGAATTATGGAGTTAATTTCAAAACGTACATCAACTTAAGTAACATAATGCCATCTCAGTAGAAATGCTTCATTTTCCTGATCTTGGAACTAGGTATTGCCACTTGAGTAGCCAATACTGATCCACTTGAGGCAGCCCTCAAACCCTAGCCTGGACGAATATAATGGTCTTCTGTACAGTTTTTTTTGCTATGGCTTTTCAGCTTCCTCATTGATTAAAAATATGTGAGAATCTCTCAAAAGTTATGGGACAATTTGAGTTTTATTACTTTTTAAAAGTCAGATGAGAAAATCTGCTCCTTAAGAATATAATAACAATTGCATAAGCATCATTCTGTTGTCCAGCAATCATTTGTAATGAAGAGGATTTTTACTTCCAAATAAAATAATACATGAACTTTTGACTAAAAGCCTTTAACATAATATATGTGAACAAGCAATTGCTTATTTTTTGTCTTTCTTTAGAAAGACAAAGAAGTTGTCCTAACAAGAATAATTTAAGTAAAAACCATGAACCCAAACTGTTTTCATAGTACTTTCTGCAAAGTTAGAGTACAGAAATTCTAGATTATTTATCATGTCAGTGGAAGTGTTGCTCACAGTCATATTCTGTAAATGCAAATATATTTTGCATACATAAGTGAGGTTAAAGTGCTGAGATTAATTTTAAAATGAATGTAAAAGTATTCCCTAATTCATAATTATGAATTGTGTTTTTTATTTTCTTACATAATGCTCATATCTATGCATCTTTTAGATAATTTGTGAAAGTAACTTACATTGTATGAGTCATTGGTGTTTTATAATATTCTATGATATAGCAAAATATAAACATGATGTTTGGACTATAATTAGGGAATTTAACTCCCCTCACAACATGGTAAGGTTTTTGTTTGTTTGTTTTGTTTTGTTTTTGAGACAGGGTCTTGCTCCGTTGCCCAGGCTGGAGTGCAGTGATGTCATCTTGGCTCACTGCAACCTTGATCTCCTGGGCTCAAGTGTTCCTCCCACCTCAGCCTCCTGAGTGGCACAAGTGTTATCCTAGACATGTCAAATCTTTGTGACAGACATGGTTTCAAGGCAGATTTATAAGTATTTAGAAAAACGTTACAATTTTATACCATTACCAATATGAATTCTAGAAGGATTAGAGATTTAAATTCTCATCAAAAGAAACCATAAAAATACTAAGAGACAGTGTTGGTGAATAGAAGTAGGAGGAGGGTTGAAAGTCCTTTTAAAGCATTACACCAAAGGTGATAATCACCAAAGAAAAATTGTGATAGGTTTGATCACATAAATGAAAAAGCTTCTTTGCATCTTAAATGATAAGACTGGCAGACAAATGGAAATCTAAGAAATATATTTGCAGTACATTAGGCGGAACAACCTAAATTGCCATTTTTGTTAAAACTGGTCAACTATTGGCATTTTCCTATGTTCAACAGATGCAATTAGGATATCATTTAAACTGCTTACAAATGAATAGAAATAGAAATAATAGAAATATTCAGTTAATAGGAGGAAGTTAAATGAAGAATAAACATAAAATGTTTGATTTTTATAAATCATCAAGTAATTCAAATTAAATTGAGATCATAGTTCACTTAGCAAATTGGTGAAGATTAAAAATGCCACAGTAACCAATGCTGAAGAAATTCCGGTGAGATGAAGCCTCTCACTTTCTGTGTCCAGTTGTGTCAATTGTGTTACTGTACCAGAACCATTTCACACAGTGCACATTAAAAGTCTGTTAATGTTGATGCTTATGCTTCTAGCAATTTGCCATATATATATTATCATATGTGCGTGTATGTCGGTATATATTTATATTTAGTTATACATATATGCACGTTTATAGCTAAAGGGATATAGTGTTAATAGTAACACAAAACTGAAAACCTGTTTATTAAAAATGGGCCCTGGGCCAGGCACAGTGGCTTAGCCTTTAGTAATTCTAGCACGTTGGGAGGCTGAGGCAGCTGGATCACTTGAGTCCAGGAGTTCGAAACCAGCCTGGGCAACATGGTGAAACCCCATCTCCACCAAAATAAAACACACACACACACACACACACACACACACACACACACACACACACACACATTAGCTGGCATGATGGCATACACCTGTAGTCCCAGCTCCTCAGGAGATCAAGACTGCAGTGAGCCATGATCATGCCACTGCACTCCAACTTGGGTGATAAAATGCAACCTTGTGTCAAGAAATATAAGACTCTGGTTAGATAAATTGTGGTGGTCGTGTATGATGCAATATTAATTTTACTGAAAAATAATTTTATAATGACATGAGAAACCACACCAGAGTCATAGGAAATATTCAAGAAATATTGGTTGAATGAGTACATATGTGCACATGCATGCATAGAACAAGAGTGTATAGATAACACTAAAATGCTTTACCTACACTATATAGGATTATAGCTGATTTCAAAATTTATTCTTCTCAATTGTATGTTTCAGCTACATTTCTTTAATGAACACATATTACTTTCATTTTAAGAAAAATGCATATCACTTTTAAACCATAAATATCAATGTAGTAGTCTTTATATATTATTTTTCTTTTCTTTTTTTGAGATGGACTCTCACTCTGTTGCCCAGGCTGGAGTACAGTGGCACGACCTCAGCTCACTACAATCTCCGCTTCCTGGACTGAAGTGATTTTCCCACCTCAGCCTCACAAATAGCTAAGACTGAAGGCACATGTCACCACTCTCAGATAACTTTTTTGTATTTTTTGTAGAGACGGAGTGTTGCCATGTTGCCTAGGCTAGTCTCGAACTCCTGTGCTCAAGGGCCCGGCTCAACTTACCAAAATGTTAAGATTACGGGCGTGAGCCACCACACCTGGCCATATTATTTCTAATGACAGCATTTTCTGTATACATAGATTACTATTTCAACTTAGAATCTAAGTTATTTCTTCTAATTTTTTAATTAGAGAAAATCTAGAGGAACAAATTGTTTTTCGAAAATTTCAATATATTGAAACTCAAGTCTACATGGCAGAATAATATGCTATAACAGTGATAACAAGTTCATCCAAGATTTGCTCAGAAAATCCCCATGGTAAGTTGGGGGACACACTGCTTCTGGAGACAGCAGGCTTTCGGGTTGATATGCCTCCCCTAGTTGGGTAGTTCTTCCTGTTGTATCAACTTTTGCCTTAATTTGAATTCAACTGGGTCTCCCTGTCACTGAGAACAATACTCCAGATTTGAGATTTTTGGAATACTTTGAAAATAAATTCAGCATCCTTTATAATAGACATCATCCGTTATTGTAATATTCAACTTTTGAAAACTCAAATCCCTCTACCACTCTTCTAGTGTTTTTGTAGTCACTTTTTCCTTTATTAATGAAGCAGTTATCTCATGAGCATAATTCATATCCATGAATTTACAGATACATTTACAGAGGGATTTTTTAAGGCTCTGCATTTCCACCTTTTCCCCACACTTTTGTAACCAAATGCCTTAATTTGAAGACGTGATTATTCTAACGAAAGGATGCAGAGGATGAAGCAAATTATTAAAATAAAGATAAATACATTTGATAACTTATTCAAATGAACTCACCTATTTGACTCTAAAGGACTCCTTTACAAAATGAATTCTGTGTTCTTCCATTGTTCAACACACCTCAGACGGTGAGGTTTAAATAAGTGAGTTTTAGTACATGAACATTTTTCTATTTTTAAACTTCATACTGATATCAAAATTCATAGACAAATATTTACATTTTAGGAAAAATATAACTTTTCAAGAGCAAGAAAAAATTTTTTAAAAGAAAATGTATGTATAGATTTACTAGCTATTTTAGAAAGGAGTGACAGAAATTTAATAGAACTCAATGTGTTGATTTATCCTTAAATAGCAAATACCAAGATATCTATCTAATGCCATTGGAATACAAAAGAATAGGCTAAACTGGACAGAAATGGAAGCTCAAAGCAAAGGTTAACCTTTTAAAAACTCTTGTCATATCTTTATTCCCTCACCTCTCCCTTATGTTTTAAGAGTATTGTTATTTAAAAGTAAAAAGAAAAAAGTCATGTCAGTATATTTAAATTACATTAAAAATCAAGCCTGAAGACTATGAGGCAGAAATAATCCAACTATTATTTCTGGTGTAAAAAGTTTTTGGAATAACATCATTTGCCCAGAAGCTGTTTTCCAACCTAATAACTCTTGGAATTATGATCTAAATTTCTAGAAGATTAAGGCTGCATAACTACTAGAAAGTACAAGTGTGCAGGAATGCCAGCAGAGGAGAAATCTGATTTGAAATTTCTTTGAGGAACTTCCAGTTTGAAACAGTACCCCTGTGAAAGTAGAAATGCTACGTAGGTAAATATTGCTCAGCAAATTTATCTTAGTTACATATATACTGAGTACTTGCATAGCAATCTCCAAGATGTTCATTACCTAAGATTTTAATCTATTTTTTTATTTTAACGATATGCTTAGGTTATCTTTGAACAAAGTGCTCAAAATGTACAGAAACAAAGATTATTAATATATTCTGTATTGTTTCATCTTCCTTTTAGTAATTTCTTGTTTTTGTTTTTTTTTTTGTTTTTTTTTTTTTGAGACGGAGTCTCGCTCTGTCGCCCAGGCTGGAGTGCAGTGACACGGCCTCGGTTCGCTGCAAGCTCCGCCCTCTGGGTTCACGCCATTCTCATGCCTCAGCCTCCCGAGCAGCTGGGACTACAGGCCCCCGCCACCACGCCCGGCTAATTTTTTTGTGTTTTTAGTAGAGACGGGGTTTCACCGTGTTAGCCAGGATGGTCTCGATCTCCTGACCTCATGATCCACCCACCTGGGCCTCCCAAAGTGCTGGGATTACAGGTGTGAGCCACCACACCCGGCCTAGTAATTTCTTCCTTTTTTTAAGATGGAGTCTTGCTCTGTCAGCCAGGCTGGAGTGCAGTGGTGCAATCTTGGCTCACTGAAACCTCTGCCTCCCGGTTCAAGCAATTCTCCTGTCTCAGCCTCTTGAGTAGCTGGGGCTACAGGCACCCGCCATCATGTCCGGCTAATTTTTTCCTTTTTTTTTTGTAGAGACAAGGTTTCACCATGTTGGCCAGTCTGGCCTCGAACTCCTGACCTCAGGTGATCTGCCCACCTCAGCCTCCCAGAGTGCTGGGATTACAGGCATGAGCCACTGCGCGCAGCCCAGTAATTTCCTTATAAGACATTTTGGAGGCAATGTATGTATGTTGCACTCCCAGTCTATTGATGGTAATCCCATTTCAGATATGCCTACTACCTATCCTCTCTAGTCTTTTGTCAGAAGTTGTGTCAAGAGTTGGATGGAAAAGGAGGCAGAAAGCTGGTTGTTGCAGAGGACACAAGAATAAGGAAAATGGGACCTTTGTCTTCAAAAATGTTAGAGTCCTGAGGTGGAGCTGGAGGTGAGAGAGGAGAAAATGCATCAGTCCCTCCAGTGAAAGGAAGAATGCAAAGGTTAACAACTCACTTCTGAGCTCTTTGCATCAAGAAGCTGTCCATATTAGGAATGCCAGTTGTCTCAAGATGGGGTCACCTTGCTATGAGTTTAATCGTGGGCGTTTGGTTTAATGTTTGCCCATGTAGATTATCTGAATCCCACTTCTTTTAGAGACAACAATCTCAAATTTATTGCTCCACAACATCTGGGAGAAATCATTGTTTGTCAATGGTGACAAACAATATTTAGGAAAAGTGGTTTGAGGGATATGTGATTCTTTGGAGGTATTTTGAAATCTACCTCTAAACTAAGGCAGACAGGCAAGGAGATGTGTCTTTGAATGCCTTCTAATGACCTCAAGTAAGTGGTTTCTAAGACCTATGTTTAGTGTGGTGTCACTGTCCTTGATTGAGGGCTGCTGTAAGAAAGAGTCCCATACAACTCATTATGCCCATCGAGAATTTCGTTCGTTGCAGAATTGTTTCATTGCAACCTACAGTTTGTAGTCTCTGAGACTCCTTGGGAGAAATTTCTGACTCCTCTTACATGTTATGTTGCCCCTGAGCAGTAGTCTGTTTTTATCTAATGATGCCTGTGAATTGTATACCTAATCGGTACTCTTTTTTGCCATTCACTACTAAAATGGTGCCAAATTTGAAGTCTCCGTAGCCAACGATATAAACATTTATGGAATATATTTACCACAATACAACCTCTCATTTTTATTTTCACGATCTGATATGCTTTTAAAATTGATATTTTTTGGTATATTTCATATATCAGAAACAGAAGAGGTTTCACAGGCTTGGGATGGAGGAAGAAGAGGTTATGGAGTAGAAGCGGGAATCCAAAAAGGCAAAGCTAAGACGATGGTATTTGAGTGGAGCCTTGAATGGTGGAAGTGAGGAGAGAACTGAGACAGGATGCACAAAGGTGCAGAGACAGAAAAAACCGTGTAGTTCAGTTTGGCTCAGAAATATTAAGGCAGTAGCGACACATAAGTCTGTCAATTTCAGGTCATTAAATTCCACCTGCTAATCTTGTCTAATTTGGTGAATAGTGAGGTGCCATTGATTTTTTTTTCCTATAGGGGAAGTGTCAATATTCAGCATATGCTGTGTTTATGGCCTCAAAGATTTTTCTCCTGTGTGGTGTGGTGTGGCTTTGGGGTGGGTAGGTGGGAGTGGATTTTCGAATTCAAGCAACCAAAAGTAAAATGTAATATAGGTTCCCCAACAGAAACTGTGTAAATGCTTTTAACGAGAGTGGGTGTTGGGAGCAATGGTAAATCCAAGTAATACAAATTCAGTGGAGTGATCCTTTGCTACAAAGTCCTTAATGGCTCATATACCCCAAAACTGTTCAGGATGAGTCCATCAGCTACCTTTTCTGCTAAAAATTTTAGTCACATTGACTGGAGTACTACAAAGGGTGAATAATGAAAGTATGAAAAGAGAGTTTTAAAATTTGCTTTTGCTGTAGATATAGTTTTTTTTCCTCTAAAATTTAGTATTTCTTATTCTTTTACATTCTACACGTAAAATCTCAATGACAAGGATAAAGTTAGCATATATTGAACACTCATAAGCATTTTATAAATATTTTACATGTTTGTTTGAACTCATTGAGCCCTCGAAACAAACCTATAAGAATTACTATTATTATCATCATGGTTTTAATTTGGGAATCTGAGGCATGTGCAAATTAAAATGCCCTTGTCCAAGGCTTACACAAGTAGAATTAAATGACCCAACCAGGATGTGAGTCTACATAATCTTACTGCAAAGCTCACACTCTTAATAGTATAGTGCTTCATCAACCCAAAGTTGAGAAATTATTACCTAAATTTCATTTTTTTCCAATGACTAAAAGTATGGATTTCTTATTAATTGGTAAGACTGACTGTTAATCACTTAGAATTTCAGCACTTTAGAAGAAGAAGAGAGCTAAGAGACATGTGATCCAACTTCTCATTCCTTGCAGAAAACCTCTTCACAACATTATGATAGATGACTTCTCTTCATCATAAGTACTTTAAATAAGAAAAAGATATCACTACCTAAGGAAGTCCATTTCACTTTGCAGGAGCTCTGTTAGAAAAGTAACCACCCTAAATCATCTCTCTTCCCCTGTACTATACTCATTAAACATCAATTAAGATGTATTGGTTAGCAATAGGTATATTGTAATAATAATGATGGCTAACATTTATTACATGCTCACTGTGTGCTAGGCACTTTTCTAAATGTTTTTCTATGGATTAACTCTTTTAAGTCATCGTAACAATCCTATGATATTCTACCAAGTTAGAGGAAGGTCAAGTAATTTACCTAAGTTCCCTTTGTAGGTAGTGGAAACGAGATCTCTATTCCCATATAACTCAGTACTAAACTCCAGCTATCTCCTGATTAACAGGTCACCCATCATGCTCCTCGTCAGCGAATCAGTGAAAACGATGCTTCATCATGCTCTTCTCCAGTGTGCCTGTTTTCCACAGATACAGCTTTTATTCTGTTACTTCTTCCTCACTCCCTCTCATACCATCCCCACCCACTCCTCTCATACCATTCCCATCTTACCCTTGGAGTAAGTGAGGAAGGCCTTTTAAGCTTATCTTTCCAAGAAATATTTATTTCTACATCTCTTTGTGCTTGTAATTCTATTTGGGTTTTTTTCTTTACTCTTATTACCACTTCTTAATCTCCAATTCGTCTTTCAAAATCAAATCCAACATCAAACTTCTTCAAGATGACTTTTCTGTAAATAATGAAATAAAGTTCCTCTCCCTTACTAAAATGTTATTTTTTTGAATTATGGAATCTAAGATATACACGATGAACACTAACAGTATTTAGGCTGTTTCAACGTCCCACCGACTATAGAAATTCTTTTATTTTGTTCTTTTATAGATCATCACCCAACTTGAATGTTTTAGTAATGGATATTCGTTACTTATCAAGCCAGCCTGATGCATTGTTGGACACCTATAATACTTAGAAAGTTTTTCCTTTTAATAATTCAAAATTTTCTTCCCTGTAACTGCTTGTCATTGATCTTAGCTGTTTCATTTAATCTATTTCATTGATCATATTCCATTTAGCATTTTGTAGTGTGTTAATTGTATGGTTCTCAAAATTCTGTCTTCAGTAAGTTTGAAAATGCCTTTTACTTAGGAATCACAGTTTATGTTTTTCTATTTCCCTCTGTACCTTACATACATAGCACAGTCTACGTATGCAATAAATACTCAGTAAACAATGCATTGAACTGTGTTAATAGCTCAATATGCGTGTATATGTAAATATATACACACAAATGTATAAATAGGTTTTTCTTAGTTTAGCCTAACATTTAAACACGATAACAGTGCCTGAGAATACCTAATCTACATTTGCAAAACCATGTGCGCGCTCTCTCTCTCGCTCACTTGCTCTCTCTCTCGCTCGCTCTCTTTCTGTCTCTTTCTTGTGCTCCCCAACACTGTTCCACATTGAATATATAGAATGCCAAGTTCCTAAGATGTTCAGCACATTTTATCATACTTTTATGACAAGCATTACTTTTGCACCAACCTAAAAGTACATTAATTAATCTATTTTGCACTGGAGGAAACACCACCAGAAATCTAGATACATTACCTATTGAATGGAAACCTGAAAAGATAGTGTCTTCCATCCTGGAGAGGTAGCCTAGAAGAGTGGTTAAGATGGAGCCTTTGGGCTCACCAGAACTTGACTGCCGTTGTCTAACTGTGCGATCCTGGACAACTTCTGTAACTACTTGTTGCTTAGTTTTTCCATCTCTAAAATTGAGATAATAGTACCTATTTCACAGAGATTTGGACAGTAAATGAATTAATGTATATAAAGTACATAGAGTACATATCTAGACTTCAATATATGTTATTATTGCTAAAAAGCACTCACCTAGTATCTGAAAAAATCTTGTAGCTAAGATGATATAGGAAATAGCTCTAATGATTCCTAGTGATCAACTTTACTTTAGTTTATTTTCCACAATTCCATAGACCTTAATTTTCTTCAAGAGAAATTCTTATGATTTTTGTTTTTTACTGGAACAGCCAGATCAAGAAGCTTTTCTACAGGAGTGATTTCTAACAAATAACAGGTAACTTGCTAACAAATAACAGGTAACTTTTTAATATTATTATTAAGAGTGTTGTTATTAGAAAATGGCTAACAGAATTTAGTTTTATTAGCCAATGGTGATAAAATAATAATGATGTTTTATAATACTTAATAGTTTTCAAGTGCTTTCTTTATGCATGATGTCGTCTAAAATGATAACAATAATTCCCATTTTTCATTGCTGCTCAAAGGTAAACCATGTAACTCACTTTGTTTGTTTGTTTGTTTGTTTGTTTTGTTTTAATCAGGTGAGACTGGCTAAATTCAGGAATGTTTAAGGGTCATGGGCCCAAAGCCAAATATGGCTTAGTTCTCAGAATAAGTGTTTTTGTGTGTGTGTGTGTTTTTTGACGGAGTCTTGCTCTGTTACCAGGCTGGAGTGCAGTGGCACGATCTCGGCTCACTGCAGCCTCCGCCTCCCGGGTTCAAGCGATTCTCCTGCCTCAGCTTCCCAAGTAGCTGGGACTACAGGTGCCCGCCACCGCGCCCAGCTAATTTTTTTTATTTTAGTAGAGACGGGGTTTCACCATGTTAGCCAGGATGGTCTTGATCTCCTGACCTCGTGATCCACTTGCCTCGGCCTCCCAAAGTGCTGGGATTACAGGCGTGAGCCATGGCGCCTGACCAGAATAGGGGCTTTAAAAGAAAATAAAACCGTGTTGTCAGAGGCACTAGTTGTACAATTAAAAGCACCATCAACTGGATCCTTCTGTGGGAGGCTGGAAAGAGGTTTAAATAAAAACTGGAGCTTTGGTCGGGTACGGTGGCTCATCCCAGTAATCCCAGCACTTTGGGAGGCCAAGGTGGGCAGATCACGAGGTCAGGAGTTCGAGACCAGCCTGACCAATATGGTGAAACCCCATCTCTACTAAAAATACAAAAATTAGCCAGTCGTGGTGGTGCGTGCCTGTAATCCTAGCTACTTAGGAGGCTGCGGCAGGAGAATTGCTTGAACCTGGTAGGCAGAGGTTGAAGTGAGCCAAGACTGCGCCACTGCACTCCAGCGTGGGCGACAGAGCAAGATTCTGTTTCAGAAAAAAACAAAACAAAACAAACAAAAAGACCCCTAGAGCTTCAATCTTGTTCTTCTAAAATTTTTGTGACTTAGAGAAATCAGAAATCACCTGGAACAATTTTGTGCATAATATACACATATTTTTGTATGCACCTTTATGTTGTACATGCAAATGTATATAATGAATGTAGGAAGATATTATTTCTGAAAAATTTGTTTCTTCCAAAATACAAAACATATGATCAAATGAGAAAATCATTAAAAATTTAGCAATGATAATTAGGAAATTATGTTTTTCCTAAGGCCTTTCTCTGACTTTTCATTCAACTTAAATACCCTTCTTTGCAGGAAAGAAACATTTAAAACATGGTTCCATTTATTAGGTGTCTGGCCATGACTTTCTGTACCCAGCAACCAAAGCAGGCCACCCAAACCTGTGAAAGTACTTTCCCTTCTATTCACACTTCCAAAGGGTTAACTCAGAAGTGCTCTATTGTATTCCTGATGGTTTTCTCTGCAGAAAGCCCAGTGGGCTCTTTCAAGGGGCTCTAAACAATGAGCTCAGTGAGGCTGTTCTGTCTAATTACTCAAAGACAGGGATGCTAAAGAGGAATTAATGACAGTTGACAAGTGCAATTAATAATTATAGCAAAGCCGGGAGTCATGCAGCAGGCAGATGACAATAACGGGGTAACTGTACATGGCAGTTTTCGTCGGTTTATGCTCTGTGTGTGTGTTTAAAGTGAGAGGCTTTGTGCAGGATGGGCCATGCTTCATGCTGACAGGGGAGAAACTATAATTCTGCAACTCTAATGGATAGTCAGTCATTCCCCACCCACCCTGCCCCTCTTCTCTCTCACTCCCTCTCTCTCTGTTCCCCTCCCTCATTTTCAACTCTTCCAATTTGGTGAAAGAAAGGCAGTGTAACTTAAAACTTAATAGAAAAGAGCTACAGTTAGCTTTCCCTATCAGCTGGTGACAAAGCTGCTTAAAATTCCTGTTGGGCAACTAGAAGGAGAAGGGCCCGGGAAAAGGCGGTCGCAGAAGTGGGATTTCCATATCAAAGGGCAAGCCTTTGGCTCTGAATGGTAATTAAAGTACCCCAATTTCATCTTCGTGGTCAAGCCATGAAAGGGGAAAAAATTAGAGAAAGAATTTTTCAGTCCCTTCAGACTACAGAATGGAAAGCCATAAATTAAATGAAAGCTGAGCTAAAAGGTGTCTAACACTTCAATCTTTGCATCTAATGGAATCTATGATATTTCTCAACCATTTATTCCGTTCACATTTTCCTTCTGCACTGATTATGAAAGATATAATGTCTGCTTACATTTATCTGCCACACATCTCGGGCTTCCCAAGTTTGCATAGCTTATCAGTTTTCATTACACTGCTTTGGCAGCTCAGTCATTGGGGAAGGTTTGCACACTTTGAGCAAACTGACCTGTTTTAAAAATTCCTTCTTTAGGTAACCAAGAAAACATTAACCAACTAGGTCAATTTTTGATATATGTTGGTATGACTTAACAACTTGGGGTTTAAAATGCCGCAGATTTCACTTTTATTTGCTATTAATTGAGCCTCTTTTATTGATTGCTGGGGCCATTTTACTGTCTTTTCTCCAACACTCCCATTTCAAAAGTCATGGCTTTATGAAATAATTATTTTAAATTGAAGTATGGAACTTATAAGCAGTTTCAAATTCGTTAAAAAAGAATTTCTGCCACTTATGTTCCGGGAAAGAAGGACTTAGAAATCTTATTTCATTTTTTGGATGAGATGTTAAACTTGGACCTACCTCTCTATTCATTAAAGATCACAGAGCATTTTTTTTCCGAGTCGAGAAGCCTGGCCAAACTCCAATGTAGATAATTACATTCCACCTACCTAATTCCCTAGCTGCTTTAATTGGAAACAATTCCACTTTACTCTCCATCCCCCTTACTTCTTGTCCTTAAACTGCTTTCTAGTTTGTCAGGCATCTTTCACAAACTGTCATATCTCTTACACCCTCAAAGTACTGTTTTGGAATTGGGGTAAGATAAATTATACAGCCATAGAGTAGTACTTAAAGGTTTGCTAAAAACGTGTAAACCATGCAACTATAACAGTGAATTTCAGCCTACATTCTCAATTATGTTGGACCCAATATTTCTAATAATGGGAAAGCTATTTTCCTAAGAATTAATCCATATATTGTCTAAAGGCAATATTGCCACTTTAGGGGCAACAATTGCTTCTTGGGAGACAACAAAAGCTTACTCTTTTTATGTAGACAGCAAAGACACATATACATATACAGTATATCTAGTGCATTAACATTTCATATTTGGACAATTAGGAAAAACTATTTAAAATGGTTCACTGGGGAAGATGCTAGTGAAAAAACTGGAGAAATACTGATTTAGGCTATTATCTACCCTTGATTTATTGATGGTTCAGGAGAGAAAGAGGGCAGTACCGTTCTTTTTGCATTGCTTTCTTTTCTTGTTTCTCTTCATTTGTTATTGAAGTCTGTGGTATATTAATAGTTGAAGAGCCACTGTGATCTCCTCTTCTGTTTCTTACCTCTTCTTTAGGAGTAAAGTGGGTGGACCAACACAGTGCAATTATGAATGATGGAGACACTAGAAGCTGACAGTAATCCAAGTTCTTAAAAGACAGAAAGAAGAATATAAAATTAAAGCCCAAATGAGAAAGATCATAAATAACATTAAAATATGTTAAACACTGTCTTTGAATTATCATTGAAAAAGTCATAGGAAATATATATATATATATATATTTGAGCAGCCCAAAGAAAAAAGAATATGGACAGTCCCCAACTTATAATAGTTCAACTTAAAATTTTTCCACTTGATAACCCAAGTGATACATATTCAATGGAAACTGTACTTCAAGTACCCATGCTACCTTCTGTTCTTCACTTTCAGTACAATTTTCAATAAATTACATGAAATATTCAGCACTTTATTATGAAAGACTTTGTATTAGATGATTTTTTTTCCCTACTGTAGGCTAATATAGGTGTTTGGAGCATGGGTAAGGAAGGTGAGGCTAAGCTATGGTGTTTGGTAGATTAGATGTATTAGATGTATTTTTTTTTGACTTTTTTTTTTACAACTTACAATGGGTTTGTGAGGACATAAGCCCCTCACAAATCAAGGAGCATCTGTGCTAATGGATTGCAATAGAGATACATTTTCTAACTTGCCTTTCCTGTGACCACCAAGAGAGTATATTGACTCTGGGATATCACAGAACAGTTAAGAATATTTAAAAATTATGTCCCGATGAGACCCATAATCCATCTAGTTCAGTATTGTGCAGTGGTACTAAGAATGTATTCTCTGAATGCATTGTTACCTTGTAGATCAAACAGAAAATGTTGACAACACCTAAACTGTAGCTTTCGAAGCAATGGATGATGATGATGATGTTGATGGTCATTACTTATGTGGCACTCACTGTGAGTCAGGAACTGTTCTAAGCCCTTACACTAATTCACTCAATTCTTTCCAAAACAGTGAGGTACTTACTATTACCATCATCTACATTTTTATAGATGAGGAAATTGAGACACAGATAGTTAAGTAACTTGCCTAAGAATTATTTTGGAACTGAAGGATTACAAGAACATATTGTCTATAAAGCCTTATTAAGACTTTAGAATTCTCTCATTTTCACTTCCATTGCCTTAAGAAGAGTTAAATGCCATAGTAAATAACAGGAAACCTAACGCCATCCTTTCACAGGAAATTTGGGGTTTTCAAGGTTTTATGAGATGGTCTTTTCCATTTTGCCTTCAAAAGACAGAATGTCTTAAAATTTTCACTTTACAATGTGCGCCACATTCCTTCTGCATGATAGCCCATTCAATTATATTGAGACTTAGAAAATTAGTATCTTAAAAGATATTTATATGGGGGTTTCCCACACCTCTTACAAATAGTAACTATGCTCTTGTTTTCCTTTTGTTTTGCCGTTTCCATCTTTGCTTTAAAGACACTGAAAAATATAAATGACTTGAGGGGACTCCCAAAGATGAATAAGGATCAATGGTGTCTTTTCTACTATTTCTAGTTTTGGATTTTCTAGATTAGTCTTCATTTTCTAGATAAGATCCTATGTTGTATCTATGTTAGTATCAATAATCAATAAAAGTTGAATCTTAGATCCCTTTCAAATTATCTGCAAACTTACAGGATAAAGAAGTAAAAAAAAAAAAAAAAAGATGTGCACGTGCTTCTCTGATGATTTTTATGAGGAGCTGAACAAGAATTCAAATATTAATCTTTTTCTCAAACAAAAGTTTATGTCTGAGCAGCTTGGCAGGAATACGCTTGCCTCCTTTCTCTTGGCTTTCTCTTTGTTCCCACTTTTTCCCTCTTTTCTTTTTTTGTCTTTCTTTTCTTATCTCAATGTCTCTGTATCTCTTGTTTCCTAGCTGAAGTGCATCATTTTCTGCTATTGTGCTTAAAAAACTTGGCTGCAGGGGCTCTGAAATGAATAAAAATGTAATCCTCACTGTGCCCATTGTGTGCTCTCATTTGTTTTTGCTGTATCGATTTATCAGCAGAGGGAAATTACTTGCTGGAAGAGAGGATGCCAGTCAGAATGACATTTATTTCATAGTACAAGGAGGCTCTCCAGCGTGTTTCCATGTAACCTAGATATTGGAGCTGTAAAAGGGCTTGTAACAAGGTTTAGTGCTATGATTAGATCGTGTGGAGCACCTTGCTTTCATAACAACAGGCACTCTGCAGGAGCTGGGGCCTCGGGTTATGGTCAACCCTCTTTTTTTTTTTTTTTTTAAAGCATAGACACAGAATTCAACAATTTCCTCCCCACCTAAACAGTTTCTATTCCAAAAGCCAAATCTTGCAGACTTACAAGAATAAAAGAGGTATATTTTTAGATGCCCGAAGCTTTCATGACATCAAATTAAATGCAAATAGATGAAACACTTGCCTATTAATCCCCTTAACTTTTTTTTTTTGGCCTTTCCCCCTTTATTTTGGAGAAATTTTTCCATTTTAATTCACCAAAGCGAATCTTTTCATTCAGTGATTGTAAGTTACATGTGCTTAAGGCTACCAATTACCTGTGAAACCAAACACATTCTCTATGTAAAAACGAAGGCAGGTGAGGCAAATTGTGACAGCAATTGGTTTTGCTTAAATACTAGAGGTAAAATTTCGTAGGTCTTTGCTATGATTCTTATATGTCTGACATTAGGAAATTAACTTGTTTCATTATGTTCCTAATTTTCCATAGAACTGATACAGTTGGGATCTATGTAAAAGACATTTTTTCCTCTAAAGAATGAGAGGAAATGGGTCTGTTTTCTAAGGAATGTGCTCATTTGTGTAAAAGTATATAGGAGATGTCTTTCTTTTCCCACCATTTCTTCACTGTTGAGATTTGTTCATTTGGTAATGTTGGCAAAAGCAAAAATGATTAAGATTTGCAGAATGAAAAATATTAAACTTAAGCTGGCAAATTTAACGAAAATCTGCACTTCTGTTTTTAGCAGGAATTTTTTTTTTTTTTAATAACTGGGTTTGTGATGCTGAGGTGTATTGGGCTGTGATAAAATATACTGTCTTATTAATTTATTTTTAAAAAATCTGGCCAGGCACAGTAGCTCATGCCTGTAATCCCAGCACTTTGGGAGGCTGAGGTGGGCAGATCACCTGAGGTTGGGAGTTTGAGACCAGCCTGGCCAACATGGTGAAAACTTGTCTCTACTAAAAATACAAAAATTAGCTGGGCGTGGTGGCAGGCGCCTGTAATCCCAGCTACTTGGGAGGCTGAGGCAGGAGAATCGCTTGAACCCAGGAGGCAGAGGTTGCAGTGAGTCGAGATCACGCCATTGCACTCCAGCCTGGGCGACAAAAGTGAGACTTCATCTGAAGAAAAAAAAAAAAACAAAAAACCCTAACCATCCTAGTTCAATAGGACAAGGATATCTCCTCAAAAGGGTCTGGAACTTTCACTCATATTTAGAGCTAGGCTATAATATAGACTGTCTGACCCTAAGAAATAAGGCAAATGGGACCTATTTTATTAAATGTAAGAAGTATTTCATTTTGGGAATTCAAGAAGGTCATCAAAACGTTAATGGAGGGAATGAAGGAACTTCCTGCCATGCTGAATCTTATCAGTAAAATGTATTTTGAGACTATAGTTGTTCAACCTTAACATACTTTTGGCAGTTAATTAGACAAACCCTAAAATTGGATCAAGTCTATAAATGATTAGGATAAGAATGAACCAAGTTAAATTCCTAAATACCAGGTTTATGAGAAAAATAATGAAGATCTGTATTTATGTAGAAGTACAGTAATTATATAAATCTTAGTAGAAGTAAGTTTTTTTGTTAGTCTCAGCTGTCTCACTCAGCCTGTTGCTGCTACGCAAACACTTTCCATGTAGAATAACATATTTGCCAACTCCACGAAATTTAGTCTTGGATGTTGGTCTTTACTATAAAACTCAGATTTTAAGTTTAACTGCAAAAGATTATAGGAATTAAAGGGCAAGGGACCTGGAATCTGATTTTTCACATTCTGCATGGGAGGGAGCTTCAGTATGAGAGCCAGTATACAATACACAGAATTGTGGGCCTGCCTCTGTTAAGTGCCTTTCAATTAGAGTTGTTGGGAAAGCCCATGGGGAAGGTAGGGCGTTTAATTTTAACTTATTAGACCTTGGCATCTGTCTTCTGAACTGGAAGTCTGTTTGGGTACCTTCAGTGATCTTTCTTAATGAACTTACTTTGTACCTTTGATTGAGTTGACACCATAAATTACTAGGCAAAATGTTTTAAAAGTTAAATAAAAATAGAGTTTTGAAAAACTCAATTGTCCACGTTATTCTTTGTTGAGCTTTTTGATTTCGAAGATGTTTCAGAACTTCAAAGCGAAATGCTGTTGCCTTTAGATTTTTAACAAAATCCTACAATGGCTGAACCTTTCAGCAAATCTGTCAGCTTCTCTGTTCCAAGGACAACTGCAGTGTCATTTTCTCCTCCTGCTGGTATTAATGGAACACCAACCTTTTGACTTGTTTAGGCTGCGTCTCAAAAAGTGTCTATCTCTTGCTGGGGTAATAAGGTTAGAATTCACTAGCTGCAAAGGGATTTGTGTACTGACTAAAATCCCTTCCATAAGACCTGCTTGGAATAGGTTGGCATAAATACAGCAATGATATAAAATGTGCTAGGTGAATAAATTATATCGAGGATGATTATGCTTCTTGAATTTATATTCCTTTTTAAAAATTTAAACAGAACAAAAACTTTACCATCATAAACTTTTGGTTCATTGTAGTAGTAGCAACTCTTTTCTACTGTATTTCAAACCAGAGGTGATTTTGGGAATACGCAGTTTAGATGGATTTCTAGAATCTTACATCTTTGTGATATAACTATTGTTTCCTTAGTATTATGATTTCTCTCATTCACTGAATGTAATGGCAGTGCTTGGTGAGGCTCAATGTGAAGATATGCCTGCTTCCCTATCTTTCAAAGCAGGGCTTTCTTGTGGTTTAAATATCGTGATACTATTTCCCTTCCTTCTGCAGGAAATCAACTTGAATAGGAAAGGAAAAAAAAGCACTAGTGCCAGAAGTAAGTACCAGAACAAAGGTGATCTTAAAGTATTGAGTGAAATATAAAAGACCATTTAATTTGAATGTGTTGGTACCATTTTAATGGCAGCATGCTTAGGTTATATGTACTGTCTGTGGGATGATCTGTTTTATTTCAGTGAGGTGGTTTCCAGCTGCAATGGTTCATTACTGGCTGATCAATGGCATGTTGGCCTGGGATCTCACCCTCTTTGTGATGCCATGTGATTGTGAGGCAACGTATGTGAACTTGCCTGGGTGACAGCTGTCAACTGTAAATGGCCATATGTAATGATGAGTAAAGTTGTTGTCAACTGTCAATAGGCCATATGTAATGATGAGTAAAATTACAGGCTGCTGTCTGATTAGATGTAAGATTAGAAAAAAGATACACCACGAAAACCTGCCCTGAAAGGTCTAGAGCAGGTATGATTTTTTTTAAAGGGCTTGTGCTATGTATCATTTATGCACCCATATTTCTGTTTTGAACCCATTCCTCTCTAGATAGATAAATCCTGCATGCCAACATTGTCTCTCAATTGAATGGGAAAAGTCTTAGCAACCTTACAAATTAAAGACTAGAACCAGTGATTGCACAGGGGAACCTTCAAATGGAAAGGAGTTAGGTTAGGAGGGCAAGTGCAAGCCTATGAAAGGCCTCTTCACATTTACTCTCCCTCCCCAGTACTGGGAATACATTTGTTTCAACACTGATCGTTTACACAGCACTACTCTATGCCAGGTAATGTGATGGGCAAGTGTGAAATGACTGCTTCAGGATAAATATTATTGTCAGTTCAGAGAGCTGATCAGTGGTGTGGGCATGATGTATCGATATATCCGTGCAAGCCATTCTTTAGCACTTTTTCTACTAAAGGACGTGCTTTTAATCAGTGACTTGACTAATGGTTACCATCGTATGATTATTTAGCCTTTCTCTATATACTACCTTCTTTCAGTCAATTGAACGGCAAGATCTTCTCCTGTTTATCATTCCTTTTGTGATTATTACAACACTCACCTAGAACAAAATATCCTTAAAAACATAAACAAGTAACCTTACCAAAGTTAGAAAGAAAGGCTTATACAGAGAGAGAGAGCAACAAAGAAACTACAGTCCAAGGATGAACATGAAGGAGAGAGAGTGAGAATGTGGACCTAACAAAGCTTAAAAAAAGGAAAAGAAGGGCCAGGCGCAGTGACTTACACCCGTAATCTCAGCACTTTGGGAGGCCAAGTCAGGCGGATCACTTGAAGTCAGGATTTAGAGACCAGCCTGGCCAACATGGTAAAACTCCGTCTCTACTAAAAATATAAAAATTAGCCGAGCGTGGTAGCACTCGCCTGTAATCCCAGCTACTTGGGAGGCTGAGGCAGGAGAATCACTTGAACCCAGGAACTGAGATTGCGCCACTGCACTTTAGCCTTGGGCAATAGAGCTAGTCTTGAAGAAGAAGAAGAAAAGAAAGACACGTCTTGTTTCTTTCTTCAAACTCATTAAAGTAGTGATTTCCAATTTTTGGCAGCCCAGCTTCCTGAAGACTATAATCTGCTTCCTTCAGGAATATTGGCTCTCTGAGTGTGGTGGTCTTGGGAAGCCACCCTATGAATTTTCCCTCCAAAGGCAAATTACTACATGCCCCAAATCAGGCTCTCTTCTGCAAGCTTCCCATTCAATTCCCCAACAGTGTATTTCTAGAAAATCCTGTTCTTGCTGTTTCTGTCTCCCTTAATAGAGAGACTCAATCCAGAACCTTCTCAATCATTTATTTTCTGACAAGTTCAGTAAAACTTCATCTTGAATGATAAGCTCCGCAAAGGCTCCACCCAGACTCTAAACTTTGAGACAGTATAAGAAGTAGCTTAAAAGAAAATGTCTCTGGTGTTTTTAAAAAGTAGCCATCAAGAGACCATTGCTGGCTGGGTGCCGTGGCTCACGCCTGTAATCCCAGCACTTTGGGAGGCCGAGGCAGGCAGATCACTTGAGGTCAGGGGTTCAAGACCAGCCTGGGCAACATGGTGAAACCCCGTCTCTACTAAAAATACAAAAAAAATTAGCCAGGTGTAGTAGCGGGCACCTGTAGTCCCAGCTACTCCAGAGGCTGAGGCACGGGAATTGCTTGAACCCAGGAAGCAGAGGTTTCAGTGAGCTGAGACTGCACCCCTGCACTCCAGCCTGGGTGACAGAGCAAAACTCCGCCTCAAAAAAAAAAAAAAAAAAAAAAAGTAAATAAATAAATCAGGGATCATTGCATTGCTTTGGGGTAAAGATGTAACGTGCCCACAAGGCTCTGCTTATCCAACCCCTGTACAACTCCCCCAGCCTTACCACACCAGGCTCTGTTCTTTACCACTTGGGCCTTTCCTTTTAGTCCTCAAAGGCCCCAAGTTCTCTCCTATTCCTGGGCCTTAGCATAAACTCAACTCTCTCTCTAACCAAACCTACCCTGTGCTGCAAGAACTCCTAGTCCTCGAACTGATTTCATTTTAAGCCACACTTCTTCAAGGAAACCTTCCCTCACTCTGCAGTCTAGATAGGGTTCTTTATTATCCAACCTCCTACTGTGTTCCTTTCTTCCAAGAAGTATCTCAGTCTAGAATCACATAGTCATTTTTTTTTTCATTGGTCGATTAATGTTTATCTCCCTTCTAAACTAACAGCTCCCAGCAAGGATCAGGCCTTTTATTCCCCCTGTTGATGTCCCTACCCACAGCACAGTATTTGGCACGGCATCGGAGGCACTCAGGAAATATATTTCGTGTGAATGAATGCCCCTTCTGTGACATCTCCAAAAATAAATCACTCTTGTCGTTGAGGACTGGTACAGTTTTCTTCTCTTAAGAAACAGGCTTGCTTTTGTTTCTTTTTTTAAAATGTGATTTTTACATGCCGTCATCTTTTTCCTTTGAAAGTGATGGGTAGAAACCTTGCATTTTTTGTTCTCTTAGGTTTTTTGTATGACTGTTTCATAAATCCCCTCTCCCTTTATCATTTACCTCTTGTCTTTTTATTTTGTATTTCATTATAAGCTGTCTCAAGGCTTTCTGGAAGTACTAGGGTATCCAATAATAAATAATTGAGAGCAGTATCAACCCCAGGAAAGCCCATTTCCCTACAATTATAATGGTGTTGAAAATACTTTGTCTTTGTGTAAACATGGCCCAAAAAGAATGTGATGATTCTTTTTTCTCAATTTGTGGGAAACATTTTTAAAAATTCTTTTACTTTGCACCTGTACACTACTTCTCTTCCAAGAATATTTAAGCTTTAAGCACTTTCCAGTCATTACTTGATTTGCTGCCAATGTGCCAGTGTTTATAATATGAAGGAACTGAGGCAAAAAGAGCCAAAATTTCAGAATTAAAAAAAAAAAGTTGATAACATGAGAATGTATTCCTGGCTCTTAGTCTCTTACAGTTTCTCTCAGGTGGTATGATGCTAGGTTGATAATCATTGGTGTTGAATTATTATTGTAATTTCCTTGAATTTTTTTTTAAGTTTGAAACATTAGGTTTAATATGACGGACAATGACTGATATAACCATCATAAAATCTTTTACTTCCAACAATCTTTTAAAAAAAAAAAAATCTGTGTCTGTAATTTGAGAACATCAACAGGAAAAAAAAATTAGGCAAAAAACTGAAGCAAGCAATTTGTAAAATAGTCAATGTGATGTGACAACTAAGACATTTTATAAGAAAACATTATTTAAAAAAAAAGTTCAACAAGACTAAAACCAAAATTTTAAATATGTATACACCAGTGGTGTAATGTCGAAGGTCTAGATTTTATGGCCAAAGACTGAACTTTGTCCATATGTGAAATGAACACTTGATATTAATCAGTGATATTGGTGTTTAGCAGAACACAGAAACACTTAATAAACATACAGTTCTACACTAAAGCCATTTTCTGCCTTGGATAAGTAAAAATTTCCACAAGTTAAGACACAAATTCCTAAAATGGTTATTTTCTTCTCTTTATCACTAACAAGTTTTTTTCTTTACTGTTTCTGTACTCCTTATTTATTAAATTTGAGTTCTGCATTCACACAGCTCTTTTCCTTAGCTGCTCTATATTCTCTATGTGATATATCTCTTTCTTTTATGTTATTACCTAGCCAAATTTTGTTATTGTTGCTGGTTGGGTTTTAAACCTTGTTAAAAATTAGCTAATTTTCACGTAAACCAATTCTAGACATGGGCCATAATAATATACACATATGTGCGTGTACATATTCACAGCTCTTCTCCCCTACCCCCAAGCTGGCAAAGACCCCAAATCAGATTTTAATCCACCAAGTGTGTTACCCCGTCTGCCTATTTGTGTTAAGGTGCCCAGGATTTAGGACAAATTTAAGATCAAGTTATAGGCAGATCAAATTAGTTTGCCAGCTTAATTTCAGGGAAGTCAGGTTGTCCAGTTTATAAGTTTTTTAAAGTGTGTTGCCTTAGTTTCTTTCTTCTTTTTAAAAATTGTTTCCTATTTTTAGTTTTATTCATTAATTTATTAACTCATTCAGAAATATTTCTCTAAGTCCTGTTATTTGCTAGGCACTATCCTAGTTGTTGGGATTACTATAGTAAGTAGAAGGCACACACACACACACACACACACACACACACACACACACAAATCTCTCCAAACACAAATGATGCTCTTAGCCATCATGCAGCTCATAGTCTATTGGTAAGAAAAATTAGTGTCAATTAAACAATTACATAAAGCCATATAAAATTGTGACTATGATGAATGCTACAAAGGAAGAGTAAACACTGTGATGAGCCCTCTAATGGGAGGATTTCACCTAATCAGGATGTTTAGGGAAGGCTTCCCTGAAACATGAGTCAGATATAACTAGGTGAATAATAAAAGTGGTAGTACTGGCCAGGTGCAGTGACTCACGCCTGTAATCCCAGCACTTTGGGAGGCGGTTGAATCACCTGAAGTCAGGAGTTTGAGACTAGCCTGACCAACAGAATGAAACCCCGTCTCTACTAAAAATACAAAATTAGCCAGGTGTGGTGGTGCATGCCTGTAATCCCACCACTTGGGAGGCTGAGGCAGGAGAATTGCTTGAACTCAGGAGGCGGAGGTTGCAGTGAGCCAAGATCATGCCATTGCACTCTAGCCTGGGCAACAAGAGAAAAAGAAAAGACATTACTGATAATAATAGCTAATATTTATCGATCTCTTACACTGCCCCAGGCACTGTGATGAGTGTTTCACCTGTGTTGATGTATCTAATCTCTCCAAATTTCCAGGGAGGATGGCACAATAGTGCCTCACCACAGTTGGCAGAGGGAAACCGGAAACTGAGAGTATTCCTACCTAGGGGCCTGTGCTAGCACCCAAGTGTTTAACCATTCACCTTTTTCCTGCCTATGTGAGGAGTGGGGAAAGAATTTTCCAGGGACTGCAGCTGGTGCATAGGCCCTGGGGGGACATATGCAGCACAGTCAGTAGGAGGGGCTGAAAGAAGACCAGTGGGATTATAAAGGACAGAGGAAGCCACCAGGGTACATAACTGCCTGCATTTGCATTACATGCATCTCCAGACCCCATTGCTTCCCAAATGTGTTAGTTCAACTCAAAGGAAATCATCTTTATTCAAGGTGTAGCCGATCGCCCGTGGATGTTGTTTAAGCGGATCTACTCTAAATTACATGGAAAACCAGATAGGCTCAAAGTTATAGAAGTTCAGTACGATAAGCAAAGTGGTAAAGTTTTCTTCTTCCCCAGCCTTTTCTTTCTGCTCTTGAATGTGGAAATTATGATTTGGTGTAAAATGTCCAACCTTTTCTTTTTTTTTTTTTTTTTTATCAATATGCCTACATTCAAAATTTAAATCTTCCTAACGTGATCAGTGGTTACCTTGTTCCACTTGCAAATTGGTAAATTAGATAGCTTGAATTCAGAATAACTGCAGAACTGTAATGTAAGGTTACATTAGATCATGTCCGGGAAGAATCATTGCTATTTTTGGCTATTTGAAAATTAAGAATATTTCTATTCAGGTGGAAGTTCCACATGTAGTTAGGTGGAGAAACTTTATTGAATTAGTATTGGGACTTGACTCACTGGGATTGGGCTAAGGGACTTTCAGTCTGTATCATTATAATAATAAATACATATAAAATTTAAAAGTACATAATCACATGTATACTTAATGAATGAAAATCCTGTTTTTCTTTTCATAAGTGGTTAGTTAAATCATTCTATAATACCACTATTCTATAAGGCAATGTACGGTTTTAGAATGACTTTATATCTAAACAATACATTAAAAGTAATACTTACATGGACTGATTATATGAAAAGAATAGGACAAGGTTAAAATATAGTTTATATTTGGAATAGCATCTTCAGTGTTAATTCTTTTTCTCTTTGAATTACTAAAAAGCTGCTATTGAGCTTTCTACTTTTAATGACTTGGTTGCAGTTAAGACAAATACAAGACAGAAAATACTGTCATTACCCTAATTGGAATGTTATTTATACATTCATAATGTACAGAAAAACACACTTTAAACACTATACACACTATGAAACAAATGCAACTTTACAGATTATAAACTGGAAATAGAGAAATTGAATTTTGATTGTTAAAATTGTTATACCATGTCTCTGGTATATCATGTATTTATCTAAATAATATGTGTTGTAGGATCAGGTAAATGAGCTAGGGTTCCAGGTTCATGGGGTTCTTTTTAAATTCTTGTTACCTTCTTCTGATTATAAAATATAAATCTATTTTTTAAAATATTCAGGAGAAAGCAAAAACCTTCATAATCCCATTTTTTCCCAGAGATAAACACTTTAACAGTTTGTTTAATATCCTCTTGCTATGTATAAAGACACTCCTTCACTCACTTAAAATTGTTGTTATATACCCTTAATTCCCCTGATGGACATTAGGATTGTGTTCTGTTATTTGCTTTGGAAAATGATACTTCAAATGAGTATTTTTGTACATATACACTTAAGTGTTACTTATATAAGATAAATTACTAGAAGTAGAATTGCTGGGCTAAAAATCTTGCACAGTTAAAATATTCACCCATTTTGCCAAATTGCCCTCAGAAAGTGTACAAGTTTACACTCTCGCTAACTATACATGAGGATCTGCTTCCCCCTGCACCCACCCCCACCGCCCCCTGCAGTTATTAGCACTCAGAATGATCTTCTTTTAAAATTGTATCAGTTGGGTAGTTGAAAAGTGATATCTTATTGGAGTTTTCATTTGCATTTCTTTGATTATTAGTGACTATACGTGTTTGGAATAGGATAGGATAGTTTAAGAAGAGAAAATAAACTCAGTGGGAATAAAGATCAGGTTGATTTAGAAAGTTGAAAATGAATCTTTTATATTAGTCTATTTCTTATCTTCCAGTGTTTTCAGAATGTCCTCATTTTTTGTAAAAGTGGTTTACATGTCATGACACATACATTGAAACATTTGCTTTAGTGGGGAAATGAACAGAACTGTAGCAAAACTTTCTTTATAATGAAATTATTTTAATACCTTTCAGGCAAGAAATTAGTTTCATCAGGAAAATTGATTTAATTCAGAAGAGGTGCAGTATTTATAGCCATAACCAAGTTAAACATTTTTCTCCACTTCTATATCAAAAAATAGCTTCTAACCAGTGTATAGCTGCAACTCAATTAGTTCAGTTTAAGGTTTTCAAATGTTATTAATACTCCTCCCATCTTTATGATGTTTATTATTCTGTGCAAATCTTTGAGGTTCTTCACATAACTTTACAAAACAGACAAAAAATAACTTTCGATGGCCAGCTGAATAGCCCAAAGAAAAAGTTGCAGTCTTAACAACAGGAATTATTTCATTTCATAGAGCTGGATAGTGAAAAATGATTAAAACAGATGCTTCTGGTATTTTTATTTTTATTTTTTTAGTTTCTAAGTGCCTAAATTCACTTAAAAATTAAAACTGTAGACAGTAAGAAAACTTATTTTTTTCCCAGTAGCTTTAATTACAGTCACAAATTTAAGTGGCTGATTAATTTTCATGAACCAACCAATACTTATTGTATTTTAGAAACATAAATGGAAGGGAAATCCAGAATATCGATATTCTACAAATGGCAACTTTGCTTGTTTGCCAGAGCTGCATGCTGGGGATCTTAACTATACCATTTTTGAATAGCAGCCTAATGAGCTTGAATGTTCTGTTGAGGGGGAAAGTGAAGTACATTTTTCAGTGTCTTCTCCAGAGGTAGCTTTAGTCACCTGAACGCTGCAAACTAGGAATGGAGTTTTGATTTGCAGAGCATACCTTGTACAGCAATAGTAAAAACAGAGGATGGTTTTTGTTTTTCATGGAAATTCATTTGATATATTCTCTGGGTGTGAACCTTAGTTCTGATTTAAGGAACCCTCTTGACATACTCCTGGCCAGGAAGAGTGAAAGACTGTTTTAAATTGTCTCAAATTTTGTTCTTATTTAGAGAAAGTATTCTGTTCTAAATTCTCACTGAAAGATCACAGAATAGAAACAAAGAGGCTTTTGTAATGAAATCAGGCAGAGCCACTCATGTATTTAAAATCTCATTATCTATATCAAAACTATTTTAAGTTGTGCCCAAATCTAGATTCATCTTAACTAGTAAGAAAAAATCTTGTGGTTTTGGATGTATTGATATATCCTGGTATCACACTTTCTTTTTAATTGCAAGACAATATGACTGACTTATAAATTGTGGAAATTTTGACTATGAACCTTAAATTCTTGAGAAGAATGTCCACACAAGCTTAGGCCTTCTCTACTCTTCTAGAGTTATAAAAACTGAGAGAGGGAATTCATAGTACATCAAACCAATCTTTCTATTTCATGGCACCACATATAAACCATCACACTTAAATGAAACTCTTGTCATCATGAAAAGATTTAGGAACCTGTTCTCTGTGAATATTTGAGTTACACATTATTTTAAAATGATGTCATTAAGAAAAATCTGTACACTAATAAGTGTCTCAAGTTGAAATGTTACACTGCATATTAATTGGTATGGAAAAATAGAATGGCTGTATGGAAAACAATAGGTTCACCGTAGATATTGTTTGATAGTAACAGCCACTTGATAGGATCATGTAACTTTGCAGTGAATTTCCTCTAGTTGCCACCAAGGGAAGTGTCCTGGAGTAAATTTCAGCTGTCAATCTTGCCAGTCTTGTGATAGTATTAAAAATTAGTTTGGGATAGAAAATGAAGTGTTTTTATTTCTTTCTTACTGATTTGAGGAGGGAAAAGGGTACCTCAATTCTTGCCCAAATAGGAATTTGTCCAATAAGACAATGATGTGTAAGATAAAGAATTTTAATACTTGTACATGTTTAAGAATTTAATTTTGTTTTCTGGAAATCTTGATATTCGACTTCAAGATACAGCATAGCCAAATTGCCATAAATTGCATCTTTGTACGGAAAAGTAGTTGTTGTTTTGGGAAATGTGGTTTTACAGAATATATTGCAACCTGACACAATGAATTTTCAGCATCAGTATTGACAAATGAAGAACAGGAAACAGAGGCAAGTGAGGCGTTACAACAGACAGAGTAGAGAGGTCCTAATTTGGAGCCAAAGATTAGCTGCTTTTGATCTACCATTAAATAACTGTAATCTGGTACTAAAATCAGGGTTTTAATTTTGAGCATATGATTTGGCTATATCTTACAAGTTAAAGAACTAAAGTGAATTTTGGAGATAGTTTAATATTAATACAACCACTACTTGTAGTTTTTATTTTTTAAAAGGAATACTCAGGCAGTAAATAGGACTTCAGTGTATGTCACATTTAAGGATCTCTTTATATAGTGCCATAACTTTATGTATGTAAAAAGATACATACATTTTGCTAAAATTAGCATAAAGCCTTGTATCTGGAGCCGTGTATTCCCTCTGTGGCAATGCAGTTTTATTCCTTATGTCTTCTGTACCCTCATCAAACATATATACTTGGGACATCGGCTTCAAAGAGAATGGTCAGGTTAAATCTCCTTTTTAAATAAAAGTGAAAGAATGGCATAAACATAAATTGCAGAAATGTCTTCAGACCCTATACTGGTTCTAAGATGAGACTCTTCCTGGCAGAAAACTTTTGTTTTCTTGTCTTTAACAAGTGAATTCCACTTTCACTTCTGGGTGTAAACTGGCAGATTAGACATTTCCAAAGGCTTGTTCAGTGTGAAGTTTTTCAGGTGATTTCAGTTTAATGCGACCAGATAATTGTAGCTCCAGGGCTTAGTTAGGCTGTACAGCTGCTAATCCAGACAGTATTACCTGGTCACACGTTGTGCTTATAAGAGACACCTCTGCCTTTAATGTTCTCTCCCCACGCTGGTGATTTCTGGTTTCAGAAGTCCTATAAAAATGAGGCACACCAGGCCAAGATTAAGTCTGGGGGAAAAAAATATCGGAATATGCAGTTTCAGACAATAATGTAAAACCTTAAATCTTTTGCCAAAGATAAAATTTGATATGTTTGTGGCATGCAGTTCTACTTTATTCCTTGTCATCTCTAAGGAAATTTAGTGAGTTTGAAGACTATATCTTCTTTTTTTGATTCAGGGAGCTACTGCCCAAGCATCTATACTCTAAGCGTTTGTAAATAGTTATATCAATTACTGCAATTATTATTTGGTAAGAATGCTTCCTCTGAGTAGAGTGCAGTAATCCACTTCTCATATTTATTCCACTCAGAACCTCTTCTGAACAGCAATTGTAATGCAATATTGAATGATGATATGTTGGGATTCTGAAGGTTGTTACCTTTTTGTCTCACCCTGACCAAAATGTGGTATTTCTATTGTAGTTAATATATCAACAGATGCTTATAAATAAAAGGCAGATCTATTCATTTGTCAAACCTTTGTTAGCTCTTGTGGCCTACCCGGTAATGAACAATTGGGAAATAAAACAACGTTGGGAGAGGCAGTTTATATGTGATTAAGCCTTTCTATTGTGACATTGAATGTGAGAGATGGGCAGAAGTCCTGCTTTGGAGTACACTTTAACATGCCATGTGCAAAATGGGAATTAGGTTGCTATTGTGTTGAAAGCAAGGTGCATTATTTGGATTATGTAAGCTATGTAGGATCTAAGAGGTCAGAAAAGAAGGTAGAAATTGAGAGCCCAGGCAGTGGGGTTCAAGCAGCATAAGAAGTCAACTAACGGCAGTAAGACTACTCTGTGGCCGGGCACTGTGGCTCACTCCTGTAATCCCAGCACTTTGGGAAGCTGAGGAAGACTGATGACTTGAGCTCAGGAGTTTAAGACCAACCTGGGCAACATGGCAAAACCCCATCTCTAAAAAGAATACAACAAAAAATAAGCTGGACATTGGCGGCATGTGCTTTTAGTCCCACCTACTCTGGAGGTTGAGGTGGGAGGATCACCTGAGCCTGGGGGGTTGAGGCTACAGTGACCTGAGGTCATGCCCCTGTATTTCAGCCTGGGCAATAAACAAACAACAACAAAAAACTCAAAAAACTACTCTTGTGAAGTGCCTAGTGCAGAGCATGGCTCCCTATAGATGAGTCTTAGTTCTGCCTCCTCTTCCTTTTTACTTCCTTCCCTCTCTTTCTCTCTGCCTCTCTGCTATCCACCATGGAGAGAAAAGATGTTCTATTTTACTCTTAAGGGGTCTTCATCTGTAATCCTTTCTTTCAGCAACTTTATGTTTTCTTGGAAATTTATGTAGTTGTGTCATGGCCCTTTATTATACAAAATTCTTTCTTTGTTATCCTAGAAGGAGTCTAAAAGTAAGAAAATAAATAATTTGCACTTGCTCTTTATTCTTGGTACCTTGATTATAGAGAGAGTTGTTCCTCTTCAGCTGAGGTTGCCAACATAGGGACCACTGTATCTGCTTCTCAGTTTCTCAGTTACCATGGCCCAGCAGGGTCCTGTCTGGGCTCTGAAGATCACCAGGGATTCCTGGAGATGGAATCATTCTTTCCCTGGTCACTTTCCTGTGCATTCTCAGAAGCTGCCACTGTCCTAGGAGATCATCATTTGTGCTTGATGCTATGGAGAATTCATTGGAAATATCAGGCAAAGTTAATCCATAATTACTTCCATAGGCTATATATGTAAACAAGATAATACACATGAAATAAGTAATTAAATAAAATAGTATATTATCAATAGCAAACAAAATAAGTTCTTTATGTATGTTTAGAAAAATACAACTTGACTAGTTCAAATATTTCATAATTGTTACCTTTTTCCTTATCAGGTTGCTTATGAAAAAAAAAAAAAGTCTTACGACTTCCAGGCTTGGAGTTTATTCACATTTTAGGTTAGATTGAAGGAAATTACAAATTAAACTTTTGAAGAAAATTAAAAATTAGACTTTAACTTCTGGTTTTTAGAATGTTTATTATTAGTATCCAATAATCTACATACATGAATAAAGCTTACATTATTAACGACTTTCATATTGACCAATTAAAGTTCAATTAATCAACTAAGGTTCATTTGGTTCCATATGACAGTGAACTAGCCAGGTGTTTTTCAAAAAGTTGTAGGATATTGGAGTATCCTAGTGCCCCAAACCTTAGAAGAGCAGGACTCAGGGCATCTCTGGGAAACTCGGTCTCAGGAAGTATTAAGGGATCCTTCTTAAGATACCAATCAAATGGTTTAGCTTCCCTGACTTCCAGTAGGGGTCTGAAATGTATTTATGCCCAATAACATTTATTCATACCCACTAACATGGTAAATTCAGAGCATACGTAAGCTGCTGGGAGTTGTATTCTGGAGTCGTTACATCAAAAATTATCAATTTCTTGGCAGCTTCTCATTTTCTAGTAGACATGTACACCTTTAAAGATCAAAAGACCGTGGCAAAGTTTCTTGATCTTTTCCCAACTGATGCCCTGTTTTAGGCTTCTAGAGGATTCACTGAGTAATCCAGATCTACATTTTTTTTTTTTTGAGTTGTGGATACTGACCTATTTTTGAGGGGCTGGGATTGACCTTTCACTCAGTGCCCCCACGTGTTTATTACTTTCACCTGCACTCATGCCTTCAAGCTCCTCTACTGTGAATCATTACAGAAATACAGGCTAGAATCCCTGTGGTTAAAGGCTGAAGAACTGGAAACAAGAACTGAATTCACTTCAACAAAGAATTGGTGTCTTATTGCCAACCAAGTGCTTTGCAAATTTGAATTCAACTCTGCTTCTTGCTTATAATCTTTCCCTGGTTTCCACAACTGCATTTCAGAGTCTTTAATTAGAAGATAAGGAAACTGTAACCAAATAGTCCTGTGTACATCAGTCAGCCCAAGACTGGCCTTTGTGGTGGCAATTGCAGTGAATCAGAAATTAGCTGTTTGTGCTTCCTGGCCAATTTCTTCCATGCTAGCTTGCAACAATCTGGAATTGAAAACTTTTTCCTATGGAAATTCTAAATTTCATCTTCACAGTTTCTCAAATTTACAGGTGGTAACTCTATATCATTAAGTTAATGAATTTAATGTGTAGTCTGATTGATGAATGTAGTGGATTAGAACATCAAGCAACACCTCTCAGCACTAGGTACATAGACTAACAGATATGAGAAGAATGACACAAGTTCTTTCACCTGATTCGTCACTGTTACTTCTTTATTTTATTTTATTTTATTTATCTATTTATTTATTTTTGAGACTGAGTCTCACTGTGTTGCCCAGGCTGGAGTGCAGTGGTGTGATCTAGGCTCACTGCAAGCAGTGAACCCACTTCCCGGGTTCACGCCATTCTCCTGCCTCAGCCTCCCAAGTAGCTGGGACTACAGGTGCCCGCCACCACGCCCGGCTAATTTTTTTGTGTTTTTTTAGTAGAGGTGGGGTTTTACCATGTTAACCAGGATTGTCTTGATTTCCTGACCTTGTGATCTGCCCACCTTGGCCTCCCAAAGTGCTGGGATTACAGGCGTGAGCCACCACACCCAGCCTGTTACTTCTTTATTACTGCCAGAATGGATCATGCAAAGTTGTCTATTAGTTACAAATTCCCGACTTCTGACTAATTAAAAGGAAAGTCTTGGATATAAGTAGCTTTATTTAAAAAAATTTTAATTGTATTAGTCTCAAAAGCATAAACTAGATAAAGTTGACTATGGAAAATTAGAGATAGATGAGACTTAAGTATCATTAACATATGAAATCACTAGTTATAATGAAATTCATAAAAAATTAAGTTCATATAATAAAGCATACTTTCTTAAGAAGATAAACGTTTTGCCCTTCCTCTGGGTCTTATTTATGATATGAATTTGGCTATGATAATTACTCATAGTAGAAGGCACATTTTAGCTCAACCTTTTTCAAGATGTTATTAGTCATATTAGTAGAGTACAAATTAATGTAGGGTTTCTATTATTTTGTTTTATGAGTTTTCATTTGTTAGTTGGTTCTTTAGTTTTGAATAAACCAGAAACTTTTCTTCACATATTTGAAGTCCAGTGACCTCTAGTAATTGGAATAGATATGAACCAAAAATAAGCTTAGAAAATATTATTTTATTTACCTCTGCTAATTGAATAGATATGAACCAAAGTAAGCTTAGAAAATATTAAATTATTTTATTACTCTATGCCTCTGAGCTGCTAAGCTTTACTCATAAGATAGCTCTAATGTCATCTTTCATAGGCTATATGAATGCCTGAAGCTTGAAACAAATGTTTTCCGAGCCACAGCAGAATAATGTAGCAAATCGGAAAGATGAAGGGCCATCCCGAAGTCTTTTTAGTGTGAGACAGTACAGAGGAGATTTTAAAAAGCAAAACAAACAAAACAAAAATCTCATGCAAATACTGCAGGCGTAATAGACTGATCCAGTTTATTGTAGTGCAGGGTTCTGTCATCCTCAGCACTGTTGACATTTGGGTTAGATAATTCTTATGGGGAAGAAGTTGACCTGTGTGTTTTAGGATGTTTAGCCGCAATCTTGGCTTGTGCCCACTAGATGCTACGAGCACCCCCTCTCACTCCCACCTCACTTGGGACAAGCAAAATTGTCTCCAGACTTTGCTAAAGGTCCCCTGGGCAGGGGCAAAATCGACCCCTAATGAGAACCATCACTGTAGCATTTAACAACTCTATAAACATTAAGAATCCTTCAAAATATAATTGTGATATTTCTTAGCATAACTATAAGCCATCAAAAGGTGTTATTTTGGCCGGCGTGGTGGCTCACCAGCACTTTGGTAATTCCAGCACTTTGGGAGGCTGAGGTGGATGGATCACCAGAGGTCAGGAATTCGAGACCAGCCTGGCCAACATGGTGAAACCCTGTCTCTACTAAAAATACAAAAATTAGCCAGGCGTGGTGGTGCACACCTGTAATCCCAGCTACTCGGGAGGCTGAGGCAGGAAAATTGCTTGAATCTGGGAGGTGGAGGTTGCAGTGAACCGAGATTGTGCCACTGCACTCCAGGCTTGGTGACAAACATTGTTATCTTTAGCCCTCTCTCTTTAACATGATAGGTAAATATGTGGTGTATTTTAGGAAGCTTTACATTCTACTGATTGAAATTTTTTAAAAATTGTATTGTTTATATGGTAAATGTCAGTAATTTCAGAAATTCTGGCACACAGAATCCTTTAGATTCTTGTGACACTGAAAAAATAAATGATCGAATATGATTTTGCAAAATATTTGCCTTCTCAATTATGCTGTGAAATATTATAGGTCCTCTGGCATGACCCTTTCAACTGATACTAAAATTATCTTTCTTTTCCCAAGCACACATTATAGAACAGTAGGCAGAAACTGCCCTAGCACAATAGGAAGTATGAGGAAGTTGGCCTCGGATTCCGTGTGTAGATTTGGACAGACCAAATTGGATATGAACCAAGAGCATGAAACAAAGTTTCCCTAAAGATTGTTCTTGATAGTTTGGAAAGCAAGTTGTGCCTTTCGTTTATTATTTTGAGTACATTTTCCTAGATAAAAGTCATGGTACAAGTTCTGATCTTTGATCTGTTCATCCTCGAGCATGTTGAAGACACATGATTCTATTATCCAGCTTGTTCTCTCCTGGGATCTATTAAAAAACCTGTCTGGTTACTTAATGCCAAATATGCACATAGGTCTTCCTTGTGCTGGCTGCATCATATCCCAATAGGGACAAATAGCAACGTTGACAATTTCATTCACTGCAGTCTTATTTTGAATGTCCCAAATTCAGAGAACTCACAAACCTTACCAACTAGGTGTTGCCTTCTAGAAAACCCTCATTTGGAAAGACAACTGTGTGGGTAGATTGTCCAAAGCTAACTTAAAGTTCGCTTACACAAAGGTATGTGCAACTTTGAAGTCTGACTTGCCACTTAAATTTAACTTTTTCCCTTTTCCACATTTTCACAATATTCTTTGATCCTCAATTCTGTAATTGTGCCTCTGTTTCCTTAACATAATTTTAGTTCATTGTATTAAGCTATGGTTTCTGTGTTTCTGTGGCATACTTTTTGCTTGTAAATTTTTCTTTATATTTGTTTCGTCTTCATAATCATCTACAATTTTATAATTTGTATTGATTAGCTTTTCTTGGTGTGCTTTTTAAATTTTCATTGTTATTCATATTATTATATTGGTTAGGATGTTCTCTAAAGTTTTTAACCCTTATCCTATTTTTCTTGCATTTATTTAAACATTATCCATTTTCTCATTTCGTTTGTGTGACTATTATCTTGTATTTTCTATCGGTTTTCACATTTTTGTCTTTCATCATGAAGTTAGGCATAAGAGGGAACAGCTGTGAAATCTATGCTCTGAGAACAGTTTCTGAATATTTTACTACTTCAATCCCCTAAAGCCTACTCAAAAACTTCAGGTGTCAACAACTCAACTTATACAGGAGCCAGACAGACTGGTGAGGACTGGGATGAACCCAAGGGCTATGTGTTTTTATCACATGGTGGCTTCCATTTAATACCAGTAGATTGCTGCCATGTGGAAGGGTGGGCATAGCATTGACAGATCATCCAAGTTTTTTTTTAAGTGTCGGAAATATGGATATTATATGGAATGTCTCAATTTCTCAATAGTGGAAAATACTTTTTTAAAAATGTGAACACTACATAGGCCGGACAGAATACCAACACAGTGAGTGGTATGCAGGTACTTCTCAAAGCTATTGCAGTGGCCATGAAAGCCAGGTTACATACATTTTTCCTTTGCCAAGATATCTAACCAATAGAATTATTCATTAAATCAGGAGGTTTGACTCATATCAAGTCATTCTTAGAGCCAGAAATCAGCAATATTTGGCCTGCCTTCCTGTCCTGGGGCATGTCTCTAGCAACTTTGATCTTAATGATCAGGATTATTCCCTTGAAGGATTCTTCCTTGTCTCAGGAATAGATTTACTTTCTTATTGTTGGTTAATTGAATCCTGAAAGTATTAAGTATTAGTATGCTTCTCTTTGTGTCAAGAAATTGTTCTTACATCTTTACAGCCATAAGTGTGGCTCTGTCATTGTTCTTTGTTATTTTGATTTTGCTGCTACCTATAGAACTCTTGTTAAATGTAAGGAAATTTCTGGAGTTATCCCCATATTTCAGAAGCTCTGAAAGGTTAGCAAAGTATATTAAGAATTTTAGAGAATATTGTGTGAATAGAATGTTACATAAACAGGAAGATGAAAATTGATGAATGAAGTCAAAAATAGGTAAGCCATTACTGTCTTTGGAGAAAATATTGTAAGCCTGCTCACAAGATACCATGGTAGGTGGACAGGGAAAAAAAAGAAAAAACACAGGTGAATGAAAGGCAAGATGGAATCATCTGAAGTGGATTTTAGAAAGTGATTGTTCCTAGATTGAGTTACAAATTTGTTCAGAACGTTTGAAGATAATTATAAAATCACAAAGAAATTGGTAACCCTAAAGTAGATTCCTAGTTTCTGAATACCTTTTGTTTTGGATCCAGCACTGTTCTAGGAACAGTTCAGGACAGTCAAACTGAAAGTAAATGGATTTTTAAAAAATACTTTGATATATATCATTCAACACTCAAAACAGCCCTATGAAGTGATCAGAAGAATTATCATCCTCAAGGAAACTTAGACCAAGTAGAGTACATAATGCTTTCGAAGACACACAGTTAGTTTTTAGGTGGAAGGAATATAACTGTGGGCCCTTTCATGCCTACTCTTTTATGCCATTCTACCATATCAGCAGTGGTAACCGGCATAGTCGTATCAATCACAAAACGTGGTGAGGAATCCCTTACTCTTTGTGAGTATATGTGTAGAGACATTAGATAAGTTTCTGAGTAACCGACAGTGTATCTTTCACTTTGTTGTGGAGTTAATCTTTAATACTGGTTAGAATGTACAAGCAGCCAATGGTAAACCTCTAGCCTATACTTCCTTTTGATTGTATAGCATTTTCAGTTGGTTGAACCATATGCTTGAGACTTTCTTCCCCCTAGAGTTGAGTTTATGATTGAGCTTAGCAAAATCTAAACCGTTCATATTAGATAGGTGAGAAGTAAGAAAATCAGTCACAAAACAGTCCTGGGGGATTTGCTTGTTTCATCCATTTGCAGAGTTTCCACTGATTATTCTAAACATGTGTGTTGAAAACAGGAAAGAGAGCCTTGTTACTGAAGTTTAAAAATAAAATAATTCTAATGTGGTCATATTAACTGAAATTTGAAGAGCAAGAGCAGCTCCTCTGAATAATGGCTCTCTTCATCTACTGGTCCATCTCAAAGTAAGAGCTTCAATATGAAATAACAAAGGTCAGAGCTGGCTTTCTGTGCACCTTGTTGCTTCTCTTATTTCTTCTCTTAATCCTATTGAAACCTGTGATTTAGATAACGGAAATTTCCTGATTTGAATTCTTCAAAAACGGGGAATGCAAAATGAGGACCAAGTACTTTACTAGTCAGGTTTTGTTATTCAGCTGTTCTCTCAATTTTCAGTGCCACTTTTTAGATTTATCTTGTCAAGAAGCAGGGAAGAATAAGAAGTCAATATCATGACTGTGTGCTTTTGCTTTGACATGATATTTATGTACATTTATATGAAAGTTACCAGGAAACCTCTGAAAATTGCAAAATTTGAGCTTTGTGTCAGGGCATGATTCTTGCATTTTACAGTGATCTAAGAGGGTATGTTACTCCTGGGACGGTGTCGGCTTTGTTTTCCTTTGTTTTTATCATCTTCTAGTTTGAACCCTGATCTTAAGTGTAAAAGTTCAGCCTGACAGATTGTCCATTTTCTTTCATTCCAACCTCTTCTCTCTCTCCTTCCTCGGAGTCCCTCTCTTTCTCCAGTGGGTTGCACTTTTCCTGGGAGTAAACAGAAGATGTTACATATATTAACACTAAGCTGGGGTACAATGTGCTTGGGTGTGCTCTCTGCAATTCCCTGGCAGTCATAAATTAATTAAAAGTAGACAGGAACCACGGAAAAAGAAAGTTATCCGTTTTTCTACCCCTCCCCCAGCTTTTTTTCTTTTTCTACCGGTAAATAGCTGGTTCCTTTGTTCCTGGCTGCACTATTTCATTTCTGCCATCATTGTCCTCATTGTTCTCAGAAACAGGAGGGGTCTGGGCCAGGAGCAGCAAGGTCTCAGCTAATGACGGGAAGTCTTTAAAGTTTGCGCTGCATTTCATCTTCTCTGTGGGAGTTTTAGGACGTCTCCAGTGTTTGATCCCTACCGTGCAACTTTGCTTCTAGTTAATTAACAGATCCCCCATTACACACTCTCATCTAGAAGCACATGGGAGGCCTATTGGGAGGTAATTCAAGGCCAATCTGAGTGATGGCAGGAATGAGAGAAATCAGTTGTTTTAGGGCTAACGTTCAGGAAAGAAAGATGTCCCATTTTAGGGATCTCATTTGAAATTTTTGATGATTTCTCTTTTCTATTAAAAAACAAGATAGGGGAACTGTTTTGTCCACATAACCTTATGATGACCAGTGAGGGCAGTTTGAACTTAGAACTCTTTATAACTGCCTGGAATAAAAATAAAAATGAAAAAGAAAGACAATATTATCAGATGTGGCAATATTAACAAGAATTTTGTTCCCCCTTTTATTGCTAGCGGTCTTTTTCCTGCCCAGCCTATTAGCCGGGTCACAACCATCCATAGCAACTTTTTCAGGGCACACAAGGCGTAATAGCTGGCAGGGACATGTCAGTGGCTCATTTTACAGCCAAGGCTGAATTATATACTTTGTTCTTGTGTTGCTGCTTTTGTTCCAAGGGTGTCAAAGTGATTTACAAATAATAAATGACATGGCTCAATATTAGGATCCCTTCCTCTTCTAGTCTCTTTCCAGATGAACATTGCAAAACAAAGCACATTTACCCAAAGTTAGAAGTTAGCATATGAGTGCCAAGAAAGCAGCCTCTGCTTTTCCTGACCATGGTTAGCCTGGGTTTTGATGGCCTTTGAAAAGGGAATGCCTTGTTTATTTTTTTTTTCTTATGCTTCTACAGTTTCCCCAGCCCTATGAGCAATGACCCCCTTTATCTAATGAATTAGGAGCTACTCCTGCCTTGCAATTCTCAGTTCGACACTTGGCAATGAGAATCAAACCGGGGCTATTTAGTGCAGCAGTAAATGGCCCGCCACATTAGCCCCCTGGCATGCTAAGCTATTAGGTTGTTTTACTGTTGTTAAAGTTACATTTGTTAGGTGGAGTTGCTGCCCTTCCACACAAACTCGGCGGTGCCTGATGCTGGTGGAGGCAGCACGTGTACAAAACGTGTGCCATCCACAACCCAAGCGGTCAGGTGGTGTGGCTGCACTACAGATAAGGGGCGTTCTCCTGTCTGCCAAAGTGGGGATATGGATTGTTGTAAGTTTTAAAACGAGAAATTGGGGTTGGGGGAGAACCACTGGACAATCATGGGTCTTGCACTTTGTTGTGAATAAACTAATTATATGGGCTCGATTAACCATTAATTTATAGCAGTTCTTAAGTGAACCACTAATTGTCAGAATGCCATGGAGAAGGAAGGCCAGGGGTGAGAGGCACCAAATAAGCTGGTGTGGCCTTCTGCAGCAGGCCAGCAGCCAGTGCCGCACACACACTGGAAGCTGGGCAGAATCCCGAGGAGTTGAAAGATTAGCATGGAAATGAAGGAGAAATATTCAGGGTGCTTCAATGGTATGTATGTGGGGTGTGTGCATGCATGCATGTGTGAGAGAGACAGACACACACACGCACACACACGCACACACACACAGAATATTTCTGCAAAGAAAGGAAGATGCCAGTACTATATAGCTCCATGCAGCCAGCTTGCAGGGTTGAGTTGGCATTTGGTAACTTGGTAGCGGCTGCCAGTGTGTGTGTGGTGGGAGAAGAGGGAATAGACAACAAGAAAAACACATAGAGCTTAAAAAAAGATGTAAAATGATTCACTTCATGCCATATGGACAAAAATGTTGTCACAAAAATAAGGCCAAAAAATAGTGCCAGGTTAGACTTTTAGTTCAAAAACATATGTATAATCATCCCCATGAACATGAATTTTAATTAGTATTTTGATAGAGAGAAACCAGATATTTTTTTAACCTGCTCTGTTCTTGTTTTCTGTTCCTCTCCCAGTTTTAGCCTCCATTAAACATTCATATACTGTATGTTTTGTGTCTGTATGAGGAAAATGCTTTATCCCTGGATTGGTGGGAATGCAAACATCTTGGTTTTCTGTGGCATACAAAATATCTTCCCAGTGGAGCTCGAAAGCAGAAGCTTATCACAGGGAAATCTAGAGCTCTCTCTGAGACCCGGGCACACCAGGGAGGAAGGAAGCCATATGCCTTTCTCTTTGTCAGTGGAGACATCTGCACCCATTCGGTTCCCCAGATCCACTCTTCACACCCATCCACATCTCATCTCTCTGGGATGCCTTTTAAACATGAAATAAGTTTTGTATGTATGCATATTATTATGTGACAGGGCAGTTTTGGGGAAAATGGATGATCGTGACTACAGAGACTTTAAAAAATGGAACATGTAACTTATTAGTAAACTCTATGCTTTCATTTTACTTATTAGTTACACAATACCTACTTCTTAAAAAGGATTTGAGATGACAGTACTCATCGAAGGATACCGTGCTGAATCATCTGCCCTTAGCAAAGCTTTTCTCACTTTAAATGAGGTGCTTCGATTAGTGCCCTGTATGTGATAATTAGATGATGAGACAGCAAAATGCTGATATTAGCAATGATTTTGCTGCTTAGGAGGCCATTCACACCCCAGGTTCCCTCACCGCCCCCCACCAAAAGAATGCAGGTGAATCAGGTATTTGTATTATAAATGATACAAGTGAATTTTAAAACCTGGTATTAACAGTCAATCAAATCTTGGTGCAGAAGCATTAACCTATTTCACATTCTTTAATAGAACCTCTGAGCTTTCCTCTCACCATTAGTGATATTTCAGTCCACTTCAAGGGTAAAAGGAAAATCAACAATGGTCTTAGAAAAGGTAAATTTCACCTCCCATGTAGAGTCTCTCAGAGATTTCTCAGACTTTTGTTTTTGGCAAACATGAACACAGACGTTCTTCATTTCTCTCCTCTTCCCTTCCTGGGGAAGCTCTGGTCTCTTTAGTTAGAATAATATGTCCCCCAGGCGCCTGTTGAGGACACCCTCTTGGTGCTGGCAGGTTTTTCTGGGCTTGCTGTCTGACGTCTGCTGTTTCCTCAAAGCATTAGTCATCATTCCTGTAAGGGTTACAACAACAGAATGAATGTGTTACTTGGACAAACAGCAGCCTCAAGCCACAAACCAGGATGCACCCTGTCCATTACGTCCATTACGTAGGAACTGCAGGAAAGGTGGTCTTTACCTCATCTCCAGGCTGTCTCATTTTCCGAAGAGTAGGAAAAAGCTCTTGCTAAATACACCTGCCTGCCTTCAGAACTCTAAATCAGGCTTATATTTGCTGAGAACTATCCCCAAGCTCTTGTGTCAGACTGCTGTTGGATCCAGTAGATTTATTCATTCATTCATTCATTCATTCATTCATTCAATCACTGTTTTGAAACCCCTAATATAAGTTCTAAATTTAAAGAAAGTTTAGAGTTGTTTCTTGCTACAGAAGTATTTGTACAGGCCGGGCGTGGTGGCTCACGCCTGTAATCCTAGCCCTTTGAGAGGCCAAGGCGGGTGGATCACCTGAGGTCAGGAGTTGAAGACCAGCCTGGCCAATGTGATGAAACCCCAACTCTACTAAAAATACAAAAATTAGCTGGGCGTGGTGGCGGGTGCGTGTAATCCCAGTTACTCCAGAGGTTGAGGCAGGAGAATTGCTTGAACCCAGGAGAAAGAGGTTGCAGTAAGCCGAGATCGTGCCGTTGCACTCCAGCCTGGGGGATAGAGTGAGATTCTATCTCAAAATAAATAAATAAATAAATAAAATAATGAGGAAGATCTCTATGCAGTAATATGGAAGACATTTCCAAGAAAGATTCTTAGGTGGAAATTTTAAAGAAAACTTCAAAAGTATATATGGAATGCTGTCTTTTGCATAAGAAAGAAGGGCACATAAGAATAAATACATACATTTGCTTGTTCCTGCAATAATACAGGAAGTATAAGCCTTAATCAAGAAAATAATAATGTATATTGTGTGGGTGTGAATGAATAAAAGGGATGGGGATGGAAGTGAGTCCAGAGTTATCTTACATAGTTTTTTTTTGAACCATGAGAATATTATATATGTTTTAAAAGTAAATTTTGATCGAAGATGAGAACATATCTGAGATGTTAGATATTAACTTGGATGGAAAGCCCAATGGTAATCATTGTTAATGGTACTTCAGGCCAATACTCTCCTAAAGAACAAAGAGAAGTGAAGGGGGAAGCACTTAAGAGATTGATTCCTACTGACTTGTACATATTACTGGTACTATCCCACTATATTTAATACTTAAACTTTACGTTTCTTTGATTCCTACAACTAACAGGAATTCCTTCTCCTTTTCTCCTACCATCCCTTTTGGCGAGAGACGAGAATAAATGGAACTATTAATCATTTTTTCTACTTTTACAATTATAATTTGAGTCAGTGATGTGATTTCTTATATATTCTGGGAAGAGGGGATATAGTATCTATGCAAATTATTTGCCAGTTTGTAAGTCATTACAATCATTAAAAATATAACACCATCATAGGAAATATTACTTGCTTCCTAATGAACCATATTGTCTTTCTGCTTTAATTTTTATTTACAACATCAACAATGACAATGAAGTACAGTTTTCTACTAATGTGTAACCAACTCTCCTGAGTGTGTAGCATGTGCTTTTGGTGTTAACTATTTTGGAGACAAGAAATTAGCCATTGTTGAAATTATTTTAAGAAAATGAAATGTAACTCTAAGTGGGGAAAAAAAAAAAAAACCTCTGATAATTGTTAATTTACTCAACTAATGGCTTTTCCTGATGCCCAAAAGTTTTAAAGTTTCAAAGCTTTTTCCAATTTTCTTCCCTAAATGACTTTATTTTTTGGGTTGTTACAGTGCTTTTGTGAAACAAAGATGTGACTATGTGTATCATTGAAAAACTGGCTTGTATTGGACCTCCTTTAAGCACTGAGCTTTTAAAGAAAATTACTGGTAGGCAAGCTGATTTTGGTGATGGGTTAGGTATAACTAGAGATTCATGTTCTCAAATTTTGGTCCTGACATTCCTTTCCACCTGAGCGAAGGAAAGAAAGCGGAGGGTATGTTCGTGTCACAATGAGGTTTATACTTTTGATCTGGGTAGAATTTGTGTTCGATATAACCAAAATGTATGGATACCTACTGTGTGTCTAGCACTTAAGTAATTTCTTTTATCCAATGGCCATATAATTAAATAAGCAAAATTTCACCCAGGGGCGGCAGTCTGAGAATTCAACACACTAAATAGAAAACTAGAAGATGGGAGAATGCTGTGTAAAGAGAGAGTGAGCACCCTGTGTGTTTCTAAAGAGAATGGAAGGAATTTATTCAGCCTATGTAGCCTCTGTGTGGGTAAGGTTTTAGTTATGAGATAAATCAATGATCACAATATTAAATAAGTCATACCATTGCACTTATCAGTGCTCATGCAGTGACATAGTGAAAAAAATAATGAAGTAGAAACATCAGTTCCCTGTATCAAAAGCTATGAGATATAAATACTCCCAGCCAAAGAAGGCAAGATCTGAAATTTTTTAAAAATGTGGATATATAGAATAAATATGCAACCCTCCTGATAATGTTGGCTGATGAAGTGAAATTCACCAACTGTAATTCTGGCACAGAGAGACACACATAGTGCCTGCATACACACACACACCCACACACACACACATACATCCTCAGAATATTCTTAATCATTTGCTATCTTATTTACATTTCATTTGCTAGAGTAAATTCTATCATTTGAACTTTTAAAAAATATATTTCAATATTAAGCAAAAATAAGGAATAATGTGATTGGCTTTCAAATAGCTTATTACCATTCAAATACTCTCTAGATAATTTATATTTAAAAAGGCGAAAAAAAAAAGAAAGAAAAAAAGAAAAAAACTGTGTCAGCTTCCGAAACATTCTAAATGGAGACTTAGCTCTAAGTAATCAAAATTGCTTTAGTTGTGCAGAGCAGCATTAAAAGCCTCGTCCACTAATTGAGTGAAGCGGCACAACTGAAGCAGCCTTGTCCCTCATTAGATGATCTTGCAGGCACTGTTTGTCATCCTGGGTTGCCGGGCTCAATCTAATAGTACTGCTGGCTCAAATTAATGGTAATTCGTTATGACACACTATGTCCTTCCAGCGAAACAACAATGCGAAGCCAGTGGGGCATCTGTCTACCACTGCTGCTTCTTGATCTCTTTCCTTTCCACTTTAGTTCATGCGACCACCTTTGCATAACGCTTCTAAATTCTTTAGCTAACTGGTGATTGGAGATGCCACCTGCCTGAAGAATTGCGTCCAGTTCTCTTCCACTAGTGTCACAGAAAAAGCATCTCTAACAATAGGTCGAGTCAGTCTGAAACGTGATGACATTTTCTAACGGAAGCAAAACTCATTCGTGTGTGTATGTTTTTTTGTTTGTTTGTTTGTTTGTTGTTTTTTGTTTTTGTTTTTGTTTTTGTTTGAGATAGGGTCTCACTCTATTGCCTGAGCTAGAGTGCAGTGGTGTGATCATAGCTCACTGCAGCCTCAACCTTCTGGGCTCAAGCGATCCTCCCACTTCAGCCTCCAGAGTAGCTGGGACTACAGGCACATGCCAACATGCCTGGCTAATTTAAAAATTTTTCAGTATAAAGATGGCCTTGCTACATTGCTCAGGCTGGTCTCAAAATGCTGGCCTCAAGCAATCCTCCTGCCTTGGACTCACAAAGTACTGGGATTACAGGTGTGAGCCACTGTGCCAGGCCTGGGACTTCTTTTGGAATGTAAATACCTCACTTGTATCTAATCATGGGGAATATTAATAAGAAATCTTGAGATACAGTGTTCATGAATGTGATGTAAATCCAAAGACAATGAATATTTTCTGACTCTTTGACTTTGGTTATTCAATACCTTTTGGAGGAAACTTCATGTTTATGTGATGAGCATTGCTGTTCAGAATGCTGCTTTTCTATTCTTAAGTGCAGATAGAATGCTGGAAAATGTTCTAACAGTGATGCAATCAGCCACTTCCTCCTAGCAACTCTAAATTGTGTGTTTGTATCAATCAGTTTATTGTGTTCATTCAAATAATTTCATCTGTCTGGAAGGATGACTCAACTCTACACATGAAGAAACATCTAAATAATATCTGGACATGGCTTTTCATTTGAAATCCTCGAATTACCCATGAATAGAGAAAAGGTCACATGTATTGACCAGTTGACTCTGCAGTTTTGAAAGTGGTGATGCTTAGTCAGTATGGGGTGCCGGACAGTTGTATCACCCACTGTTTTCCCAAGGTTCAGCCTTAGTCTCACTGTAGGGTGTCTATTCCAAGCAATATGGGCACAGTGTGATTTTAACAATGTTAAAAGCTTGCCTACCACCATACCATGTATTGTTTGAAATCCCACAATTAGATTCAGTCCTTTGGGCTATATATTTTTTAAATGTTTCTTAGCATAATCTAATTGCTTGGAAGAGCTAATATATTACAACTAGTTATCAGTAATCATTTATTCATTTACTTATTTCTATTAATCCTATCCCCTCCCAAAACATGCTCTAACAAAATCCTTCAGTTCAGAACTAGTTCCCATTCCCTCATTTTGCGAAATTCTTGCATAAAACCTAGATATATCGCTTTTACATGGTAGTTTGTAACGTGCCTTGATGAACGCCTGCTTTTTCCATTAAATCTGCTCCACCCACATTCAGTCTTCACAATTTCAGCGAATAGTAATTCCATCCTTCTATTTGCTCGTTTTAAGCATGTAGGAGTCATCCTTGACTCCTAGCTTTCACTCATACCCCTGTCCAGTCCACTGGCAAAACCTCCGTGCAGAAAAAAAAATTCCACATTCACCACTGCTACTCTGGCCCAAGACAAAATAAACCATTGCCTGGAATATTAAAATAGACTCTACCCTGACCTACTTTAAGCTTATTCTTAACATAGCCCTGGAAATAAATAGGGACATTTTTGGTGGTCAAAAGACCAGGGCAGTTCTACTGGCATTTCATGGGCCCAGTTTAGAGACACTAAATGGCCTGCCATGTGCTTGGTGGTGGGGGGGAAAAGAGGAGCTGTCCACTCAGAATGCCAATAACAACCTCACTGAGAAATATTGAACCAATTAAAACCTAAGTCACCTGATTTTCCACTTATGCTCAAACCTCCACATTGGCTTTTAATTTTTCTAAGAACAGAAGCCAGTATCCTAACTATGGCCTACAAGGCCTTACACAACCCTTGCCTTCCCCTGGCTTATCTGACCTCACTTCCTATTACTCTTGCATTCACTCACTCCATTGCAGCCACTCTGAAAATACAGTATGCCATCGTGCTATTTACTCTGTATGAAAAGTTCTTTCCCCAATTTACACATCCCTCACCTCCTTACTCATATATCTTCTTTTCTAGTCACCCTGCTTAAAATTGCAGATCCTGCTCTCAGATTCTTGTCTACAAACTGTTTTTGTCTCCAAAGCACTTGTTGCTATTTAATACATTGTGTTGTATTCTTGTCTTTCTTTACTCACCAGACTGTAAGCTGCATGAGAGATTTTTGTCCATTTTGTTCCCTGCTGTGATCACATTGCTTAGAATAGTATCTGGCAGGTAGTAGGTGCTCAGTGGGCAGTTTTTGAGTGAATAAATTTAAACTTATAACAACCTTAGGTAGTATTGCATTAAGAAATGGAGATTTAAAAGCTGAAAGAGGCCAGTAGATTTGTCAAGAGACACTTAACTAGTAAAAAGAAGAATTTACACATGTTCTCATGAATACATTTATTCATCTACTAAGTATTTATTAAACTCTTATTTGAAGTCGGGCTCTGTTTTAAGTGCTGGAGGTAAACCAATGAACAAAATAGACATGGTTATAAAACAAATTAATTTTAGAGATGGCAAGTGCTATATAGGAAAGAAAGGAAAGGAAGAAGGAGGAGTGATGGATAGGGTGGAGGAGGCCTTCATGTCTTGTATTTTTTTCACTATAACCTGACTAGCTCATTTCCATATTAGTAACAATTACTTTATTTAATGCATTAGCAAACACTTGAAAACAAAATGGGGAATTGATACACAGGCATAGTTTGAAGAGGTTATGTGATATATTGGGAAGAAAATGGATTTTGACATCAGGCCATCCTGAGTTAAAATCTCAGCTCTGTCACATGGGACCATAGACAACTAAGTCCAACCCAGTATCCTCATTTGTTAAGTGGAGTTAACCATGGGCACTTCATGGGGTAGTTGTGAAATCAAAAACCAGTGTAGATAAGGTGTCTAACACGAAACACAATAAGTCAATACATGTTTTCTTCAGACTTTCGGCTACTACATAGGAAGTGGAGTAAAATGTGATATAAATCCAAAGATAATGATAGTTTTCTGACTCTATGAGTTTGGTTATTCAATACTGTTTGGAGGAAACTTCATGTTTATATGATGAGCACTGCCGTTCAAAATGTTGCTTTTCTATTCTTAAGAGCAGGCAGAATGCTAGAAAAAGTTCTAGCAGGGATGCAATTAGATACTTCCAATTGGATGGGGTGCACCAGTAGAGATCTGTGTGCTGTGGTGGAAGACTGGGTATGAGGGGACTAGGTGCCAACTTAGAACCTTTGGAAAACATTTTTTTGCCCCGTTTAAATAATAACATATAACCTATGTATGTTTTGTCACTTTATTTAATAGCCCTTTTATTATTAGGAAAGTTATAAAATTTCTTGGAGAAATATTTAGAAAATATAGTTTAGCAAAACAAGAAAGTAAAAAATTCCTGTAATTCTGAATTAGCACTGTAACGTTGCATATTTATACTTTGAATCATTTTTATATCGTGTGAATGTGTGTGCATCATTAGTTACATAAAGTACAAATCCTCTGATTATTTCCCAAAGTTAATACTTTGGAACATTAATGTTTTGGAAGAAAATTAATGTTATTTGATAATTATTTATCTCAGTGGTTAACTATATAAATGCTATATCTACTTGATGATAATGATGATACTATCTTCTATATCTAGTATAAATCATCTCACTTATTTTATCACTGGAAATTTCTACCTTGTAATTTTTCACATTATTTATTTATATACATTACAATATCTGCTGTTACCTCCTAACACAGAATTCTTGTCTGATTAATCTACTTAACTTTCAAATAGGCAGGAAAAAAAAGCTATTAACATTAATTACCGAGTTATGTAAGCCATTAGTTCAATTAATCATCACTTTAAAGATGAGGAAACTAAGGCTCAGAAAGGTTTTACCACCTATAATAAGTTGAGGCCTGAACTCAAGCTTACATCTGTGTGATCCCAAAGTACATGTTATTTTTATCTCTCCATTCTGCCTTATCTTATATGCAATATCTTATAATAAGTGCTTGAGAACTTTTTGTTGAGTAAATGAACAGATGAATGGTTGGATGGTTTCTGTTCAACAAATCCCCAATTTAACTCAAAGCAATGTGCATGAGGGATTGGAGCCTTATTTAAATTTCAGTGGCAGAAAATACACTTGAATAGTAAAATATGTTTTAACTAAACAGAGAGGTTAGACACTTAGGTGGTATAACTGGAATTGAGGCTGTTTAATCATATAACTCTTATGATCATGAAATTGGATAAATGTGAGTCTCTTAGGTTATGTAGCCTCTTGAGTATTTCATTAAATGCATTCTTATTAAAATTAAAGATTAAATAGATAGAAGTGGGGAACTTCAATTTTATGTCGCTGAAATTTGATGTTTTTAGAAGTTTGAATTATTGTGGAGACAAAATAGTTGTATATGTTTTTAAGGCACATGTGATATGTTTATTTGAGCACACAATGTGTAATAATCACATCAGGGTCATTGGGATATCCATCAACTCAAGCAATTATCGTTTCTTTGTGTTAGGAACATTTCAATTCCACTCCTTTAGTTATCATGAAATATATAATAAATTATTGTGAGCTGTAGTCACCCTATTGTGCTACCAAACACTAGATCTTATTCTTTCTAACTGTATTTTTGAACCCTATTAATCATCCCCTTCTTATTCCCCCTCTTTCAAAATTTGATGTTTTTAAAGCAGGTGTTTTCTCATTTATTTATCTATTTTGGTTTTGCAGCTAAAATTTTCTTTTATAACAGTCACTCTCAAATTGATAATTCAAAAATCTCTATGGTTTTACAAAATTCTAAAATGTCTATGATTTCCAACTATTAACAAACTGTATTCTAAAAGTTGCCATACTTTGAGTTAAAAAATATTTCTACAGTCTAAGCCTTGATAAAGAGACAGTGACACTTGGATTGTATTACAATACTTGAGTACTGTTGAAAGACTAATCTCTGAAGACTAATTTAAAAGTAGAACATCTTCCTATTACACATTTTATTATTAGTTTTTAGCCATGGTATGCCATTAATGTTATGTATCAGGGAGTAATCTGCATTTATTTTGTATTATCTTAACATTGTTAGATTTTTCAAGGTAGATGTATATACTTTTTTAAAAAAAGATAATGAGACTAAGTTGATGTGTTTTTGTTTCATAGTATGTAATTTTTAAAAGACTTGTTTGTTGAGTTATAATTTATGTACCATACAATTCATTCATTCCAAGTGTTCATGTCAATGTTTTTTAGTGAGTTCATGGATTATTCAGTGTCACCACTACCCAATTTTAAAATATTTCCATCTGACAAAAAGAAGCTTTGCACTCATTTTCACTCTCCATTACTCCTCCAGTGTTCCCCCATAACTCTAGGTAGCCGTTGATCTGCTCTCTGTCTCTATAGATTAGCCTATTTTGGACATTTCTTATACTTAGAATTATACAATATATGGTCTTTTGTCACTGACTTCTTTCACTTGATAAAATGTTTTTAAGATTCATCTGTGCTGTAATATGTATTGTATTCCTTTTTAAGGCTGAATAATATTTCACTGTAATGGATGTACCAAATTTTGTTTATTCATTTGTCAGCTAGTTAAAAAAACATTTAGATTATTGGTAACTTTTGACCATTATAAATAATGCTGCTTTGAACATATGTATACACATTTTTGTTTGGACATAGGTTTTTATTTCTCTTGGGTATACACTTAGGAGTAGAATGGCTGGGTCATTTTGGTAACTCTATTTGTAAACTTCTAGGAATTGCAAACCACTTTCCATAGCAGCTGCAGCATTTCATATTTCCACCAGCAATCTATGAGCGTTCCCACGTCTCTATAGCCTCACCAGTGCTTGTAATTATCTGTCTTGTTTTTATAGCCATCCTAGTGGATATATAGTGGCATGTCATTGTGGCTTTGGTTTACATTTCTCTAATGGATAATGATATTGAGCATCATCTTTGTACATCTTCTCTAGTGAAATGTCTATCAGATCTTTTGCTCATTTTTAAATTAGTTATTTGACTTTTCATTATAGAGTTCTAAGAGTTCTTTATACATTGTGGATGTAAGTCAGTCCCTGGTCAAGTGTATCATTTGCAAATATTTTCTCCCATTCTGTAGGTTGTCTTTTCACTCTCTCGATAGTGTCCTTAGAAGGAGAAATGTTTTTAATTTTCATGTCCAATTTATCTGTTTATTTCTTTTGTTGCTTGACATATCTATTGGTATTGTGTCTGACAACCCATTGCTAAACCCAAGGTCATGAATATTTACATTTTCTTCTAAGACTTTTATAGTTTAGTTTCTACATGTAGGTGTATGTCATCCATTTTGAGTTAATTCTTATTTATATATGAGATAAGGGTCCAGTTTAATTCTTTTGCATGTGAATATTTTGTTATCCCAGAATAATTTATTGAAGATTGTATTACGTTCTAACACTAATTCTCTTACGTCAGCTGGGTGTCCTGTAGTTCAATTCAATCTGACGCTAACTATTTGCAGTTAACATCAGATCCTACAGATTCAAGGACAAGGTCCTCAATTAGACTGTCCTTATTTCAAAGGTCAACTGCAAGTGGGGTCTCCAAGCTACCCTTATTTCTGCTTGGCAGAATTGGCTACAAAATTGGGAGTTCCTAAGAACCCCTTTAAGGTTTGATAGTTCACTAGAACAACTTAGCTATCTCACAAAAAGTGCTATACTTAACAATTGCCATTTTATTATAAAGGATTTAAATGAGTAGCTGGATAAAGGGGTACACAGGATATGTCTGGAATAATCTGGAGCACAAGTTTCTGTCTTCATGGCGTTGGTTGCAACACCCTCCTGGTACATCAGTATGTTCACTATCCTGGAAGCAATTCAAGCCTCATGTTCGTAGTTTTATTTGATTTTTAAGATGGAGTCTTGCTCTGTTGCTCAGGCCGGAGTGCAGTGGTGTGATCTCGGCTCACTGCAACCTCTGCTGCCCAGCTAAAAGTGATTCCCCGGCCTCAGCCTCCCGAGTAGCTGGGATTATAGGCGTGCACCACCCTGCCCAGCTAATTTTTGTATTTTTGGTAGAGATGGGGTTTTGCCATGTTGGCCAGGGCTGGTCTTAAACTCCTGAACCTCAAGGTATCCGCCCTCCTTCTTGGTCTCCCAAAGTGCTGGGATTACAGGCATGGGCCACCGCACCCGAGCTCATGTCCATAGTTTTTATTCAAGGTATTTATTACATAAGCATATAATTGGCCATGTGACTAAACTCAATCTTCAGATCTTCTTCTTTCCCCAGAGGTAGGAGGGGACTGGAAACGCCATCACTCTAATTACATGGGATTTTTTATTTTTTTTTTCCGAGGCGGAGTCGCGCTCTGTCACCCAGGCTGTAGTGCGGTGGCGTGACCTCGGCTCACTGCAAGCCCCGCCTCCCGGGTTCACGCCATTCTCCTGCCCCAGCCTCCGGAGTAGCTGGGACTACAGCCGCCCGCCACCACGCCCGGCTAAATGTTTTGTATTTTTAGTAGACACGGGGTTTCACCGTGTTAGCCAGGATGGTCTTGATCTCCTGACCTCGTGATCCGTCCGCCTCGGCCTCCCAAAGTGCTGGGATTACAGGCGTAAGCCACCGCGCCCGGCCGGGATTTTTTATTCTTTTGACAACCTCCCCCATCCTGTAGGCTATCTGTGGCAACAACCCTGTGCCACCTCATTAGCATAACAAAGGCACATCTATCACTCAGGGAATTTCAAGAATTTCTGAAACTCTGTGCCAGGAACCAGGGACAAAGACCAGATTTTTAAAAATATATTAATACTTATATGACAACTATTCTTCCTTCCATTGACTTGTCTGGGCAACCTTATCAAAAATCAACTAGCTACAAATGTATCGGTTTATTTCTGTACTCTCAATTCTGTGCCATTAGATCTATATGTGCATCCTTATACCAGTACCACTAATGTCTTAATTATTGTAGCTTTGTCATAAATTTTGAAGTTGGGAAGGATACATCCCCTTTTTCTTTCTTTTTTTTTTTTCAGGATCGATGTAGCTATTTTGGACTTTTTGTATGTCCATATGAATTTTAGGATCAGCTTGACAGTTTCTGTAAAAAAGCCAACTGGGATTTTGATAAGAATTGTGTTCAATCTGTAGATTAATTGGCAAGTATTATCATTTTAAGAATATTAAGTTTTCTCATCCATGAATGTGGGTTGTCTTTTCATTTTTTAGATATTCTTTAATTTTTTTCAAAGATGTTTATAGTTTGTGATTCACAAGCCTTAGACTTCTAATGTTAAATTTATTCCGAAGTATTTTATTCTTTCCATGCTATTATAAATGGAATTGTTTCCTTGATATCATTTTCAGAATGTTCATTACTAGTTTGTAGAAATACAATTGATTTTTATATATTGATCAACTATCCTGCAACCTTACTGAACTTGTTCTTTAGCTCTTATAGTTTTTTAATTACTTCCTTAAGATTTTCTAAGTAAAAATGATAACGTTATCTACAAATAGCGATAATCATACTTCTTTCTTTCCAGCCTGGATGCCTTTTCTTTCTGTTTCTTATTTAGTGAACCTGTATGAAATCTCTAATAAAATGTTGAATAAAAGTGGTATGAGCAAACATTCTTGTTCCTTAGTTTAAGGAGAAAACAGTTAATGTTTTGCCATTAAGTATTATAGTTGTAGATTTTTCATAGATGGTCTTTACTAGGTTGAGGAAGTTTCCTTCTATTGCTAGTTTGTTTAATGTTTTGATGGTTTTAAAGCAGGGTGTTGGATTTTGTCAGATGCTTTTCAGCATCTATAGAGATATTGTATGATTTTTCCCTTTATTAATATGGTATGGTATGTTATTTGATATTTATATGGTAAATCAACTTTGCATTCCTGGGATAAATCCTACTTGGTTATAGAGTGTAATTCTTCTTGCCATTTTATGTACTCTAAAATGATCTAAATATTCCAAAATTATTTAGGCTTTTTAAAATGAAAAAGAATATAAATTAATAAATAAAAGTTGCACAAGTCACCTGGTCTTAGATTACCTCTAAGTCTGTAGCTCTGGTATGTTAGACCAGTATTTCAGAAGTGGAATTCTGTTTTCCTGTAAGTACAGTTTGAAGTATTGTCATTAAAATACTGACCTGCATAATCTGGTTGATAATATAGGACCAACCTAAGACAAAAAATTGATAAGCTTTTTATTTATACAATTTTAATAAGCTTGTTGCAAGATCCCACATATAATTAATAAATGCATAAACATCTTGAAGTCATATAATGTAGTCATTTTGGTGGCCAAACCTTAAAAAGCAGACAATAGCTGATGAACTTCCCCATATAAAAAATATTCCACAATCACAAATAAATAATAAAATCATAATAAAATAGCTGTATGTATTGAAAACTTAGATTTGGGGTTCATGACAAGCTTATGAAGCCATTTTGTAGATTGGGAAAATAAGCCTCCAAGAGGTTAGATAAATTTGCAAAAACATTCCCAGAAATCAATAATTAAATTCTGCTTTTATGACCCTGCAGTCTGTCTCTGATAAAGTGACTACTTATAGAGTGTTTCTGTTTTTATTTTGTTCTTTCTATTGTTGGTATTTTTGCCTGGAAATTATTCAATGGGTTTATGAAGTATTTATTCTTCTATAACTTAGTGTCCTAGTACAATGTAGCACCGTGCTTTGCTAAGTGCTTATGTATTCTATAAATTTTATTTCATAAATTTATACATATACATGTATTCCATAAGTTTTATTCTATAAATTTATACACATATGTATTCCATACATTTCAGTGCCCGTTAGAATGTTTTGCGTAAAGTATTGTAGCTCTAAGTAATATTACATTATATATATATATATTTTAAACTATCATGGACTATAAAAAATGGTTGTAATTGTCTCAGTAAAACTAGGCTTAGGATCACTTCAGGCTATACACACACACTTGTGTGAGTGAGTTTGTGCATCACACATGCATGCTCACATGGCTGAATTAATCATATGATGACTTTTAAGTGATTTAATTAATATGGCTCCAAAATAATTAGTTCATATTTTTACATTTCAGTTGTCGCTGTATCTTGAAATGTCATTAATAAAAATTGTTTAGTTTTTCATTGATTTTTCATTCATTAGCCACTAACTAGCACAGTCGTATGAGTCTGATGTTGTTTTATGGCTATGAATCTGGTCTAGAAAAAAAAAAAATTATTATAATGAAAGTACTTAATATTTTTTCCAACATTTTGCAATAGAAATCTCATTTAACTATCTTTATCATTTTCAATTTTTTTATTTATTTGGAATTACTCTGATTTCTCACTTAATATTTTCTTTCTTTGTTTCAATTTTTCTTCCTTTTTCTTTTTCTTTTTTTTTTTTTTTTTTTTAGCATTTCAAGAAATAGATAATATCAAGGACATCAGGACACCGGGAGTGGGAGAGATTGGACTGGGAGACTCAGCAGGTCAGGACATTTACATTACCATTTGCTGGTCATTCTTTTGCCATCAGTTTTACAATTCTCAAATCTCTTGCCACTTGCTTATTTCTTCCATGTGCTTGAGTTGTTCTTGGTTTGCAAATTATGAATAATACTCTAATAATGTAAGAAGTTGAGCATTTGGGCATCTTCCTTTTATAGTTTGAAGATGAAAATAATTTAAAAACTATCAAGAATAGAAACAAAATCTTACATAAGTTACATAGATGCCTGAATTTATATTTTTTCTATATTTTTTTCCTTGTATAAACTGTTTTGAAGTGAAACTTCTTAATGACTTTCCCTTAATGACTTTTAAGAATCAAATTCTTAAAACATGTAGAATGTTAATAAATATGTAATTGTAGGGAGGAGCACCCAGGTCATGAAAATCGAGTTTCTTCTCTTCTCTGCCATGTACTCTGTGCTGGTGTCCACCTCTAAAAGCTCTTGACACTCTTCAGAGTCAATCTGTTTGCCAACGCTAATAGTAACCAGAGAATATTGACTACCATGTATGAAATGAGAGTTAATTAAATCAATTTCTATGTAAATAAAAGATCTCAATAGTCAAAGAGTCTCCTGGGAGCATTCAGCAGTCATTGTGCAAGGTTAGTTTTAGTCACGTTTCTCAGTAAGCTAGAGCCACACTGGCCTTTGAAGTCCCCATTGCCATGATTGTGGCTAATGGCTGTGTGTTCATTCCTGGGTCCAGGGAAGTGTCTTGGTTGTTTCAACAATGCTCACAACTCTCACTATTATTGCTTAGTTATGAGTGAAGACTTGGTGGTCCCCTCCTTCCTTGTAATCCTTCCTTCCTTGTAACCCCTCCCGTGTTACTGCTTCCACAGCTCCCCTGGAGTGTGTCTTAGCTCCTACACATCCAGGTCTTCTGTAGAACAACTACCAGTGGCTTTTTCAGTTTTCATTATACAGAGAGATAAATGTCTTTGTCCTTCAGTGTGATCAGATCTCTTCAATTAAAATGACTTACTCCTAAAGGAACTAAGCTTAAAGTTATTCTATCTGGATGCCTCAGAGATTTTGTTATGTTTTAGCATGAACATTAGGACATTAGGGATTGGACACATTTTTATTGGCATGTACCTTGAGAGAACACTCCTTACCCGCTTAAAGGGAAGATAAATTTCGACTATATCTTCATGCAATGCATATGCTTAACTCTCTGCTTTTAGCTAAATGGTAAGAGTCCTGCAAAAAGCTGTATTTAAAATGATACGCCAAAGTAAGTGTGTCTGCACTGATTCTTGCAGAGTTAAGAACCACTCTTCAATGATACTTTGATAAAGAGTATTCTGATAATAAACATTCCCAAATTTTTAGTTTGCAAATATTATGGAAATAAACATTAAAACCAAATAAGTTGAAGCTAAACGTTGTGGATGTTCTTGTCATCCAACAATTATATAAATATTGGCCTTAAATTGAATACACTTGTTGTTTGGCTTTCACATGTTTGGAAGCAAAATAAAGAAGGAAGGGACAAACATCTCATAGATCCCTGTAGTCTTATGAGACAGAAAGAAACTTGGTCCAATCAACTTATTTCACAAGTCTAAATAACTCTCCTCTGTCACATGGAACATTAGTAACAGAACTAAATCTATGTTTCTTGGCATGATGCAGGTCTACTACATTATGCTACCTCACAGGTTATGGAACACAAATCATTCTGTATACTACATTGTGCACACACATAAAAATACCATCATATTTGCCATTTTGCCAACTTATCATTTGATAAAGAATGCTATTGGTACTAACACTTCACTTTGGATTATACTAATATTCAAAGAAATCAAGAACTTAAAAATGTTTTTGATAGAGTCATTTCCCTGGAGAAGTTTTCTGTTTAGCTAGATGAAATAAAAAGATGATTATCCATTCATTAATTCATTTATTCATACAAGGAAAATTCCTACTCTCCCAGAGCTTTCATTCCTATGGAAGAAAACATAAAGTGAAGATTTTGATGTGTATGTCAGTGGGGATAAGTACTAAGAAGAAAAATAAAGCAGAGATACTAGAGAACACTGAAATACCTCCTCAGATACACTGTCTAGGGAAAGGCTCTTTGATAAGGAGAGAATGGAATAGAGGACTGAATGGAGTAAGAGAACAATTTCAAAATGTGGGGGAAGAGAGGTACATTCAACAGGAAGAGTCAGTATGAAGAGTGTGCTTGGTGTGTTGAAGGAATGGCAAGGGCAGTGGCAGGAAGACAGGAGCAGACAAGTGAGAGATGACGCTATGGAGGGTGAGTGGTGTTCATCATTTACAGCCTGGTAGACCATAATAGGACCTTGACTATTATTCTGAGGGAGATGGAGATCATTAAAGGAATCTTAGCAGATGAGGAGCATGTTATGGTTCATATGTTTTAAGGATCAGTCTCACTTACAAGTTGTGTACATCATTTAAAAAATGTCCCTTTATAGACAGAATCTAAATTATGAGTAAAAATAGATTTAATAATGATTAGGGCAACATTGTCTAACCAGGATATTGACTGATGATTGTGTTCAAGGGGCTAATGTTAGATAATACAGCTATCCTTTTTCTTTTCCATGTCTTTAATTCACAGAATTCTCTTGAGTTTGAATTACGGTTTTTGGCTTTGTATAATAACATTGTTTTATAATAGGGACCTTAATGATAATGATATATAATATTTAAAAATTGTGTGCATTCAGTTAGTTACTTGGCACAGCTGAATTTCTCATTTGTTTGCCATTTATCATTTCAACCCTAACCACATAACTTTCTGTAAGTCCAGAAAGAAGTCCTGAATTTTATCTCCTATTTGAAAGAGAAGATGTTTGAAAATTATGTAACTCTTTTATTATAATTATCCCAATCCATGAGACTATTTATGAGCAGGAAAGACAGAGTAGTTGAAACAAATCAATTTAGTATGAATTAGCAGGCATGAATTCTGGAGGCAGCTCTGAAACTTACTAGCTGGGTGACTTGCCATCTTTGACCTCTGTTTGCCTCCTCCATGACCTATGGGAGAAGTGCAGTGTTGTTATTGCTGCAGTTCCTTCACATTTGTCAAGCCATTGTACACATATTAGGTAATAAAGAGAAAATGGGTGAATAAAGAGTTACTTACATTAGAAGTAACCATTTATAATACAAAATGAGAAAATAAGGGATATGGTTTCATATAAATAACAGAGGATAACATCCATATATATTTTCAGAAAATTATTAGGTTAAAGTAGATATTATTGATACTTGGAAGGAAGGATTATTTCTTTTTTTTTTTTTTTTTTTTTTTTTTTTTGAGACGGAGTCTCGCTCTGTCGCCCAGGCTGGAGTGCAGTGGCGGGATCTCGGCTCACTGCAAGCTCCGCCTCCCGGGTTCATGCCATTCTCCTGTCTCAGCCTCCCAAGTAGCTGGGACTACAGGCGCCCGCCACTACGCCCGGCTAATTTTTTGTATTTTTAGTAGAGACGGGGTTTCACCGTTTTAGCCAGGATGGTCTCGATCTCCTGACCTCGTGATCCGCCCGCCTCGGCCTCCCAAAGTGCTGGGATTACAGGCGTGAGCCACCGCGCCCGGCCGGAAGGATTATTTCTAAAAGTGTCATTTCTATCATGTGAAGAATCAAAATAAATATTTAAAAAGTAATTTGGGAGGTGGGGAGTGCCTTCTACTAGCAATCTTGTGGCAGCAGTTTTCAATTGCCAAATAAGTATTTACCAAAAAGTTTTCACATTTCTAATTAATGCATTAGAAACTATTTTAAAACTCTACCTAAGTTATCTAGGCTTAGATTTTCATGATTTGCCTATCAGAATATTCATGCAACAAAAATACATACATACATACCTGCTTATGAATATTTAATATTATTTTCCTAAAAAATATTATTCTAAATTCTTTCCTTTTCAGTCATAAGAATAAGAATCATTTTTATCATTCAACTGATAAATAAGGAAATTATTCTTTGACATTATTTTTTGGAGAGGGCATGCCTACTTCCACTTCACATATTCATCTAAGATTGTTTTTGAGTCTGCAGTGATTCCTGTCACTTTCTGCCACAGACAGTGGAGGAAATTCTCCACTCCCATAAGAGTTAGTTCCTCCACCTATGCTTACCCATTGCCTGTTCAACAAACTTTGATTCCCTTCTCCAGTACCTTCAACTTCTTCTGCATTACTAGAAGCAAAATATTTAAATGCTCAAATTTCTCATCTAAAAACAAATAAAAACTTTTTTTAAATTTTACTTTTTCCTTTAGCTACCACTCCCTTCATGTACAAATTTCCCTAAAGCCTTATCTTAAATTGCAGTCATTTTCTTTTCTCCTCCTCAATCCTCTACACTCTTCCGCTTCTGTCATGCCAAATCTTGCTAAGATCATCAATAACCGTTATCATGCTAAATCCAAAAGGTATTTTTTAGTCATTGTCTTATTTCATCCTCAGTTTCATTCAGCTGCATGAATGACTTTCCAACCCTCACCCCATTTTTTTGGTTGTTTTTGAAGGACTATCTTCCCTCTGCTTTTCACTTGGAAGTAAACCTGTCTTGTTCTCCACTTCATCCCTAACACACTATTTAAAGTGCTTTCTAATAGCATGTGTTGAATAAATTTGGCGTGAAGAGCTGTAGCCAAATGAATACGATGTGAAATCCAATGCCATAAAGGCTGCAAAAGATCTACAAGGTGACAGTGTATAAGGCTTCATAGAAAAGAGAAAGTTCCATAGACAAGGCAGTATTTGAGCTGGGCTTTAAAGGATGCATATGATTTTGCCCAGCAGAGATGTTGGACAGTGGGAAGATTGCCAAGGATATATTTAAAGCTCTGGTGTCTTATGTTCCTCTTGGGCTTGAGTTTGGATGCAACACAGGGGATACAAAAGGAAAATAGTGACTATAAAGGTAAGTTGGGTTCAAATAATAAGAAGACTTTGAATCTTATGCTAAGTGGTTTGTCCTAACTCCACAGGACTTGGGGAGTCATTAAAACTTTTTGTTTGTCTTGGGAAAGTAGGGTGATGATTAGGGCTGTGCCTTGGATTAATTAATTCTTATGATGTCACTCTGAGGCTGACTGATTTATAAACTGTATGGCTATAAGAAGGAAGATAGAATACTAATGCAATCATGAAGTAAGAGTTCAGGAAAGTCAGGCGTGAGTGGTAACACCAGGGTGCAGATACAAGCAGAAATCTGAAGATGGAATCCATAGGGTTTGATGTCCTCCTAGAGTGCTAAGGGATCAATTTCAACTTTGAATAATGGAAATAAAGGCCTTGCAATTCACAGATATAGGAAATCACAAAAAGCAGTTTGTTTTTACTGATTTATTCTTTTTTAAAAATTTTTGTCAGAGGGCATGAATTGTTTTGAGAGTCTTTATATTTGAGTTACCAATACTGATATATTGAGGAAGTAAGTATTCCACATTGGAGATTCTGGAACATGGCACGAGAGTTGACGATGCAGCTATATGAATTTAAACTTGATGCTGAAAGTTGCCTCCTTAGTGGAAGAAGGGCAATCTAGACTGAGGGGATAGCCTGCAAGACGAGGGTGCTGAATGCCATGTAGAATTTTGAAGATCGCATGGAATAGTGGAAATAGAAGAAACTCTCAAGTTTGAGTTGTAGCTTTGCTGCTTTACAAACTATATGGTCTTGAAGTAGCATTTGGTTTGTTTATTCATTTATTTATCTTTAATATCTGCCCAGGGCCCTCCTGAGTGGTCTGCAAACAGTAAGCACTAAATGCAGGCTTTATTGGCTCACTAGGATATAATCATTTCTACATTATGGATTTTTTTGAAGTATCAAAAGTTGTTTGTGTATTCATTCATTTATTCATTCATATATTCTTACTGAGTCTTACTCTGTGACAGGCACCCTTATTATATTGCCTGACTTCTCCTCCATCTCATTTCTTGGCTAGTATTTTCATTGGTTGAACGTGGCGATATTGTTCTCGGTTATAGGAAAAATATTGATTGATTTAGATCCCATCCATCTATAGAGTCATGCCATTTACATCTCAGACTACATTTCCTCAAGTTGGTTGAGATAGCTCCAAAAGGAAGTGATGGCGAATGTTGCCTTTACTTTTACAATAACAGAAAAGGATCTTTCTGCTGATTTCATTTAGACGCTTACAGTAAAATATTTAACTCACAAATGATTTAAATCATCCTCTTTAACAGTAGTTAAACACACTGATGTTACAGAGATCTGCCAAACATAACTATTATCATATGACTACTGAGAAGTTTTTGGACAGAAGTGCTCGTTAGAAGAGGGGAGCCCTATTCCCTGAATGCTGAATGAGTGCTTGCCTGGGGTGTCCCCAGAAATAGGAGCTGACACAGGTGTTCGGCACAGTTGCTTACTGCTTCCCATCAAGAAGGATGGGAGGATCTTAGCACTACTGGTTTGTGGCACTCAGCTTATTTGGCAAGCAGTCAGCTCTGGCTGTGGATTTCCCTGGGGAAAATACAAGCCACAGGGAAGTCATCAGTGTGACCTTCTGCTGGGTAGTTGGCACACAGTTGCACAGGAAAGCTTTCAGTTGTCATTTTCTGAATGGGGAGAGATCAGGTGCTGATGGAGGCTCCCCATCCAAGGTGGAAGGTGGAGAAGGAAACCAGTATTGAACAGAAGCTTACCAAATAATTCCCAGTCACGAAGCTGTACACCAGTGGATCTGCTGATAAAAAGGATTCTTGGGGGGAGGCGGTTGATGTTTTTTGGGGGGTTTCTTTGGTTCCGTAAGCGTAATTACAAGCTTTCCTGTTGAAGTCTGACCCATCATACTGAAATGCTGTCACTAGTATCATTAGCAAGTAAAGTGTTGATAACATAGTCAAATGCACAGCAGAGTTCTGGCTCTTAAGTGTCTGGACTAACTCCCAATATTAGGAATAGGAGTCAAACTGCCATCACTTTTCCTGTGCTAACAGACGCCCTGCCATTAGCAGTCTGAAGGCAATTTTAATAAAATACATAGTCCTGCTGAGTTGGTCTCAAAAGATAAATACGCAATGCAGAAAAGAAGCTTTTGTTTAAAAGTAATTATTTAAACTATGTATTACAGGTAATTTTCTTCTACCAGTAAGGCAAATGCTATCAGAATTTCAATAATGATTTTTTGGCTCTTATCTAAATAATATGATATTGTCATTTCTAAGAGTTAAAGCAGCGCTTATTTTTACTTATATACAAAATGAGGGCAGATTGGACCCAGGTATCATGTGCATGTGTTTTACAGTTGATATTACATTTTTGGGTGAACAATGTTGTATTCTTGGACAGATTTATGGAAATGTAGCAAGCTGGTGAGAGAGCTCTGAGAACTACAGACTTGACTTGCAAACACAGATTAGAGCAGGAGGGCAAAGAACATCTTTTTATTTTTCCCTTTGCTGTCCAAAAGGAAATCAAATTTCAGTCTTTTAAAAGCTCTTTTAATAGGATGCTTGTACGTAAACCACAGTCACAAGGGTATAATAAATGTGTGCATGTATCCGAGGAGCCAGGGCTTTGTTCACCAAAAGGTAAAAAGCTCAGAAAGCTTTCTTAAGAGTCTATTTGGAAACCATTGAAGCCACCGCCTTTTCTTGCCTTCCTACTAGCATGAAATCCTTAAATTAATATAGAATTAGCTCTGTCCTTACAGGAGGCAGAGTGAGAACTTGCTTATCTAAGTGGGATGCAATGGGTATGAGGAAGGTTCCTATTTCTCTCTGCTGCTCTTTGGAATGAGACAGACATCAGTTCACATTCCACTCAACTCCCTTTTATCATGATCTATCACCTTAGACGAGTTATTTGTCATCTTTGTCAAGCCTTTGTTTCCTCATCTATAAAATTAGTATAAGAATAACACGAGCCTTGTATGATTGTTTTGAGGATGTAATGAGATGATACATGTAAAATATTTGGGGTGGTGTCTGGCACAGAAGCAGCACTCAGGAAATGCTCATTTATATTTGAATGAGCTATTAACAAAATTTTATCAGGGAAAGCACAATGTTGAACATTGTGCTAGGAGTTGGGATAAGTATATTGAGTAATATATGGTGTCTACTTCAAAAGTGTAAAGCCTAATGCAAGACAGGCATTTAAGCAGATAACTTAAGTACTGTATGCCACTTGTTGTAATGTGAGTATAGATCTTGGGGACATAAAGAAGGCACGGCTTAATCTTGGCCATGGGAAAAATTACTGCAAAATCTTCTTGATTTGTTAAGCTTTCAAAGAGAAGACGCTAAGCTGTATAGTTTCATCCTGAGCTGTTGTGATCAAAGCCAACTATTTTTTTTCCAAGAGTGATTTTTTTCCCAGCTCCTTGTTTTTTCTGTTCTTCTTCCTTTACATTTATGTAAACCTTTTCCTTAATTGTTAGCACCATGGTTAGATGATATCTATAGGCAGTGAGAGGAGGTAAACATGAATTAACCATTCACATGCTGCTCAGCATCTTGCTAAAATGATTTCAGGGAGAGTTAGAAACACAGGCTTTATTCTCATACATTGCTGATGGGAATGCAAAGTGATACAAGCCTTTGGGAGAGAAGTTGGTGATGTCTAAACAAATCTACATACACACTGAACCTTTTGACCCAGCAATGCCACTTTTCGGAATTAATCCTGAAGACACAATATCAACAATATTAAAACTAGCCTGGGTTGGGGGTGGTAGCTCACGCCTGTAATCTTAACACTTTGGGAGGCTGAGGCAGGTGGATCACTTGAGGGCAGGAGTTTGAGACCAGCCTGGCTAACATGGTAAAACCTTGTCTCTACTAAAAATACAAAAATTAGTCAGACATGGTAGTGGCCACCCATAATCCCAGTTACTCAGGAAGCCGAGGCATGAAAATCACTTGAACCCAAGAGGTGGAGGTTGCAGTGAGCCGGAATTGTGCCACTGCACTCCAGCCTGGGCGACAGAGTGGAAGTCCATCTCAAATAATAATAATAATAATTAATAATAATAATAATAATGGAAAAATAAAACTATATACCCAAGATTATTCATCATGACATTGTTTATAATTGTAACATATTAAAAACTATCTAAATGTTCATGCAGAGGAGGCTAGTTGAAGAAAACAGAATGAAGAACATCATCTGGAATGGAAGTAAAATAAGAAAGTATGTATGTATCTGCTAATTGGAACCAAGAATAGGAAGGACAAACCAGAAATTAATGAAACTGATTAATTACACTAGTTGGGCCCAGGGGAAGGGGATAGAGAGAATGGGAATAGGGAGCAAGAGTGAAGAGGTGATAGGGAGTGACATTTATCTGAATGGACTTTTTTGGTGTAGTTCTGATTTTTGGAACTGTGTTAATATTTCACATACTCAAAACGTAAATAATTGAAGTGAATTAGAGTATTCAGGGTACCCCACATGAAATATTAAAAAATAGCAAGAAAACTTAACCATATTCTTAGGAATTACAGATGAAGGAAGTGGATAAAAAAGAGCTAATCTAAGTAACTGCCAAACAGTAATTGGCGTTTATACTCTAAAATTTTTTAAAAATGAACAAAAAAGAACTGTTGTACTCTTATCAGAATATTTGTATTTCACAAGATATGGGTGAGTGATTCAATTTTTTACAGGGGTGAGATTAAGCATTTCCAAAACTGATTCAAATGTCTCCTAGGATTGTGGATGAGGGCTATTTTCTCTCTGTCAAAGAAAGGAAGAGGGCTAGAATGAAGCCTGGTTATTAGATTTTTATCTTAGATATCAAGAAAAATATGTATCACAGATATACAAATAATGAAATGGGAGTATATGCGTGTGTTCATTTAAATATTCCCAGCTCTATCTGCTGAGAGGGCCTAGAAGCATTAACACCCCAGTGGTGGTGAGCACATTTGGTACCTAGTTCTTGGTTTCTAAATATCATTCTCTAGCAAAAGAAACCAAGAATCCTTGTAGAAATGGATGATTCCAGGGCCAGAACCAGAAACATGTCATAAAAGTCTGGAACATCTTTTGGTCCCAGAAAGTAGGGAAGGAGTAAACAATGATGAAAACATTGAAATAACGCAGGATCCACCCTGAAGTAGCTCCCTATTTCCAAATTCGGGACATTTGAGCAAGAAAATAATGAAAGTAATAGGATATTCTCAATATAGTCCATAAGGTTGTAAGAAAGTATTGAACAAATAAATAAGTGAGGGAGAAAAGAAAGCTCTTTCTTAACAGTAAGAATGCCAATTAAGAGGAATGATGGAAATAGAAAGTCACCATTTGGTAAACACCACAGTCATAATAGTTTCAGGCAAGAATCATCAAATGGATGCTAAATTTGTGGGTGAAAATATAATGATAAATAGGATATTTACAGAGTATCAACATATCTCCTCTCAAAATACTTATTAATTATAAAAGGAAAGTAGTAACTTTACAGTGGAAAAACCTGGCAGACACCACCTAAAACAAATGATCAAAGTTAACATCACCAGTAATGAGATATATCACCATCATGTGCCTCTCATATGATTCACTGAGAAAGGCACAAAAAGTAATTTCTGTCATGTTCTTGCCAAAAGTGCATAACATGAATTTAATCACGAAGAAATATCAGACAACCCAAAAGGGACATACTACAAAATAACCTGGCAGGACCCTTAAAAAGTGTGAAGGTCATTAAAAACAAAGAAAGATTGAAGAACTGTCCCAGATGGAAAGAGATGAAGAAAACATGACAACTAAATATTGGCTCATAGTCCAAGAAAAACACATTAGTGGGTCAATTGTTGATATTTCAATGAGGGCCATAGATCATCAAATCATGTATGAATGTATCAATGTTAATCTTTTGGTTTTGATGATTGTATTATTGGTTCTATAATATGTTAATTTGTGGGAACCTGAGTAAAGAATATATGGACACTCTGTACTATTTTTGCATTTTTTAAGCCTGAAATTATTTCAGAATGAAAAGTTAAATTGGAAGATAAAAATTGTGTGCCTTAAATAAAATGTATGTATGTATTATCCATTCATCTTTATTATCCATTGCTATATAAAAGGATGACTTCAATAGACTCTAGGAAGAAAGGAGAATTGTAATAGAGTGATAGGTATGTTACACTGTGAACTGGGTCCTATTTTGTTAACTTGCTCTGTCACCCACTGTGTAAACCCCGGGGATACTTTCTATACTTTTATATTTTGCTAGTCTATTTGCCAATAACATAGAAATAATGATCTAGCAAGACTGTTTGTAATTATTCACACCAATGGAGGAGAGCAGAGATGTCAAGTATGGAGCCCACAAACAATAATTTTAAGAAGCACTCAAGTGAAGATCAAGGTTTAATGCCAATGAAGAGCCAAGTGTATTCTGGTAGATGTAAAACTCCAGCTATACAAATGTTTTCATAGAGGGAAAGCAGAGCTAGTACATTAAGTTCCATCGATGTGTGTTAAGAGATCAGTAATCAAACAAAAGCTGGAAAGGAAGTAAGGGGCACAGTATCGGTGCAGCCATCCAGTCAGTCTCCAAGGGCCCAGGTTAAGTTAAAAACAATGTCTGATGACTCACACCTCCCAAAGCTTGATGGTGCCAGTGAGATGGGGGTAGTACTCACTAATACTCTGTGACAACATTAAAGGACTAGGGTAAAGGATCGATAGCAACTTGAGAGTTAGCAGAGTTCTGTGCAACACCAGCTTGTTTTCACACACATTGATGTTAAAGTTTTTTTGTGTTCAAAATAGTTACAAGATGTCAGCAGAGAGATTGACATCATTAACTATATTTTATAGATGAGGAAACTGAAATTCAGAGTTTCTCAAATTATACTGCTAGTAGAGAATGGACTTGCACTGTAGACCAGGGTATTCATTTGAGTCCTTGAACCTTTTAGCATCAGGAAACTCCCTAGAAGTACATGAAATGTTTGTGTATAAGACTATGCAGGTGCATTTTTTTTTTTCCTGAGAAAAGGATACAAATCATGTGATTTTATCAGATTTTCAAAGGAGTCTGTGACCTAAAACATAACAAAATATAAAATTTTCTTTCCACATGAGCGCACAACATGGAGTGGAAATACTTTTGCTGGACTTGGGAGTATATAACTCTTACAGTACATATAAGAAGCATCAGTATGAAAGTAAATGATTTAACAGAGAGATTCTGGGACTTGCCCAGAATCACAAGAGTTAGTGCCTAAGTAAAACCAGAACTCTAGCTGTCCACAATTTCAGGGAATTGGTTTTCCTATTGACCATGTTATGAATTGTTGGGTGTATAGTTCTGTGATAGTTCCTCCCTGACCAGGGAGGTGGAGGTCTGGTTCCCAGGTCTGGTACCAGTGGAGGACGTCAGATCCAAAGGAACCTTGAGCAGCAACTGAATTCCAGTGCTCTGCTGAGACATCAATTAGCATTTTGAGCATAAGGGCAATTTGAATAAAATTCTGTGGATTGTTTGAGAATTCTCTAGGTGGAATTAGGAAGTATGGTAGAATTATCTTACCTGTGTGGAAGGAAAATGTCTTTTAAATAATGGCAGAGGCCTTAGGGTGAGCATTCTGATTGTGTTGTCTCATCTGGCACCTGCAATACCTGCCAGAGTTTTAGCTTCCTAAATTACTCTGGGGCATTAGAGAAGATCCTTCTGTCCAGAGATATTGTACTTCTTTGAAGAATACTTTGAATGAGATTTGAGTTTCTATATAGCTTTGACATTTGCCAAAAAGGTTACAGTATCCACAGACACCCAAATGTTGTCCCTATATATGAGTGTGCGTGTTTTCACGGCAGCGTAGATCAAATTAAAAAAAAAAAAGTAACACTTTACTATTACAATCAGAGTTCCTTATCATTCATGTATATGCACACATAGTAAGTATATGTATATTTGACTTTCAAACCCAAGATTTATAAAAGACTTAAGATGTATTATAAAGATCTTACAGAACTTAAAATTTAATCTAATCACCAATGATTGAGAGAGTAGTAAGGACTCTAAGAGCTGGCTAACCTTATCTAAGTCACTGCTTTTGTGGACAAGGAACTGAAGCTCAGAGAGGTTAAATTTTGCATCATTTTACACAGTTAATAAGTGACAGAGCCAGAAAAAGTACCCAGATTTCCTGATTCCTAGCCCAGTTTTCTTTTCACTATGGCATAGTGCCTTATGACACATATGAGATTAGAGCAAAATTGTATTTGTTGAAATGCATGAGAAGTGTTGTGGGTCTTTTGATGATGTTGTGTGGAAGGAGTGGGTTCATTCAATCCTTGATATTTTTCCCCCAGTTTTACACTTTAAAACTAATAAATGAATAATATCCTTTATCTATTTCAAATTAGTAAGATTCTACTGATTTTTTTTTTCTTTTCAGCAATCTGCCTATAGTTTTGGAACTTACTTACTTCTGTCAGAATAAATGTATGCACACATTTGAGTTACTAACTCTTGAGTTGCTAACCCACTAAGTGACTAATCTAAGAAATCACCTCTCTTGTTAGGTGCACTGGATTGCAAACGTCTTTTGATAATACTGCAGTGGTAGTGTAGGGATTTGCAACTGGCAGGCAGGAATTGAATTGCCATCATTTGGCTTTAGCAGGAGTTAGAGTCTTGTCTCCAACATAAGCATGAGCCAAGGTACTGTCTCCTTTTTTCTAATTTTAGTTGGAACCATTGGCACTGATCTTACCTAGACAGACTAGTGTTATTTCTACCCAGCACAATCTGCTGGGATGGGCTCTATTCCAAGCCATTCAGTTGAACTTCTCCCCCTGATTTACCAAACAGAGATATGATTGGATGTTGAGGTTAGAAGCTTTCACCCTTTTCATTAGAAGTCATCCGTTCAGACATAGAGATTCTAAGTTTAATTGGTTCAATGTATGACTCAGAAAGAATTGGCTGTTATGACTGAAAAATGCAGCATGCTTTAATTGTGGGTCAGGAAGTAATTACTGCGACATTTTGGTGCTGGGACTTAGATATTGATACATTTAACAGTACAGGGGTGAGCAAAATGGTGAGAAGTGATGTCTACTTTCCAGCCCTCACCTATCTTATTCTGGAACAGACGCATTGTACCGTTGTCCTGTCATGGTCTTTAATCATGGGCATCCATCCCTGCTGGCATCTCTCATGATCTCAGACACAGAGGCCGTGCTTTGGCTCATGTCTGCATCCTTACCACAATCCTCAGTGAGACCTCATCAGGCCGACAGTGCTCTCCCTCGACTAACTTTCACACCATTCGGATGAAAAGGGGACATCCCAGCCTCTCGGACCTTGATCATTTGTGCAGCCACGTCTGTACTCTTTTCTCCCTGCCTTAGTTTGTCATGGGATATCTGCAAGGCTGCCGTCTCACTGGAGCGCCACACGGGGAGCAGGCCATCAGTTCTCATTTTGCCCAGAGCCCAAGTATAAAAGGGTTTTTATTATTTTTCTATCCCACCCAAACCTCTGAATACTCTACATTTGCCCTGCAGGAATTAAAAGTGTAGTGACCTCATACTAGCATGTAAGGTCACTTTTTCCTGGTGAATCTTTCTTCTCCCTAAATCAAAAGTGCCAAAAACATTAACAGTCTTTTGCTATTACACATAAACAGTAATTTCTCATATGTAAAAGCACAGGAGTTTTGTTTTGTTTTCTTCTTTTTCCTGTGGTTGCTTGTGACCCAAATGTGAAAGACTGTCTGTGGAACGAAGAGGGTTAATGGATCGGGTTATTAGTTCGTATATCATCATGCAGAGGTCTCAGTGGCAAGTAGACGTGACACATACCCTGCCCTCCTGGGCTTACAGTGAGTTCACATGGAATTTATTGTTTTTTTGTTATTCTCTAAAACTATAGATAGAAGCATACCCACAAACAGCTCAATAGAGAGATCCAGATAAACAACTCGAAATAAAATGTTTAAGTTGTATGAAAAAGAGGACTTTGAAGTGTGTATCACTTCCCAAATATCTGTTTGAAAAATAGCAAATCATTATCCAAGTGGAAAAGAATGCTATAAATTTAAACCATTATTCCCTCCCCCTCCCCAACCCCTCCCTCTCCTTTCTTTTTACAATTGTTTCTGTTCTCATTTTGGATAGCGATTGTGGTAATAGGTCTGTGTTCCCTGCATACCACATGCATTGCTAACTTTTGCCTAGTTTTGAACGATGGATGGGCTGCTCTCTTATAGTGTGAGTAGCACAATAAGATTAATAATAATAAATAATTATGAAGCACTTAGATCTTGTTTTATGTGTGTTAGATGGAGTTTGTTAATTATCAGAGTTCTCAGTGCAGCCCTTTGAGATGGGTATCACTATTATCCTCATTTTACAGATGAGCAAGTTCATGCAGAGAAAGAGAGTGTGTGTCTAAGAGCATACAATGATAAGTGGGCAGACCAGGATTTTATTTGACACCAAACTGTGAGTCCCTATCACTTAGCAATTGTATTCAGCTTCAAGTAACAGGAACCCGAGTGACAGTGGATACGCGGATGCAGTCCAAGCCAGCTGTCTCCTCATGCTATCAGGGACCCAGACTTCTAACTCTCTCTTCCTCCACACTGGGGGCACATCTTCATGCTAATGCTCACAAGAGGGCTGGTAGGGCTGCAGCAGACCAGTGTTAGCTCGTGTCTAGGAAGGAAGTGGGAGAAGCACAAAGCACAGAGCAGGAAGGCCAAGACAGTCAGGGCTGTCCCCTTCTAAAAGGTTTTCACTGTATCCCGCCCCCACTTCCATTTACATCTCATTGCTGTAAGCAGGGTGCTGTTTGTCAAGCAGGAGCCAGGGAAGGGGTATTGGGTAGCCAGTTAGTGTTCTCTGCCACAGCTCCTAATCTCCTGTATGACTGCCTTTTCCAGTCTTAGTATAAAAATAGGGATAGAGAATATATATTTTTTTAATTTAAAGTCAACCATAAATTTTCCTTTGTCTAGGGTTTCCTTCACAGTTAAGCTTATTAGAATACACACATATAGGCCCACATCATATATCTCTTGACTGGAAGGGCACTCATCTTCTGACGGAATATTTTATATAGAGTCTTCAGCAAATATTTGGCACAGATCTGCTTTTAAGGGGCTATTAAATTGATCTGGAAATGAAAACCTGAGGCATCACCCAAGATTAGAGAAAATGTCAACCAATTGAAGCTTCTTTCTGCCTTCCAAAATGCTAATTGACAAACAGTTAGTTATGAGGATAGAAATGTTTTCCTATAGGCTAGGCCATTCTGAGTTGTACATTTTTCCTCTTCAAGCCTGGTGAAGCAAAAATTGTCAATCAGAATGTTATCTGCAGGAAGAAGTATGTTTTTAACTTCAGGAGGCTAAAATTCCATGAACTTATTTATTCTTTTGTATCCTAATGTTTGTTTTTGTTTTTGTTTTTTGTTTTTCAAGACAGGGTTTAGCTCTGTTACCCAGGCTGGAGTGCAGTGGTATGATCTCGACTCACTGCAACCTCCACCTCCCCGGCTCAAGCAATCCTCCCAACTCAGCCTCCTGAGTAGTTGGGACTCTAGGCTTGCACCACCACGCCTGGCTCATTTTTGTATTTTTGTTGAGATGGAGTTTTGCCATATTGCCCAGGCTGTTCTTGAACTCCTGGGCTCAAGTGAACAGCCCTCATTGGCCTCCCAATGTGTTGGGATTATAGGCATGAGCCACCGTGCCTGGCCCTAAAGTTTGAATATAAACAAGAGAGGTACTTTTAAGCAGTGAGATGGATTGGTTAAAGACTGTAGTAAAATATAAAGTGTGTGGCTTCTTCATCTGGTTGACCCCCCCTTAAAAAAGTTAACTTTATCTTTTTTGCTACTCCAGTTTCTCCATTTAGAAAATGCTGTTGTATATACAAGACCTGTCCATAGAGTTTATTTCAGTAAAATACATTACAATGGTGTGATAATTCACAGGAATTCTAACTCAGCACTAACTCAATACTGTTTTCTTTTTGTACATTGTTACTGTTTTATCATGTCATTGTGAGTGTTATTTACATATGATTTTTTAATTACAAACCGATCTTCAACTACTTTATTTCAGAATCACGTGCTTCACAGCAGATAGTACAAAGCTGGGCACAAACCAAATAAATACTTATTCACAGTTAATGGGCCAGGCGTGGTGGCTCACGCCTATAATCCCAGCACTTTGGGAGGCTGATGCAGGCGGATCACATGAGGCCAGAAACTCAAGACCAGCCTGTCCAACATGGCAAAACCCCATCTCTACTAAAAATACAAAAATTAGCTAGGCGTGGTGGCGCACGTATGTGATTCCAGCTACTCCAGCGTCTGAGGCAGGAGAATCGCTTGAACCTGGGAGGCAGAGGTTGCAGTGAGCCAAGATAACTCCACTGCACTCCAGCCTGGGCAACAGAATGAGACCCTGTTTCAAAACACACACACAGACACACACACATGCACAGAGTTTATGTATGGAGACTATATAAGCAATTAGGATGTTTCTTAAGAGTATTAAGTTGTTCTTAATTAATCCTTAACATCAATGTATTTTTTTAATTGATTCAAAATGTTGGTTGAATTTTAGGATTTATAGACTTTTCAGATTCATAAAATTCTGTATATTCTTCTCAAATTTGACTTAGCTCCATAAGAGCGGGGGGAATCAGCATATGTAGACAGGAGGGACATGCAGTTTGGACCACATAGGTCCAATACTTCCTCTTTTATTTATAACTTATAAAATTCTAGTTAGGCAGATATATTGAGTTCTTCTCTTTCCATTCTTAATGTTAAATTTGCCAAAGCTTGTTATATGTACAACGGAAATATGTATGATAAAGATGATCAATACAAAAAAACTTTTGCCTAATTATTTGACTACTTCATGTGAAAGTATTCTTTGGGCCTAAATTAGCTTAATAATTGCCTCGGTTCTCTTGTAGTTTGTAGGTTGAAATTGTGACTCTTTTGTATGTTGAAACTGTGTCTCTAGAACATTACTAAGAATTTTTCCACAACAGAAAATAGACTGAATTTAAAAAAATTGATGATTATGAAAAATTTGGTGATTTCCAGAAATATGAGTTTACTCGTTTAAAATAGATGACTCAGTATAGAATTTCATGTGATAATGTTTTTCATTAGTATTCATGATCTGATCCTAGAAATATTTTTCTCGTGTTTTTTTTTTTTCCCAAACAATTTATTTTAGATTGCAACTAGTAGATAATTGCTTTATGTTTTAGGGAAAAGAATCGCTTAATTATTGTAATCCCTCAAACACAATATTGGAACTTTTACCATGACCATTTCTAATGCCAGCCCCACAATATAGCTGAATCTTGCCATCAAGCTTACTATCTAAGGAATCTCAGTCTTCTTTTCTAGTTTATGAACTACGGTAATTGAAAAAAGGGATTTCCAAAAGATAATTGTATTGATTAATCCAATTTCTGGGTTGAGCATAAGGTTGTAAATTGGAGATCATTCATATAAATTGAATACAAAGGGAGAATTTTTTTTAAGTCTTTTTTTGACATATTAAATGATTTATGCTGAACTCCTAAAAGCTTTCCAGCCCCACAGAGCTTCAATAGATGTCTAATGGAGTCCTGAATGCCAGCTCTATTTTTGTTGCTTATACAGTAGGTGGGAAACCTTTAACAGTAGGATGAGTCTTTGTTTCGTTTCCATTGAAAAGCTCATGGACTAACATTTTATGACTTCTAATGTTTTAGTAAAAAGTTTCCTGATGTGACAAAATATACATATATTTATAAAAGCTTAAATATATAGATATGTTGTTCCCAAGTATAAGCATACATTTTTATCAATCTATTGAACCAAATCCAGTTTTTACACACACACATATCTCTCTACCTACCTACCTACCTACCTACATACCTACCTACCTACCTACCTACCTATCTAGATAGATAGATAGATACAGACACCTGCATGTTGTGTGTATGGGTTCCATATTTATTATATGTTAGCTGGTTGAGTATTTCATCAGATAATAGGTTCTCTAAATACAGAAGCTGTTTTATCCACCTTCCATCACCCCCCACAGAGTATGATACAGTGCCCTTTACAAAATGGATGCCAAATTAATGGTTGTAGTGAATGGTGACCACAAGAATACACATTTAATCAGAGAAAAATCTACCATTTGACTTTGTTACAGGTACATGGGAAAGATGTCACTTAAAGTTCCTTTTATTGTCAATTAGAACTGTTTTATCCTTATCTGGTTAGATGGAAGCTAAGCTCTGCCACTTTTATATAGTTTTATTTATAATTGTGAACATGTAGAGCCACATGAGGCCATCAATCAGTAGAGGGATGAGGGCCCAACAGAATTATTTCTGTAGGTGGCCAATTTTTTTTCAATCAAGGACAGCTGAAAGGTCATGATTAAAACAGTGATTTTCCTGAAATTGTAAGTGACTGTTAGTGACTGTTTTGCACAAAGATGTCAAAACTACTTTTTTCTCTGAAAAAGAAAATTATAAGTTCTTGAAAACGTTGGCAGTGTTCCAAATTTCACTTGCACTACTGTAATGTATTTTAATTATTGCACTTGAGTCAGTTTCTTGAAAAATATAAAAAGCTAAAATAAGTTAGTGTGATAGTGGGCATACATAGATTAAACAATAACCATCTAATGCCTCACTGATATGTACAAATTCATTACTCAATATTAGCCAAACACAAGGATTGAACAGTTTGTGCTCAAAGAGAGTGCATAGCATTAATTTATATTCCTTTATAGAGATGAGGAATGAGATCACTACATTTTCTATTAAAATGTGGTAGTGATACTTGAGATATTTAAGTAATTTGCTTCATGTAAACCAGTTTGCAAAGGCAGCCAAGGATAGCAAATGTTTCTGTCAATTTCTGTAGGTGGCCCTTTAGTCTCTGAGTCAGGATTGACTTCAGTCCCTGGGTAGTGGCAGGGAGGACTTACTGCTGGTTGTCATCATCTTTCAGATGAGGTGTGGACATGAGGTTCTAGCCATTTGTAGTCATTAAGGATTCCTCAGAACCTTTCTAGCAAGAGGATTTTAACTGTAGTGTTCTGGTCAGTTTCCAAATCGAGTAATTACATTCAGCCTCTTAATATCTTCCTGCAGGTTCTGTTTTTGTTTATTTGTTTGTTTGGGGTTTTTATCGTTGTCATTGCTGGGATATATGGCGCTACAGTTTTTCGTGTGTGTACATCTCTCTGGTTTTAAGCTGTTATGTGCTTTTAAACTTCCTTAGACTATACTGGAACAGAACTGAAGATGCATATTATTAGATGCATATTATTTTAGCCTGCATTAATAATTTGTGTTCCATACATTTACTCTATGTTTTAGTTTAATTTTTTTCTTTAAGAGACACATATAAAAGACAAATAAAAAGAAATAATGGCAAGAGGAGCAACAGATATGGTGGCAGATATGGGCTACTCTGTAGGCTCTGGTTCAAACATACCTGCTCTCCTTTACCTGGGGGAAGAGGCTGGAGGACAGGGAAGATGAATGACAGTTGCTGAGCATGCAGGGGGATCATAGGAATCTATACAGTGTGAGTTCATTTAGAATGAAAAACTGGTAAATTTCTATCTGAGCCCAAGAATGTCGTGGTTTGTTTCCATGTTAATTGTCTTTTCTCCCATTGATAAGCACTTTAAATTTGGATTTGTAAGGCAGCAGGATGTATCTTTGATTTTGAAAAGCAATATTTTGGTATGTCATAATTTGATGGCTAGGTTTTGAATTCGATATTTCATTCATGATCATTTATTGTAATCTACAGAAAGATAAAATTGTATAAAACCAACATTAATTGTATGCCAACCATATTACAAGAACTGCATTTGATGAATTACTTTCGAAGATACTTCATCTGGTTCAGAAAACACACTGCACCAAGTAGTTATCCTATTATATTCCTACAGGGTTAAAAGAGATTTTTTAGAACATTTTATTGTTATTTTATTTATACAACAAGAAAAATGATAAAATGAAATTCAAAATAATTTAGTTCTAAGCATAAATTTTGTCCATTAATCTGAAAACCTACCCTGCTAGTGGCAGTAGGAAAAGCCCATGAGTCGGAAGAACTGTTGTTCAATTCTGGCTCATACAAACTCTATCATTTCCAAACTAATAAGTTGCTTAGCTTCCCTGTCTCAGTTTTCTGCATTGTGAATAGGAATGATTCTTAATATATTTGACTTACCTGCTTACAAAGTTTTAACTAAATGGTAGCAAATACTATACCTTGTAAAGTAAACTTTAAGCTAGAATATAGTACTTTTATCACTAATAATTTGTCTTTCATCATATTGGTTTTACATATAATCCTTAATTAGAAATTCCCCTTCATAGCTTTCCTGGAATCTTGGTTTGAGATTAAACCTGATCTCGATTCTGTATGATAGAGCTTTGATCTTCCCCAGAGCAGTATCACTGCCTCTGAAATGTTCTCTTCCCAATACTGGATAGTTTTGCCTTTCTCTAGTTCATAATCTTACCATATCTAGGACACACAGGCTAAACAAACAAAATACTTTAATCCTTTCCTGCCATCTCTAGTTATCTGAAAATACCTGTTGTACCTGACAGAATCAGGGCCCAGTTGTCACTGGGACAATGGAAGGCTGGTCATTGAGAATTGGAGAAAATCACCAACAAGGAGTAGGACATTGGAGCAGATTATAGCAACATGTGGAAGCTTGTGCATACAAAGTAGCAGATGACCTCTGTAGGAACGTATCTGGTCAGACAGGTGCTGAATATCTAGCTGTTGGCCTTAGCAGGTGTCCGGGGAACAAGGCTGGAGCACAGGGACTGGAAGCTCCGTCAGCTGATGGTGAGCAGTGGTCACACTGCTAAACTGGCCTGGAGCAGCAGGAAGCCTTGGCACAAGCAGCAGACTCTCCCAACACACTAAATCCTCAACGCAGATTAAAGACCCGATAACCAAAGAATTCAGGTAAAAATCATGGAAACTAACTGCTGACTCAGGAAAAGAGCAAAACACTAAAATTAAGTTATTGACACTGATTAACACCAGGATCCTGGCTGCTAGAACTATGAGGTCTGCCTGGCTTTGGGGCCAAACAATGAAGCAGCTCAAATCACTGTCGTCTTCTTTGACTTTCTTACTCTAAGATCTTCTCATGCATACTGCTTATCTCACTCACACAAAGCAGGAAAAGGGAGAATTTAAAGCCAGGTGCGGTGGTGCACGCCTTTAGTCCCAGCCACTCCCTTGAGTCCAGGATCGCTGCAGCCATGGTGATATAGCAAGACCCCACCTCTTAAAAAAAGAAGAAGAAATTCATGTAATTTTTGAGAACATAATCCTCATTCTCTTTTTTTTAAATTTTATCTTAATTAAAAGAAGGTTATTTCCTGTCTTATTTGATTCTGTTTTCTCCCAATTATAAACTTTCTCCCCTTGGAGTTGCTGTAATTCATATAAAGAGGTTATACCATAATCCATTGATTTAAGACATGTTTAGCACATTTTATCCCATAAGATTGGGATGCATCTTAAATTGATGGTTTATCATATTTTAATTGCCATAGTATTTTTTCCTGGTGACACATGAAATATTGGGTTGTCCTCAAATTAATGGCATCTTGGATGAAATACCAAGCTTATCTAAGAGTCTTTTGCTACCCACAATGGCTCCAAATATGATCCGAATCACGGAGACCAGAGAATGTCTATAGTGTCACATGAAGTCACTGACACTGAATGTCATGAGGCTTCATAGAGCCCCAGTAGTTAGTAAAATCCCTTGAGTTCCTAAGCCACCTTTTCCACATCTTGCCACAGTTCCATCATATAGGAAAAGAGCAATCGGACAGGGCTTTCCAAGAGAGGAGACCTCCGTATAGGTTTTTAAGAAATATTTTGTGTCTTAAATTGCAGGAATGCATCTATTGCATCTGATATCTCCTTTACCTTGATAAGATTTTATGAACAGAGTTTAGATAATCCCTCCATCTTTAAACATATATATGTATGCGTCCAAAAGTGACATTCTGGAGTTTGGAAATGACACAGGGTCTTCTTTCTCTAGCGGATCCATTTCCAGCATAAGAACTTTTGGGTAATATTCATGTATTTTTATAATTCTTGCTATTGTGAAACTCAGGCTTAACTTTGTGTTTTCTGTGCTATTTTGGTTACTATATTCTATAAAATTTTTCACCTTTGCCTAAAATAAGCACAAATTTGTAACTGGGACAGTGAATAATACATGAAACTTTTTTTATTTTTCTCATTGTCTACATGAAACAGATACTTGCAAGGTAATGATATCATTCCTGGAATTTCCTCCTTTGAATTAACATATATTTTCATTCTGCCACATAGAAGCCCTTCTTCCCCTATTGTAAGAGCTGCAGGGTATCTGCCATTGGTAAGCTTAAAATTTGGAATGTGTCTCAATATTGGAACTTGTCTCAATATGTCCTCATATTTGGACAATGTCTTGATTTCATGATTTTATAAAGCATACATACATAAAATGATTTATATCAAATTTTCATAGGACAAAAATAGTGCATAGAGCCAATGAGAAAGAAGACACAATATGACTTTACTGAGAAAATGAAATGAGGGATCTGAGGGTAAGAACTAGAATCGACAAACTAAAAAACAACAGCTATTTATGGAATTGTGGGCCTTGCTATATTGCCTCCCCCAGATACAAAGATCTCATTTTGAAGGCAGTATCAAACTTCCACTGAGAAATAATTGGATGTTAGGATGAGACCTCCCAGATGAGACTTAAGAATACTCATACTTACTTGGGATGCCTGCTTGGAAACTATCTACTCATTTAGTACTATTCATGGTTGATGCAGTATTAGAGTTGATATTTGAAATCACCTATCAACAGTACCCCAGGAAAACCATGTGTCCTGAATATCACTTCTTACTGGAATATGAGAAAGAGCCCTCTTATTTAAAAATGAAGAATTCCAGAGTTTCCAGCTTAAGAAATTAAAGGATGAATGAGGATTTATTTAATACGGATGGATCCCTGGCTCTTAGGCCTTTCAGGTATTGGAGAACGGCCAGTATTTCACCAGTGAGGAGGCAGGGAGAGACTCTGGATGCTGAGTGCCTGTACTTGAATAGACATTCAAGTTCTAACAGCCGTCACAAAGCCCTGACTACTGAGGAAGTTTCTAATAATTGCTAATGACAGACAGACACACATGGGAAAAAGTTACTGTAGCAAAAATGAGATGGGATATGGTAACTGAGATAGGGCATTCAGTTTAGGATTTCAGTCCTTGTAGGTAGTGTTTTCTGGTGGAATATATCTTGGACATGATCACTGAAGGTAATGGGATATTATTTTGCAACAAATCATTTTTAGAAATCACTTTCCATAACTACACAACTGCTTCATTAGAGGATACAATATATAGATCATCATCTCATCTGGAGCATTTTCGTTACATTTCACCTGATTTTCCTGCCCCCAGCCTGTTCTTAACTGTAATTCATTAGTAGAAATGGATTAATCTTCCTAAATCACAGCTCTGGTCTTGTTACCTCCCTGCTCAGAAATGGTTCCCTGAATGACCTACTGAATGACATCTAAACTTATAAGTCTGATGTTTAAGACTCTGTGCTTTGGCCTTTTCCTTGATGCTGTAGTCAACTATGTTACTCTTTATCCATACTTTGCATTTTTCTACTGTTTTTTTTATTTCTACTTGATTTCCAGGTTATTTTTATGTTGACTTACTATTGTCCATATTTCTACATTACTGTTACCCTTTAAGACTCAGTTCAGATGTACTTCATTTTAAAATCTTCACTCATTGTTTTAGGAAATAATGCCTTCTTTTTCACATTTAAGTATTGAATAAATACTTGTTGCTTGACAAATTTTGTTCCTCTGTACAGTCTATACATAATAGATATATCATTTGCTATTATAAAGAATAAAAATAGATTGGATAAACAACAATACTAGGGTATAAATATTTCAGAAATTGATTATGCAGGGGGCTCTTTGTCACTTGTGGATTTTCCAAAACTTTGCTTTTCCTCCTTTGTTCTCATGCTACCTAACTCTGGCTCTTTGCCTTGTTCATTTAAATTTTAGCTTAGGAAGTGCACAGGAAGAAATGAAGCATTCAAATTACTTGAAAAGAGAAGCATTCAGACTTTGTTCACTCCCAGCTTTTGATCATAACTATAATTCTCTGTAAGCAATCCAATAAAACTTCCCATTGAGTTGCACTTGTGTTTCCTTTGAGCTTGAATTTACAGCCTACTATTGGTAGATTAAAAATCCATTAAAATCTATAAGAACAGCAGAAGTTACATATCCCTTTTGCTGTAGTAAAGATTTTTCTAAAAGATTTTACATTAAAACTCCGTTGCTAAGTAGTGATATTAATAGGCCATTTTAAAGTCAAACTTGGCTTGTCCTTAAGCCACGGAAGACTGCACAAGGAGTAGCTTCCCATATTCTATGAGATTGAATTTTGGACGAATGACTGAGACACAGTTGATTTTTTTTCTCATGTCAGAAAGACAATGCTAGACTCCATTAACAAACAGCAGACAACCTCAAAGTTAAGTGGTAATGCAGAGGATAGTTGGCAAAGAACATGTTAGGAAGGGGTGATAATAGATTCAGAGAAAGAGTGTCCAAATAATTGTCCTGTAGATAGTGAGAAAAATGAAACTAGAGAAAGGGTGAGAGGTCCGGGATAGAGACGTAAATTTAAACTAATATGTAGATAAATGGTAATGAAAAGTCACAATGCCCAATTTTGTAAAAACACTCAAAGTGCAGTTATGAAGCAAATGTATTTCTGTCTGTGCCTTTTCAAATTGATGCTTTTCTTTGATGTAATACTTTGTACTTTTCTATAAGTTAACTTGCTTTCAGCATCTTAATATTTTTGCAGATATTTAACAATTAAGTTTAAAATCAAAAGCAAGAGATATGATACTTGCAGCTCAGAAAGCAGCAGGACTTCAGTGGGTTGGAACGCAACTCTTCTTGCTGTTGTCCCAGGTGATTTTTCATCAACCAAGTCTTAGATCAATCAATTACACAAATATGACACTATTACATCTTTCTTCTGGAGTTATCTTTCTGTTGGTCTAATACTCAGATGCTTCTGAGCCACGCAAAGTAAAAGCCCCAGGTAGAATATCCATGAGATGGGACTGATTGTGCTTCCATGGTTTACCTATCTCAGTGGCCTGCCCTCCTGGCCCTGTGAAATCAGTTTGGAAACTTGCCCTTCTTCTTCTTCCTGGTGGTCTTATTAAACTTTTCCAAGTTTTGATGGTTCTACAAACCAGAATTTCATTGACATTTTCACCTACTTTTACTTTTTTTTAATGTGTTTTATCATGTTTTCTTTTTTACAAAAGCATTTTGTGTTCATTGGAGAAATCCTAGGGGAAAAAGAGCAAAAAGAAGAAAATAATTTTTAAAATATGCTAATTCTGCCAACCAAAGAAAATAACCAGCAAGATTTTGGCATATAGTCTTTGTTTTAAAAAAGGTAAATTTGTGTAAGATATAATGTTTATTAATAACATATTTTTAATAGAAACTCATGCTGTAATAGTTTTAGAGCCTACTTTTTTGTTTAAGGGCATATACTTTTTTTATATAGTTAAATATTCTTTATACTTGATTTTCATATCACAGTATCTTCTATATGTACCAGAGTTAATGCATCCAATCCCTTGTTTATGGGCAATTAGTTTTGCTTTCTATTTTCTGCTTTCTATTCCCATTGCCATTCCTGGAGTTATTATAAAGCCCTCATCTTACCTTATTTAAATGATTTATTTCAATATTGCTTCAAATGAGTGCTTGTGTTGAGTGAACTATCAAATCCTTGTAGAATAAGTTAAACAGCAGATACAAAAACAAACGCCTCTTAAGATTGTGGCTTGTGTAAAGGCTTTGATGACTTTCCATTTTCTTCAGAACAATTTCTCAGCATTCGTGTAGGTTCTTCTCTAATTTACTCATGTTCTACCTTTATGACTTAACCATTTAACCTATGTTCACTCACCTCATACTACTCAGAATTCTCTAAATATTTTGCTACCTTGATGTCCTTCCAGTGTTGTTTTTTTGTTGGTTTTGTTTGTTTGCTGATAATGCCTTTTATTTTTGTTTCTGCCTGGTAATATCCTACTTATTCTTAAAGATAAGGTTAAATTCTCCTTTCTGATTATCTTGACTGACTCTCCCAGTCATATTAATTGCTCCCTACTCTATGCCCCAGTAACCTGTGGTTGTTGTCTTTCTCATGTTATCTAGTTGAGAGCATAGTATAATAAGAAGCATATCCTGTAGTCTTTGGACTCTGATAGTCTTAGGTATGAAGCCAGAGTTCATCTCCTATAATTTCTCCATGTCAGCTTCAGCATTCATTCATTCAACGAATGTTATTAAGTACCTTCCATGTTGCAGACCCTGTGTGGAGCTTTGGAGTACAATGGCAAACAAATAATATTAATCATGGATAACATTTATTATGGAATGTCTATGTATGAGGCACTGTTTCAAGTGTTTTACACATGTGGGCTCATTTAATCTTTACAACAGGTTCTATTACTAACCTTCTTTTAGGGCTGAGGAAATTATGGAACAGAAAAGTTCAGCGCTTGTGAAGGACACACAGGTAGTAAGTAGCAAAACAACAATTCAAACCCAGGTGGTCTGTTCTCACCTGCCCTCATTGTCAAGATGATTTATTGCCTCCTAGAACAAACAAAATCACGCATAGTCTCTCCTTTCTAGAATGTTCAGGCTAGTGGGGGAGAAATATACTAAATAAATAGTGACACGGACAAACATAAAATTAGAATGTGGTAAGTGCTATGAAGAGGAAGTGTATAGCACTATGAGAAATAATAGATTTTAAATAGCTTGGGAGGTTAGCAGTGTCTGAGAATGGTGGGGCTGAGGGAGAGGATTGGAGTGCATCTGAGGTGGAACTCAGAATCCTATAGGCCATGTTAAGTGATATCTATTCTAGGAGCAATGGGAAGTGATTACATATTTTTAAAGCAGGTATTTCAAGGGTATGTTTAGTTTGTAAAGATCCCTCTGTAAGCATACAGAAGAGTTTTCAATAAGGATGGTAATATATCTGTGTAAGGGTATAGATAGACCCATATCTATATCCCATTATAATGGTAAGTGAGAAAATGTGTTTCAGAGTGTCTAGTGCAGTGTCAGGCTGGCAGTGAGCACTGTCAATGCTGTTGTCTTTCTTTATTCATTATCTTATTCACTGGATCTAACACACTACTCTGCAAAATGTAGCAAAACAATAAATACTTGTTGATTGACTAACTGAATTAAAAAATCATTATAGAGATTTTTTTTAAGATTTCCAGAAACTAGAGACTCTATTCTTCACAAAATAGTCCATTAAGTAGCTTTATGTATGAGAATATATTTTCTCATTTTGAGCCAAAAATCTGATTTCCTATAATTCTATTTAATTTTGCCTTCTGGACCTGTAAAGAATGAGTACAAATCCTGTTCTGGGATACTCCTCAAACAATTGAAGGAAGTTGTTTGAAATATTTCTGTTTTAGATCCTTCAGCCAGGTAATGTTTCACCAAGACTGTGAAGGACCCACTCTTTTGTTAGCTGTACCACTCAGAGTCAAAACGTTACATGTATTCTTCCTAGTCCAGAAATAGTGAGGTTATTAGCATTGTTATTTAGGGTGTCTGTCCTAATTAACACACCTCAAAATCACATTTAGTATTTTGAAAGTAACATGATGTTTATTCATATTGAATTCATATTCTGTCAAAATCTTATCTGAACTGCTTGAAATCATTTCTCTTTTATCCTGTGCTTATGCCATAGGTTGTTTGAATTTGGCAGCTTTACATTTATCAGTATTGATTTAAATGTAATCATTTTGGTTAAAATGTTTTTGAATAGTGATTCTATCATCTAGTGTAATAGTTGTTTCTCTAAGATTTTTGTTTTGTATGTACTTGGGAAAATCTTTTTACAACCTTAGTTTTGTTGTTGATCATACTATCAAATAAGGTAGAATTAAAGTTAGAGCATTTATTTTACTAAAGATTTCTTTCTGGTTGTCAATGACTGCCAGATGTTATTTGATTAGCTGTAAGGCTATCTAATTGTCCATTTATCTCTACTGTAATTTTTCATCTTATTGTTAAAAGTTCTACTGAAAAACCAGAATCAAATCTAAGGTATTTGCAGATAGGTATAATTAAAGCTTTTGAACAAAAGAAATACAGATAGCATGAAATTATATATTGTTAGTAAAGTAAATAACAACAAAAATATGTAATGAGTGGTTACTCTGTGTCAGACACCTTTCTGAGTGTTTACATACATCAGTTCTCACAAATTAATTGAAGGCGAGTAGGTACTATCAATGTCTACAGTTTGTAGATAAGAAAACTCAGCACAGAAGTTAAATTACTTGCTAAGTTCATATAGTTAGAAAGAAGTGGAGTCAGGAACTAAACCCTCGCAGTTTGGCTCCAACTTTGGTGCTCAAACCATATTGATTCAGGAATCTTAATTTTGTATGTGCTATAGGAAAACAACATAAAAATTGAAACAATGTGGCACTTTCAGGAAGAAGTTTTGGAAATTTTTTTTATATTAGATTTTTTTCTAACCTTCCATATATTGAGGACTTTTAAAATACGTTGCTTTCAATCTAAAATAATTAATATACCATATATTTAAAATGACTTTTAGTGGATATCTACTGTCTATGAGAATAACATCAACTTAGTTGAGGAAACCCTCAGAAAAATTATATGCCAGGACAGCTTAGTTCTATTCCTTATGGTACACTGGCAACATAATAGCAAATGAATAATAAACTTAGCTGTGGGGAAAGACAGGAAAACCTTTGCAGTCATTCATGGATGTAAAAAACACAGGCATGCTGATTATGGTGTCTTCGTGCACGAATGCTGTTTCAATAAATTTTTAAAAATTGTGGCAACATCAGAGGTTTGTAAAATGGCAGGAAAATGAGGTTTTGGAAGATAATTCCAATAGTGGAGTAGTATATGGTTTTATTGGAACTTAAAAAGATTGCCTAAACATGACCTTAGAGGAATACATAATCTAGAAAACGCATACTAATAACAAATGTGTATGTGGTTGTCTTGTATTTGGTACTAGAATATGGTTCTTAGCTTCTTTGTGGGAGAAATCTCATGACTTGATGCAAATTATAATGCTGGTAAAAGTGACACTATTTCAGTAGGAATTAACAATTTTGGGCCAGCCGTGGTGGCTCATGCTTGTAATCCCAGCACTTTGGGAGGCTAAGGCAGATGGATCACCTGAGGCCAGGAGTTCAAGATCAGCCTGGTGAACATGATGAAACCCCATATCTAGTAAAAATACAAAAATTAGCTGGGCGTGGTGATGAGCACCTGTAATTCCAGCTATTCGGGAGGCTGAGGCAAGAGAATTGCTTGAACCTGTGAGGCGGAAGTTGCAGTGAGCTGAGGTCGTGCCACTGCACTCCAGCTTGGGTGACAGAGCGAGATTCTGTCTCAAAGAATTAGCAATTTGGAAATTTGGATTTTTTCCTAATAATTTATATATTTAGGACTTTTCCAGTGAATTAGATTTATATGAGTAATCTATCCTTAAAGTACGTTGGAGAAAGCTTTTAATTCACTGAAAGTATCCTGTAGGTGAGAAGGAAAAAAAAAAAGAGTCCCAATAGCATGTATTTTTCTTTTTGGTTCCATCAACAACAACAAAATCCTAATCTGGATAACTAATATGCTTAAGTATTCTCTGAAAAGACCTATAATATATTGGAGCTGTTTGAGTGCTCCTACAAATCATTTTGCTTTACAGCTTTGATCTTGAAATATGTGGACTGATATCTGATTTATGCTGTTGGTCCTTCGTGTAGGTAGTTAAGTGTTCTTGCTTAAAGTTATTAAATTAAGCCCAAAGCTATAAATGGGCCCCCTTGGCTTAGAGCATATGAAAAGACCTTTCCCCTTTAAATTTTATCCCCTTTAAATTCTATACTGTATCCTTTTAGTTTTGTTTGCTGTGGCCTACTAATAATGTCTTTTTGTCCTTTTGGAAAGTATTTATTCACTATCACCTTCTCTTGTCATCCTCTAAAATATGTTTTCCTTTATTAATAACTATTATCTCTAAAAATTTGGGGGACCATATTCAAAGAAGATTACTTGAGAAACCTATTGTGTTTTATAACCTGTGAACTTACTTCTAACTTAATTCTACATAGAAGTGCTTAATGGAAAACAAATCTGGTAGCATAAAAGAAATGAAGGAAAAGTTAAACTTGTTTCACATGGTATACACATGGAGATGAAAAATGGTTTGGAAGCATACCTATTTGAAAAATCTAGACCATATTCTAAGAAGGCATATATAGAGGGCCATTTTTGAATCATAGTTATTGATTTTGCTTTTCTTTTCCACTGAAATTTCAGCTATCCTTATTACCTTATTAAAGGGATGATCACTATCTTACCTTTTGCATCTTTGCCTCCTAGAACTTAACACAGGATTCAGTATATTTTTAAAATAGAAAAACAACAATAACAATAATACTAGCTAATTCTAAAATATTGCTTACCATGTGCCAGGCATGCTTCTGGGTTTTTCCTGTGTATTAAATCATTCAATTGTCACAACAAAGCAGGGTATATTATGATCCTCATATACATAGGAGGAAATTGAGACCCAAGAAGTCCAAATAACTTGCTCAGACTCAGATAGTAAGTGGAGATAGATACATTAAAACAATATAAACAGGCAAAAGAAGAGAATCTATGGCTATTTCTGTATGTTATTGGTAAACTATAGTTTTACCATTCAGTCATTCATTTAGATGTATTTATTTTAGCCTGGTCATCCTTAGTGAATGCAAATTGAGGCAGGATTGGTTGACAGAATATTGAGCAACAGGGCAAGATGATCAAACCTATGAGAGTAGAGAAGAGAATCCAACCAAAGTTAAGTAGGCATTATCTAATTTGCATTTCATGGAATCAGACCCCAATGGGGAGCCAGGTCAAAAAGTCAGTGTTTACGGTGAATATTAGAAATGATGAATTCCTGAAAATCCCCAGTAAGCCTTATAGTTGAGACCAGTATACCATTCCTCAGTAAGATGCAATACAGCTAGTTTTTCCTCCAACCATGGAATATCTTGCTCTTTAGATGAGAAGCAGGGGATGTAGACAGATTGTGTTGAGAACCATGCAATAAGAAGCAACATGAAAAATACTTCTCTTTAAACACCAGAATCATTCTAATGGCGAGATGCTTATACAATGAGATGCATAGGAGATCTGAGACGAATTCAACTACAAATTCACATCTCCTGTGTGAGCCATGGGTGAGTTGAGTAGAATGGTGGTAGAATTATATGGGTTACATTAACTACTTAGACTTTGTCCTATTTTTCCTATATGAAAATAGTTGAAATTCTCATAAAAATGCATGTATGATGTGAAACTGAAGTATAATGTACAGTCAGATAATTTTGAATATATTTTGTGAAATAGATGTTTATGATTTATAACAGCAGTATTTTAATTTCTATGCAGCTTAAATTGATGCTTGGATAGGGGAAAAGGATGAAGAAGAAACTCAATGGTATGTTAACTGAGAGAATGAAGTAAAGTGGCATAGTAACGACAGTTATAAAAGGGGCACTGCATACCCCATTGCTGTCAAGGGATTGTAAACTTCCAGACTGGGCTAAACGAATGCTGGGAAAGGTCTGTACAGCCACAACAAGTCCTTAGACTTAGGACTTAGAAGCTTATTTGCAGTAGTTATTTTAGGAGTTACAGGATTCTGGGGACTAATTCATGTTAACTGAATTTACAAGACATATATATATTTAGTTGAGACATTTAATTACCAAGATAACTAGAAATCTCATCAGTAGGAAGGTCTCCTTGGGCTGTTTGTTGCTATGTTTATGAAGATGGTTTCATGAACATGGAGGGAGAAGCCGTAAAATGGTTTTAACTAATGACCAGGCATGATAGCTTATTCCTTTGGGAAGCCAAGGCGAGAGGATCCCTTGAGCCTTGAGCCTAGGAATTTGAGACCAGCCTGGGCAACATAATAAGACCCCATCTGTACAAAACATTAAAAGTTACCTGGGCATAACTTTTCCTATAATCCTATAATTCCTATAATCCCAGCTACTTGGGAGGCTGAGGTGGGAGGATTGCTTGAGCCTGGGAGGTCGAGGATGCAGTGAGCGATGATACTACCACTGCATAACCTGGGCAATGGAGTGAGGTCCCATAACTTTTCTTTTCTTTTTTTTTTTTAATAAAAAAAAAGATTATAAGGCCTAATATGCCTTTCTCTCCCTCAGAAGAGTTAATTCATTAACTCACAATAGACCAGAATACAGATGCTCCTCAACTTACAATGGGTGGGTTGACCTTTTGATAAACACATCCTATCCTAAGTGGAAAATGTCAGGAATTGAAAAAGCATTTAATACATCTAACCTATGAACACCATAGCTTAGCCGCACCTACCTTAAATGTGCTCAGAACACTTACATTAGCCTACAGCTGGGCAAAATTATCTAACACAAAGCCTTTTCAAATAAAGTGTTGAATATCTCATCTAATTTACTGAATACTGTACCAGAATCAGGAGACACAGATGGGCATTTTGTATACATGATGGGATGCAAAAACACAAAATACAATATCCGAAAAGCTCTGGCAACACAGTGCATTGCAGAGTCTTAGTTGTTTACCCTCATGGTTGCGTGGTTGACTAGGAGCTACAGCTCACTACCACTGCCTATCATCTCAAGGGAGTATCCTACTACATATTGATAGCCTGGGAAAAGATCAGAATTCAAAGTATGATTTCTATTGAATGCATATCATTTTGTACTGTGGTAAAGCCAAAAAAATTGTAAGTCGAACTATTTTAAGTCAGGACCATCTGTGTGCAATGAAATGTCAAGGTAACATACCAGGGCACCTTTTCCATGGAAAGTGTTACAAAAATTGATTCTTCTCCTTTGGTTCTTTTGCGTTTTGGTTTTCTAGATACTGTTCGAATATTTAAAGAGTGCTCTACAATGTTAAATGTTTATTTAGCTCACAGTTTAAAGAACTTCAGTTAGTTATGTTTTAGTTTCCTTGATAACATTTGAGATATCTAATTAGAGGTAACAAGCCCGCTGATATCATTTTTATGTGACCAACCATTTCTCTGTCATTTTTTCTGCAGATGGTAAATCCCATATATTTTACCTTGATTTTGTATCAAATTCTATTTCAGATGGTTATATATACTGAAATCGTCCTCCAATTCTGTTTCTATCTATCTGGAACTTGTCAAAGATGGGTATCATGGGGGAAAACATGGCTTTGAAGACAGGCAGACTTAGATGAATACACTAGCTGAGTGATCATAGGACTATTGCTTGATCTCTGTCTTAGTTTCTCCATCTGTGCAATAGAAATAATTCATTCTACTTTATACAGTAGCATATAGAACAATGCCTGGCACTTAGCAGGTGCCAGACAACTTAGCTTTCTTTTCTATAAAAGGTTTTTAGGAGGAAAACAAGATTTTTTTTTATCTAAAATACTTTTCACAAGGGTTTTTAACCAAAGGGCCAAATCTGGCCTACATAATGTTTGTAAAAATCATATTTGAAGTAATTGCCAACTTTAAACATCAGTAACTGTCACATAAAAATCTGTATTTCTCACTTATCTTGAAAAAGTGTATTTTCTGGCACAGAGCTTCCCCAGTTCTGCTTGGAACTCCAGGCAGAAGCTGAGTATTGGCTGCTGCTTTGGACACAGCATTTGCTAAACAGCTCACTGCAGTGCTTTGAATGACTTCTCTAGGCCTCTGCACCTGGAACTTCTTCACTATGTTACCCTTTTCCTAATGAATCTTCATTTCATGATATTTTCACCAAAGAACAATAGAATCTGTAAAAATAAATACTTGCAGTGCTTAAATGGGAAAAAAAAAAAAAAAAAAAAAGTCAAGCTCTTGTTTTGTTACTCTAAGGTGTTTGTACTTTCCAAACTGAAAGTTGGCCGATGGGATCTCAAGATGACACTGAGTGTTTGGAACTGAGACTTCTGTAAAGAAACTTTGTTACTGTGGTTCCAAACCACATGGACACTCAATTAATGCTGTTGACTGATGACTGTGAATTTTCAAGTGTTTTCAGTTTCACTGCCTTTGTCCTGGACTGCCCTGGAGAGTGGTAGCAATGACACACTGTTTGGAAAATTAAAGTGCTATGTTCATCCTTGAAACAAATGGCAAAGCTATTCAGGATTGGTATTATTCTGATGTTTTGGTAAGGATCCTATTGAAACACACACACTAAAACAAAGTCCTGGGTCAATTATCGCAATGCATCTTTTGAATGAGAAAGACTCAATGACTGGTTTGACAAGAGCCTAGTGACCCTGTGAGTGTTATTAATTTTATTATCCCAAGTGGTTTGACAAGAGCCTAGTGACCCTGTGAGTGTTATTAATTTTATTATCCCAAGAGAATAACGAAAATAGGACCTATTGTTTAGCTCTCAAGCTAAAATTTTATACCATTATCTATATGAGCACTATCTGAAGAGTCTCCCACAGAATATACTTATGGGAGAAAGAGTTGAGTACAGTCATAACTTTAATATAAAAACAACCCTTTAAATATGAAAATAGTAGCATGGCTCTAAGTCCAAAATGTAGAGAGACGATTATGGAGATAGAAACCTTGAGATCTATTTCTAGATTATCCTGGCACTCAGGCTCCTATGATTTTCTGTTTAGACAATACCCCATAAAGTATCACAGTGAATTTAAACATCACATTTGCATTTTCTAGGGTATTTATGATGATTTTTCTGAGTGTACTTTCTAGATGAGACATAGAAATATGGTGGTTAAAAGGGGTCTTTGGAATTAGATTGCTTATATTTGAAGTCAGGCTCTGACATGTATAAGCCAGCTATGGGATCTTAAGCAAGTTTTCTACCCTCTACATTTCTTCAGTTTCCTCAGCTAAAAAATGCAGGTAGTAATAGCACCTCCCTAATTATGTGAGTGAGAAGAATGAGTGAGATAATGTTAATAATCCCTTAGCCCATAAGAAAGGCCCAAGCAATGCTGTTATTTTGTTCTTACCTTGGTTTAAGATGTATTTCAAACACAACATGGATTTGAATAAAGAAGTGACCTGTGATTATTCCATTCAGTTACCAAATCTAAACTAAATTGATGACAAAAAAAAAAAAAAAAAACAAAAAACAAAACTTGACTGCTCTGAACATAGTATGAAGTACTACAAATTACCACATCCTAAAACAATGCTTTGGTCTATTGGTGGACAAGTAATCATCAGAAATAAGCTGTTTGTCTATAACCTGAAGCTGCAGATCCAGGGACTAGAGTGTTAGGAGGGATGGGGAATTCAAAATATGGGAAATCCAGGACATCTAAGTTCAAGATTCTCTTGGACTTCCACTTCGCCACCACATCTTTGCCCCTAGTGCAATGTATGTAAGAAAATACCAGGAACAGGAGCAGACTCCCACTGCAGTGAGGAGCTTGGATGTAGCAGTGGACTGTCTTCATTTAAACTCAAACCCTCTTTAGTCCATGGGTCATAGACCATATGATTATTTGCACCAGCCATACAATCACATTGTAGGCAATTTGCTCATTGTAGCGGGCTTCTTAAACCACAGCAGGCTGTAATGACATTCACATGTGGCCAATGATTTAGTTTAAGACAAAGTACTATGTATTTAAATATTATTTAACATATACTGTTTCTCTACTCATCTTTGAAAACTTAAATGTGTGTGCTTTATACTGTAAATGTACTCCCCCACCCCGACATTTTTATCTTTGAATTTTGTTTTGTTTTGTTATTTTTTTTTCTTCCCCAAAACAGGGTCTCGTCCTGTTACCCAGGCTGGAGTGCAGTGGTATGATCATGGCTCACTGCAGTCTGAACTTCCTGGGCTCAGGCGATTGTCCCACCTCAGCCTCCCAAGTATCAGAGACTACAGTCATGCACCACCACACCCAGCTAATTTATAGTTTTTGTAGAGATGGGATTTCATCATGCTGCCCGGGCTAGTCTTGAACTCTGGAACTCAAGTAATCTGTTCACCTCAGCCTCCCAAAGTGTTGGAATTACAGGTGTGAGTCACTGTACCCAGCCTTATCGTTTAGATTTTAATCTCAATTTTTGCTGTCTCAAGAGTTTCATTTTTTTTTTAATGGATCTTGATGGGCCTTGCCTTGAGAAGAGAAACTAGCCCACTTCATGATAGAGGAGTCATTGCCCAGTTGGCTGTTCGGGTCCCTTTTGTAAGAGAGGCCCCTAGATACAAAATCTGTGGCATTAGGGAAGCCCTCTCTAGTGAAAACCATTTTTATTTTTAGTACAGTCAGGAGATAATGATAATACCCATTCCTTATTTTCTTGATGTATCTTACAGTCCATACTCTGGTCTAAGGCAGTTGGCCCCTCTCGTGTTGGCTCCACAAATCTTGTGTCTTTGTGTAGAGCCCACTGGAGATGGACAGGGAATGAATGTGAGGAATATGGATAGAGGTATATAGATCTACAGATATACACACACATACAAATAAAATATATATGACATAGATGATATATATGTAGTCTATTTTATAGATTATAAGTGGCATTTTATAACCTAAGGATACAAGGGATGAGGGTGTGTCTGTGTGTATTTGTGTAAGACTGTAGATCTTTGCTCCCAGCGTGCATGCACTGTGCTTACTGCACAGGAAGCTGACAGTTTCTCCACCCTTGTGGAAACAGAGCTTCTGAGAGTAGAGTACTGCTTCCAGAGAAACACTGTCACCCCAAATATCCATCGTACTTTTTTGGTATGTCCCAGTTTTATTTTTGTTTTGGGTTGCTTTTCTCTTTTATGGGGTTCCCCACTTAGATATTACACAATCCTTATAGTTGAACTGAAAATACTATGTGCAAAACTGCTGGAAAATTGTTCCCACTACATGAAAGATGTTAGAGGACTGAATAACATGGATGCCAAAAAGACAAAATATGAGGTGAAGCGAAGGAATATTTAACTTTAATTGCCATGTACAGTATGATTCCAAATATAACTAACAAATGTTGAAAATATTTGCATGCTCCATGTAGTTTTCGGACAACTCTGGAATACACTTCTGAGCTTTGAGGTAAGGCCCTGTGAAGGGATGCCTCATAATCAAAACATAGCTTTTAGTCTCTGTACATGAACTTCCAGAAGTATGACTTGTCAAGAAGACTGGCTGCAAGGTACCCCCTTCCTGTTTCTGCACTTTTCTTTTTGTGGCTCTGTAATCTTGTTCATTGGGTGCTTGGTGATTATTTTCTCCATTAAGCAGTGTCCCTTTTCTTTTCTTTTTTTTTTGAGATGGAAGTTCACTCTTGTGGCCCGGGCTGGAGTGCAACGGCACAATCTTGGCTCACTGCAACCTTTGCCTCCTGGTTCAAGCGATTCTCCTTCCTCAGCCTCCTGAGCAGCTGGGATTACAGGCACCAGCCACCACACCTGGCTAATTTTGTATTTTTAGTACAGGTGGGGTTTCACCATGTTAGTCAGGCTGGTCTCAAACTCCTGACCTCAGGTGATCTGCCCACCTCAGCCTCCCAAAGTTCTCTTTTCTTAAGGCAGAAAAATTATTTCCGCCTTGTTTTTGTTTTGTGGGTTCCCCCCCCCACTCATTCTGTATTCTTACTAATGTCTGGAACAAGAATTGGTTTGGTCTCACTGAGTTCTCCCAGACTCCTTCTATCTCCCCAAGTAATGATAACATCTGCTAGAAATGGCATAGTAAGAAAACAAAGCAGCTATTTGTAAGTCCTTTAGAGTGTTTCTCCAAAGGTGGTGAATCTAAAACTCATCTAAGAAGTTTGTCAAAACTCAGATTTCTGCCGGGTGCAGTGGCTCACACCTGTAATCCCGGCACTTTGAGAAGCCAAGGTGGGCAGATCACTTGAGCTGAGGAGTTCGAGACCATCCTGGGCAAACATGGCAAAACCTCATCTCTACTAAAAATACAAAAATTAACCAGGTATGGTGGGGCACACTAGTAATCCCAGCTGCCTGGGAGGCTGAGGCTGGAGGATCACTTGAACCCAGGAGGCGTAGGTTGCAGTGAGCCGAGATTATACCACTGTACTCCAGACTGGGTGACACAGTGAGACTGTCTCAGAAAAAAAAAACAAAAAAACAAACAAAAAAAGCACCCTTAGATTTCTGGGTCACACTGCCCAAGATTCTGATTCAGTAGGGCTCAGTGGTTCCCAGGAAATTGCACTTTTGCATGCTGCTCCCAGGGAAACATTGCTTTGTGGATCATCATTTTCCACGGCTGGTAGTAACTGGATGAATATCCGGGATAACTTCTTATTCCTAACTATGACTGAACATCAGAATTTACAGTGGACGTTCATAAAAATTCCTGAGCCTCACACCCAGAAATTCTAATTTATTAGGTTTGGTTTAAGGCCCCAGCATCTGTATTAAAATATTAAAATATCACTTCCCCCGCCCTGACCCCAGCAACTACTGAACTCCTCAGGCAATTTTTTTCTGTGCACCCAAGATTGATAACCATGGCCTTAGCTCTTAACCTCACCATGTTGCTATATGAATACTCCTCACTGATTACCAGGTAGAAAGCTGGAAAAGGCTGCATTCCTTGTGAATAACTAATATGAGCAGAAAAGGCCAGCGTATCAGCTGCCCCTCATTTATACATTGATTAGGTCTCAAAATATGACAAGCTCAACTTAACTGTTAGGGAAAGAGTCAATGAGACCAGCAGATAGCTGGAAAACAGACCTTTTAGTTTATTTCTTAAGTGTCACATCAGTCTGTCCAGTGAAGTGATTAAAGGGGAGACTCCAAACTTCAACGGGAACCAGGCCCTGATTTGTTCGGGGTCATGAGCAATGGCTCGAAACCATCTTGTTTGCAGATACTTCTTTCATGCTATTAGGCTGTCAGTTGACAGAGTTTGCAAGATTTATGGCTCAAAACTCAAGTGTACACATGTGCGAGAGGGTGGGACGATGCGATGGGTTAGATGAGGTGAAAGGAGAGGAAGATGGCACGGGAGTGTGATTGTGAATACTCTGGACCACCCTTTTGGAATTCAACTTCCTAATCTCTCTAGGTTTTACCCCTTCCTCCCAGTAAACATGATTTTTAACTTCTGGAATTCCTGCTGTAGGAAATTAAAATAAAAAGTGAGACTTCTACCAGAAGCACCTAATTTATGAAAAGGTTCCTAGGGTGCTTTTAATAATAAAGTTTCATTGAGGGGAAAATAATAAAGATTTAGCATCCTTGTCCCTGGGGAATTGATGACCTTTCTCATTCTCTTGAGAAAACTCTGCTTTCATAGCCTAATTGACTCTCTTTTATTGGACCTGTTTGCTTCTTTCAAACTTATTTGAGTTGAAATTTCTGATGTTTAAAATCTCACATCCTCTTCACAGTGGGGACAGTAACTTTCTGCATCTTTCTGCTTTTCCCTCAGAGATTTTTCTCTTTCTGCCAGGAGGGAATCCCTTGCCTGTTGCTGTGAACAACACTTCTCACTAATTTCCCTCTTTCAGTTCCTCCGATCCAAACTGAAACTTCCTTTTTCTTTCTCTTATCTTTCTTTTCTTTTCTTTTTTCTTAAGACAGGGTCTCCCTCTGTCACCCAGGCTGGAGTGCAATGACACGAACACAGCTCACTGCAGCCTCGACTTCCTGGGCTCAGGTGATTTTCCCACCTCAGCTTCCTGAGTAGCTGGAACCACAGGCATGCACCACCATGCCCGGCTTATTTTTGTAGTTTTTTTGGAGAGACAGGGTTTCACCATGTTGCCTAGGCTGGTCTCAAACTACTGGGCTCAAGGGATCCTCCTGCTTCAGCCTCCCAAAGTGCTGGGATTACAGGCGTGACTCACTGCGCCCGGCCCAAACTGAAACTTTCTAAAAGGAAGTGTTACTCTATGACTCCCCTGCTTGAAGTCCTGGGACTCTCCAGGGTTTATTTAAATGCAAATTTAGTTTACGGAATTTGTCACTACTTCCAATCCCCAAGCCTGCTTACAGCACACAGACACACACGCGCGCACGCACACACACACACACGCACACACAGTTCTCCAGCCATAGTACATTATCCCTCATTCCTCAAAGTGGCAAGTTCTCATATTCTCTAGCATCTATGCACATTTTCTGCCTTTTGCTTGTTTTTGTCTTTCTCTGTAGAAAACCTCATAAACTCTAACCCTAACTTCAAGACTCAACTTAAATGCCACTTTCTCTGTGAAAATGGAAACTTTCCCCCTCAATCAGAGTGCGTCAGGGTCCTTTCTTCTTCTTTTTTTTAAAAATAGAGACAGGGTCTTGCTGTGTTGCCCAGGCTGCCCTCGAACTCCTGGGCTCCAGCAATCCTCCTGCCTCAATCTCCCAATGTGCTGAGATTACAGGCATGAGCCACTGCACCTGGCCAAAGGGTCCCTTCTTTATATGCTTCTCTAGCCCCCTATTCACACTCCCATGCTAAACATTCAGTGTTATCATTGCATTAGGATTGCTTCCTTCAGAAAGCGCATATGAAAGCCGTTTCTGTCTCGTTTTTCTCCATTGCCTCATAAAATTCTGAGCAAATCATAGTCAACACTTTAAAAACTGTCTGTTGGCTGGCCAGGCATGGTGGCTCACGCCTGTAATCCTAGCCCTTTGGGAAGCCGAGGCGGGTGGATCACGAAGTCAGGAGATCGAGACCATCCTGGCTAACATGGTGAAACCTCGTCTCTACTAAAAATACAAAAAATTAGCCGGGTGCGGTGGCATGTGCCTGTAGTCCCAGCTACCCGGGAGGCTGAGGCAGGAGAATTGCTTGAGCCTGGGAGGCGGAGGTTGCAGTGAGCCAAGATTGGGCCACTGCACTCCAGCCTGGGTGACAGAGCGAGACTCTGTCTCCAAAAAAAAAAACAAACAAACAAACAAAAAAAACTGTTGGCCAATGAAATAAAAGAAAAAACTAAAATCACTATTAGAAGTTAGCAAAAAAAAAAAAAAAAAATAGATCTTGGGAGCAGAGGGAAAGGCTTAGAGTAAAATAAGTAGGGAATAAATCAAAGTGTCCATTTTGCCCCATTGCTACAGCACCTAGTTTAACTACCAAGCCTACCTAGGACCACTGTACTCTGGAAGCCCACTAGAGCAAGAAGAGCTAGAAATGGTGCTTCAGTGGGATAGCTATTTGCTAAGCCACATTTCTAGTAATGGTGGTTTGGGGAAGGGGCAATTATTGCCCAATTCCACATGAATTTATAACGATGTTGTAGATGAAGTAGTGTAGGTAGGTGCAGCAGTGGCTTGGCCAAGGCGTCTCATTAGTGGCACCGCAATATTCTGTGTCCTCTGAATCCAGTGCTTCACTTTGACTACACTACTGAAAGCCAAATTTCATTATTTCTGACAATTGGGGAGATAATTTTGTACCATATGTATTCATAATGCGCTTGATAATTTATCTATTACAAATCATGGAGACTTTTTGTTTAAATGCAAACCAAGTACTATAAATCTCATTGGTTTTCAAGTTTTATCACTCAAATTCAAATAGGTACATGTGTGGGCCGACGGGGTGTGCAGTGGGCTGCAAATGCCATCAGAAACACGTGGAACACAAGTGACAGAGGTCCTAAGGGCACATTTTAAGTCTGCTTCTCCTGGTTCTGTGTATGTCTGAGGGTAAAATCAGGTTTTCCTTATCGAGAAGAGCAGTGACTTCTGCCCTTACTCCTGTCTTCTTCCTACCGGACTCTGGGTCTCATGAGTGTTCACAAGCATGGCGCCTGGTTTGTTCTGTGGCATTTGCCCCATTCTCCTCCTTTGCACTGACTAATGCAGAAATGTCACCGGCCACCCTACAGTTGCCTTGCAGATGTGGCGCAAGTTCCCTGTCCTTGCACTAGCGCTGCCTGCTATTTTGCGGATGGCAGAGGAGAGCTGCCTTGTGTTTTCCAATGTTCCTCCTGAACGCTGTGAAACCACTCTTTTATTTCATTTTTGTCTTTCCCTTTCCCAAGGACTCTGACACGAGCCCCTGAGAAAAACGGCGGGGTCAGGAAACAATCTTAAGCTATGAAACCTGCTGTACTTAAAGGTGCCACTCTCCTCTGAAAAAAAATTCATTATCCTTACACTTAGTTTATTAGCTTCCGTTATTGCTTTCTCCCAGGACGCCCTTTGTGGTTCAGGCAACAATACACCTAACGAATTCATTCCGCCAGCCCTCCAAATAGCTGGACAAGTATAAGGCTGGACAGCCTTGAGATTGGGGTGGCGAGGATGGCATGACATAGCTTAGATCAGTCAGATCCATCATTTACTATGTATCTGTAGTGAAACAAAGTTTATAAACAAACGGCTAGAAGACCCCTGATATCTTTGAGGGGAATAATTTGCTCAAGGCTACCATTATGCAGCATCGCACGTGGCATCCTAATCTAGGTCCTTTTAATTCCAGAGCCACTACACTTTTAATACTTCTCATTTCTTGTCTAATTTTCTATCTTTAGCCTAGTGCTGGACAACACATGTAAAATACATGTTGGATGAATGAACGAGGACAGGAACCAAAACACATTGTGTGGGAAGATGCTAATGCCCTGTAAACACTATGAAGATCATGGCCGAGTAAAACAGTTGTGGATAGTGGTTTCTTTTGAAGTATCACTTACTTAAAACACTATCTCTGAGGAACTGATTTGGAGTGAGAATTTACTATATAACAGCTTGAATTTTTGAAGACATAGCTCAGAGTCTTTATGACCTGCTTGAGAGTTGATAATGGATTTTGACAATAATGATTTGAAGTGAATTTCTTTTCCCGAAGACTTTAAAAATATCTCATGAAGTTTTCTATAAGATGTGTCTGTTAGGCATGTGAAATTTTAAATAATACATTTATAAATCAGTACCTTATTTTCTTCCACTGAGAATATAGCAAAAGTTGGTGACCTTTATGTCTGTCATAATAAAAATGACTTCTATTTACTTGAGAAGGACCTTTTAATCCTAAGAGATCCTTCATTTTTATGTGGTTGTCGCTATTCACTATAAGAATCACTTCACTTTCTTCTACAATGTAGTTTCACATCTGAAAGCAGTTGATTTTTCTACTTAGGAAATGTTACATTACATTCAAGAGCTACACCTACCCTATCTTATTATTATTTTTTTTTTGGAAAGTTGGGTTGTAGTAATAATGTTTATTTGTTGTTGTGATAGGGATAGCATACTAGGTTTTGCATGGAATAATCTATATGGACACATTTGCATCCACATACAGAAATACATACAAAAGAATGTATCCTTTGACCTACAGGCACATGCACGCCTGCCCATCATTTCATAGATATGTAAGATTTTCCTCCCACCGTGGGCGTTTGGTTTATACAATGATGGGGCTTCTTTTATACTTACTAATTCTATTCTCTATTATATTCCAAAAGCCATCATATTATCTGCCTTGTCCAATTTTCTTCTGTGTCTCATTAAAGTGGCCTGCTGTGAAGCTAATTTTTCTTGCTCATTTTATTGATATTTTGGGAGAGTGAGATTTTTTCCAAGCCATTCCTGCTTCAGTATAGGGTTGTGGTAGCTGTCAAAAGAAGGCTTTGAAACCATCCTCTAAAATAAATAAAAAATAAAAGCAGCTTATTTTAGTATCTCTATTGAAATACAAATTACAGGCCATTGATCTTTTCCACAATTCCTTGCAATTATTTCTGTTGACGATTTTTTTAAAATAAGACAATGCAATATATTTTAAAAAGCAAATAAATAAACCTCAAGGATAAGAATTGCACCAAATGGGTTTGTAAATGGCTGTGACACACATTTAGTAGGAGAAAAGCATCATAAAACCTAGCTTTGTTGTTATTTACTACAATCCACAATAAAGTGTGTCAGTCATTAGGTTAACACAACTCTGAATCAGTCTAAAATCTCACCATGGAGGGACTGTTTAACTCTACAAGTTTAGACTGTCTTATTCTTGTCAGGTCAACTAGTTTTCCAAAATATGCATAAATTTTAAATAATGTATAATGATACCAGAAAACAGAAATGCATCCCTGTTTCCCTCCCCTCAGCCCCTTGCCTTCCCTTCTTTGAAAAGAAAAAAAGAATTGAGGTGATGCCAAAACAAGGAACATCCTTTCCTCTAAGAGATGGCAGTCTGTGCTTTGCCTTTGGGGGCCAGATGGCAGTGAGAACGTTGAGGAACCAGCAAATGTCTGGGTTTGCACCCTGGCTCTTTCCCTTTCTCTCTCTCAGCCCCACCTTGCCCTTCTGCAAACTGGGGATAATTAGACTCTTATAGGACGGTTGAGGGGATGTATATAAGTAAAGAAAATAGTGATTGACATATAGTAAGCACTATGTCATGTTTGTTAAGAAAATAAAGAGCTCAATAGCTGGACTAGATCGAAACAAAATAAATGTTTAGAATAATACGTTGCTGTTTTTAGTAAAACAAAGAAAATGTGTACCTTCTGTAGACTCATTTAAGATTTGGCATTGAGAGACAGAAATCATTTTGCTTTGTGATATATTCTCAAGTAGAATTCTTAGAATGTGGCAGAGTCCGGAGAAAGAGTGGAAGGGGACACATTAACATCACATTACCAGGGGCAAGTCCAGAAGGGCCAGTAGAAATCACAGTGCTGCTTCTGAAGGTTTTATCAGCTCAGCAGTGAATTCTGAATTCAGCTTATCTCTTCCAACCTGCTCCACAGGCCACTAGTTCTATAAATTGTTAATAGGTGTGTTTGGAAGAGGTTCCTAGGTAAAATAAGTTTGTCAAATACTGAGTTAAACAAACTTAAATAACAATCCTTGGAGCTTTTAATATATTTAGTATAAATTTCAGTACTGCAGGAAATGCACATATTATGTATCACATCCCAAATTTATTTCACCATGATTTCCTTGTAAAAAATCATACAACTATCGTTATCCTCCTAAAGATAGAATGTCATTTGGGAAATAAGTAACATTTTGGTCCTTGTCGTATTACACAGACAAGAACTGAATAAAATAAAGTTGGTTTAGAAAGAAAGAAAATAATGTTAATGATAGCTAGCATCCAAATGACATTTTACAGCTTAAACATATTTTCATATATATTATTTCCTTCAAAAGCATATTTTCCTCTTTTGTATTCACTCACTAACCCTCCATCTCACTCCTTTTCTCCTGAAATCATATAAATGGGCATTCTGAGCACTGAATCATTCCAGTTCCAAGTAAATACCTCCTCATAGAACACTTTGCTTATGTGCTCAAAGAGGTGACAAAAAGACAACACTGTTTTTGGTAGCAAAAAAGTAGAAATCATCTAATATTTACCAAGGGAGGAATGAGTAAACAAAGAGCATGCAAACAATGCGTGTTCGTTAAAATGAATGAATTAGCTTTATGTGCAATAGCATGCGTAAGTCTTAAAAACATGATTTTGGGTGATAGTAAATGGGACAAAATTAAAATAAGCAAAAATAGGACTGAGTTTTGAAATCACTGGCAAATATCAATGAGAAAGAAGAGGTGCTATAGATAATGGCGACCTGAATGGAGTTAATTGCTCATCAAAACTTAGGTGATCTTATCATTAGTGTAAGGCTTGGGAAATTAGGGGGGCTAAAGTTGTTTTAATGCTCGCTCTCTCTCACTGTTTCTTGTATTGCTCTATATTTCCTGAGAATCTCATTCACATTCAAGATTTCATTTATCAACGTATATGCTAATGACACACACATTTATATTTCCACCTCACACTTTTCTCTTGAACGGGAGGTCTGTATATTCATTGGCTGGCTGAACATCTTCACTTGGATATCTCGCAGACAACTCAAACATAGCATGTCTCAAACAATTCATGATTCCACACTACTCTCTCCCTCTTCTATGAAGAAACACATAAAAGTCACTCCTCTTCTTGTATTTTCCATCTCTTACTTACAAATGGCACTCAAGCCAAAACCCATTTGTCATTCCCAACCCACCACCCTTCCCCACATCCAGTGTCATCGTATTCTTTCCCTTCTCCTTTCTACGTTTCTTTCCAGCCCAGCTCCTCCTCTATGTCTCTTCTTCCACTACCCCAGTTCATTTACCTTAATGATGTTTTCCTGGGTTATTGTACTATCTCTTTAAACATATCGCTGCTTCTAGTATGGTTGTTTTCCAAAACATCCTCTACATGTTTGTCACATCTTCCCTAATCTCACATATTTCATATATATATCTATTTTCCATCACATCCTTTGGTGACCTGCCTTAATTTTTAGATTAAATATAAACTCCTTAGCATGGCTTCAAAAGTCTTGATTTGTTAAACTAATAACTACTACCCTTTAAAGATGATCTTCTACAGCCCTTTCTTTCTCTTCTTCCTCTTCCCCTCTTCCCCACCGTTGGCTCTGCCAAACTCCAGCCATATCAACCTACACATCTTTTCCTATGTATTTCTGCATGCCTGGAATGCCCTTCTCAGTCCTGTCCTTTGATGTGCCTCTATACTTCCTTTCAGACTGTAAGAAATACAGTTATCTTGTACTCCTTCACAAATCAAAAACTATGCAATAGAAGTGTCACATACATTTTGACTTATAGTTATTTTGATCCATTAGAATAAAAACAGTGAAAATGAGGGCATTGAATTTCTAAAAGCAATATTTGAATCCATTGGACTGGTAAATCTAAATAATCTAGAATAGTCTGATATAGAATATCATTTCAGAAATAAAATAGGAATTTTTATGGTTTATGAAACATTTGTGGGATTCATAAATGCAAATAAATAATCCTTCAGTTTTAAGCATCTTCAGGGCAGGAACTGTGTGTGTTTATTTTATAAGCTCCATAGCCCATAATTCCATGCTTTATACATACTAGGCACTCAGCAAATGTTTGTTATATTGAAAAACTGATTATGTTGTCATGGGAACACATGATATCAAAACATTTAATAATAGGTATTATTTTACCTCACAGAAATAAGGCAAATGTTAACTAGGCATATGCACAAAGTTTTTGAAATACCACTTTGAAAATGTGAATGTTACTGTGTTTATGTACCCATTGTAAATAAATGATTCAAGGAAAAGGTGTTTGCAAGATATCTAGAAATATATTTAGTTTCCTGTATACTAAAAAAATGCCTTTAAACATACTTTATATTGCTTTCTTACACTCTGGACTTTTTAAAAAATATATTACTTTCAAAGATACCTTCTTGTAAAATAATGAGAACAAATTGCCATTAGTTCCATTCAATATAACAGGAAAATATGTCATAAAGAAGAATTCTTTTTTTGAAAGCATTTAAACAAATGACACATTAACCACTTTTTACCCACAATTCATAATTTAAAACAGAAAAGTAGGGGAATGAAGCAATAATATATTGAGGTAGGAAGCATTTAGATAACACAAGTGAAAAGTAACCCTTAAATATTTGCCAATCTATTTCCTCAGTTTTCACTTTCTTGTCATGAATGCTTATACACAAGTAGTGACTTGATAATTAGCTCATTGATAGTGATTTGGTATAAATTAAGTACTTGTTTCCATTCAGGGACACCAGAGTGATTAGCAACTGGGACAGGTGAATCTAATTTACAATTTTTTCCTTTAACTGAATTTCACAGGGCATACAGTTAAATAGACAACATTACTATTTTTCTCCTTGGTAAATAAGTTAAATGATTATTTTTGTTTCAAAAGTGAATATTACATGCCTAGGAGTGAGAAATTAGATAAAATATATATGTATGTTGGAGCTTTCTTAATTAAAAAGGAAAGCATATATTATTGTAATGTTTAGACATGACAATATTTAAGGAAGAAAGCTTTAACTTTATATACTCTGAAATGTGTATGTTTGAACAATAAAACATCAGCTACAGTTCTACTGATGGGTATTTTACTTCTGTCTCATAACAGCCAGTGTGTTCTGTGTCATAGAAAACGGTATTATTGTGTATCTGGGGACTTGTTGAAGAAAATGGAGTGAAAGGTACAAACTTATGGAATATTTCCTCACTATAGATCATTCTCTGAGACCATAAGTAGAGGATTATTTGTTCCATGGGCAAATATATATGATTATTTTTGTAATAAAGTACTGAAGTATCCTGTATCATATACTATACTATTTAATTTATACCGTATAATTTCTCTTCTATTGAAATAATTTTGATAAATTATTTGAATGATGTCTGCCTTTTTGTTTTTTCACAAATTGCAGAACCAGGGCATTCTGCTGCTTTTCTCTGCCTGGGGATATAGAGAGAAATATGGAGCTAGATAAAGAAATGGGCAAAGACAGAGAGAAAGAGAGAGAGAGACCCATACATATACTTTTTAAAGCAGATAAAAGCACTGAACAAGAGGCTAAAGAAAAAATTATTATTTTTATCATTTGATTGGCTGCTGCTAACTTTTCAGAAGAGATTAATCATCATCAGAAAAACATTTTGAAGTCCTATGCCCCATGCTGTTTTCATACTCTTTAAAGCCATTTAGACTGATAGAATCCTCGTATTCTAGGAGCTTATGACCCAAGCCAGATAATGCGGCATGAATCTATAAGGCAGAGATTGTAGAATAAAGCTCGGAATAAATATCAAAAAAAAAAAAAAGGAATTAAAAATTAGAAGGCCCAAAATGCAGGAGTGTGATGAGTAGACAAAAAGAACTTTGCTGAAGTTTGATCTTTTCTAATACAGTATCTTCAAATAGGTCTGGCACCAAGATCATTATCATATGGCTACCTCCCAGATCCTGGATCAGGCCTACTGTTTATTAAGATAAATGTAGACACGTCTGCAAAGGAGCACTTCAAAATAACAGACCTTCATAATGCTGTGTGACTAGTTTGGGATTTGTTTTTTGTTTTAATCATTGCTTTATCATTTGCCTTAGGTCATTTCTGAAAGCCCTATTGTGTCATTAACTGAATTATGCTATGATTTGAGTTTATTCCTTCATATTTAAAAAGCCTTCCAGGACTATCCTTCTCTGATTTGCACTTAAGTGAAATTAAAAGTCTGACTGTTAGGTAGTGCCTTTAGACCAGCTGAAATAGCTCCTCCAGCTTACGTCCTTAGGGCCTCGTTAGGAAGAGGCTCACAGCATGCCTGACACCGGTTAATATTTGCAGAGCTCATTTACCTACATTGGAAACAAACCAAAAAAAGGCCAGATGAATTCTACTGAAGTGAAGAAGGCTGAGGGCATCAGTGCCCATCATCTGGGTCACCCTTCTCTGTCGGAAGTGGATGACCCACCAGGCAGTGACTCCTTAGCTCTTTGAAACTGACAAAACCTGTTGAAAATGGGTCTTCAGGTATGTTTGTTGTTAAAGATTCCACAGGACAAAATAGGTAACCCATAACCTTGAGAGAAAAGGGGAGTAAAAAAAGGATTCCTTCCCAAAACAATATATGTCCTTTACATGGACCAAGTTAGCCATAGTTTGTTTTCCCAGAGGATAAAGGATAATATTCACACGATCGTGGCTCTGCCCTGATGGAATTGTAAGCCACGGTTTTTTCCTAATTAGAAATACAGAATATGGTGGTTTACAGTTACTTTGAGAAAATAAGTTGTTAAGTTTCCTCATTACTATTTCTCCTTACTCTATGGCATTTAGACTAATGTATCCATTTGAGGAAAATCTGTGCCAATAGTTATGGACCAAAAGTTCTCAACAACTGAACACTGTCTTCTCTATCAACCCTGATATCAGACTTACTTAGGAGTCATTACTTTTGTCTAATTATGAGGATGACTTTGGATAAAACTAGATAAGTGTACTTAAATAATATGCACTAGCTTATTAATCCAGAAGCATTCTCAACCTTTGTTTATCATTAGATTAGCTAGAGATTTTAGAGTACCTGATCTGTTTGCTAAAGAGGCTCTGGTCTATTGTATCTCTTTCTATAAAAGCACAATGGAGAAAACATGTCAAAACTCTTGAACCCTAGTAGGATTTTTAAAACTTAATTACTGTCAAAAAAAAATTCAGTGACCAATCCAGGCTCAAGATTTTTCTAATGTCTCTTTTACCGATCTCTTTCCTTCTGTTTACTGCCAGTATTCTTGAGGGAATAAAATGTCTTCAGCATTGCCCAGAATTCTCCTTACCAATGATTTCTATTAAATTTTCCCATTAACCATAAATTTTTCTTCAAAACCATATTTTTGTATCCTTAGGTTGCTTCTAGAGTTCTGACTTTTTTGAGAAGACTTCTTGAATTTGGAATTGTTAGGAAAGTGTATGTACACACTTTGGGGCTTTTGTTATTGGATACTACATGACTCCAGTGGACATTCTGAAGAACAGAGTGTGAATTTCCCTTTTCCCTGGACCCTCACTAACAACTGTGTATTAACTTTGTTAATCTTTATCAGTTTTATGGATGACAATTTAAATTATGAGCCATGACTTTTAAATTGTCTACTTTAAGAAAATGTTATTAGTAGTCACTCTGCTTTTCCTCTTTGCAACATTTGATTCTATTGGGTGTATCCAACCACTTGAACCTCTCATCTCCTGACTTTTTATAATATTATTTCTTAATTGATTTCTATCCAACTATTATTATTTAGTCTCTTTAGCTAATGTTCATTAATAGTAAACATACTGGCCTTGGCTCTGACCTTCTCAATGCTTATACTCTCTGCTCTAATAAACAGATCCTATGGGTATATTCAGAGTTTCAAACTCTGTATACTTCAAAGCTGATCTGTGAAACATGGCCTATGTGACATTTCTGCTTGATATAGTAGCTATCTTCAAATATCTGATGGAGAGTGGGACTTATAAGACTGCTGGACAATGCCAAAGGCACTTTTATTATTCTGTTTTATTGTCACGACAGCTGAAGTTCAGTAAGAAGTAACTTGTTTGTCCAAGGTTATATGGTCAATAAGTGGGAGATTTAAGACCCTCTGGAAAAGGCCCTTTGGAAGTGTAGAAGTCTACCACTGCCTTTCAGGCAGGACTAAAACTTGGTGTTAGGATAACAATACCTCAGCGTAGGAACATCTGGAGTTAAGCCCACCACTTCACAGTGGAATGTCCCCAACAAATAGAATCATGTCTTTGTGTTCACTTTGCTCAGCTGCAAAGTGAGGATAATGATATCTACTTCATTAAGGTTGTTGTGATCATTAAATAACATATATAATAGTACTCTGTTAATTTTAAAGCTCCATAGGTAAAGGGAGGAGTGTGTGTGCACATGCTATTGTTTGTGTCTAGAGGCAGTGTACTATGAGGTCATCCCCTGAAAAATAATTTTTACAACTTCCTTTTGAAACATATCATATCTTTACTGTCTAGAATTTTTTGTATTAAGCTACTCTTCTCATGCAGGTTGATGTGTGGTCAGTTCAGTTTGGGCCATAAAAATCTACAGAAGAAAACACTTCAGTGGGGTTGGACCTCACTACATTACTCAAGTGTCACTTATATCCAACCTTTCTTCCCTTTCTATGTAATCATGATTTTACTTCAGGCCTTCTTTATCTTTAACCTTCCTTCGTCCAGTCCCTTCTCTTGAATCAATCTTGTAATAACAGAATATCACTTCTAATAAAAGAAAGATCACTGCCAATGGAGTGATCTTTCTAATAACAGAAAGTTGATTCTGTCACTTCATTGATTATAAATATTTAATGGCCCAATGTTGCATATAGAATGCAATGTAAATGTTGCAACATCACTTTTAAAGCTTCTCCAACCTCCCCTATCCTCCTGGTCACTAGGCCATTCTTCTTTTAGTACATCAGGCTTGGAGCTCGGCAAATATGATGACTGATAGTGATTCTTTTTCTTCTATATATTTTTCCTACTATAGATGTTATGAACATTAAGACTTCAGGAATATTGTAAAATTTAACATGTCTAACTACATTCAAGTAATTTCTTATGTATTCATTTATTATCACTAAAACTTACTAACCTCTTTCTAGAAAAAAAATACCTTTGACAGTTTTATCATTTCATGATTTCCTAACAGAAAATAGTGGCATGTAAAGCTGAAAGCTAAGATGTTAATTTTTTTTTTCTATTGTTCGAGGGAGTGATCTATATGGCAGTAATTAGTAGATTCTGCTTGTGCTTTTCTATATGTAATGGTTATTTGTATTGAACTTTAATTTTTGGATACCCAGAGATGAGAAGCTTTGCCTAAAGGCACATCCTGGTTAAAAATATTTTTCCCGTTATCTGTTGTTGTTGAAAACACTGGGGAGAATATACTTTTCGTCCAAGTACTGTATTCTGAATAATGTTTCATCCATAAGGATTACAGATCTTTGCAGTCTGTCAGCATCATGTTTCTGCATAATTATTCACCTTGTCAATTACTCATATTTGAGTGTTGAATGAGTTGTGTTAGGTTGAATGATACTGATCCCAGAATATTATCTGGAACGTGTTCCTTAAAATGAGCTGATAGATGAATTTGTTTTATCATATGCTATCTTCTAAAATTAGGCTTAGAAAATAATATATGGTTAAGAGTTCAGTTAATGAGATGCTGGGTGATTAAGTCATTTCTATGCCTAATTGATGGATAATGAGTTCATTGGGAAAAATTTATTGAGTTTCAGAACCAAGTGACAGGTTACTCTAGTTGTTGACAGTAACAGGGAAAACACAAGATCTCAAAGTTAGTAAATTCACTGAATATTTTCTCTTAGAATAGAGTTTGTTACAAAATAAATATTTTTCTTAAGATTCAAATTATTTTCAGCAATTTTTTATTTAAGAACAGAGAGTTGAATTTGTAATATTTATGGGAAAAATCCAAGGAGACAGAAGAGAAGCAGGGACCTTGTTTTACTTAACTTCTGGCCTTGAATTTAGCCTGACACATTGTAATAGTTCAGAGAATGTTTGATGGATAAAGGAATGAATGGTTAAGTGGATGGATGGATGGATGGATGGATAGATGAGTGAGTGAATGAAATAAAGACTTGTCAAGAAGTCAGGGAATTAGATATAATGAATGGAAATAATAGATTACCAAATTCCTATGCACATGATATACCTGAGAATCATTTCATGCCAACACACATCATATCACTCCAAATTAATGCCATTTTTCAAAATGATTGCTTTGATCCTTATAGGCTACTATTCGAAGTAATTTTGAAAGTATTATTTTGTTTTTAATTTCAAAACAACTTTAAAGCTATATAAGAAACCAACTTCATTGATTCATTATTTGATAAGAACATCTCAAAAATTTAACCAAATGTTAACCAAGTATGTTAGTCACCTAACGTACTTGCTGACATAAATGACATACTTGCTTAGGTGACATAAATGCTGTCACCTAAGTTAGTAGAGAGCAAGGGGCTCAAAATGACTTTTGTTTCTCTAAAATCACATAGGCCTTCAGAGGAGTTTTGCTTTTTGAGGTGTATCTCAAAGAATATGTGGCAGTTTCTGAGTGAAAATTCCAAAAAGAATTTGAACAATAGATTTACTGGAATAAGTTTGTTGTTTTCAAGGAGACTATTTTGAAGGGGCAAACCCCATTTGAAAGTATGTCTAAAAAGCAGTCTTATTAAACTGTTACCCATACCTCAAAGCTACGTTTAATGGCATAAAGATTACTGTGATTTGACATACCAAGAAAGTTACAAATATGTATTGATGAATTTCTATAAAATTAAGACTTTTTTTCAAATATGTATTCATTCTGGGTAAATGTTAGTTATTCCTGTGACCTCCTGAGCAGCAATAATTCAGTCGTATTTATTTTGTAAAATATTTCCCTGGTCAGAATGAAATTCTGAAATTTTAAAATATAGTACTAATGGTTTGTCAATGCCAGGAGGATCAAGGATTTTTGTTTTATTAAATAAACATTTTTATTGCATTAGCTATTGTGGTATAAAGCAATAAAATGATATGCCGCCTTTTCTACTGCCTTGCCCCCTTTTATGGGAATGCTAGTATGACCTACATGCTAATTAATTTAGTAAAATCATTTGAAAGGTTTTGGTTTTCTAAATGTGTTGGATTTTTCCTGTGAAGAAACTGACCTTGGTAGAAATTGCCTTTACTTTAATAACTAGTTCACCTCTAACCTGAGTCTTCAAGACTCTCCTTTTAAAGGAACAAAAGTAAAATAAAAATGAGGTACTCTGAAATAGTAAACACTAACACAGAATCCTATATACTACCTTATTTTGGAACATTCATGGCTATTGTGTAGAACAGAGACAAAGGAAGTGTAAAAGAAGGAGAGGCAAACTCTGACTCATGGAGGCAGAAGCCCATGTGCGGCGCCATGTTATTACTCTATTTCTTGTTCTTGGGTGAGATACGATTTTAATGCCATAAATACTGGTGCTTCCCTTAATAGGACAGATGGTATCAAGGGGAATGACTTAGCTGACTAATTTATTTATCTACAAAATGTGAAGGCACTGCCTATAAGGCTTCTATTAGGACAGGTTGTCTAATAGGAATTCATTGGCAAATCACTTATTGAAATTCAGAGTACATTGACCCATAGGATAACTGTAATGAGCTGGATCTTCAATCTATCCAACCAAATCCCATTTAGGTATCTATTTAAAACAGTTGCGTTGCCCCATTGAACAAGTAAGCATTTAGAGATTAGTAAATTATACCTGTTGACATTGAAAGGTGAGAAACAAGTTGTGACTATATAAGTTGTATTTGTTTCTCTGCATTTGTTTAATTATTGTTTTAATTAAGCTTATAGATTCTGCAGAGTGGAATGTTAAAGGTATTTCACCTACCTTGAACTTTGAACTAACTTAGTGCAGTATTTAAGTGTGTTATAATAATTGTATGCAATTCTGGGCATTAATTTAGCTCAATGAAGGATTTTAATGTTTTGGATTTATATTTACTTAATCAAATATTTATACATTTTAAGAAGTTTAAAATGCTTAACTATGTATAGGAATGCCACGATACCATAGAAATGCTAATGAAACAAAAATGGAGATCAAATAGATTATGAAGTCAAAATGAAACTCTACTACAATGAAAATGGAAAGAAAACACTGAAGATAAACACTTGGAAATGAGAAAGTAAAATATCATTAGACTAATCAAAGAGAAGTACTAAATGCTAAGCAGAAATAAGTTGTAATCATCATGGACAAACATAAAACAGAATATGTCCTATAACTTGGAACACTGCAGATAATTTGGATATTGTTTTCATAGCATGCACCCTTCTCAATTCATGTGATAAAACACCATTATTTACCAAAAGACATTTTCTCACAAGTTTTACCTTCTCAATTAACTATTCCATGCATAGATTTTTAATGCTGTAGAAAGAATATGGTAATACCTTTAAAATTCCTATATTTCTTTTATTATGGACAACTTATGCTCTTCTTTTGAGAAGTAAGCCATTGAACTCATTAATTGTTGTATCTGAGAAAATAAGATGTATATTTATCTTTGCAATGAAATATATGAGTACATAAATTAATTGTATTATAGTTTCTTAAGCATTAAGTTCTGCTAGAATTATGCTGGGTACAGCTGTTTTAATACATACAGCAGATAAACATTAGGAATAATTATCTGTTGTAAGTTCTGGAAACTGATATCAGGGAGGAATGAATACAGGAACAGAAAATGTCAAGGAGGAGAAAAGTAAAATGGTAACAAGTCTTGCTTTCCAAGGTGTATTGTATTATATTATTGTTCCCCAGAAGCAGTCCTTGACACTAGGATTCATGTGCTTGTTATTTATTAAGGAAGTGCTCCCAGGAGAAACCAGTAAAGGGGTGGGGGCGGCAGGACAGGGAAGGGCAGAGGCCAAGCAGGTTATGCTTTCAGAAGTCCTGATGTAGTCTTGAGGGGAGCTGTGGAATATAAATTATACCTCTGGGTTGTTATCATCTCAGGCAAGGGCACTGGGCTTTCACACTGTCCTACTAGGCAGTCTTTGGCTATAAGCCTACAGGTAACGGGATGAAACACCGACTCCCAGGCACTTCCCGCTCCATGTTCCTACAGTGGAAGAGGCCTTAGTAGCCTAATGTGTGCTCGGAGGAAAATTCACAGTGCTAAGCACGAGAAACAAGGCCCATAGCCACTGGGAGTTGGGTGCTCTGAACCACTAAAGAGAGCATCAGGTCTGAGCAGAAATAGCGTCCATAAACAGCATTCAAAATAGAAGTATTTGCATTTGCTGCATTGTTACCGCTCTTTCTATATCTACTGTCACCTCCTGCTACTGTTCCTCCTAACCTCTCAAGGACCTGATGCTCTAGAGCCGCTGTCCAGATGCCCATGTGCAGGCCTGCCCTCCTTCCTCAAACTGCTCCATGCTTAACCATGTACTTTCTCTCCATACCCAATTAAAAGTCTCATTTCGTTAGCACAGCTCAACTAAGTATTGAAAAGAGATGGGTTTGAACTCATTCACCTTACTTTATCTTTTGTGTTTGAAAGCTAATTGTTAACCTAAAACATCTCATCATAGTCCTTTAGACAGTTTAAGGGAAGAGGACTTGACATGCTTCAAGGAAAGAAGTTTTTCTGCAGGAAGGCCACCATGTGGGCAGGAAAGGGCCCTAGATTGCTAATTTTGCTTTCTGTACTTCTGAACCCAAAGGTTTTTTTCGTGGGAGCAACATTGTGGGTTGAGTTACTTTGAGTTTTAAAATAACTCATGTCATGACAGCAAAATTATGGAAACAATGTCAAAAAAATAAGAAGTTTGATAATGAAGAAGTTTGGAAGCTCTTTAAAAATACTCAAAATAGTTTGACAAACACTTGATAATAGAAGAAAAAAATGGGAACATTTTTCATTTGTCTTAGCAATTATGAATATGTTTTTTTTCTATTCCCCCTACTACCAGCAGGGTATGGCTGACTAAATTCTCATCTCTACATAGGTTGATGTATGTGTAATTTGTTTGCATGAAACCCCTGAAAATAATATGTATCAATAGTGTTCATTATATTCACTCTTCAAATATTTATAGAGGACTTTTACTGTGATGAGACTTGTCTGAGCTGTGCTTAGCGTACGATGATGCCTGTTTTCAAGGAGGATACACCCATTTATGTTCAATTTCAAGTACTCAGCCAATACTAGAGGACCAAGTGAAAATAATGAAGGAAGTAGTCTCACAGTGGTTATCCAATAATATATTGTGACTTTATTTCTGATCAAAAGGCATGATTTACTTTTATAATCCTCTGACAAGTTTTATAATTTTTTAATTTTCCAAATAAAGTTTATACCCAATTTTCCATATCTAATAACATAATTATTATTAATTCTATCAGTGTAATTTATGAATTGTATTATTATATTATGAAAAATCAGAGCCCAAGAAAGAAGAGAAACAAAAATGCTTCTTTACTTCACCACTTTAAATGTATTTTTTTCTCATCCAAGTATTTGGTTTTTTATATGTTGTTTATACACTTTTATATCCTGCCCTTTTCACTTAAAATGAAAGCCTAAGCATTTTTCTGTTGTTAGAAACTCTTCATAAATTTTTTTAATGCCTCCCAAACATTGCACTGAATGAGTTATTAGGTTAACAATTCCCTGGCTGTTGGACACCTAACTTGTTTACAAATTTTTCTCTTTTACCCTTTTAAAAGTGGTATGAGCCAGACTTTTAGTGATTGAACCTTTCCATATAGCAATGAGGAAGGTGCAGTAACACTCTTCAGTTCTTTGTTGTTTACTGAGCCTTTGCATTACGCATGTATCTTCTTCCTGCCAACCAGAACCTTCTATTGGGAATAAAACTTCATAATAGTCAGTAATGGGCTCTAGGCAGGGCTGAGAATGCCTTATACCTTTGACCACCAACTAAAGTCAAGTGAGTGGCCTAGATCTGAATAGCACTCAATAACAGATGTTTCCATTGGCTGATAACACATATAAGCAAAAGGCTACATGCATATTTTGAGAGCTCAAGGAACCTTGAGAGTTGCTTGTGGGTGAGGTGTAGTTTACTACTGCTCTCCTAGATAACCTGGGAAATCTAGAGGAAGAAGAATCTCATAAGCTGTTTGCAGAGAGGAAAGCACATTACATTGGAGGTGGTGCTGACGCTGGTCCTGGGCATACTAAGGGTTAGTCTGATGGGATGAAAGATGGAATGTTCCTTCTCAAGCTCCGAATTTACTTCTAGAGAGAGACTGAAGGTCTCAGGGATTGGGGAGAGGAAGGTTCTTTGAAGATAAACACGTATTGAGTGGGGTTTGTCTGTGTGCGTGATTGTGTGTGTGTGTGTATTCAAGTGAGAACATTTTATTTGTAAAAGGCCTGACTGGCACTTTGAAAGTGATAAAATTCGTTGTACTTTTCACAGATCAGGATCATCTCTTTGGTAAGAATTTAGGGCAGCAATTAGTCTGGCATCGATTTCCACAGCAGAGTGTTGATGTATGTTTACTGTCCCAGAATCACTTTAGTTCTAATGTAAAGTTACCTCTTGCCATTATTTCAGTGGAGTGTGCAAGAACAGAGGTAAGGTCATAGGATGCAGGAAAGAAGATGTTGATAACCTATGTATGTGTGAGAACAGGACATAGATAGGGTAGGTCATGGCTAGGATAAGTTTACTACTTCCAATATCCTGGCGTTTTCTAGAAAACTATTTTAGAAAGCACATATTACTTTGAAACAGCAGTAGGCAAAGTAATACCAAATTGTGATGTAATCATCAAGAAACCCATATTTGTAATAAGGTTAATTAAATTTGCTGCAGTCTTGAGACAAGCCTCCTGTAAGTGTGCCAGTAAATCTGGTCTTGCTTTATCAAACTGAAGGGCACCCCCTCCTTCTCCCAGAATGAGTAGCTCATTGCCAGAGGACACACGCAGGCTGGCAACAATAACTAATATGTTATGAGAGGTTAGACAAGTTTAAATAGGATTCGTCTCTGAACTGAAGGGCAAATTGTAAGAAATTTCTTTGTCTGCTTGTGATGCTGTTAAATTGAAAGCACAATGGGAGGTTTGGTGGAAGCAACAAAGGTTGAAATGATGGCCTGCTGCTTGGAGCAAGCATCATGGTTTCCCCAGTGGTCCAGACATCTGCTGACAACAGCCACTCCTGGTCAGGTTCTGCTCCACATAGGGCGTGAGAACACTTTACACCATTTAACTCATCAGAGTCTTCGAGCTCAACACTGTGCTCCACATCAAGAATGTTTTTGTAATAAAACAGAGCTAATTAAACATTTCAAAGGGAAACATTATTTTAACTCTAATTAGATATGATTACAATTCTCTTTTTTTTTTTCCTGTGCCAGTGCTGAAGTGCAGTAAAGCCCCCTCATTTTGTTTTCTGTGCTCAATTTTATAACAAAGTCTTATCAAATAAAACAATACTATCCTGTCCTATGGCATTGCTTCCAGTATGATGACATGTTCAAAAACCTTTATCAAATTTAAGATGATTTTTTTTTCAAAAACAGAACAACTATGGTAACAACAATAAATCGAATGTGTTCATGTTGGTGGGTAAGCATGTTAACTTTTATTCATGTATAGCTTTTTTTCTGAAACACTTTAAAGGTGATGTTCTGTTATTGTTTTATTTTAAACCTGTCAGGTCTGTACAAGCAAAAAGTATCTCCATTTCACAGGTGGGGAATCCAGGGCACAGATAAGATAAGCAGGTCAGGAGCAAAGCAAGGCTGGCTAAGATGTATGACTCACTCAGAGCTCACTTTCTGGGGACACCCCACTCTGAGGGTCATGAAAGAACTTTTGCTCAAGGTAGCTAAAACCTACCGGATAAAAACTCATAAAATGTTCATGAAAGTCATGCTGGATTGGGAATACACAGACAAAATACCTCTTTAATCAATGACGTGTGAAATGCTGTAATATGCTTTTAACTAATTAATGAACAAAAATCTTTGAACTCTAAAAATATTAGTTGTACCCATGACATATGTCAACTTTCATTTTTATTTAAAAACATAGGATAGTAATGAAAGCCTAAAGAATTTCATAAAGATTTGAGATAAGATTTCTACAGAATAGAAAATGCTGGTGTGTTGGAAAACAAATCAGTTGAAAGCCCTTCAGTGATAGAGGAAGACTGGGAGTTTTAAATGTTTGAATACTTTTTAATGAATTCAATGAGACATTTTCTTTGCTTCTTCAAAGCCAGAAATAAGATATAGGGAGACTATCAAACATATTATGATAGAATAAATATATTTTATATGGTCTTGAGAAATAGTAAGCTTATTTTATTTATTTATTTATTTATTTTTTTACTTCTTGCATCGTATTCTATGAACTCACTTTCAAGAGAGAGAGACGTTGTCTATCCACAGGTTTTCTGCAGTCCTAATTAAAAAGAACTGCAGTGAGAAGTTTTTCATTTCAACTTCCAACCCAAGCTTGAGGGCATAGCAGTAACTGCAGAGTATATTGTGTTCATTTTGCTGTTTGAGTAGTTCAGGAAAAAGGAGTTGCCTTTCAAACACCAAACAACTAATATGATTCCCTGCGGACACTGCTATCACATCAAGATTTCTTAAAAAACAAAACAAAACAAAAAAAAACCTCACACATTATCATCATCATCACTACTACCACCTTCAAAATAGTTAAAGTTTCAACAAATGTATCAGAGAGGACTTTTCTTCAATTGTAAATAGTTAATTGATATTTTGGCTATGATGTTACCAATAACACCCAAATAAATTGTAGATGATACACTGTCTCATTAGGTTGGCATATCAATATTTTTTAAATCCAATGACTGTGTAGAATTTTTTTTCATGAAATATACATTCATTATGTACATACACCTTTGCAGATATTTCTAAAACTTTGGAAAGGGAAATTAGAGTATAATAAAAATACTTAGTAAGTTAAAATGTTGCCCTCTCCTCCTCTAACCAGGTCTCATTCCCAACTTTCTCACTGCTATTCTTATTATCCCGATTTTCCCAGTTCGTCATGACTATAAACATGGAACCACCCTTTAGTCCTTCATCTATTTTGACATTTACACCAAATACATTAATAAGTTACACAGTATTTTTTCTGTGATCTTGCTCAGTGTTTTTAATTTTGTTATTCCACTGACCATTTTTATACAATTCCTCTTCACCTCACTCTCATACATTGCTTTACAAGTAGTCTTCCTTCCTGATTCTGTTTTTAAATTTATCTCCTGTGCAATGATCATGTTTTCCTAAAACAAAGCCTTTGTTTCATTGATCAATGAAAACTTTTTTTTTTCAAAAAATTTACTGAGATCTTGCCTTTGCCACCAGCCCTGCAACCATTCTGTTCTAACCAAGACCCCAGATCTTTTCATTTGCCATGTCCAGGAACAAGGATGCAGCCCTTGTTTTACTTGGTGTCTCTGCTGAATGTGAGGTATTGACTAATTCCTCCTTTTCACAATTTTTACCTCTATTGGCTTTTAAGAAATGTTAGGTTAGTTTTTTCTTTATCTTTCTAGCTACCCTATCTTAAGCTCCTTTATATCATCTTCTTCCTTTGCGCTTGCCTTAAATGATGATTATCTTGCCGGTTCTGTTGGGCGTTTTACCTTCTATTTTGCCAGTTTTCTTTGAGTAATTTCATTCAGGTCAATGGCTTTGACTGCTACTGAAATGCTCGTGGTCACCAAATTTTTATCTTCCGTCCATAAACTCATCTATTACAACTTTTCACTCACCATTTTCACTTGAAGCTACCACAAACAGCTTAATTTCACATTTTCAAATTAATGATATTTTCCTCAGTCCAACCAAAATCTATTCTTCTGTAGTCTACATCCTTGTAAGACTCTTCATTACAAAAGTATTTATTTAGCACCTTCTGACAGCCAGTCATTATTTTTTTGGCATTGAGAATGTAACAGTGCAGTAAATAGAGAAAATCCAGGTTGCAAGGAGCATACATTTTAGTAAAGGAGAAAAACAAATCATATACATATTGTACAATGAGTTTCTAACAACTGTATTGAGATATAACTGATAATGAACTGCACATATTCGAAGTATACAATTTGGTAAGTATTGACATATGTATGGATCCAAAAAATAGTCACCATTATCAAAATAGTGAACATACCCTTCACCCCTAAAAGTTTTCTCATGTCCCTATCTGTTTTCTGTCACTATAGATTAGTTTGCATTTTCTAGAATTTTATACAAATGTGATTATACACATTTATTTTTTTCAATGTTCTTTTTTGTGACGGAGGCATCTGGTTTTACTCACCATAATTATTTAGGTTTATCCATGTCATTGTGTGTATCACATAATACATTCTTTATTATTGCAGAGCAATATCCCATTTTATGTATTTGTTTGTTCATCAGTTTTATTCATCTGTTGATAAATATCTGAGTTGTTTCTAGATCGGCTGTTACAAATAAAGCAGATAATGAACATTTGTATGCAAACTTTTTATGGCCATATTCTTGAATATCTTTTGAGTAAATACCTAGAATGGGAATGACTGGATCATAGGGTAGATGCACATATAACTTTTTATGAAACTGCCAGTGTTTTCCTACCAGGAGAATACAATAGTATTTCCAGTTCCTTCAGGCTGTCACTTGATGTGGCTGGTCTTTTTAATTTTAGTCATTCTAATGGATAGGTTTATCTGTCATTTTAATTTACGTTTACCTAATGACTAATGATGTTGAGAATATTTTCATATGCTTATTTGCCATCTCCATGTCTTCTTTAGTGAAATGTCTGTACAAATCTCATGCCCATTTTTAAATTGGGTTATTTCTTTTTTTATTATTGAGTTTTGAGAGTCTTTTATATATTTTCGGATTATAAGTTCTTTATCAATATATGATTTGTATTTTCTGTAACCTGTGTCTTGACTATTTATGCTTTTTAAAATGTCTTTTGACAATTTTTGATGAAATCAACTTATTTTTTCTTTTATATTCTTTTGCTGTAGTATCCAAGCAATATTTGCCTCACCCAACACCACAAAGATTTTCTTCTGTTTTCTTCTAGAACTTTTTTAGTTTTAGGGTTTATATTTAGGTCTGTGATCCATTTTGAATCAATATTAGCATATGAGGCAAAGTGGAGATCGAAGTTTTTATTTTTCCTTATGAATACCCAGTTGTTCCAACACCACTTATTAAAAACACTATACTTTATCCACTGAGTTTGTTTTGTACCTTCATCAAAAACCAGTTTTCAATATATCTGTGGATTAAATTTTTTATTTTTATGTTTATTTTTAGAGACAGTCTCCCTCTCCCTCTGTCACCCAGGCTGTGGTGCAATGGTGTGATCATAGCTTACTATAAACTCAAACTCCTGGGCTGAAGAGATCCTCCTGCCTCAGCCTTCCAAGTAGCTGGGACTATATGTATGGGCCACTATATCCAGCCAATTCTTTTCTTTTCTTTCTTTCTTCTTTTTTTTTTTTTTTTTTTTTTTTTTTTAGTAGAGATGGGGGTCTCACTATGTTTTCCAGGCTGGTCTCAAACTCTTGTCCTCAAGTGATCCTCCCATCTTGGCCTCCTGAGTCGCTGGGATTAAGGGTGTGAGACACCACACCCAGCCCCTGTGAGTTTGTTTCTAAAGTCTATTCTGTTCTATTGATCTGTTTGTCTCTCTCTCTCTCTCTTTTTTTTTTTTTTTTTTTTTTTGACATGGAGCCTAGGCTGGAGTGCAGTGGTACAATCTCAGCTCACTTCAACCTCCGCCTCCTGGGTTCAAGTGATTCTCCTGCCTCAGCTTCCTGAGTAGCTGGGATTACAGGTGCACATCACCACACCCAGCTAATTTTTGTATTTTTAATAGAGACGGGGTTTCACCATGTTGTTCAGGCTGGTATTGAACTCCTGACCTTGTGATCTGCCCACCTCGACCTCCCAAAGTGCTGGGATTACAGGCGTGAGCCGCCATGCCTGGCCTGTTTGTCCCTTTTTATGCCACTTACACTTTCATTATTATCATAGTGTCATAATGAGTCTTGAAATCAAATCTGGTTGGTGCACCACACTTTGTATTTTCTTCTCAAAATCTTTATGGCTACTCCAGGGCTTTTGCATTTTATATAAATTTTAGAATGAATTTGTCAGTTTCTACCCAAAAACTCTAGGAGTTTTTATTGGGATCATGTTGGAATCATTGTTCATAATCTATGGAATGATTTGGAGAGAACTGACATCTTGACAATATCAAGCCCTCTGACCAATGAAGTAAATATCTCCATTTATGTAGACCTTCTTTAATTTCTTTCAGTAATAATTTGTAACATTCAATATGTAGGTCTTATACATTTTTTAGATTAATCCTTAGGTTTTTTAAAAATTGATACTATTGTAAATGTATTTTAAATTTTAATTTCTGAATTTTCCTTGTTGATATATAGAATATAGCTAATTGTTGTTTATTGATCTTACATTCTGCAGCCCTCTAAACTCATTAGCTCTAGTAGCTTTATTGTAAATTCAGTCAGATTTTCTGGGTAGACAATTATGTTGTCTGTGACCAAAGACAGTTTTACTTACTGCTTTCACGTATAGTTGCCTTTTAGTGCTTATTCTTGCTTTATTGCACTCCCATACAACCTCCACTGCAGAAATTGTGAAAGTGGACATCTTGTCTTGTTCCTGATCTTAAGAGGTAGTGTTCATTCTTTCACATTTAAGTAGTGTGCTACCTGTAAGTTTTTTGTAGGTGTTCTTCATCGTGGTGAGAATATTGCTTCCTATACCTAGTACACTGAAAATTTTTATGAAGAATGGATATTGGACTTTGTGTTTTCTATATTTGTTGATATGCTTCCATAGTTTTTCTTTGTAGTTTGGTAATATAATTACATGAGCCAATTTTCAAATTTTAAAACAACCTTGCATTCCTGGTATAAATTCCACTTGAATTTGATTTCTTAACATTTTGTTAAGCATATTTGCATCTATGTTCATGAGTCATTGGTCAGCATTTTTCTTGTAAAATGTTTATTTGGTTTGGTATCAAGGTATACTGGCCTCATAAAATGACTTGAGAAGCATTTCCTCCTTTTCACCTTTGTGAAAGAATTTGTGTAGAAATTGTTACTTTTTTCTTTCTTAAGTGATTAGCAGAATTTCCCAGTGAAGCAATCTGTGTTTAAATTTTTCTTTGTGGAAAGGTTTTTTACTATCATCCCATTTAAAAAATAGACATGAAGCTATTTGTGTTATCTATTTATTCTTAATTGAGCATTGATAGTTTGTATCTTTTAATGAATATGTTCATTTTGTGTAAGTTGTCAAATGTGTTGATATAAAGTTAATCATAATATTATCTTATTAAAATTTTAACATCTGCAGAATTCCTAGTGATGTTCCTACTTTCATTCCTAATATTGGTAATTTGTATCTTCTCTCCTTTTTTTTTTTTTTTCCTCCTGACCAGCCTGGCTAGCGATTCATCAATTTTATTAATCTTCTCAAAGAATCAGATCTTAGTTTAATTAATTTTCTCTATTGATTTTTTAATTTTTTGTTTCATTGAATTTACTTTTCTTTGTTTCTTCTGCTAACATTGTCTTTTGTTTGCTCTCTTTAATTTCTTACAGTGGAAACGGAGGTCATGGGTTTGAGACATTTTTAAAAAAATAGTATAGACATTGAAAGTACTAGTTATTCCCTCATTATTGTTTTAGCAGGATCTCACATCTATTGACATGCTATATTTTAATTTTCACTTAGTTCAGATACTTTCTAATTTGCCTTTTGAGTTTGTCTTTGACCCTTGGGGTATTTAGAAGTATGACATTTAGTTTCCAAATATTTGAGGATGTTCCTGATATTATACTGTCATTAATTTCTAATTTATTTTTATGATAGTTAGGGAACATACTATGTAGGATTCGAATCATTTAAAATTTATTGAGACTTGTTTTATGGACTAAATATGGACTCTGTAAATATTCCATGCAGACTGAGAAAAAAAATATATGCTGCTACTGTTGGGTAGAACGTTCTACCAATGCCAGTTAGTTCAAAATGGTCAATAATCTTCAAATTTTTGTATCCTTGGTGATTTTCTGTTTACTTATTCTATCAATTATTGAGCAATGGATATTGAAATCTGTGACTATAATTGTGGATTTTTCTATTTTTCTTCTTGTGGTTCTATCAGTTTTTGCTTCATGTATTTTGCACCTCTGTTATCTCATTCATAGATGTTTAAGCTTGCTATGTCCTCTTGATAAATTGACCTCTTCATTATTATGAAACAACCTTCTTAATTCTTGGTTATATTCTTTCTTTGGAAAATTACTTTGCCTGCTATTAATATACCCACTTCAGCTTTTTAAAATTAATGGTATTGGCCACATGTGGTGGCTTGCACCTGTAGTTCCACACATTGTGAGGCTGAGGGAGGCAGATTGCTTGCACTCAGGAGGTCAAGACCAGCCTGGGCAACGTAGTGAAACCCTGCCTCTACAAAAGAATACAAAAAAGATAAAAAATCAGCCATGTATGATGCACATACTTGTAGTCTCAGCTACTTGGGAGGATCAGGCAGGAGGATTTCTTGAGCCTGGGAGGTTGAGGCTGCAGTGAGCCGAGATTGCTCCACTGCACTTCAGCCCGGGCAATAGAGTGAGATCCTATCTCAAAGAAAAAAAGAGTTATTGTGTTATATCTTTTTTAATCCATTTTCTTTTAACCCTTTATATCCTTATATTTAAACTAGAGTTTCTGTCAAGTGCACGTAGTTAGATCTTTTTAAAAAATTCATTCTGTTTATTAATTGGGTAATTTAGACCATTAACATTTAATGTTGTTATTGTCATGGTTGGATTTAAATCTACCATCTTGCATTTGTTTTCTATTTGTCCCATTTGTTTTTTGCTTATTACTTGCCTCTTAAAAATTAATTTAATTTTTTTATAATTACATTTTATTTCTTCTTTGAGGTATAAGCTAGAACTACTTGTTTGTTGTCATAGCATTGCTTTAGGATTTATAGTCGATACATCTTCAGATTATCATATTCCTCCCTTTTTATTTCTTTATTTTTGTTAATCTTTTTTTTGAGACAGGGTCTCACTCTGTTTCACAGGGTGGAGTGCAATGGCTGTGATTGTGGCTTACTGCAGCCTTGACCTTCCCAGGCTCAGGTGATTCTCCCATCTCCACCTCCCAAGCAGCTTGGACTACAGGTGCACACCATGTCTGGCTAATTTTTTGTAGTTTTTTTGTAGAGATATGATACCATTTCCCATATATTATGAGAACTTTCAAATAGTATATTTCCATTTTTCCCCTTGTAGCCTTTGTGCTATTTTTTTCTTTTTTTTGAGACAGGGTCTTGCTCTTTTACCCAAGCTGGATTGCAGTGGCAGGACCATAGCTCACTGCAGCCTTGAACTCCTGGGCCCGAGCAATCCTCCTGCCTCAGCCTCCCAAGTAGCTGAGACTGCAGGTGTGCGCTTCCAAGGCTGGCTAAATTTCTAAAACCATTTTTCATAAAGATGGGGTCTTGCTGTGGTGCCCAGCACCACACCAAGTTTGAGTCTGATCTCAAACTCCTGGTGTCAAGCGATCCTCCTGCCTTGGCCTCCCAAACTGCTGGGTTTAGAGATGTGAGCTGCTGTACTTGGCTTTTCTGTGCTATTTTAATTATATAATTTGTTTTTATGTATGTTGTAAATGCAGCGCTACATAATTTTTTATTGCTTAAACAGTAAATTATCTTTTAGGTAGGTTTAAATAAATTAGAAAAGCTTATAACATCCATGTGGTTACCATTTCTGGTGTTTCTCATTCCATTTTGCAGATCCCTATTTTCATTTGGTATGTTATTATCTTCTGCTTAAAGGACTTCCTTTCAAATTTCTTGTGTGATGGATCTGCTGGTGTTAAAATCATTCAGCTTTTGTATTTGCATTTTGTATTTTATATCTAACTTTTCCAAGGTTGTCAGTTATTTTTCTTCAGAACTTTCAAGATTTTGCTCCACTCACTGCTTGCTTGCATTGTTTCTGATGAGAAATCTGCTGTCATGCTCTGTTTGTCTCTTTGTAATGATATCTTTTTTTTTTTCTGGCTGCTTGTGGGATTTTTCTCTTTATCACAAGTTGTACAATTTGATTTTGAGGTGACTTGCTATAATTTTCTTCATTTTATGTGCTTGGGGTCTTGTCTTTTTAAGAACTTTCTTTTATCTGTGGATGTATGAAACTTGGAAAATTGTTTAGCAATATAGTCATTATTATTATTTCTCCTCCTCCTCCTCCTCCTTTCCTCCTCCTCCTCCTTCTCCTCCTTCTTCTTTCCTCCTCCTCTTCCTCCTCCTCTTTCTTTCTTCTTCTTTTCTTCTCCATCCATTCTCTTATTACCTGTCGTTCTGTCTGCACACATGTAAGAATGCACAGTTCCCAGAGTAGAGTGTCCCACAACTCACTGATTCTGTTCATTTTTTTGAGTCATTTTTCTCTTTATGTTTTACTTAAGATTGTGTCTATTTCTGTATCTACAGTTTCACTAATCTTTTTTTCCCTCTAGTGTCTTACCTGTTATTATGTTATAAATCCCATCCAGTGCATTTCTGAGTTTAAGTATTGCTCTTTTTGTCCTTGGGAACCTTGTGGTTTCCATATCTAGAAGTTAGATTTGGGTCTTTAAATTTTCCATGCTTTTATTTAATATTTTCCATCTTTTCCTTAAGTTTTTAAACATGTAGAATATGGTTAGACAGCTGTTATATTCTGTGAATTCTAACATCTGTGTCATTTCTGGGTTAGTTTTGAGAGATTAATTTTTCTTCTAATTGTAGGTCTTATTTTCCTGCTTATTCACAAAGCTGGTAATATTTTTTTTAATTGGATACCAGATTTGGTGAAGTTTACCTCATTGGATGCTAGATATTTTTGTACTCCTATAAATATTCTTGAGCTTTGTTCCTGGACTCAGTGACGTGTCTTGGAAGCAGATCAATCCCTTTGGGTCTTACTTTTATTATTTGTTAGGTAGGACCAAAGTATTAATAGCATTTATTCCAGAGCTAATTATTTTCTCCTACTAAAGTGAGACACTTTTGAATTCTCTAACATAGTTCTGTGAATTGTTTGTTTTTCCAGCATAGCTGGTCAGAATAGGCTTTATTCCTAGCCTGTGTAAACCCCAGTTACTGTTTCCTCTAATCCTCTTGAGTGGCTCTTTTCCCTGCCTTGGGCAGTTTCCTTGCACACGTGCTGACCAGTATCCTGCTAAATACTTAAGGAGGGCCCTCTACGCATCTCCCAAGTTCTCTATGCAGGTTTGTCTTATCTAGTAGCTGGCCTTATGAACTCTAGCTGCCTCTGTCTTCCGGGATTCAGCTCTTTCTTCACTAAGGTGGCGTTTACCAGCTCCACCTGAGCTCCCTTTCCCTAAGCCACAGTCTGGAAACTCTCAAGACAGTCAGCTGGGCCAATCAAAGGGCTCCTCTCATTTGTATTCTGGTTCTTGGGGATAAGTGTTCTCTGTTGCCTGATGTTCAATATTTGCAAAGCATTGTTACATATATTAGGTCCATTGTTTAGACGTTATTTCAGGCAAAACAGTAAATCCAGTCCCTGTTACTCCATCTTGCCCCAATAGTTTGTGCTTTACGTAAAAAGTAAAGTATCTTTATAAAATGTCCACCCCACAAATTGCGCATTATAGAGAAGAAACAGGAACTAGACCATGTTTCTATACACAACCATCAATACAACTTTGGGTGTAGTCTAGAACAAATGTACCAGAATCCGAATTTTGTGTCTCTTTGAAGTATACACTTTCCTTCATGGTGTTGAAAACAATCCCTAAGTCTCCCTCCCATGCCTTGGGTGTTCATTGTTACACTTATCTCCAATTTAAGGCCAATCTCAAGAAATAGAATGGGGAAAGTTGAGGAGAAGCGGGAGTGCTGCTTACCCCCAATCTCCTTGGTTTCTTTTCTCTCTACCCCATACTAGTGAGCACCTGGTTGTGGATTTGATGTTTCTGTTTCTGGGGAAACCTACCTCTGTTGATGGTGGTAGTTCCTTTTACAATGTGGGAAAAAGCAGAAAAAGGAGAAATTTTCTGTTTTCCAAAATTCCATTTAAAAGGAACATAAAAGGGGAAATAAGAAAGTAAAAACTGGATAATTTGATCCTGGATATTTTAGTACAGAGAAACCTCAAGCAGACTTTGTAAGGCTTACCTTACCTTATAGTTAAGGATTCCTTCCCATTCACAGAGACCATCATACCCGAATATAAACATGATTCAGCCAGCGATTAATTCAACACATGGGGCATTTACATTCTCCATACCCCCTTAAAAACTATGCCAACTTGCCTTTGGTCACATTTCAGGCCCTATTAACTTAACCTAAATTGCCATTACCACCTGTTTACATTGTTACTAGAACCTTGGGCATAAAGGCACATTGATGTACTTGTATAAATAATAAACCAATTTATAGCATTTGAGAGGGAAATCTTTTCATTTGTGTGTATTAGGATCCACTAGTGCAAGAGAGGGTACCCGTCCATTGGGACAGTGAGTGTCCGTCTTGAACTGAGCAGAACGTCATTTGGCTCCTGAAGGATTCTTCCAGCCGTTTACAAAACAAGAGACCCTGCTAGGCAAAAGGGGTGGATTACACTAGTATCTTCTTCCATTCCAAATCTTTCTTCATACTACAAGTAATAGTGCTAATTGGCCTGTGTTCTTTTCATCAATCTATGTACATATTGAACTGTGAAAAACCTTCTAACTTCCTGTCAATATATCCACTGTCTTCCATTACCTAAATACAATCTGTAGCCATTTTTCCCTTAAAACTTCTTACTGACAGATTTTTCCTTCATTTAATAACACTTTGCAACACTTAGGATATAAATATGCTTCACCTGGTAAACCATTTTAATAGCAACCTGGACTAAATCATGTAGGAGAAGAAAGATGTAAAAGGATGTTTAAAAAAACATTCCATATATACCTTGTTTTTTAGCCATGAAGAGAGGTTTGCAGAGAGGTTTCAGAGTAATTTAGTGAAGTTTTGGGAAGGTGTGTCTTTTTTCTGAGAATGTTCTAATGGTTTTATATTTGTTCTTCTCTATTTCTGACCCAGAAATACCTACTGCGTATGCTCTGTCCTTTTCTTAGAAGTATTTGAGGATTAGTTATTTTTTAAAAACTGTCTTTTAAAATATGTGTAACTTGATAGAAATATAGCTATGTGCTATTTGGAGTGTTAGGGTATTTCTTTAGTTCAATTTTTCTGTAAATTTAATTGAAAACCTGAAGCTAACTTCAGTTTTTATTGAGCAATTTCAGTTGTTTTTAAGAGAGTTTTTGTCGTTATATCTATGGATGCTTTGGAAAAGTAGAATAGTTATTCTGACTTTCTATTGAACGGTAAAAATTAATTATAGACCGTTTAGGAGTAAATACATACGTTGTTAGAAAGATTCTAACATCTTTTCTTGTTGAGGGGGGAGAATTTTCTATCTTTGTTTTGAAAGTGATTGGGTTTAATCCTTATTCCTAAACAGAGAACACTCAAACCATTGACTTCCTTGTAAATCTGAATATGTATAAAACATCTCAGGATTCAAAACTGAGCTATAAAGCTATAATATATTTCATTGGCATCAATTTCTTCAGAGAGATCAGAGAAATAAGCAATACCTGTATGACCATAGTCTTTACTTATAATGGTATACATGATAAAATCCACATGTTATTTTTCAAAAAATGAATTTCTAAAAATTTACACCCTTAATTTGTATTCTTTCTATAAGAACACATCACTCATCATGCCTTTAGGGAGAATCCTTGGTCCATTCACTTATCCTTCCAACAGATCCCTTTTTTCTGAACATCACTTCCTCTCTAATTCTCTACTAACACCACCACCCCTCCCTTACCCCCATAGCTTCCTATCTTTGACGGTGTATGTATGATCGAGATCAGAAATGCCAACCGGTCAGCATTGACCTACACTATTAATCCATTACTTTGGACTTTTTATGTTTGAAAAACACTTAAGTAGTGTGAAATATGGTATAGGTATTTCCCTATTTTGTTTTCGCAACCAGGGTGAATTTGCTCATAGAATTTAAAGAAATAATCTGTTCATTTAGGAAAAACAAACAAACAAACAAACCCTGATAAGTGGAATCTGTACCACCACAGTAATGGTCTGAAGACTCTGTGTTTCCTTTGCAGTGTGGATTCTGATGACGGTGCACGTATTCATTCGTATATCCTAAGGAAAGTATCATCTTATCCAGGCAGAGGGCAGGCAGGTAATGCACTGGTGTGCTCCACAGGGCTTGCCAGTACCTAGCTTTAGAGCTAACTTCTTAACACCCCAAGCAGTTTCCTTCAGGCGAGACTCCATTGGCTAAAAAGAATCACCCGTTAAGCCGAATTTAAAATGCTCCAATTTTTAAATATGGGAATATGGAGAGCAAATGTCCTCTAAGAGATTAAAAATTGCAGTGTGTGTCTTTAAAAATAAAATTGTTCAAAACAGCAAGATTGAAGCGGTCCGTTCTTTGCAAAACCAACAAACAAAAAACTATTTTTGTGGGCTAACCACAGAAACAGGTTCTAAATACATTAAAATATTTTATCCCATCATTTGTTTTGACCAATTGACCACAATATTAAAAATTCAATCATGGAGCAGCTGACAAGTGCAGTTGCCTAATTTTATTTAAGAGTTTTTTTCCTTTTTCCATTTTTCCATCCTGTTAACGCTGCTGCCTGTGCCCAGACAGTAATGGGCTTCTTGTATGCCCACGACTGTTATGATCATGTAAATTTATTGGTGCTTAGAAGAAGCGAGCTATTAAAACATTACAACAGCCATTACAGCCGGGCTCGTGTTGGCTTTCGCTCCCAATGAACATATGCTTCCGAGTGAATGCCTAAACTCTTATTTATGGATTTAATTTAATATGCGGAAAGAATTCAAAATTAAATTTTGTGTCTGCCTCCAGAGAGTGTCAGTGTATAATAACATGGTAATTTTTACACATCTTTATGAGAAATGGGAAAATTAATTCTTTCTGACAAGTTGTAATTATTCGACTTGGAACAGTTGCAGCTGAGCAGTTTGCATGCCTGTTGTCTGGTGTTTCGCAGTGTAAGGGGAAAACTCAGGGATGGAGATATATTGTGCATCTGAGAGTTTCTAATAGCTTCTGACATTTTAGCCTTGCATATTATCAGGGTGCTCTTTAAGGAGTCGAGGTATAATCTATTATGTTGCCTGGGATACACACAGTTGCAATAGCCTGAACATCCTTCAGCAATTTTTAAAATGGGGGGAATATCTCTAGGATCATCCTGTAGATGTGCATAGTTGAAATTGATGAGAGAAATTTTTATGTCTCTGAAGTGTACCTATTATTATCTGCTCTTTCGCCTGGGTACACTCAGAACTGAAGGTCATTTTGTAAAAGTAGCATTTTAGACCTGAATTTTTAAGAATAAATATGCTTAAAATGAAAAACGTGTATTTTCTTACCTGACTTGCAAACATTTTCCCCATACCCATCCCCCACCAACCTCCTCTACACAAATGCTTCTGTAATACATGCCCACTGTCCTGTTCTCTAGATCTGATGTTTAAGTGTTCATGAAAAAGTAGCAATAGCTTAATGCACAACTAAACCAAAACACCACTGGCTATGTTAGCAAAGAAATCTGGAGCATGTTGTCTGTGAAGAGATGGTATACTGATTGACAGGCCAGCCTGGAGGGGAGTGGTGTCATCTCTGTGTATAAGATCAATATAGCCCTTGTAAAATAAATGCAAACTGCGATGTAAGAGAATATTCGCAGATGAACAGGAGAAAAAATCAGTTCTCAAAAGCAAGCACACTTCCTTTTTTGCTTTCGTACTTCTGCTAAAGAACACAGGAATGAACAGCTGATGATCAAGTGGATACGCCTCCGTTCTCTGAGTTGGTGCACTGAAACTTCCTCTGACATTGTTCTAAGTGGCAAATTTTGGCTAAAAGTTTATGTTTAAGAATGAAATACAAAGCAGAGCTCGACCTATTTGTGGCCTCCAAAATAGCATGATACCTTTTTCTTATTAAGGCTTGAGTCCTGTCCTTAATGGATAATTACATTCCACTATACGCAAGTTCCTTGCCAGCTCCGTTAGCTACCGGATTCTTTACTTTATGTTCTAATCTGCCCAACAGTGGGCTACTGTAGTTCAAAAGATATAGCATATCAGGGATTGGGGGTGAGTTTGATCATATCTAGTTAAAAGGCACAAACAGCATCACGATCCTGGCTACGGCCAATTGCTTTGAACTTTACGTGTCTTTTTACTGATTCTTGCAGGCAGGCTCTCATTTATTCTAACTCATTGTGATATCAAGAAATATAATATTTGTGAGTTGGGAACTTAGGTATGATCATTGTCAAGGCTAATGTTATAAAGGCCTAGAATGAAGTTTGAAGACTTACAACAGAGTTTTTTTGTTTTGTTTTTGTTTTTGTTTTTGTTTTTTTGAGACGGAGTCTCCCTCTGTCGCCAGGCAGGATTGCAGTGGCGTGACTTCTGCTCACTGCAACCTCCATCTCCAGGGTTCAAGTGTTTGTCCTGCCTCAGCCTTCTGAGTAGCTGGGATTACAGGTGCGCGCCACCATGCCCGGCTAATTTTTGTATTTTTAAATAGAGACGGGGTTTCATCACATTGGTCAGGCTGGTCTTGAACTTCTGACCTCGTGATCCGCACGCCTCGGCCTCCCAAAGTGCTAGGATTACAGGCCTGAGCCACCCTGCCTGGCCTAGAAAGAGTTTCACAGCTCAGCAAAGGGAGCTTGATATCAGCCCCCTCCAACCTTGTACCTCCTCAGTACAAGGCACACCAGAATCTCAGGAGAGAACTTGCCCAGTGTAGATTCATTATTTTGCTTTATTAGACCACATATGCCGTCCATAATTGTCAGTAATGACTGCATTTATTTTGGTGTTTATACAATACATTGAATGTTTTCCTATGTACAACAAACCACTAAAAAGAAGCTGGATTTTGGAAACTGGATCATGAACATGTGAAATATAAATAGTATACTTCATTTTTAAGATCTATTCTCTAAGACCAAGACACTTTAAAGTTCCAGACCTTTATTAGCTCTGTTCAGGAGTGAGTGATATTTTTGGAGCACAGTATGAGATTTTGGGTGAGAACAGGTCTAAAAGAATGTTTATAGTGTAGTAGACATTAAAACTCTAATTTATTTGAGCTAAAGTGTAACAAAGGCCTTCAGTCCAGTCTGAATACAACAGATAGCATACATATTTAGAAACAAAAGCAAAAACAAAACCCTAACAAACTAAATTCAACTTTTGGAGTCGAAGCAGGGGCTTTTGCCAAAATGGGAATTTGCTGTTCAAGCAGCCTTTTTGTTTGTTTTTGAAGGAGTGGGAAAGTCATTCTCTTTAGGCATATGCTTGGAGAGGGTCTGAAAGATGCCTTGATCAGCCAAGACTGCCCTCCCCACCTTCCCCCTCACTGCTACAAGTTCTGAAGCCCCCTTAAACAATAGCAGCACATCCCTCATTAATTTAGTTTAGTCATCAGAGCATCTCTATGAGGCAGGTGCTGTTATAATCCCCTATGCACAAAGGAAAACTTTTAGGGTTAGAGAGGGCAAATAATTGCCAAGTTACATAGCTAGTAATGACAAAGTGATACTTAAACCCGGCTTTCACCATAAGATACTGTCCTTCTTTGTCTGAAAACAATGCTTGCTTGCTCTCCAGGATAGCTATTAAAAGTAGAACAGAAACAGAATGGGATTTGGGACTGCAGTAGATTGGATGGTGGTGGAATGAAAACCCATGACTCTACTCCACTGCGTGTCTCCCCTTAGGATTTCTCAGCATCCCTTGAGGACTCTCTGGGCCTTCTGGTTACCCAGATTCCAGAGCTTGGTCCTCTGACTTCTCTCTTGCTCCACGTGTCCTGTCTGTCATCATTTTCTGGAGCTTTGACTTATAATCTCTCTTAGATTCTTTGTTCCTTTCCATTCCCATTTTCAGGATCCTACTTCAAACCCTTAACCCATCTCTTTGGGACTATTTAAAATAGACTTCTATCTTGCCGATCCCTCACATCATTAGAAGATAAATTGCCCTAAAGTATAGCACTGATGGAGCCATTGCCTGGTTTAAAAAAACCTTTAATGGTTTCATATCATCTACCAAATGAAATACATCCATTTTAGTCTCAGATTTCAGGCTAACTTCCCAGTGATTTCAAGTGCATTCTTTGTGTTGTCACTCCCTGAACACATGCAGCCCTTCCCAACATCCACATCTTGATTTCCACCTCCCCCTCCACTTGGACTGCCTGCCCCCAGGCCTCATGAACTCTCATTCTCCGAAGGTCCAGACCATATGCTGCTTTTTCTCTTAAGCATCCCCAGATCCCATCCTGACAGCCATCCCTCCATCCTCTGAACATCCAGAGTGCTTTGTTTACATCTGTCCTGTTGTAATTATTATAAGTGACATTTATTTATATTATGTACATATCTGTCTTATCTCTAAGATAGTAGGACTTTGGGAAAGCAGAGAATCCTAGTTATTCTCATTTATCTTTCACAGAACGCCAGTGCATTCCACAAAGCAGATACTCAGTAATTATTTACTGTATGTGTAAAAGGCTAATCAGCTAAAGATTATACAGGAACGAGGTTGGAGTCCAACACAATCAGATTTATTGACTTAGTAAGGGAGGGAATTCCAAGGAAACATGGAATTCCTATGACAAGAGTTAGGAGAGAGCAACTTGTGTTAGGTTGGCTTCTTACTGAAGGATTCAGAGGAGGGTCTAAGGGAAGGAGGGATCCGTTTTGGATTGGTTGCTATATCTGAGGCGGGATTGGAAGTGGGAATTAACTTGTGATTGGATACTGTCATAATTTAGGCTAGGGTGGTTTAGCAGCAAATGGGTATTCCCAGGAAGAAATGAAAATAGCGGAGCAGGTCTGGGGTAGAGTGACATCAATAAAAATGAGGGAGTCCTTAATGGCATTTTGTAATTCCTGCATGGCCTTGGGAGAAACAGTGTTTTCTGTTTTGTTAGTTTGTTTTGTTTGCATTTGGCTTTTTCTGTGTCTGTCTTTGCAGCCTGATTCATGGCAAGGCTGTTTTCTTTCAGTCCAGGACAGATTTTAACTTTTACAAATAAGTGAATGTATTTTTAAAAATACAGAGGAAAGGTACTTTTTTTAATCCCTGGATTATTACTTAAAAACTAGATAGTGGAAACTAATCATTATGAACGGTTGGGAGAATACTGTTCTCCTTATGTTCAGTGTTTAAAAGTGAATCTCAAATAAATTGTCAACACTTATTTTTACTTTTCCTTTGGGCAGCTTTCTTTGCCTTGCGTCACTGGGTAATTCTGTGTTTTTGTTCAATTCTCCCATCTCTGGCCCATTGTTCATTCTTAATACAGATAGAGAGCTATAGAGATGTGCTGAGAACATTTTCACCATTTCTTCATTTTCTTGTTCACCTCCCTCTCTCAAATGTCTTTGGTTTAATGGATCAGAAGCCTGGTTTTGTGTATGTGTGTTTATGTGTGTGTGTGCATGTGTTATAAATAAACACATTTATAACACACTGACACAGACACACAAAGTTGGTTTTAGACTGTTTTTATTAAAGTTTTCTCTAGAGCAGAAACAAGTATAATCAATGCTAGAAATTGTTAAGCCACTTTCTTCTGAACCTGCAATCTTTAAAATTAAGTGAAAATTCCTGATGGCAGGCTTTTTCATGGTATCCTCACACACAGTGTTCTCTGTTGCAGAATTTCTCACAGCAGTGGTTTTTAAAAGGTGGCAGATTCCATCCATTCCAGCAGATACTTTTCTTCATTCCTTCTGAATGAACCCACTAACACAACCCTTAAAAATTTATTATTTTTGTCTTTAAATGGATACCACAGCTGAAATCATATATTGTTTGTCTCAATTTAAACATTAATGTTTCTTCACCTGCATTTATCAACCTGTCTGCAACCAGAATGTTTAGAAGCAACAATTTAAAAAAAAAAATTACCTCATCATTTTAGAATTCACAAGAAGAGGTGTTCCATTAGCAAACTGCTCAATTTCTGATTCAGTAGAACAAGCTAATTTGCCCTAAAGTAGAAGCCTCCCTTCCTGATTTTGTCAAATGTTACCTGGGCAGCTCTGGTCACGTGGCAAAGAGAGAGTATGCCAATATTTTTGGTGTGTGCTATATATCAGAATGTGATTCTAATCATTATATCCCTATTTGCATTTCTCTGGCTGTCTGTTTTCTTTTTAATTGGGTTATAAAACAATTAGTTAACACCATGTCTTTTTAGAACTACCCGAGAGGGCCAGGAGCTGTTTGTTCTCCCTGGACCAGTCGGGGAGAGGACCCTAAGGAATCTCATTTTATTTACAGCAGGGTGAAGGTCACATAGAAACAGTTTTTGTTCTTGTGCTCTTGCTTTCTGTTGTGACCTCTCTTGCATTGTTTGGCATCCCCGCCACAGTCCCCCACACCCCCCTTTGTGCTTTGAAGAGCCGCACACCAGGTGTTCCTGTTCTGAATTACACATGAAAGAACCACATCCCTGGACTAATTAACTAGTAAACTGTACCCACCTCCCCTGGGTTTAATTGATGCTGCTCTTAAAAGGGGAAGGCAGTTCCTCACCCTATCTGATTAGACACCATAGTCATCTCTTCTTTATCTTTCTTAAATGTAGAGGATGTTCCAGGTTATTTTGACAACTAGGTAAGGCGCCAGAGCCAATAGGACAGTTTGTAAAACTATTACCCTGGATGAAAGGAAACTATTCCAGACTTTCCTTCATGACTTTTTAAAGCTGTTCGCATGACTCTTTCTCCAGGGAGTGACATGTACAGAGTAATCTACTTGCTCGCAGTAGCAAGACCCAGAATCTCATCAGTAGTTTTATGCATTTCTGCAACGATTTTCCTTTTTATTAAAACAGAGTGGGAAGCCTTTATGCCAGTGAGTGCTTTATATTCCTATTGTTATTTTTTACTGCAGTGTTGGAAATATTATATAACTATTAAAATGTGTAGAATTGGATGTTTTATCATCTTACCTCCAAGGATAACAGCGCTAGGTTGACTTTATCTTTTACTTACTGCAATCCTGGTCTCCTGATGTAATGACATGGTACTTTGGGCAGTCCTTTCTAGGCATGGACAGGTTGTTGTCCAGGGAAATGAGGTAATTAGATGTATGTGTAAACCCTTGCAAAAGCTTATCATTTCTGTTCTTCCTGTCCCCTCCTTTAATGTGTTTTATCCTGTTTTTTTAAGAATGTTAGGATTCAAAATTTAGTTTATGAGTTCTGTCGTGTTTTCCATCATCATTTGGTGGTGGCGTTTTTGCTTGTTTGATTTTAAAACTAGAATTCAAATATTTAGAATCAATTTTTATGTTGGAAGGAATTTTAAAAATTCTCTTTAAGAATAGTTTCTGTATAAATTTGGTTTCCTAGAGTTGCTTCTTAAAATTCTAACCCAAGTATACGGATACTGTATTTCTAATGGTTTCCTCCTTCAGAATAACTTAAGAGCCTCCTTTCTCTTTCCATTGTTTTCCCACTTTACATGAACATCGATGGACATTTAGTCCTGTAATAACTAATAGCACAGGATGTGAGAAGTCAAAACGAATTAAAAATATATATAGATACCACATTGTTTTCCTAAAGTGTTAGTAAGAAATCTTTGGTTTTGTAAAACACATTAAACCTTAACAAAAGGTTAGTTATCCTGTTGGGAAGCTTTGCTCTTCCCAGGGTGTTCGAATGATTTACTTACCAGTTGCACACAGGATATACATAGCAGGATCATTCTTAACTGTTTAATTTGTTTAATTGAGAGCTACTTGGTCATGGGCATTGTCTGATTATCTATCGTTTCTGTATTCCAACCCATAGCAGACTACTTGGCACATGTATGATCTACACGTTTGTTGAATGTAACTGAAGTAAGCCTTTTATTTTTAACTTTTTACTTAGCATTAGGGATTGAAGAGAGCCTGGAATGGGAACGTAACACAATGTAGAGCAAACAGAATCTCTCTTAAATTATCAATGAAATGATAACAAGGATGTGGTCGTGCTCCTTGAGCTAAATAACTTCAGTAAGTCTGAATTAGCCCCTGACATGAGAGATAAAAAAGAAAAAATGCAGGAAATCTAGTCCGTGTAGACAAAATGTATAGGTCATGGATTTGTACCCAACCATCCTGTGAAGTCTAAAAATACTTGTTTTAAACAAAGACACCATTTTAATAAAACAGATGTGTACCCCTCTTTTCTCCCTCTCTTTTTTGCACATAGCCTACACATGGCAATCACATGAATTTATTCTGTGTGCCATTATTCACATAGTTCATAATTCCTAAAGTATAAATAACAGCAGCTGCAGAGCTAAAATCATCCACCTGATATTCACTTCTGTTGTACATTTTCATCTTCTGCATATTCTTACAGTGAGATTATAAATATATGTAAAGTTAATGCTGCATATTTAAAGTGTTAGTTTAGTAATGCATTCTAATTTAAAATGGATTATTCTTAAATTGTGAAATGTAATCAAGTGGTATAAATAAATAAGTTCAATGAACAATCATTGGGCCTTTATTTATGTGATAGATGCCGTACTATATTCTGGGTTTTGAAAAATGCATTCAATATCTCTTGCCCGCTAGGAACTCCCAGTCTAATGTCAAATCATGTCACAGAAGTAAAACTCTGCAACATGGTGTTATAAATGCTATAATAAAGACATTTACACAATACTGTAGGTGTACCCAGGAGAGTTAATAACTCAGAGGAGAATTAGTACAATTAGCATGTAGATCCTAAACACATGCTATGCATATTTTACCTGTTAATCTTAACACAAAGATTAGAACATTTTATGCTTTCTGGTTTACTATCTTCACCTCTAATTGGGTTATTAAAATAATTTTGATGGTGCAAAAAATAACTCAGAGGAAGTAGGTAAAAGTTTCAGATGAGCTATCATTGGAGTTGAATCTTAAATGATAAATTTTTGAAGGCAATTCAGAGATTCTAGTTTAGATAATTAGATGAATGGCAATAGTGTAGCTGGAACTCAGAAGGCAGTACAGGTTTCAGGAATGGAAAACAGTGAGTCACTTGTGGCTGTGTTAGATGTTAGATGTCCTAGGTAGGAATATGGAGCTGGTATGTAGAATAGAAATGAGGGTTGAAGACAGGCATTTGGCAGTCTTTGAGTTATCCAAGCTAGCTTAAAAAAGCCATGAGTTGCACCAATATGCTTGTGTAGAATGCATAGAGGAAAAAGAGAAATGGCCACAGGGAAGCAGCCAGCAAAAGGTGAGAAGAGACAGCCATGGTCAGCTCTGTGAATTCCTAAGATAACTGCAGCCACTGCCTCCTCTCTGTTCTCCTGAAGGTGCTGGACCCTGTCTCCTTTTCTCTTCTCTTTGTCTTCTATGTCTATAGTCATTGGTCTAGGGAAGGAGGCTCTTGTTTTTCCTTTGCTGCTCCTCCCAGCAAACCATTCTTTACTCAACTTCATTCATTGAAATGAAATATCTATATATGAATAAGTTAACAATGCAGGATTTCAAAGTTTAGCACAGATTTGAGCAGGATTAGATTTATGTGAGATCCACACAGAACATGATTTTATACCACCTGCCCTCTTTCTTATACCTATAAGCAGATTGTTTTGAGCCTTTTATGTTCTCTGTCAATATATTTCTTACTCATTGGAGCTAAAGAGACTTTCAAAAGACATAGTGACCACCCACATTATTCACCCCAGATGCGTCGCTTTCTTCAGTAACCTAATGTGGTAATTTTATTGAGGACCGGAATGTATTAGGTCCTTCATTCCTATATGTATTTTCACATCACTGCTTTCAAATGTGCTATTTCATGTCTACCTTCCATGCTCCTTGGTTATATTTCTAGCAGATCCTGTAGTTCCCTCTCACACTTGTATTCTTTTTTTTTCTTGCTTCTCCTAGAGACAAGCACGATTAATAATTTCCTAAGTATCTTTCCAGATACATGCAATATACACTATCTTAAATATACACATACATACATGCAGGCATGTACACACAAGCACACATGTGCATTTTTAGTTTGAGTTTTTACCATGGGCATGTTAGAACTATTTAAAATAAAATGTGTTGAAATCTCCTCTAAAAGAAAATAAAACAAATGGACAAAAACCTAAAACTCTAACGTTGGCTTTTCAATCTCTTTAATCTTTAACTTTAACCTTCAAAACTTTCTCCCAATATTTTTGAATACTCTTTATTAAATGTGTCTCCCTTGATATAAGTTAGGACTCCCAGTTGTAGTGAGATAAACTAGTTTGATTTCAGAACCTCTCTTTCACTCTGCCTCTTTTGTATTCTTCTGGTTGACTCTGCTCCGATTTATTATCTGAGGCTCAGGCTGAACTCAGGCTTTTGCGATGCTGGCAGCCCCAGCTCTACATTGGAATGGACGGTCACCCTCCATGTGCAATTAAAAAATATCCAGAGAAGACCTCATTTGGGTATATGCCCATCCATCCCTGCACAATTTTGTTGAGGCCACTGAGTTCAGGCACAGTGCCAGGCATGGACCACGTGTACTCCCAAAAGTATGGGAGAGGAACACCCCAAAGAAAAGGGGTTTTGATCAGATAAGGAATGGATAACACACTGGGTAATAAAATTGTAGTTAATAGAGTCCGTAGCATTACTTTAAAAAAATTAGTAAAGGGTACATTAGTCATGACAAAAACAATATTCCTATTGTACTGAACTTGTTTTTAACAGACGTAGACTAAAGCTGTTAATATGTTGCTAATGACAATAAGGGGTTTATTCAAATGAAAAGGTGTTTAACATTCTTTCAAAAGAACCTTCATAATGGATGTATTTTCAATATTTTCTCTAAATTATTCTTTGCTTTAAATTAGTATCATCCATCCAACTGATTATACCCATTATAATCACAATGTGAAGTTAAGTCATGACTGAATGTTTGTGTAGGTTAATAGTAGTCAGATGTCCTTGTAAATGTGCATAATTGCGTTTAAATCCATCAGCAAATCCCAGTGTTTCTATTCACAAAGTATATCTTGAAGCTCTCCATTTCTATGTGTTTTCCATTGCCACCTTCCTAGTCCACCATCGTTTTTCTCCTGGACTCCAGCAATAGTTTCCCACCTGGCCACTTTGCCTACTCTCTCTTCCCAACCCCACAAATCCATTTCCTACACAACAGCCCAAGGACGATATCAATCAGATTATATTATAATCATATCATGTTATTCCCCTGTTTAAAGCCCTCCAATAGCAGCTCATTATACATGAATTAAACCTAAAGTCTTTGCCATGACCAAAAAGGCCCTGCGGGTTGTGGCTTCTGCTTACCTCTGTCACTTCCATTTTGAGAACATGCCGAAAGCTGTCCCCAAATCAGGGCCTTTGCATACACTGTTCCCACTGTGTAGAACCGCCCCCTTCTCACATCTGCCTCACCACGTCTGGCTTTTCATCCTTTAGGTCTCAGCCAAAATATCAAGTTTCGAGAGGTCTTTTTTTGCTACCCTATCTAAATTGTCGCTCACTCTTTACTGCTAGCATTTCACCATGTTTGTTTTCTTTGTATGCTTACAATTACAGTATTTGGTATCATTTTGACTGTTTATTTCCTCTCTCCCCCACTAGTTGTCTGTTTCATGAGCAAGGAGTAAAGGTTAATGCCTGTTTCATTCACAGGGTCCTGTTAATAGCACAGGGACTGGCACAGAATTTTTTTCCTCAGAAGATGCTTATCAAATGACTAACAATGAATTTAGTAACCTCTTTAAGTAACTGTATCCATTTGATAAGCTATTTTTAAATATCCTTGTGTATGATAATAATACAAATAACAGCAAAACCCACAATAGCAGCACACTGCTAAAAAGAGAAAGTTTATTAAGGTGAGACCGAAACAAAAGATAACAATAAACCCTCCAGTGAAGTTAACTGAGGTTGAATGCTTACAGGAGGAGGAGAATACCACCACTAAAAACTAGTTTGATTTATGGTGTAAAACATTACTCATAAGAAAGAATTTTTCACCAAATCCTAGGAGGCTGTGCTAGGTATCTGCCCGATCCGATCTATTTCCCTAAGGGAAATGGTAGACTCTCTTGGGAACTGTGGGCTGATCTGAAAACTGTAGGGTGCAACCTATATACAAATTAGACCAAATGAGACGGTGTTGCCTCTAATGCACTCACTTCTCTATGTGATTGGTTTATGCATCAGGCTTCCCTTCCCCAGGTGGGGTGAGGTGGTATTGGGGTGGAAGCAGGGGGCATGTATCATACCCCTCCCAAAGAGAGTGGTGATTTTTTATCTCACTGGGGAGGCACACTAAGAAGGTTTAAAAATGTAAATGCCTTGTCAAGGCTGTAAAACAAAGATATAGTCTCCTTTTATTCCCACACTGTGGCAACAGCTGAAGTGATCACAAAAGTGTGGCGGAGAAGCTTAGGATCTTCCTCAATATCTACCTTCAAGGTGGCTTAGAGATAAATGTAGGAATATAGAAATTCAAAAGTATTGCAGTAGTGACCTGATAGCATTAATAAGATAATGAGGTAAACTAGATAACCAATTGGTATTATTATTATTATTATTATTATCATTATTATTATTATTGAGATAGGGTCTAGCTCTATTACCCAGGCTGGAATGCAGTGGGGCAGTCTCAGCTCACAGCTGAACCCACCTCCTGGGCTCAAGCAATCCTCCCACCTGAGCCTCCTCAGTAGCTGGGACTACAGGCATGCGCCACCATGCCTGGCTAATTTTTGTATTTTTTGTAGAGACAGGGTTTTGCCATGTTGCCCAGGCTGGTCTCAAACTCCTGTGCTCAAACAATGATCCATCTGCCTTGGCCTCCCAAAATGCTGGGATCACAGGCATGAGCCACTGTGCCTGGCATCAACTTGTTTTACTATATCTGGTCTTCATTTGGAAGTATTATGACATTTATAATGTGCAATCTTATGTTAAATGCATTTGTAGTATGTACTAATTATATAGTATTTAAACATGTAGCCATAAAACTGTTCATTTGAGTTTCAAGGCAGACATCCCTAAGAAGCCTTTTAAGATGAGATCTGAAACAGGATGTAGTTAAGTGAAAAGTTCGAAGAAAGGGAGGAGTTCCATATAGGGAGACATTTGTGTGAAGGTGGATGTGAGATGACCCCCATCATGTTCAGTGACCCCAGAAAGAGCAGCATACTAGAGTCCCGAGGGCAGCAGAGACCAAACATGCCCAGTGACAAGGTGGAGAGCACCTGCAGCTCGATTGTGAAGCATCCCGTAAACATTTGCAGGATTTGGGCAGAAAGAACCCAAAGTAGTTATTTTAGCTAGGGAATGCAATTGTCGGGTTTACATTATGAGACAATGTTTCTGTGGCTTATTTCATCATTCCAAACAAAAGGTGCTAATGGGCTGAATAGAATGGAGGTGGTGGAGATGCCGAGAAGTGGCAGATTGAAAACTTATTAAATTTTGTAGACTCTGCAGCACAGTGTTATTTATTTGTTAGATTATTTATTAGTAAGGATAGCATGGTGTGAAGAGAGGAATAAGGGTGCTATCCTGGTTTTCGCTTTGCAGGGTGCTTCGTGGTGGCCTTACTGAAATAAGGAATGCCGAGAGTGGCACCCACATGAATGGGTCCTGTTTTGAGCACACGAATTTTGTATTTTCTGAAAGGCCTGTAATGGAGATGTTGAGTAGATATTTGGATTAAGTGGGCGTTGGGACATGCTATAAGGATACAGGGAGAAATATAGATTTGGAAGGCATTGGCATGGAAGGGGAATTCAAAACAAGGGAGTGGATATGATTATACAGGGAATTAAAAGAGGGCTTACATACAGACATAGCCCTGAGGAACTTCAGTATTCAAGGTATGGGCTGAGGGGGAAGTGGATTTACAGAGAAGGCTAGAGGAGAGAACCTTGGAACAGGTCCTACTGGAAGAGAACCTGTAAATTGGAGTGTCCTGACATCTCAGAGGAGAGATCCTGTAGGAAAGGAAGTGCCCATGGCCATTGAAATGCCATTGAGATGCCAAGCAAGATACGGATCTGAAAGGCCCTCTTGGATTCACTGGTTATTAGAGGCCTAGCTCCACTCTTCGTCCTGGGAAGGATGATGGTACAGAAACCAGAATGGTGTGGGTGGAGAAGAGAATAAAAATTGAGAAAAATATCCCCAAAAGAAAGCTCCAGACCTATCTGCCTTTGGAGGTAAAGTGATATCCAGGGAAAGATTTTTGTTTTCTTTTAGGTTTTTAAGATGAAATAGACTTCAGGTAATTTGAATGCTGAAGGAAGGAAATGGAGAGGTTAAAGTGTAGGTATTAAAAATGTGTATTATTTTAACCTTAACACATCTGTTAAACCATCATAGAGACGATTTCTCAGTATTCCCTAAGTTTTCCTTTTACTGCTACTCAGAGATCGTGTCCAAGAGAGTTGGGAAAACAGAAGGGGCAAAATGGTACCTGTAACGACGGGGAGGCAAGATGTTATTTCATGCTTGATGCAATATCTTAGCAATGTATTACCACAGATGTCATAAGGCCTCAGTAACTATTTGCTAAATGACAGAATAACTGTTTTGTACCTCATGCTATTTCTAATGAAAAGGAAAATAATAGAAAAGGAGAAGAAAGGGGTTTGGAAGTGGGAGTGATTGGGATTCAGGGAAAGAAAACTGGTGGTGAGGAGAAGAAAGGAAATGAGAAATAAGCCCATAACTGGTGTTTTCTAATGAGATCTATGTTTTATGTCTTCGAGATCTTTATATCCTTCATGAAATTGCTCTGAGATTCCTCCTTTAGGGAAAGTTTGGCCTATGTAATAAATTCATACACAGAAGTTTTACAATGGGGAATTGTATTTGCATTGAAAATAAGGGTTTTTATATATTTTTGACCTAGGATTAAAAGCCAGTCTAATTTTGATGTAATTCATAATTCTCTCTTTTAGAAAAAATGGCTATATTTATAATCATCAGAAAATGGCTCCATCTTACTTTCACAGAGATTCTCTTTGTGCTTAGAGTTTGAGGAAATCTATGATATCACTACATTATTTAGAATGGAATCTGGAGGAAAACAAAACCCTGTTTTACACACGAATGTATCTGAATATGTGTCACAAATGCTACTATCATGTATTTATGGTTATTCTTCATTTCTTATATGCTGAATGACTAAATTATAATAAAGGCTGAATAACCCCTTTTAGGTTTAGAAAGGATAGTGGCTATCTTTGAGAAATATTTTATTCCAATTAGTCCATTAGTCTCCACTGGAGACCAGTGGTGAATGTAGCTTACTGGACTCTAATTCTTCTTCTTTTCAAAGTAAAAGATTCTTGATCAACTTTGTATCATACTGTAGTCCTGGGGATCCACCCAAAATCCTTTTCTTTTTCTTTTTTTCTTTTTTTTTTTTTGTCCCATTCCTCAAGTGATTTATACAAGAACATTTGCATAATGGAAGGTAATTTTAATGTATGCTAATTTCCATGAGGCCTGCACTTTCAGATTGTTCTTTTTGCTGGAGGAATGACTGAAGTGTCCCAAGCATTTGACTTTTCACCCTCTTGTGTGAACTTCTCCGTGAATGGTTTTGTTAGGAAAAACCACGCTCCAAATGTTCTGTGGCCATTAGAAGAGACCTGTTGTATGCATAGCATCATTCTGCTTTCCAAGTAATTTCTATGCAGATGGTATACAGCAAAATTTTTCTGCCTTACATTAAAATCTGCATCAACCAATAAGAATGATTTGCTCCTGAGCAGACACAAATGAAGGATTATTGTGTGGGAGGAGAAGTACAAGTACAAAGTGGATCAGGACAGCAGGTGGGACCAAAGGAGGATACAGGTCCTTTTAAAATTCTTAATTAAAAAAAGAAAAATAGCATATTGTATTTAATAGGATCCTATTACTATTCTAGATTTCTTTCCAAAATGAAGCTCCACAGAAGTATTTTAACCAGCCATGCAATTGCATTTTAAGAATCGACTTAACTATCAACTTTTTAGCACAAGGTGAGACTCTTGCATTTAGCATGCAACTTCTGGAAGAATGTAGTGAGAGTGAGTGAGATTGGGATCGCCTACCAAGCTGGGAGTGCCAGCTGCTCAACCCTGGTGCTCAATACAGGGAGGATGTTTGAGGAAGAACTTCATATCCTATATGTCAGTGATGATATGCAGTTTGCTTTGGTACACACAATTGTAACTGTTTCTCTGTTTTGGAATATGCCTGATGGTATTTATGCCAAAATGATTTATAGTCGACTCCTGGTTGAATCTGAAAGTTGGGACAAGGAATAAGAAGAAAGGTGTATATCTTATTGTAATTTATATTGCTTTTGAGATATGCTCTATAACTTACTGCAGCATATGCAACTTCTCTGTAATGTTCTTAGATAAATTATCCAATTATTCACATTTCAACTACATGATGGTTGGGTAATGAAAAATGGCCTGTAAGTAAGCTTTAATGAAGGGGAAGGGTTTGGGGAAGGCACAAGAGGAAGTTGCTTTTCTATAAAAATGTTCCTGTAAATAACTTAGAGAAGGACTTTTTATGTTGCTAGTTAGTGTGTATATTCAATGTAATTCAGGGAATTTAAAAAAGAAGAAAATGATTTTCTAACTATAACTCTCTATCTCTGAGATATAATGGCACATTGTGTAGTATTACCTGCTATTTTGAATTAGTTACCTCTATCCTTTTTTTATTATTAGCATTGGTGGATAGAATCTTTTCTATACAAGTACTTCTTTTCAACAAAGAAACAAAAGAACATCCCCTCAGATGCTAGTGAATAGGAAGAAATGGGCACTGAGGAAGTTCCTCTGAAGATCATGCATGTATCAGAGGAGGTGTCCATATACCTGGGTAAGGGCACATGAGGTGCACAGACTGTGGAAGACCTGCCATGACTGTTCTGCTCTCCTTCAGAAATGATTTTAACTAAAACTTGCCAGTGAAATCTGGTTTGGCTTTTGTTGGGGAGCTTTATGTTTAACCTCGACCTTGGTTGACATTGAACTTGCCTCTAATGGCTTCACAGCAGCCCAAGAGCAGTTTCTCAGCTCCTTAAGTAAACATCACATTACTTCAAGTTAACATCACATTGTGTCCTTCAAACATTTTTTTTCTGTAGTTATGTTCTGCTGACCTCTAATTCACTTACAGAAATTGCTTTTAAAAAACTTTTGTTTTCATATTTTTCAGGAAAGAAATGGAAACAAAACAAAGACACAATAGTTTATCTCACTGAGCTATTCCAGAGGCTATTATAACTTATAATATAATATAAATTAAATATTCAATAAAGCTACAACTGTTTTTTAAATAGGTTCACATCTTCTTTGTCCAACTCTGGTGTGTTTACAGGATATAGATTAAACATTCTGATCTTCTAGTTTACTTCTGTCTTCTTGACAAAATGTCAAAAACAAGTGTAATGCGCCACTAAATAATTACTATGCTTGGGGTGATAGCATGTTTTAATCTGTGATGGCAGTTTGTCTTGAATCCTAACCGTCCCCTTCTTAAAAACATGCTCATAATAAGCAGATGCTATTGTCCTTTGGCTTTCTAGAAAGTCAACAAGCCAAATTCCTTGGTCGTTCCAGAAAACTTTTGTCATGATCTTTGCTCTCAGCTGGTCCACTTTTGCTTTGACTGGATCTCTTCCCCATCTTGGCAGCCATTACTTTTATTGTGCTTTGTCCTCAGGATCATACTGATAAGGCCACGTTTCATCTCCTGTTACAATTCTTCAAAGAAATGCTTCGGGATCGTAACATCATCTGTTTAACATTTCCATTGAAAGTTCTGCTCTTGTCTGCAGTTGATCTGGGTGCAAGAATTTTTGCTCCCGTTGAGTGGAAAGTTTGCTCAACTTTAATTTTTCAATCAGAATTGTGTAAGCTGAATCAATTGAGATGTTTGTGGTTTTGTTTCTGTTGTTAATCATCAGCCCCCTTCAGTTAGGGCATGAACAAGATGAATTTTTTCCTTGCATTGATGTGTAATGGTCTGCCACTACCAGATTTATCTTCAATACAATATCATCTCATCCCTTTTTTTTTTTTTTTTTTTTTTTTTGAGATAGAGTCTCACTCTGTCGCCCAGGCTAGAGTGCAGTGGCACGATCTCGGCTCACTGCAACCTCTGCCTCCCAGGTTCAAGCGATTCTCCTGCCTCAGCCTCCCAAACATCTTGGACTACAGGCGCCTACCACCGCGCCTGGCTGATTTTTTATTTTTAGTAGAGATGGGGTTTCACCATCTTGCCCAAGCTGGTCTCAAACTCCTGACCTTGTGATCCACCTACCTCAGCCTCTCAAAGTGCTGGGATTACAGGCGTGAGCCACCGCGCCCGGCCCATCTCATCCCTTCTCAAAAAAAAAAAAAAAAAAAAAAAGTTAGCCATTTGTAAACTGCTGATTTCTTTGGGTCATTGTCCCCATAAACTTCTGTAAAGCATCAGTGATTTCACCATTGTTCCACCCATGCTTCGTCATAAATTTGATATTTGTTCCTGTTCGGTTTCAGCAAAATTCATTTGCTCTCATAGGGGCTCTTTTCAAGCTGATGTCTTATCCTTCTTAGTGGCTTGAACTAGATTCTGTTCAGACATGTGATAACAAATTAGCATGAGTTTGTTTTGGTACAAAAAATTTTAAAATCCCTGCATAGTTTTTAGTAATGCACATTTTCCATGAACTTTTGGAAGAATGCTCATATTCATGGATCTGTATTTATTATCAGTAGTCATCGTAAATATTTCTGTAACCTGGAGCCATTTTCTCTTAAGTTCTTGATAACTTGTTATAAAATAATAATGTTACAACGTAGAATGTCTGTTTTGTAAGCATTTAAACCCCAGAGTGAGAAAGGTAATGCAATGAGTGAATTGGGTTTAGTGTAAGAACTCAGTGATCCCAAAATGTGCCTAGTTGGTGCTGTTTTTCTCTGGTGCCAGACCCCACGGAAGGGATAATGAGGGAGTAAGGACCATGGGAATCTGGAGATCACCTGCATCAACCACAAGGACTGTAAATTTTTCTCATTTATTGAGTTTATTGTTACTCAGTCTTATTTTTGTTTTCCAAGAAAAGTCAGAAGTCTGACTGTTGAATGTCTCAGTTTTTCAACGTTTATCCAAAAACGGTGGATAAATCAATCAAGACTAAACAAAACACAACCATGATCAGATCAGGTCCTTGGATCATCCATTTCAATTCTCTGCCATAAGAAAAAGTTACAGATATAGTGTATTTTCATTGCTCTCAAACATATTATATGTTGATTTAGCCATAAGATCACAGATAGATTGGTACACATGATATTGACTGGGATATCAAAGGAATATTGAATGCTTTATTTTTGAAGTCTGTGTCATAGTTTGTAACAATCTCCTCCATTTCTTTCCAAATAAAATCATTTTGCATTCTGTTGTTTAGGCGATGGGAGAGCTCATTAGTTCTGAAAGAATAGTTCGAAATGTATGTTCTAGATACCAAAAGCACTTTTACTCTCTGGATTTTCATCACTTACAGTATTGAACAAGATGGCCAGTGTAAAGTGGCTAACATTCAGTAAATGCTGAAGGAAAATTTACTGAATTAAAAATAATAGGCTTTTTAAACAAAATGTGTACTGTAGTGAGGATATGGAGAAACTGGAACTCTAATAATACACAGCTGGTGAGAATGTGAATTGGCATAACCACTCAGGAAACCGTTCAGCAGTATATACTAAAGTTGAGCATATGAATGTATATCTGTGACTCCAATTCCACTTCTGAGTGTATATCCAACAGAAATACATACATATGCTCACCGAAAGATACATACTAGAATGTTCAGAGTATCACTGTTCATAGTAGCCCAAAACAAGAAGCTATCCAAATGCCCAACAAATACAGAATGCATAAATAGTGGTTTATTCTTAAAATGGAAAACTATACAGCAATAAAAATGTGTGATCTACAACTGCACACAACTATATATGAATTTAACAACCATCGCAATGAGTGCATGAGCCAAACACAAAATACTATATACTGTATAACTTCCCATTTACAAAGTACAATAATTGGCAAAGCTCATCTTTGCTATTTATAAATTAAGGATAGTTGTTACCCTGGAAAGGAATAAAAGAAGAGAGGCTTTTGGGGTGCTGGTAATGCTTTATTTCTTGATGTGACTGCAGGATTTCACAGATGTATTGGTTACAGATCTTGAGCTGTGCATACATTGACCTGTATCCTTTTTTCTGTGTAAATTATTCTTTAATAATACATTAAAATGAAAAACTAATAGGTTTGTAAAATTCAATGGAATAATTACTCATAATTAAAGGAAATTTATTTATTTTTAATATTCTCTAATATCTTATTACCTATTTTAGTATAAAATTAGGGTAAATTGAGTGGCATGGATTGTTAAATAGAGGTACTCCATAAATTATGGCTTTACATAATTACGTTTAAGGTATGATTCTTGCCAAGTTCAGAGATATTTTTAAGAATCTGCATTCATTTTACAAAATGTGAAAAGTAAAATGTAGCCTCAAGTGTAAATCAGCCAGTCATATGTGAGGCATGCCTAACATAATGCCTCTTATTTTTAAATGATTTCTCCCAATGTTGATGGTGAGAATAGTGCTAATGATACAAAAAGTTTTTTATAAAATGGGAAAATTCTACTCAATGTTTTGTTCGCTCTGAAGATTAAGGAATTTTAGATTCTTTATACAAAACATTAATCATCCAGAGGAAGTTTCCCCAAACTGTACTCACTGTTCTAATAGTTCCTGAGAGAATATTCCCTTCAGACAACCTAATGCTTGTTTAGTGTCTGATGCTAATAAGAAAATACCAACTTAAATTTGAATCATAAAGTCAGAATTTTTATAATTGTATGTGACCAAATATTAAAAAAAATATTCCTCATTTTTTACATGAGGAAACAGACCCAAAATAGTTAAGGGATACTTCTAAAGATATATCATTAATACATTTTATGACTGAGATCAAAACTCTCAAAGATTTTTCAGTGCTTGTCTTTCCAGTCTGTAGAGAATTTTCACTTGCGTAATCTCAGTTACTGCTGGTATTAATAGAACACATTTGTGTAATTTAAAGTTGTTCTCATATTATCTGCCAAATGTCTGTTTACAGTAACTTTATTTTGGTATTGGTATATCCTCCTGTTATGTTATTCTTCTTGACACAGTAAATGCCTTGATTAAAGAATAATGTAGGTCAATTAAATTCTATTTTACTTGAAGCTTTTTTAAGTTTGACCAAGACTGTGATGTCTGCTTTCATCTACAGATGAATTTTCCTGCCTACAATTGAATAATTACAATTACTGATGAATAGAGATTTCCTAGGCTTTTTTTTTAAAGATGTATGATCATGTCAAGTAATCTCATCTATTGTTTTGATGTTATCAAGATGTTTAATGACCTTTAGTAGTTTCTCGTCTATGATTGTGTCATTGAGAACTGTCTGTGTCAATGAATTCAAGGCAAATAAGGCCCTAAGAATTTTGCATTTCTATTTCATTCCTTTAATTAATTTATTTTTAATTGACAGATAATAATTGTGTATACTTATGGGGTACAATGTGATGTTTCAATGTATGTATACATAGTAGATAGTACAAATACTTAAGCTAATTAACATATGCATCACCTCACCGACTTATCATGTTTTTGTAGTGAGGATGTTAATGATCTATTCTTTTAGCAATTTGGAAATATACAGTGATAACTAACTGGTCACCATGCAGTGCAAAAGATCACTAAAAGTTATTCCCCCAGTATAATTAAAACCTTGTAACTTTTGATCAACATCTCCGTTTTCCTCATCCCTTCCCACCCCCCAGCCTCTAGTAACCACTTTTCTACTCTCTGTTTCTGTGAGACAGATTTTTTTTTTCTTTTTTTTTTTTTTTTTTTTGAATGAGAGTCTCGCTCTGTTCCCCAGGCTGGAATGCGGTGGCACCATCTGGGCTTACTGCAACCTCTGCCTCCCAGGTTCAAGCAATTCTCCTGCCTTGGTCTCCGAGTATCTGGGATTACAGGTGCCCGCCATCACGCCCAGCTAATTTTTGTATTTTTAGTAGAGATAGGGTTTCACTATGTTGGCCAGGCTGGTCTTGAATCCCTCGCCTCAAGTGCTCTGCCCACCTCGGCCTCCCAAAGGAGATTGACTTTTTTAGGTTCCACATGTAAGTGAGATCATAGAGTATTTGTTTTTCTGTGCTCGTCTTATTTCACTTAGCATAATATCCTCCAGTTCCATTCATGTGGTCGTGAATGACAGAATTTCCTTCTATTCTAACGCTGGATAGTATGCTACTGTGTATAATCCCATATTTTCTTTATCCATTCACTTGCTGATGAACACTTAGGTTGCTTTCATATGTTGGCTTCTGTGAAGAGTGCTGAAATGCACATGGGAGGGCAGACATTCCTTTGACATAGTGATTTCAATTCCTTTACGTATATATATATATCCAGAAGTGGGATTGCTAGATCATATAGTAAATCTATTTTTAGTTTTTTTGAGGAACCTCCATACTGTTCTCCAAAATTGCTGTACTAATTTATATTCCCACCAACAGTGTACAAGGGTTCCCTTTTCCCCAATTCCTCACCAACACTTACCATTTGTATTATAGATAGCAGCCCTTCTAACAGGTGTGAGGTGATATCTCAACATGGTTTTAATTTACATTTCCCTGATGATTAGTAATGTTGAGCATTTTTAAACATGTCTATTGGCCATTCATATCTCTTCTTTTGAGAAATGTCTGTTCAGATCCTTTGATCATTTTTTAATTGGGGTATTTGTTTTCTTGTTGTTGAGTTATTTGAATTCCCTCTATATTTTGGATATTAGTCTCTTATCTGATGTATGGTTTGCAAATATTTTCTCTCAACTCGTGGGCGGTCTCTCCATTCTTTTGTTTTCTTTGCTGTGCAGATTTTTTTTTTTTTTTGCATTTTTAGATAATTGGATAAAGTTTTAGAAATATAGGGCCCAATATTTCACATTATATTATTACATACATACACATAAATATGTATACACATATGTATCGCATTATAGATGGCAGTTAAAATTTTCAAGTATTTTAAATACTGTCATCAAAATAATACATGCACATGATTTGAAAAATTAAACAATACAGAGCAGCAGTACCTTACTACATCCATAAGCCCTATGGCATTTCTCAAACACAAGCATTTACATTTCTTATAATGATTTCTTCTCCATACTTCTAAATCAGGAATTCTTAATGTGGAATGCATGAATAAAATTCAGAAGGACTGTGTGCTTAGGGAAAAAAAGGGTTACATCTTTATTTTCATTAATCTGTAAATTGAAAGCTAGCATAGGCAATAATCCACAATAACATCAGCAGTACTGTGACTTTGTCAGTGATAGAATTCTGAAAGAATTACTGAGACTACTCCGGGAAGGTTATGGAAAAAAAAGAATTTAGAAATATTTGCATATAACATTAAGTTTTTACAAAAATCTGCCTTGAGATATTTTTTCTCATCTCTACTTCATTTAATGCATTAATAAGATTATTGCTATATCAATTGCTACATTTGTTTAATATTTTTGTGTTTCAGTATAATTGATTTCCTTTGTAATCTTATGTATTTTGTTTTATGCACTTAAAATATTATTTTGAGAACAGTTTCAAAGGCTTCACCAGACTGCCAATAGTGTTTATGCCAAATAAATGTTAACAATCTCTATTGTTATACACACAGTTCTTTGACTGATGAAATTTAGGTATTTAAGGCATCTTCTGCTATGAAAGAAGAGGATTGAACTCAGTTGTAACGTTTTATCAGCTCTTTTCCCCCCATCTTTTGATAGTTATATTACTTTACTTTGCTTCTCAATCGATTATCTTTTAAATTTAGGGATCTATGTATATACCTTAATTAATATTGCTATTAATTGTGTCTCTTCATGTTCTATTCTCCTACAGGAAGATATTAGCATCCCTATCCTTTTCTTTGGCTTTTGCTTCCACCCTCCTATTTTCCAGTTTCTGTCATCATTACTTTTATATTAACAATCTCAAAAACAATAACATATGCATTCTGTTCTAAAAAACATAATGATGTTCTGAAAACACAATTATTTATATGTTAATTTTCATTGGTGAAGATCTTAAACACTATTTGCATTGTTATGACTATGCAAGTTTTCACTGTAGTGTATATATAACCTTTTTGAGCAGTTCTTTGTTTTTCATGATGAAGTTTGTAATTACTTTCTTTTCCTATTATTTTATTTTTTGGCAATCTTTGCCTTTATCAAATCTTCAATTTTTCTCACACTTTCTGGCTTCTCACATATTCTAGTAAATATACTTCCCTCCCCCAACAGGGAGGGCTGTTGTTTTCCCTCCTTGGGGTCTCCCATTTCTGGAGTCTCCTTTGGATTGCGGTATTCTGGTTGTTTTTAAGGTTGCTATAGAGCTTATCGGGGTACATCTTCATGTAACTTACCAAGAAACTTTGCAAGGAACAAAAATTTCGGAGATTTTATGTGTCAAAATGATTTCATTCTGCTCGAACACTGATTTCTATAATTTAGTGGAATATAGAGTTCCAAGTTGATAACCATTTCAGCTTTTCGAAATTTCACAAAGATACATCAAGACTAGTTGTTTCTCTAATCGGTATTTTGTTTCTTTTTTGTTCTTGTTTATGTTTTGAACAGCAAGACTCTACCTCTAATCTGTGGGTTGTTTTAAGAATGTTAATGTCTTATGTATTGAGTTCTTCTGCTTTACTTTCTGCACTTTGTTTTCTCTTTTCTCTTTTTTGTATTAAACATTTTATATTGATTCTTTATAGCTCTTCTCTTATACATTCCGTCTTCGTTCAATTAAATCTTCAAGCCTATCTTTGAAATTTATAAAACTTTTATCACATCTATTTTCAATTTTTAAGTATACTTTTTTGATACTTCATTTTCATAGAATATTATTTTACTTTATTTAGTTAGAGACAGGGTCTCACTCTGTCACTCAGGCTGGAATGCAGTGGCCTAGTCATAGCTTACTGCAGTCTTGAACTCCAGGGCTCAAGGGATCCCCGCACCCCAGCCTCCCGAGTAGCTAGGACTATAGGCATGCACCACTATGCCCAGCCCAGTTAAATATTTTGTTTAGAGTCTGGCTGCATTGCCCAGGCTGGTCTTGAACTGGCTTCAAAAGACCCTTGATTCTCCCACCGTGGCCTGCCAAAGTTCTGGGATCACAGGCGTGAACCCCTATGCCCATGCCTAGCCAGAATACTATTTTATAAATTCAATATTTTTTTCAAGTCTGTTAATTTTTTTTTTTTTTTTTTTTTTTTTTTTTTTTGTGACGGGGTGTGCCCTGTCACCAGGCTGGAGTGCAGTGGTGCAATGTTAGCTCACTGCAACCTCCACTTCCCAGGCTCAAGCAATCCTCCCACCTCAGCTTCCAACAAGCTGGGATTACAGGCACACACCATCACACTCAGCTAATTTTTGTATTTTTTGAAGAGATGGGGTTTCACCATGTTGTCCAGGCTGGTCTGAAACTCCTGAGCTCAATCCATCTGCTCACTTCAGCCTCCAGAAGTGCTGCAATTTCAGACATGAACCACTGTTCTCGTCTTTTATGTCTTTGAATATTTTAATTTAAGATTTTTTTAAAAAAATTTTCTTCCCTGCATTCTGCTTCTCCCAGGACTTTTTTTTGAAAATTTTGTCTCTCCTTTTCATATTGTAATCTTTCCACAAATGTTTGGTGGTTCTTGATTGCCCATATAAACTTGCAGACTCTGATGTCTACATATCTTGACAGAGCTTATCAATGGGCAGACCTCACTTAGGAAGATGGGTCAGATGCTAGCCATAATTCTAAATTCTCCTCAGTCCTTCAAAATAGAGAGGTCTTTTATTGGAGGACTGCCAATTTCATTAACAAAACTCTCACATTTTTTTGTGAGGGAGTTTGCTGCATTACTGAATTCCAGGCAACATGCATGCAGTGGTAAAGTGAGTGGGAGGGGATTTGATTCTATTAACTGCCAAGCTTTCCCTCTAGGATTTCCTTTGTGGCCTCCATTAGCTAACAATTCCAAGTCTGGAACCTTCCTTAAGTATAACAGATAACAGGGCACCCAGTTGCTTTTTCCGTTTTAGCCGCTTCTTGGCTCTTGCAGGTTGCAGTTTTCTAGATTTTGCTTTGTCATTCTTTCTCTTGCCCCTTTCATTGTCCAGAAATCTGTTGAAAAAATTATATCCACTGATAATTACATCCCATACTCTTCATTTTTTAAACTTTTTATCTTTATTATTTATTATTGTAGTATGGTGTCTCTGAAAGATTGGAGAAGAATGTTTATAATCTTAAACCAGAAGCCTTGGGTATCACAGCATAATAATTAAGGTTTTATATTGTTTATGATTATTTGAGCCAAAGGCCTTTCTACCATTTATCAAAACAAAGTATTTTTGTAAACTTCAATATACATTAATTTTTTTCAGAAATGCAACACAAATATGAAAACAAATAAATATTATACTTCATTTTTTCCTGAACTTTACCAAGGGTTGTTCACCATTTCAAAATAACATTTACCTCTTGAGTTACCAGATAACAACCTAGTTGTATCAGTCTGCACTTTTAGCTCTTTTTTTTTTTTTTTTTTATGATTCTACATATATTTGCAAGTATCTGAGTTGATCATTTCTCTTCCAGGGTAGACATGCTGAGCATTTACATATTCAAATAAATATATAATTTTATTATATATTAATTCCTCTTAATTTCCTACTTTATATTACAGGTAGGACATTGTATTGATTTTGTCTAAATAAGCACCTGAACAGCTTACATAATTTTGAACTTTCAGAATAGTAAAGAGATGATAAAAACTGTTATTTAAAAATGAGCGCTTTGGTCTGATATGGTTGGGAACCAGTGTAAGAGGAAATATTTTATGGCTTTCAGTCTTGATAAGGAAAATAAGAATAAACTTCCACATATTGAAAAAAAATGGAACCCTAAAGACCGTTATTTCCATTGATGCTTTCTAAAAGCAATGATTAGGAAACAAATACCTTAGGGCAGTCATGGTGGCTCATGCCTAGAACCCCAGCACTTTGGGAGGCCAAGGTGGGTAGGCAGATTGCTTGAGCCCAGGAGTTCGAGACCAGCCTGGGCAACATGGTGAAACCCCTTCTCTCAAAAAGAAAAAGAAAAAAAAAATTAGCTGGGCAGTTGCACATGCCTGTAGTCCCAGCTACTCAGGAGGCTAAAGTGGGATGATCGTTTGAGCTCAGAAAGTCAAGTCTGCAGTGAGCCGTGATTATGCCACTGCATTCTAGCCTGGACAACAGAGCGAGATCCTGCCTCAAAAAAAAAAAAAAAAAAAAAAAAAAAGGAACCTTGAAGTTGTTCTGTATCCCTGCAGTCACATTCCATCTACCTGTTCTCTACTTGATGCTCTCCAATAGGGGTCAACAGACCTTTTCTGTAAAGGACCAGAGAGTAAACATTTTAGGTTTTGAGGGCTAGACCATTTCTGTTGGAACCACTTTAACTTTGGCATTTACAGCATGAATGTAGCTATACATAGTACATAAATGAATAACCATGGCTATGTTTCCATAAAACTTTTTTGAGAGGAATAGATCACAGGCTGGATTTGGCATATGGGCTATAGTTTGCCAAACCCTGGTCTTTGAGATTCTCAAACTTTCCAGTTTCACTGGGCGGCTCTCGTTAATGATGTTTTTATCCATTCCAATAGCAAAATCATTTAAACGTCTTAAAATTTTTGCATGCACTTTGATAGCGAAGCCATGGTATACATGACTTTAGAGGTATTAACATTTTGCTAATGGTTCCTTGTTCTTTATTTGGCTGTTTGTCATGACAGTGGATAAGCTTGGTTACTTTGTTCATAGAAAAAACACCACTGTTATTCTGTCACCATTCTTGGTGATGGTAAGATCCTTTACAAAAACTAGATGGAATAGAGATTCTTTCATTAAGAAGGAATGTAGAGAAGGCAGAAAATATCTATAATAAATTAACCTAAAATAATTAAAGGTCAAGGAAAAATAATTTATGAGTAATGATTGAAGTTGTGAATAGTAAAGGAAACGGAAAGTTTTTGAGGGCCTCATGAGTCATCACATATTTGAAGAATTGCCATGAAGAATTCTAAGGTTTAATGGTAGTATTTTTTTCAGCTTTGATAATTTGACGAAAAATCTTTTTTTAAATAAAATATTAGTGATTCATACATAAGGAACATCATGGTTTTAAGAATCAGTAGAGATTGAAGTCAGCCTACAATGTGAATTACTGGAATTTCTGACTTTAAAATATATGGATTTGAGAAACATCGATTTTGAGCTAAACTAGATAACATATTTATTTCTTAATGATATGCACAAATTTGTTAGGTATTGAAATAACCAATACAGTATTACCTTTCATTTCAGTTTTTAATGATACTAAAGCATGACTTTTTGGTAATTGTTTTAGTCAGACTTGGTAAGCACAAGATCTGACAGTGTTGACTAGTCTGATACTCACAGGATGCATTGTATAAATTCTTCATTCCTTGAAGCATGAGTACAGATGATGACTGTCATCTTTGCCCTTTGACAGGTGTTAGGTAATGTGTAAGATATTCCCTGAAGCCTTTTCCAGATTTTTCTTGGTGATTCAAGTTTAGAAATGTGGTTTGCTTAGAGCAGTGTTTTCAATGGGGGGTGATTTTTACCTCCCGTGGGACATTTGGCAATGTCTGGAGACATTTTTGCTTTTCCCAGTTGGGGGATGCTATTGGCATCTAGTGTGTAGAGAGGCCAGAGATGCTGCTATACCCCCTACAATGCATATCACAGTCTCCCACAGTAAAGACATGTTGGACCCAAAGTATTAATGCCAAGGGTCGAGAAATCCTGGCTTAGCGTAAAATTTGAGAACGAAGTCATCAGGATTCTTTAAATCCATACCTTCTTTTTTTTTTTTTTTTTTTTTTTTTTTTGAAGTGGAGTCTCGCGCTGTCGCCCAGGCTGGAGTACAGTGGCACGATCTCAACTCACTGCAAGCTCCGCCTCCTGGGTTCACGCCATCCTTCCGCCTCAGCCTCCCGAGTAGCTGGGCCTACAGGCGCCTGCCACTATGCCCAGCTAATTTTTTAAATTTTATTTTATTTTTATTTTTAGTAGAGACGGAGTTTCACCATGTTAGCCAGGATGGTCTCAATCTCCTGACCTCGTGATCCGTCCGCCTCGGCCTCCCAAAGTGCTGGGATTACAGGCGTGAGCCACCATGCCTGGCCTAAATCCATACCTTCTTAATTAGGAAAATAATGTTCATCAATGAGGCACTTCTAATACATTCCTTACAGAGATATTTAAAAGTGCAGCATTTCCCTATATATCTGGATCATAATGAAATGAGTGGTTGTTATTGTCTCTTCCCAGATCAGTCATCCATTTGTTTATCAAACTTTTAGCAAGCACTTGATGTGGGACTTAGGTTGACTGTACAAAATTGAATAAGAGATGGTCATCATCTAGATTAATGAATGGTAGGTAGATGGTAAAGATGACTGCGTTGTTGTTGTTCTCTATGATTTTGTAATGTTCTCTTACATGATAGCAACTCATTAGGTTTCTTTAGAGCGAGGGTAGGTTTGTCATGAAGTTTTGAAAGCTTTATTGGTGTTGGCAAGAGAATGGTGCAAGATAGTTGATTTATAGAATGTTTAGTTCTATTTTCTTGCTTAAACAATCCATAGACCAAAACTGTTGAGGGACCACTGGTAAGTGGTAGCCTCTTATAGGCAAAGGGATGCAGTAAAGGACTTTTGTAAGTTGTTTTTTAAAGTGTGAACATCATTGCTATGATCTGAATGTGTCCTCCAAAATTCATGTTGAAACCTCATCATTATTCTAACAATGTGTCATCAGAAAAAATTTTAATGAAATTAGCGTTAAAGTAAATTTAATGGCTATGGCATATTTGAATTTGTGGACGTATGTTTTGCAAAGACTCTGCTTCTGTCTTTATTTTTTGGAAACTAGGACATGGACTGTAGGCTTAGTTTCCAAATGTGGACTTTAAAATAATAGCTTTTTAAAATAAATGAAAATATTTTCAACATCTGATATTTTAAAAATATTTTACCACTAGTTCTGTTGAAATGATTTTCATTGTTGTTGTTTAAAACTAATTTTCTTCTTTGTGCTATTAAGTGGGAAAGTAAAACACCTATAAAGAGATCAATCTATTTTTACTGTGTAATGATCCCCCTAGTGGATATGAGATGCAGCTAGCTTCGATATTTGCATAAAGAAGCAGGTGATGGTGGGTGAGACTTTGTTACTTGTTTCTCACTTTCAGAAGTGTTGTACAAGATCAAAACTGTCTTTACTATTTTTAATAAAGGAACTCCAAGTGGTTAAATTACCTTTTTAGGAAGCCTTAATGAGGCAGAAAGTGGTAGAAGTGCATAATTCTTTAAACTTAGATAAAGATAAATATCTTAAACAAAAGTTGGTGCAACGCTTTTGTAGTTTTTCAAAACACTATTTAAAGAAAAGGATTTTTACCAATTATTTTGTGGTTTTCTCACTTAAATTGGCTAACAGTTTAAAAGTAGTCTATGTAACCTGATGCTACTATATATCTGATCTCCAGTTAGATTTGTTAAAGCAAGAATAGCAAGTGAAAGAAATTGATGACATGAAAATTGATTACTCTTTAAAGACATACTCTCAAAATAAGACATACAAGGTATCTATTTATAGTACCTAGATAATAAACTTTAGAAATAAAGATTCATTTGGATTTTGTAAAATGTTGTTAAAACATTAGGTCTGCAGGTTTCAAATATGCTACTATTCAGAACATTGGAAATAAGAGAAGCAGAATAAATACCTGTGATGTGGCAAAAACTTCAAATATTGCTAGCTACAAAGAGCTAGAAACCATCTTTAAGTAAAAATCATGTTAATGATGACTATATAATGAACCCAATATCAGTAGAACATCATATTGCCTAAGCAAACAGTGTTATTACTTTCACTTCATTGTACAATAAGTTGATGGTTTATGGAACTGGTTCTGTTCTGAGAAAGGTATCATTTGAATAGGAAAACAGCCTGTTTCTTCATAAAGGACTTAAACACTGGTAGAGGAGAGAACTCTGTTAATAAAATGCATTTTGCATATACAGTATATCAGAGTCATGTTTGAGAATTTTTCTGATATTATGAAAGGCCAGATAAAATATAAAACAAATGTCTATTCCACTTGTAAAGATAGGATTTCTGAATTTGTTAATAGGCTATAATTAATGTCATTTTAAACTTTTTCCTATTCTGTGTACTTATAAAGATACTTATAGAACAAATAATTAGAGAGTTAACTTGACAGAAGTCAACAATGTAGTGTGTGATAGACTAATCAATGATAAATCACATCATTCAGAAAAGAGAAGTTCTGTAAGTCTTGCTTAATTTATTGAAAATAAAGCTACATTTTTCAGTGATGAACATTTCTTGATGACAGTAATGATGATGCATGAATTAAATGAGGAGATAGGAAATAGGAATAAAAAAAGGATGGAAAAACTATAATTAACAAAAAACATCCACAAACAATAATTTATGTAAGTGAAATAGATTTCTGCAGAATAAAAATGGAACAAAGTGAACAATGGAAATTATTCGACAATTAGGGTGGATATAGCTTGGATCACTGAAACGGTGAAAGGCAAAAGATAATGTAATGCAACTTACACAGAGAAACAATGGAAATCTGTTCAAAAGCTCTTTTAAAAGACTTCCCCTTCACAAATATGTTGTCCTATTCTGCCTTTTCATTAGCAAGTTCTCTTTAATATTTCCAATTTACAAGATGCCTGAAGAAAATTAACATCTGACTTGATTTTAAAACTTTATTTGAAGCTCTGCCACACGTATTTGCAGCCTATACACTGTATGAATTTACTTAACCATTCACTTGGCTTTGCTTTTGAGTGGTCTGCTGGTCAAAATTGCCTGATATTTAAATGTTACCATAGTGATGAGTAGTGGACACTGTCATCTTTCTCGTTTTAATTAAGGAACAGATGCAGGTAAAGCTGATCTCTCAGTGACCCTCTTTAAGCCCGGCATCAACACATTGATTGTTTTCAATTCTTTTCTCTCCCCTGTAATCTTAGCTTTGTCCTTTCGTCATATCAAGGTCTTCATCCTCTTACGTTAAAGATGCAGGAACTCCTTTTAAACCCTTCCTTAGGGAGCTTTAGCTTAGAGAGAATAAAACACACTTCCACTAAACACCAATGAAACACTAAGGCTGTTTTTTGGGTTTTATGTTTGTTTGTTTGTTTGTTTCAAGAAGCCCTGGCTTTGTCCACTTTAAAATTAAGTAATGTGTAAGTGGCAGTTTGTTAAAATTCTGTATACCCTATAAAGACAAAAAGTATTTCTACTTCCACTTTTTTGAATGAAACAAATTCCCTTTCCCATTTAGTGTATTTATAAATGAGGTATATTCAGAAGGTCTAAATAGTGTTAGCAACTCAATCATTCTTCCTTGGACTATAATCTAAAACACACTAAGAATATAGAAAGTATTTATTAACTAATACATGCATGGTAAAAATAAGAAGAGAGTGGCTGCCCCAAAGATACTCACATTTTGGTTGTGTTTGAGGTGGATTGTAAGAGCTTGTTGTCATGAGGCATAACATACTCTGGGTAGAAGAAACAAAATTTGGTTGGAAGGATTAGAGAAGAGGATTATTAGGTATCCAGTAGTAACAGATTTAGGCACAGTGCCAGAGGAATAGTATAAATGATGAAATGCTTGTCCTAACTACTTTTCATTTGTTCCACTTAGGATTGTTAATTTTACCTCAATACTTCTAGGATTCTTCTTTACCTTACCTCAATTTTGTGACAATTTTGGCTCATTTGATTTTTGTATTGATTTCATTGATGTTGGAAACCAGCTAATCAAATTTATAATCTCTTTTAGGGTATTTCTCATCCTTTGGAATCTTAAATGAGTTCTAATATGCTTCTATTTATTATTATTATTATTATTATTATTATTATTATTATTATTATTATTATTTGAGACGAGTCTCACTCTGTTGCCCAGGCTGGAGTGCAGTGGCACGATCTCGGCTCACTGCAACCTCCGCCTCCTGGGCTCAAGCAATTCCCCCACCACAGCCTCCCGAATACCTGGGATTAGAGGCACTCACCACCATACCCAGGTAAGTTTTGTATTTTTAATAGAGACGGGGGTTTCACCATGTTAGCCAGGCTGGTCTCGAACTGCTGACCTCAGGTGATCCGCCTGCGTCGACCTCCCGAAGTCCTGGGATTACAGACATGAGTCACCACGCCTGGCTTCTCTTATTATTTTTAACCATTTGACGTTTTTGTTTTTATAATCCTTAGAAGATACATTTCACATGAATTATTTTACGTTTCCCGTTGCTTCATTTCTCTAGATGTCATGTATAGTTTTGAATATTTCCCCAATAGAATAATGTTTTGTAAGTATCCACAGTCCCATTTGTTTACATAGTTTTTCAGCAATGACTTGAGGAAGATTCTTCTTGTTTGTAATCAACCTTATTGATTAAATATTTTGCCCATTTTGATTGGGTTGTTTAATTATTGACTTGTTAGGACTTGGTGTGTTGGGCTAATTTTTTTTTTTTTTTCTAATTACCAGTTTGTGTGATACACGCATTGCAAATATAGTCTCTCATTCCTTGACTTGTCTTTTCATTTTGTAACATTGCCTTTTAAAATGCAAATGATTTTAGTTTATATAAAATCCAACCTATCAATTTTTTCTTTTATAGTTTCTGTTTTTTATATCATGTCTGAGACATCTTTGACTATCCCAAGGGCAAAGGTTTGCTACTGTATTTCCTTCAACACGTTTGTAAGGAAGATATTCTAAAGTATTAGGGGAAAAGAATGAAATAATTTCCTAACTTGTGAAAACAGTCAGGGAGGAATGATTCTTACATTGTTTATGATGATACCAAAGCTTCTTTCTGTACTTTTTGGCTCTGAAAAAAACTTATTCTGAATGCTTTCCCTATCAGAAAATTACCATTAATTCTCCTGCTCTGACTATGGTAACATAAAATGACTCGGAAACTGGAATAATTACTTTAGAGTTGAGGTGATATTGCATATAGTTTATGTGCAAGTTGAAGTTTATCAACTACATATGTTATGTAATTGTATTATATTTCACAATATATTTAGTTACTGGTTTATAGATTTGGAATGGTTTCATTGAAATGTCCTGAAAAGCAAAATGGGTTTGTTTGTTTATTGATTGATTGATTGATTGATTAAGACAGAGTCTTGCTCTGTCACCCAGGCCAGAGTGCAGTGGCATGATCTCGGCTCACTGCAACCTCCACCCACCCAGTTCAAGTGATTATCCTGCCTCAGTCTCCCAAGTAGCTGGGATTACAGGTGTGCACCACCACACCTGGCTAATTTTTGTAGTTTTAGTAGAGACAGGGTTTCACCATGTTGGCCAGGCTTGTCTCAAACTCTTGACCTCAAGTGATCTGCCCACCTTGACATCCCAAAATGCTGGGATTACAGGCGTGAGCCACCGTGCCTGGCCAAAAAATGGTTTTAAATCATTTCCTTGTTTTTTATTCAGCATGAGGACTTAGATGAAAAACTGATAGTATGAACCTTAAACAAATGTGCTTTAGGGGCAAGTTTACCTTTGGTATAGCAGATAAGGTAAGATGGAGGCATTGAAATGAAGTTTTCAGCTACCAATGATATAAATGACATTATCAGATGGACCAAAATGATGGCTGCCTCCATTCTTCAGTAGATGATATACTGTGTCTCTTTTTCTTGATAGTATTCTTTTTATATAGAGACTTAGAGACTGTTCCAAAGTAATGATCTGAATAATTCAAAATAATATTTCAAACCTGACAGGACTATATGCTGCTTGGGTGAAACAAAAGCAGTCTGCAATTGTATTTACTGGTGATCAAGGTTCCAAATTGTTTGGCTGTCGTGGAATAAAACAATTGAACATAAAACCCAACTGTTATATTGGAACATAATATTGTCTTCAAGATAGGCCAGTGCTCTGACTTAATATGAGCTTATCTGCAAAAATGCCCTTTGGCAGAGACATTTCTGAAAAGGGACTGTTTCTGTTGCTGGGGCCAGAAATGGCTCACACACTCCTCACTGGCATGTACTGATGGGAAAGCAGAATAGTAGATATTGCCATCATCATGAACTTTGAGTTAATCATTGTTTGTAGTGAAACTGTATAAAAATAATGATAATGATGTCACCAAGCATTCTCTATATGCCCTAGATACTATAAATTACTTAATTTTTCCCTAAACATCATTATTTTATAGTAAATTTTTAGAGGTTTTTCAAATTGAATCTGTATAATGTCAGATTGATATGGTATCTTATAGGTGTGTATTTAGTTTCCCAGAAGTTACCTCTAGATTATAACAGTATCCTTTCCAATGGGAAAATAAGTTTTTGGCTTTCAGATGAATAAAACCTGTAGATAATGTTTCTTACCACTTAAAATGAATAAATAATTGAACCTAATATTAGTCATTTTGATATGGAATTTTTGAACTAATTTTATTGTGATAATATTTTCTAATTTCTATGTATCTCAACATGTAAATTTTTCATTTCCATTATTGACATACATTCCATAAACTTTCTTGCTTGCATGTTCACAATGAGCCAACCAATAACATAGATAAAATTCTATCTACTATTTACATGAGGATACATTTGAAATCATTAAATTTTTAAAATAAATAGATTCAAAACTTGGTTATAAAATAGACTCAAAACTTTCCTGTACCCTTCTGGCTTGTTCTGGGAAAACAATGCTTGCACAGCTTTATTTCTTCCAGCTTTAAACCTCTAAGACTTCCCTTAGCAATTTTTGTCTCATCAGAAGTCTTCACATATGCTGGCTAGGAAGGAAAACATTGGCATTTTTTTTCAGGAAGAAGACCGTGTTAATGAGCTACACTAAACTCACGTCTCCATTCCATCTTGCATGTACTCCTTACCCCATATTTGAGAAATATCACTCAAATTATGAGTCAGAACATGATTTTGATACAAAAGATTGGTTTGTTCATATGATGTTGTTATATAAAGCTCCATGTACAATTCTTTCATAGGTTAAACAATTTTATAAAGCTTTTATACTTTATTATTTTCAGTTCAAGTGTGAATTCAGATAATGATATTGGGAGGCCAAGGCGTGAGGATCACTTGAGGCCAAGAGTTCAAGACAAGCCTGGGCAACATAGCAAGACCCCTATTTCTGCAAAAAATAAAAATATTAGCTGGCCATGGTGGCATATGGCTGTAGTCCTAGCTACTTGGGAGGCTGAGGTGGGAGAATCACTTGAACCCAAGAGTGTGAGGCTAAAGTGAGCTACGATTGCATCATTGTACTCCAGACTGGGCAACATAATGAGACTCTGCTCTTAGAAGAAAAAAAAAAAAGATATTGAGAAAAGAATTACTATTAAAGATGTTTGAGATCCTGAAAGCCAAGAAAACTGAATAATGTATAAAATGTAAAGCTAAGATTTTAGCCTTTTCTTAAACAAAAATTGGCTGCTCAGATAATATCCACAATTTACTCATAATGTTCCTTAATTTGTTCCTTGTATATGAACCTCTTGTACAACTTATAACAATTAGAGGCATACTTTAATTTGCTTTGCAATTTGAACTTTGCAATAACAGTGTGTATCTATTATGGATTCTCAAAGAAGCCTCTCAGTGGGTTCAATCCGAAATTGTCTTCCCCTTTCACATCCTCACCGTTCCTATGTTAGCTAGGCCTATTAGTCAGGGATTTCATTTTACCACCTCAAAACTGCTAAGGCAACCTTGTCATTGTAATTTTCACGCCCTTTCTTTTTCTTTGTTCTGTATGTCAGTGAAATCTTATCTCCACAGTCTTCTGTCATAGGTTAATAGCTTGGAACAAAGTTCAATTAGAGTCTCTAACATAATAAAACAAAATGCACAGATGAAAAAATTAGTAGCCACTGCCCTGTACTTCATTCAAACACTGTTGGATCTTACTCATCAGTGAAACTGAATTAGTAGATAAGATAGGAAATTGTCAAATGAGAGTCCACATAAATTGAGAAGACTTTAATGCAACTGTGCTATTCTAGAAGATGTTTCAATGACATGGTAGTGCCCTGGAAAGTTCTTACTATAGATTTTGTTTTCTTGATGGTGTTTTATTTAACCATATTGTTAAATCCAAAGAACTCTAGATGACGTATGGAAATCTAACAACTGAATATACCATCTTAACATTTTTAAGATTTTTGAAAAGAAGAATTGATTTGTTTCCCTATCCTGCATTTATCCAATTAAAAGCACCTTTGCTAATATGTTAAAGCCATGGGTCATTTCCTATACTTATTCTACTCATGCTGCTGTCGGCTGAAGGTCATTGGAAATTATGTGGCAGAGACATTTTCCAGGGAAACAAATGGTGTTATTGCAAATTTACTAGTTGGTTATTTGAAAAGAAATGTATTGACACCATTGAACATTATCAACAATCCCACTGCCATCACTTTTTCCTCCTCTAGTCAATGAGCTGTTAAAAGACACAATTTGTTGTACTATGTAGTTAACAAGAGATAAATAACATGCAGCAGGTGCTACACAGGAAGGCACTGAGTGTTATTGTACTAACTGTGCCTGACTAATTCTAGCCAAAACAACAATTCTGTATTCAGTAAAGGGAAAAATAGATAATTTAATGGAGATTTGGAACCTCATTGTTTGTTATGTCAGGGTTATACTTGGAAAATAGAACCAAGTGAAAGATGTACTTAAAGGAAATCCTTTGCTGCAGAGATTTATTCTCAACTTGTGAGAATCCCATTCAATGGAAGATAACAGTATGCAGATGATTTCAAATATTGAGTAATCCAATTTTCTGTATATTGTTAAAAGAATGATGAGATTTTTATTGGTATGGGTCTATCCTCCACATCATGTTTCTTGTAGAATAATGTTAAGAACAGCTTGCATTCCCTGAGCAAATCTTTCCAACTTAATAAGGCAGGTGAGAAGCATAGGATAGTAGGAGGAACCAGGTTGGAAATCACATTTTGCCCTTGTGAATCTGCAGAGGAAAGAGTCAATATTAATTTTGAATGACAGAGGTATTTCTCTTATTTTTTCTGCTGGTGAATTTTGATGTATAGTGTCCAGTCATTCATTTATTCGACGGTTTACGAATTGAGTATCTACTATGTGTCTGGAACTGAACTGCAAACAGGGAAAACACAAATCAAAAGAAGTTCTGCTCTTGTGGTGACTGTTCTACTGGGGCAAGTAGACAATAATTAAGTTAAAAAAGGTAATTGTAGATTGAAACGAGTGTTAGTCATGAAGGAAATAAAGAGGAGGCAGGATAGAGCTTCTAAAGGTTTCCTTTGAACTGAAGAATACAAATGGGGCATTCACAGGAATTGTAGAGGAAGATTTTCCTGGGGAAGGAAAAACAAGGGAGATGTCTTGGACGTGATCATAGTGTTGCCATGTTCAAGGCACAGGAAGGAAGCTAGTATGGCTGGAGTATTGTTACTTGTGTGGAACATAATTAGGAGATAAAATTGGAGATGGAGGCAGGAACCAAATCAAGGAAAGACTTGGTTTGAAGTTTAGTTTTCCTTCTGAGAGCAGTAGACATTATTGAAGGATTTTAAGAGGGTGAGTGACTGAAGCTCATTGATTTCTTAAAGATGATTGTTCACTCTGTGGAGAAGGTGTTGGAGAAGGTCAGTAGTAAAAATGGAAGGCCCTGATAGGAGGTTATTGCAATAGAATTGATAAATTGTGGACTGAGATGGTAATTGCAAAGGTGGAGAAAAATGTGGATATTAATGCTTATTATGAGGGTAAAACCGACATGACTTGCTAATGAAGCAGATGGGATGTAAGAGAGGGAAAGAGATCAATAATAACTCTGTATTTTGGGACTGGACTCTAGACATATGTAGATGACATTTAGTGAAGTTGGGAAAACTTGAGAAGTCCAGATTTGAGAAAATCAAGAGTTCTGGGCGCTCTGTTTGGATTTATTAAGTGTATAAAATCCTATTGTATATCAAAGCCAAGATGTCAAGTAGTTTATTAAATATTAGAATCCAGAGATCAGTGGAAAAAATTTGGGTTAGAGACATAAATTTGTTCATCAGAAGCACATAAAAGTGGCATCTGATGGCACTGGCCTTTATGGGATGACCTGAACTGAGTGTAGATTAAAAAAGGGTTCCCCGAACAATTTGAGGCAATCACCTTTAAGAGCAATGGAACAAGACTGAGAAAGAAACAGTGATGTAGGAGGAAGCCCAGGAGAGGAGAGAATGGCAGAGTCAATTGTGTTAATGCTGCCAAGATATAAATGGAGGACTGACTTTGGTGAAATGTAGTCATTTTTAACTTTGAAAAGAATAATTTCAATGCAATGGTGGGGAGTGGTAGCAGATTGGAGTAAGTAAATTTAAGAAAGAGTTGGGTGGTTTGGAAGTGGAGAAAGTGAGTTTAGAGGTGTTAAGAATTGTAGCTGTGAATAAGGAGCCTAAAAAATAGTGGGAGATTTGGAGATCAAAGGAAGTGTTGTTTATTTGTTTTAAGATGGGAAATAACAGAACGTTTGATATTCTATTTTCCATGATCCAGTAAGAAGGGAGAGATTGTAGATGCAGGAAAGGGGAGAAAGAACTGAACTAGAGAAGTATTTTAAAGGAAGAGCACTCCTCAGTATAAGATTCGAAATTTGATAAATAGCATTTCTGCTTTTGTGTAACATTTAACCTGACACAATTTGCTTCTCATCATAGAATAGTAGAGTTGGAAGGTAACTTCAGAGCTCATCACATCAAAATTTCTCATTTTACAGCTGACCAAACAAAGGTGCAGATAAGAGACAAGATTTACAGCTTGTCTCACAGCTAATTAATGAATTGGGGAGTATCCCATCAGCACCATTTGTTGATGAAGGGGCAGTGTAGGGAGGAGGAAGCCTTTTCTTACTTTATGACATAACTAATGCATTTACATCCGTGAGTAAACTTAATACATCTTCAAGAAACCAATAGGATAGTGGCTTGGATTTGAAATGTAGTTAACTCTAGTACATGATATGTTATGCTACCCAGATCCCCTTCCCAAGACTGAAGCTTCCTTTCCCCCAACTGCCAGGATTTTTGGCAGCCAGTAACTCTCAGCCAAGTCACCCTCCTGGACTCACTACATCAGGAAATAACTACTTTGTTCCATGTCACACCCTCTTACTGTGGGCACTCTGCATCCAGTGATTGATTAATGAAAGGGAGAACAAAGTAGCTCCTTCATCCGAATTCAGGACAGATCTAACTGATCCAGAGACTCCTGTATGATCTGCTGAAGCTTTAGTTTGGATTATATCATAGTGCAGTTCCTCTCTCTGACCAATCCTGTTTCTTCCCAGGCTGTTGATCCCAATAATAATCTTCCTGCATGCAAGTTTCTATCTCAAGATCTGTTTCCTCAAGAATCCCGGCCTAAAACACCCACAAAGGGTAGGGCCAACAATTCCAAGAGAGCAATCTTGAGGTTGATCACATGCAGCCTGAATATTTTTAAATGTCACAACTGGAAGGTGGATTATTACAGAAAGAAAAGATTGAACTTAGACTGCACATCAGGGTTATGATTGTGGAAAATTAACTTTATTTGGAATAAGACCCTAGCCAGAGATTGGGGGATTATGGATATCAGGTTTTGACCTCTTAGAGAAGTGGCAAACAAAAATTTTAGAAGTTCTCAGAGCCTTAGATAGGAAGACTGAGATCAAGAATGATTCCAGAACTAACAAATAGCCATTTTGCTAGACATACACTACGTTGAAACCCAGTGAACAAGAAAGCTGTACTTGGGTGGAGGGCACATAAGATACCCAGGGCTAGCGCCAGTCTGAGCATATGGACACATGGCTAATTTCAGAGCTTTCCTTCTGGTGGGGAATTAGCTCCTACTTACCTCTACCCTTGGTAAGTATGTGTTCAGGAGCTGCACAAGTCTGCCTTTTCTGGGAGAGGGATGGAAGAGAGAGAGTCTGGAGAAGCTGAGAGTGTTCAAGGCAAAGAAACTATACACATTTCTGGAAAGAAAAGTTACTTTACTAGGGCAAATTTTGCTTTTGTTCTTATTCTAGATTTATTCTGATATTCAAGAACAATATTTAGTTTATCAAGACAGTGATAACATTCAAATCCATATTTGTAAATGCATTGGACCGTTCTCTAAACTTGTCCTGTTAGTAAGTCCTATAATTTACAGGTGGAGTCTATTGGGCAAGGGCGGGTAAATCAACTCAGTTAAAGGGTCAACTTGATACTAATTTCCAAGCAATTGAAAACTACCGTGTGTGTGTATGTGCATACTAAAATAAATATTTCCAAAGCACTATTGCCTCTGCAAAATTATGATAAGAGTAAAAATAGTGGACTGCCACTGGAAACCCCAAGAGCAGGAAATTTATAATAGAGGATTCATGCTGGAAGTATTAAAGGTTGTTTATAGACCTAAGTGGTTAATAAGGATGTGTGTATTGATATTGCTTTAGTTAACTCCAACTTGTAACCAATTTTATTAGCAATAAAGTACTCACAATGACTTAGAAAACTCACTGACACATACGAACTTCCAAGCATCACACCTACTACCTAGGTAGGAAGTACCTACCTACTTCCAAGCATCACACCACTCTAGTGACTAAAATTCATAAAGTAAAAGGAAAATAATGAAATAAGTTGGTAAAGTAGGAAACCGTGGAAGATCATAGATGTGACATAGAATAGTGTAGATTCTCAGAACTTCTCTGAAAAAATTGTAACAGTGAGGATAATTAAGTGAAGTACATATATGCTTAAAAGTTTACATAGCAATATATGGGAGATGAATCATACAGTAGACTTTTACATTTTAATAAAGATAGTGAGATACTGTAGGATAAAACTTCAGAGGAATATGCAACAGTGGAAGTTGACACCTTGCTTGAAGAGCTACATCAAATGACAGTGCGATCAGTAGTGATATATATTATGAAGGTAAAACATTTATGTACCAATCCTATACATGAGGGAGGGTTGTTCATAGAGAAGCTAATTAATTCATTCCTGACTTGTTTTATTGCTGATTAAATTTCTCCAAAAGTAAAAGTAATGTTGGGACAAATGGCTATTCACATCCAAAAGAATGAAGATGACCCTTACCTTACACCATATAAAAAAAAAACTTCAAATGGAGCAAATAATTAAACATAAGAGTTAAAAAAAAAACCTGTAAAATTATTGGAAGAAAATATAGGGGTAAATGTTCATGACCTTGAATTGTGCAGTTGTTTCGTAGATATGACAAAAAGTGCACAAGTATCAAAACAATAGATAAACTGGACTTTATAAAAAAACAAAATGTTTATGCTGCAAAGGACACTATAAAAGAGTATAAACATAACCCACAGAGTGGGAGAAAGTATTTGCAAATTGTATATAATAAGTCTACTGTTATTAAATAATACTTGCAACTCAACAACAAAAAGACAAAAGATCCAATTTAAAAATGGACAAAGGACTTGAATAAACATTTCTCCAAATACGTAAATAGCCACCACGTACCTATAAAGATGCTCAATATCATTAGTCATAAAGGAAATGCAAATCAAAACCACGATGAGATACAACTTCAACTGACTAGGACAGTCAGAATTTAAAACAAACAAACAAACAAAAAATAACTAGCATTGGTAAGGATGTGGAGAAATTAGAACCCTCAAACACTGCTGGTTGGAATGTGAAATGGTGCAACCGCTATAGAAAACAGGTTGGCAGTGCCTCAAAACATTAAACACAAAAATTACCATATGGGATAGCAATTCTAATTCTATATACATACTCAAGAAAAATGAACATACACAGACACACACACTTTTGTACAAGTATTTATAACAGCACTAATCATAACCAAAAAGTTATTATGAGAACACACACACACACTTTTGCACAAGTATTTATAATAGCACTAATAATAACCAAAAAGTAGAAGTGAGCCAAATTTTCTCAATGGTTGAATAGATACATAACATGTGTCTGTACATACAGTGTAATATACAATGTAATATTATTCAGCCATAAAGAGAAGGGAATTTTGGCACATTTTACAACAAGGATGAACCTTGAAGACATTGTGCTAAGTGAAATAAACCAATCATAAAAGTACAAATATTGTATAATTCCATTTATATAAGGTATCTAGAGTAGTCAAATTCATAGAGACAGGAAGTAGAATGGTGGTTTTTGGGCTCAGGGAAAGGAAGAATGGGAAGTGACTGTTTAATGTTTACAGGGTTTCCTTCTGGGGTGGTGTAAATGTTTTGGAAGTAGAGTTTGTGGTTTCACAACATTGTGAGTGTACTTAATGTCATAGAATTGTACATTTTAAAATAGTTAACACTGTACATTCTATGTTGTGTGTATTTTACCACAGTAAGAATTAAAAGTTTGGGGGTTATGGGAGGTATAGCACTAGGAGAAATACCCAATGTCGATGATGGGTTGATGGGTGCAGCAAACCACCACGGTACATGTATACCTATATAACAAACCTGCATGTTCTGCACATGTACCCCAGAACTTAAAGTATAATAAAAAATGTTTAAAAATTTTTTCCATGATGAATGAAAAAACAAAAAGTAAAAGTTAATAGTAAAAATGAGCACAATTAATCTTCCAGTTCAGTGCTAATCAATAAGAATGACCGTTAGGGTAAGAGGTTTGTATTAGTCCATTTTCATATTGCTGTAAGGAACTGCCTGAGACTGGGTAACTTATAAAGGAAAGAAGTTTAATTGACTCGTAGTTCAGCATGGCTGAGGAGGCCTCAGGAAACTTACAATCATGGCAGAAAGTGAAGAGGAAGCAAGACACCTTCTTCACAAGGTGGCAGGAGGGAGAAGTGCTGAGTGAAGGAGGGAGAGCCCCTTATAAAACCATCAGATCTCATGACAACTCACTCACTATCACAAGAACAGCATGGGGGAAGCAAGCCCCATGATTCAATTACCTCCACCTGGTCTCCCCTTTGACACGCGGGGATTCTGGGGATTACAATTCAAGATGAGATTTGGGTGGGGACACACTGCCTAACCATATCAGAGTTGGTTAATGATAATCTTGTAATACAATTTTAAAAAGTTGTTTTAAACAGTACATTCAAAGTGATTCCAAGTGATGCCAGAAGCAGAGGAAGAAGCATCAGGAATTTTCTATCAGGAAACTAAAACCCAGACTGTGTTCAAGTTTGAGAATAAAATTAAATAAATAAATAAATAAATAAATAAATAAATAAATAAATAAGGGAGAGGGCAAGCAGGCAATGAAACTTCCCCGAACTTTGTATGGGATGAGGAAGGAAGGAATCAAGCAACTATTTGCCACACATAATATTAATAGAGTTAAGGAAGAAAACAGACAATTACAATTCTATTTTGTTTAATTATAAAACCTGGGGATTTGTACTTCTTTTTCCTTTCTCTTGCTCTTTTGAGACTCCATTTTTTTCTGCAATAATTAGGAAAGGAATCTCTCTCTCTCTCTCTGTCTCTGTCTCTCTGTCTCTGTCTCTCTCTCTCTCTCTCTCTCTCTCTCTGTGTGTGTGTGTGTGTGTGTGTGTGTGTGTGTGTGTGTTTCGGGGCTAGAAATTATAAGAAAGTAAAAGAAGATTTGTAATGTACAATCTTTTTGTTCAAGACAATTACCAATCATTTCCAGAAGGATAAGATGTACTTGTACATGATTTCCTTGGATAAACAAAAGGAGAGAGGAAGTAGCCAAGAAAATTTTGAAGAGGAGGACAAATTTGGGCATGACTTGCTCTAAAATATCATGACTTATTATAAAGCTAAAAGATTTAGACAGAGTGGAGTTGGCACTGAGTTAATCTTATGGGCCAGAGTAGGGAAGAATTGAGAGTCCAGAAATAGTTAAATTCATATATGAATGCAAGATGTGTGGCAATGGTGGCATTAAAAGCCGGTGGGGAAAGTATGGGTTGCTCAGTACATGGTGGTAGGACAATTGGTTATCCATATGGGAAAAAGTAAAATTAGATCCTGGTGACAGAATAAATCCCAGGTGGCTCAAAAACCTTAAACTGAAAAGCAAAACTTTAAAAATCTTACTGTCAAAAATAGGAGTATTTTTATGACCTCAGGTTAAGGAAGGATTTCATAAAGGAAACAATGAGTAAATCTGGCATTTTGTAAATGATATTTTCTACACATCAAAAGACACCTCTAAATAAATACAAAAAAAAAAAAAAAAGCCACTAATAGTGGAGAGGTATTGGAAAAGCCACCAAAAAATAAGCATTTAGAACTTTACAATTTTGCAGCAGGTAAAAGACAACATAATAGCAAAACAGACAAAGGTAATAAACAGACATTTTATGGAATATGAAACATAAATGTTCAATAAAGTGATATGCAACTTTAGCTATGACAGAAATTCAAATTAAAATGATATACAATTTCGCTGGGTGTGGTGGCTCATGCCTGTAATCCCAGCAGTTTGGTAGGCCGAGGTGGGTGGATCATCTGAGGTCAGAAGTTCAAGACCAGCCTGGTCAACATGGTGAAACCCCCTCTCTACTAAATATACAAAAATTAGCCGGGCATGGTGGCGGGCGCCTGTAATCCCAGCTACTCAGGAGGCTGAGGCGGGAGAATCGCTTGAACCCGGGAGGCAGAGGTTGCAGTGAGCCGAGATCACACCATTGCGCTCCAGCCTGGGCAACAAGAGCAAAACTTTGTTCCAAAACAAACAAACAAACAAAAAAAGATACACAATTTCAAACTCATCAGATTGCCTAAAATGAATGCCTGAAAATACCAAGTGTTGGTGAATGTGAAGAGCAGCAAGAATTCTACAATTTTAGTGGCAGTAGAAACTGGTACAACCATTTGGGAGAGCAATTTGGCAATATCTAGAAGTTAAATAGCACATACTATAGGACCAGCATATCAGCTCCCGGGACTTGTACAAGACCGTCCATTGCAGTCTTATTCAATTAAAAAAAAAAAAAAAAGGACAACCAAAATATTTTCAACAGACAAGAAATAAATTGTGGGGGAAACTAGGATGACAAGTATTAATATAGATCAATATAAAATATTTCTTTGATATGATGAAACTTTTTTGAACAGAATGGAGAATGGTTGAAGTATTTTTGTTTTTGTTTTTGTTTTTTTTTTTTTGAGACGGAGTCTTGCCCTGTCGCCCAGGCTGGAGTGCAGTGGCGCGATCTTGGCTCACTGCAAGCTCCACCTCCTGGGTTCACGCCATTCTCCTGCCTCAGCTTCCCGAGTAGTTGGGACTACAGGCGCCCGCCACCACGCCTGGCTAGTTTTTTTTGTGTTTTTAGTAGAGACGGGGTTTCACCGTGTTAGCCAGGATGGTCTCGATCTCCGGACCTCGTGATCTGCCCGCCTCGGCCTCCCAAAGTGCTGGGATTACAGGTGTGAGCCACCGCGCCCAGCCGCTTTGAAGGTTTTTTATAGAACATCCAATTCAGTGACATTTTGACTGATAGGGCACCCGTAGTGACAAAGTATTGATTAGTACATCAGATAAGGTGTTGTATCAAGTTAGCATTTTTGATGATTAATAGACCACTCCGAAACTTTAGTTGGAAATAGCCCCCCTTTTATTTAGCTCATGATTTTTTTATTTAGCTCATGATTTTTTTATTTAGCTCATGATTTTTTAAGATGAGATGGCTGAGACTGCTTGGATCCTTGGGGCCGCTCACCATGTGGTCTCACACCTTCTAGTCTATTAGCCTAGGCTTCTTCACATGTCAATCTGTGGCGTTAAAGGCCAAGGAGAAAAGACAAGTTCCAATGCACAAGCACTTTTCTGGACTACTGCTATTATTTATTGGTCTAAAGCAAGAAACATGCCCAGAACAAGATTTGGTGGTGGAAAAATAGATGCCAAGTCACATTGAAATGGAATATTTATATAGGAATGAAAGGAATTTGTGGACATTTTTGTCCATATTACAGATGTTTTTACACAGGTATCTGTACTTTGTCTATGAAACTTTTGTATCCGTTGCTTGGATGAAGGTCCTTAATTGAGGGCTGGTTGAAGATGCATCAGTATTAGTAAAATGGCTTTACCCTCAATTTACTACCCAAGACTTAGGTCTAACCAGTTTCTTCCAGTCAAAGAGTCTGCAGGCTTCTTGGGTGTGAGCATCTATATTGAGGCGGCATTTATTGGTGAAGCATCCACTTTGGGGACTGCCAGGTAGTTCAGCCCCTAAAGATTAGGAGGCATCACTTACTGAGACTGAATAAGAAGAATAATGTTCTGCTTCCTAAATAATGCAAAACCCTGTTTGTAGGAGGAGAGTCTCCGTTTGTGGGATCTTTAAAGTAGATTAAGAACTGGAAAAAAAAAAATTCCGCAGCATTGTACCCTAAGCCTGAAAAATCAAGTCAGTAAGTTTTTCTTTAGGAGTTTATTTTTCCCCAGAATAGCAGAAAGAGAAGACAATGAATCAGAGAAGTTTAGCCATACTTACTTTACTGTAATCTGAGAATTTTTCTCAGGAATAGGAGTGAGATGAAAACTGATGTTCTTGAGGTCAAATGGGCTTCAAATGTTTACTGATTACATTTTAAAAGTATAAGGAGTTCAATTTGGCTCACTGTGAGAAAGAATCTTCTAGGATGTATAGTAGTTTAAAAATGCAGTGCCTTGTCAAGCAGTAAACACCATCCCTAAAAGCATCTAGGCAGAGGCTGGATAGGTAAGCCATGTCTTGGAAAGAGTTAATAGTCTAATTGCAGAGATCAAGTAAGGTATCCTGGGGGAACTCGTATTAAATGGAAGAGTAGAATTTTAGTAGGTGTAAAAGGAGGGGTCTGTGGAAATGGAAGAGAATAGTTAGAAAATAGAAATGGCTAGATGACCCCAAAAACATCCACCTAACTAGGATTTTCTGATATCAAAGCTTAATGATTGGTGTCTCTTAAAGAAAAAAGATTATATTTTCAATCCTAGCATGAATTTATCATACCCTAGTAAGTCATTTCTGCCGTTTGCCTCTGTCTCATCTGATTATGGGACTATTTTATTAAAATTTGCTATAAAATAGTATTCTCACAAAAAAACTAGCTGGGTGTGGTGGTGTGTGCCTGTAATCCCAGCTACTTGGGAGGCTGAGACAGGAGAATCACTTGAACCTGGGAGGTAGAGGTTGCAGTGAGCCGAGATCGCGCCACTGCACTCCAGCCTAGGCAACAAAGTAAAACTCCATCTCAAAAAAAAAAAAAAAAAAATAGCATTCTCTATTTACTTTATGCTTCTTTAATTCTAATTTTTATTTTCTCCATTTAGAAACTTCTCAAATTTGAAATTTAGCCACTAGCTTTAAGTAGAAAAACACCAATGATACAGTATATGACAATAATATATCGTAACTTGGTTATAACATATAATTATGTTTCATTCATCCTCTATTCCCTTTATTGCGTGTTCAGCTTAAATACAAGCCCTGTGATATTTGAAAGCATCAGTACCTATGGTGTATTCTGCTGAGAAGTCAAGAATCTCTGAAACATTGTGATTTCTTCTCAGGCAATGTCAGAAAACAAGTTTGTTTTTTTGAATTGGCGAACATAGAACCAAACTTAAGAAAACACTTGGGCTTTGTTCTTTAAAAGTTGCTCTGAATAACAATTATAAGGCAGGAAGTTAAGAAAATATAGCAGCAGAACTCTTGCTTATTGGAATGTTTTTCAAGTTTTTCCATAAGGTGTCGACAGTTCTCTGTCAACTTGAAGGCTGAAAACACAAAAAGCAGTCTTGATTGTCAGGTGCTCTGTGACATCCCTCTCCCACCACTCCCAAGCACTCTGAGCTCCAGTTCAGATGTTTCAGTGTTTTGTAATTTATTCTGTCTCTAAATATCATTTCCCCATTATCTCAGGATTTGCTTTCAGGATGCCTACATTGTGTCATCAATTACCCTGAAAGTACTATAGCACAGATCTTGCTCTATCTTACATTGATAGTATATGGGGTAAAATGGAATTGTTAACAATAATAATGAAACTATTGGTATAGTAAAATATGTCTATATTTTGGCCATACTGTAATCTGAGTATTTGAAATATTTGGAATATCCAGTATTTGGATTTTTTGTTGAGAAGGCTCCTTTGACTGTACAGTAATTTTCTCACTTTTAAATATTTTCTTTTCATGGAATTGTACTAATATATAATTTTGTCGTCTCACTTACTGGCATTACATATGTCTCTTTGAGCTCTTGGGATGATTTAGTCAGTGGTCTTTGACCAAACAGTAAGAAAGAGCACTTTATAATTCTACAAGCGTTCTCAGTGGTCACATAGAAATGTAAGTGAATGTGAGTTTATGCTTCCCTTTCGTTAGCCAACTATCATTCCAAAGTGAGATAAATTATAACTTTCACTGATTTTGAAGGTAAGGATTTGGAAAGGGCACTTGTAAACTATAGATTTGTTGTTTTTCATTTCAAGATCTAAGTAAATGAAAAGAGAAGGACAATATTTTAATAGGCTTTTAATAAAAATGCAGTTTTTAAAAATGGGGTAGTCTCCATATTCTGGGGATTTCTAGACATTTTAAATGAAATGTTACAATGCTGTTAAACATCTAAAATATTTAGTCATTAAAATGTCTTATTTTAAGAATACTGGTTCATTCTTAAGTTGTTTTACGTGGTCTTACGTATTGATTCCTTGAATAAAGGAAAAAAATACCTACATGCTGCTTTCCATTTCCTATATAACAGAGATAAGTGTAATAATTGGAAAAGTCATTAGAACCACTTTGTAGCTCCTTTATTGTACCAAACACTTGTGGAGGGCTAACGAACCATCCAGAAATGAAGAAGGGAATATAATAGCTGAGAGTTCCCATATTCAGAATGCATCTTTCATTTACTTTAACTATTCAGGTCTCATCTTAAAGAATTCCTTATAGGAATCTCTATGGCAATCTGGTGTTTAGACCAGAGAGGAAAGCACATAAGGCCTGGGCGTTTTACCAGTCTTTCTGCTCTTTGTCATATGCTGTTTGGTTATCACCTAGAGGGTACTTCTGTGCCTCAATTTCCCACATTTATCAAAGATGACAATATAGCTCTGTAGTTAATTATAAAAATAATTTAACAAACATTTAATTTTTCTATTTGATTATATGTTCTGTTCCTGAATGTATAAAGACATGCATGTATAGTCATGTATACATTCCTAATATTCATGTATAAATATAAAGCCTAAAGCTTATTCTTTAGAATGGCAGGGCATTAAAATATTCATGCCAGTTTTTCCAATATATCAATTTGTGGGACTAGATTTGGCAAAGCTATCATTTGTAATGACGACTGTAATGCAGATGGATCTTAGTGACTGTATATAGAAACTGGGGGGAAGGGAGTAGCAATCGTTCTTTGTTTTTTAGGATGAAGCAGAAAAATCTGCTCTTTCCTATATATGGAGGAATTTGTTAGAAGCAAGGACTAAAATAAGGAATTACTGATCAGCTAGAAATTATATTTCTCTTATCTTCCTACTTCACTAATATTTTTATCTTCTGAAAATGTATGGGTATTTTTACATTGAGATATTACCGACTTTGGATGAAACCAGTATTTTTCATTTGCAACCAGGAGTATATAACTGGTGTTATCTAAATTCTCTTTAACGAGTCATCAGCACTTTTATTGTAGGCGTCTCAGGCATAAACATCAATAGTGGAATATCCTGTTTCATTCTTAAAGAAATTGGCAATGATTCACATCCATGTGATATAACCTTTCCATGGGATGTGATTCAGAAGGCCAGTGAAGAAGGCACTTTTAAAATCATACTTTTCCTCATTTGAAAAATATCCCCCTAATTAAAATTTACTGCCATAATCCACTGTTATCAGTAGGATTGTATAATGTTCCTCAAATGTGTTGAATTGGAAAAGTTTAAGAATGATTGATTTAGAAATAAGATGATGTCTTCTCAGTATAATCTATAGCCATATTCAAGTAGAAACAACAAATACTCGGAAATGGTAGTGATTAAAGGGTGAGTAGAGAAAAGAAAAGACTAAAATGAGCCCTTTCGCATCTAGTAAGTCACATCTTCATTAATATCAGATCTCTAGAATATTTGCTTAGATTCAAGTTATCAAATTCATATGTGTGTTTTCTCTCGGTGCTTCTCTTGTTCACCAATCAATATTTTATTATCTTTTATTGATTGAAAAGGTGCGTGTGCAGAGTTGTGGTAAGTCAATGCCCATGCAAACCTCACTAAAGCAGCTTTTAGTAGTGAAAATAGTTGATAGTAGACTGTTCTTATTAAAATGAAAAACTTTTGCTACACTATGTAAATGCCAACAATAGACAATTCTAAGACAGCTTATTCAGAGCTTATAATTACAGGGGTAAGGAAAAGCCTATCTTCAAAATGCATCAGTTTTCCCTAAAATCTATGTTTACTCTTAAATTGATGCTGAAAAATATGTAATATCAATCAATATGTTTTTGATTCAGTAACCCTGTGTTGACATATCCTTGATTTTTTTTTAAAGATGAGATTAATGAAAAGACATATCTATACTTTCTCTTAGTATTTCTAAAATATAATAGCAGAGATTATTACCCATTGCTTGTAGCTTTCCTGGGGGATGCAAGTGCTTCCTCCTGCTTTTTGGCCCATTTCTGAGATATCGTTAGAAACTCACTAGTTGGAAGAATGTTGAGGGCTAAAGAGCCTGCCTTTCCTTCATTACACCCAAGACCCTGTTAGTTCTATTAGTAAGGGGGAGAAATAAGAGATGCTTTTATTTTTTCCTGTTATTCATATAAATAGAGGATGTGAATATTTAGAGTGGTTTATTTTAAAATACTAACCCCCAACAATATTTTAAAAGGAAGATTTCCTATACAAAAAAAAAATGTTTAACAATCTGCTCCTAGAAAAGAGGCATATTCTACATATTGTAAACATATATCTACAGTAGTAAATTAAATGATCTCAGAGTTTACAAGCCAGGGTTATGCCTTAATTTGAAGGTCATTGCATTCTCAATATACCACGTTCACAATTCCTTTTCAAGTATTTGCTCTCAGCAAAATGAAAAGCATATTATCTGCCATTTTAATCATTTTGTCAAAGATAAAATAAACTCATCCTCCCCGTGTAGACCTTTGTACCTTGGTAACCAAGTAAATCTGCCTGACACTTGTAGGCAAAGCACCCTATTGGTTTTACTCTGTACACTTTAATAAACACTCAAGGTAAAAATAGAAGCAAGAGATGACGAGTAATAAAGGTAAGAGACATAATCAATTATTATTATTCCTTTGAATGTACGTGTAACAGTGGATGTCACAAATGAAATATTACATCTCTATTTGAAAATTTGTCAATGTGTCCTTTTTTCTTATGCATTTCACTCAAATTATGATAAAATTTTGGCAATTCCTGGAACAATAATTAGGATTATTATTACCATTCTATAATGATAAGCAATTCTAAAATATAAAGAGAGAGAGAGAGACAGAGAACACACACTTGATAATTCTTAAAGCATGTGGTTGTACTGTAACTGTCTGGGCAGTGTCCAACATGTAGAAACATATGCATGAGCCCTTAGTACTGAGTTAATTAAACATATATTTAAATAATTTAGAAAAAGGTCACTCTAAGTTTTGTGAAAACACGATATGTGTATGCCATTTTTGTTTAATGATCTTAGAACCCTCTTTTTGATTGGTACATTCCGAACTATTGTTGAAATACCACTTGTGACAAATTTAAAGATTATTCGAGTAAATGAACATAATATTCTAAACCTTGAATATTTGACTGTGTTTTTGTGTCTCACAGTTACATTTTCTTTGAGCTTGGAGATTCTTCCTAACCTTAGTGGGTTTATATGTAACGACTAATGTAAAGAAAGAAAATAGAAGAGCTTAACTGTTTTGCTGAATGTTTTGACTGTCTCCTGGGCCTTCAGACCACTCAAACTCCATAGAAAGAATATAGTTACTAGAAGTGAACAAGTAAGTAATAATATAGTACAAACAAAAGATTGGGTTTGTAGGTGAAATATCAGTACCAGGAGAATCATTTCTGAAATGTTCTTCTTCTGACTAGCTTCATGAGTGTATTTTTAAACTAGTTTTTCTTAAAACATGACAGTTTACTCTTTCTCATTCTCTCCCTCTCCCCCTGCCCCTCATTATTTACAAAATTCTATATAGAATTTTACATGACATTACATTCAAGTAATGTAAGATTACTTTAAAAACTAGCAAATAGATTTGCTGTTTCTGTGGCAGTTTTTACAAGCACTGTAGGAATTTAGCATTGTGTCCTGAGTTGATTCTGTAATCATGTCTTAGGAGAAACAAATTCTGAGAGTCTATGTAGTCTGGGTAGGTACTTATTATACTTCACAGATTTTCAATTATTTCCAACTAGGGGTTTCTTAACTAAGAGTATATTTTGACAATGAAAAAAAAAATGTACTGCATTTTCCCCTCCCTTAACAGCCAAATTGTGTTTGCCAATGCTTCCACTGGAAACAGAGGGAATCATAGGTAGAACCGTTTAAAAAATATTTTGAATACTCTTGGCTTTCTTAACCACGCAAAAGAAAACTTCTGATTTGGCAAAAGTAGTCTGAGCTGAGAAATACTTTAAGTATTTTACTACCAAGTAAAATATTTGTAGTGTAATTTCAAATACTTTTTTTTTTTTTTTAGCATATCCGTTCTTGTCTGTGTGGACAACTTATGATGTTTATCTTACCTGTGGGGATTGTTTTACCAATTTATGTGTGCTGTGTAAGCTTTTATTTGAGGAGGGTGTCAGAGGGAGGGATATTTTCACAGTTAATTTCTTTACCCAAACTTAATATTAGTTTTTCTTCTTTGTCAATGACAAGATTTTTTTTCTTTCCAAAATGAAGAACTTTTCTTCTTTCAAATATAACAAATTTCATTTTGTTATAAGAATTACGTTGGTGAGACATCTTTCTAGATCTCCCTCTCTCCCATTTATTAGGAAGTAATTACATAAGAAAATAGTAGTTTCTAAGGTGTATGTGGGACTTAGCCCTTAACTATTAGCACACGTATATATTATAGCCAAATAATTAACAAAATATAATTATGTAAATATATGAAATAAAGTCCTGGTTTAACATAATGATACTTCCAATAATTTGTTGAAGCTAAGAATGAGGGCTCTGAGGTCACGCTGCCATCTGACAACTTTGATGTTTCCCCTGACTAGCTATGACTGTGGGCAAGTTAGTTGACCTCTGTAAAGTGGGCACAAAGTTGTATCCAACTCATAGAGCCATGGTGAGAATGAACTGAGATAGTGTATCTGGGGCACATATAGCAGAGTCCCTGGCATGAGCCCACATTACATTGTGTAGTTTTCAGATGGCCCAAAGGTATTCCATTGAGGGGATGAATTCAGGGTGAACAGGCTGAAAGGCATCTGTTGCCCCTCTTCCTGGCCATGCTCTTGCTTGCTGGGCAAGGTCAGGCAAAAGAAAGTATCTTTTTAATTTGAACAGAGGAATCCAGTAGGATAGTGGTGGCTGTATACGTCAGCCATGCTAAGAACATGCGCCCTCTTTTTTCAGGTAGTCCTTGTGGTTTTGAAGTCAGCCTGTGTCTCACATAATCATTGTGAGAGTATGATGTTAACAACACTTCTTCCACAAGGTAGTTAGAAAGTGAAAAAGGCAGATAGCCAAGTGATTTATATAAATATAATCACTTAAAGGTTTCTGTTAGCATCATTGTTATTATATAAAGCTTATCAATTAGTAAAAAGATAACTATAGTTAAGATGTATCATTTGTAGTATTAATGTAAAACATGTAGTGATAGGTTAGGGCTATGCATAACAGAACAACTATTAAAAGGCAGTTTATGCCTTTTGGGTTTACACTGGAGTTCTAGAATAAAATGGGAGGGAGAAGATGATTAGAAACTGCATGAGGAGCACCACTTTTGAAACTAATGCTGACAGCTGATAACAAGAGCAAAGTTATTGTAACTGGTAGTGGACGTTTGAATTGTTGAAATGTGCCATGTTCATATTTTACTTCCAATATTTTCCCTTGACATAATGGATTCTGAAATGAAATGTATAGAGGACTATTTTTAAACTAAGATTTCATTTTAAAGAATATCACACATAAGGGATTTAATTAAAGGATAATGAAGGAGCAAAATAAAGAATCAGGAATCTTAGGTTTTGGAGAGATACTCAAGATATGAAATCTATTTTGAAGCTAACACTGGAGATAAAAGTCAGGAGCTCTCCCATGTTTTTCTGTGATATTAAGGAAATTAAGTCAGAATCCCATCTCTACAGTAGACTGTTTCACTTAACCATTTTACTGACTCCACTTCACCCTTCTGCTTCCTGAATCTAGACACAAACTGAATTTATCCCCTTGGACTGCTCTTCTTTCTCCACTGCCTCTGATCAAATATCACCTGGATATTTTAGATTGGCAGTTTCACATAGTTCAACCTTATAGATACATCCAGACTAATGTAAACCTGTTCAGATCATGTTGACTTACTTCCTCTTTTGCCCACCATATCTGTGGTTTCCAAATCATACAGATTTTTTATCTCCTCAGTGCCTTTCCTCCTTTCCTCTTGCACTGCAGAAACACCAGACTCTCATTCCTTCTCCGGTGAGATCCTGAAGAAGCCTTGGAATTTGTTTTTCTAGTTCTCTATCTCGTCCCACACGAGTCAGCTGTACTTAAGGGTAGCACTTAAGGACCAGCAAGTACTCTATGGCTCCAGCCTAGATTTCCAGACCTATTTTGCCCTAATTCCATATAAATAGCCTCATTAGAAATAAAGTGGGCCACTAATTATTCCTCATTATGATCCAGACATATTACTGTTTCCTTGTGTTTTTACATTTTATTCCTTCTTGCTTCTCCTCTACTCTTTCCCAAACCCCAGCTATAGCTATATTCTAAGTTTTTCACCTTTCAATCCTAATAAATTTAGCACGATGCTTTTCAGATGGCTACTCAATAACTGTGGTAAGTTACACTCAGGATGCCTCCCATAGTTCTGGGGAAGTTCCCCTTTTGACTTCTAAACTGAGAAAAAAACGTTATACCTATTTCTGCACCTACAGTGCTTCACAGTGAGTGATTACAAATGTTTAATTGTATGTTTTCCCAGCCGATTATAAACTGCATTAAGGCATCTACAATGTGTATTGTACTGTAGCATGGCTTGGTACAATGCCTGGCAGATAGCATATGCTTAGAAAATACTGTAGAATAAATGTTGCAGAAAGTTGGTGCTCAGTACATGTTTTAAATCTTGTATGTGTGATTATATATATTTGGTCTTTGTAATTCACGGCATAATAACTGATGAAATAGTCACTATTACAATTTTTTCATGTGTTCAGGGAAGGAGGTCCTTTAATTTGCTTACTAAGGCTTAATCTTATGGTGAAGAGGAGAAATAAAAATTGTATTGTATAACAAATTGAATACACTTGAAAAATTATCAGCCGTTTGATTAGGGAATGCATTTTTAGTTTTCATAACACATGAAAATCTATATGCTGTCAAGGAAAGGTTATTCTAACATTTAAGGAATTACACAAATTCTGTTCTTTAACATGACAGAATAATAGAAAGAGTCCTCTTTGTAATGTTAGGGCAGCTAAGCGTGACCAACATAACTGAGAAGTTTGTTGCCATTATTATCGTTAAATCTATCATTATATCTTTGTGTAATTAAATCTTTATAAAAGCAAATGAGATGAGGTATACTTCTAATAATTAGTGGTTTAGAATAAATGAAGAATTTATAAAGTATATTAATAGTAAGAGGACACCTGACTAAAATCTCAACAGCAAAGATAACTATGACCTGAATTAAAGAGAAGAAAAAACTAAGAAAAAAAAAGATCAAACAGTATTAATATTTCTGCATTTCAGGTGAGTTATCTACATTTTGCTGGTATTTTTCTTCTCATTATCTGTAGAAATCCATAGAAACAAGTCTCTGTGCAGCTCCAAATGCCCCCAATTCCATTTTATATGGTATTTCCAATAAGGGCACCGTTTCTTGCAAAGAATATTACATCTCACTAATTGTCCTACAAATCCCATTCTTAATTAAAATCAAAATCTTAATTGTAACAACTTTACTATATAGCTTGCAAATATGTGTTCTTTCTTGTTTGTTTGGAGGATGAGGCTCTGGATACATCTTTTTTTTTTTTTTTTTTTTTTTTTTTTTTCTTTTCGAAAGGAGCAGCCCTGGTGAGAGAAATTTACAGCAATTGATTTTGTTTGTTTGTGGCTGCAGCCATAAAAACTCCCAGGCAAAACTAAATAGTGCTTGTGGGGCACAGACATGGTGGTTCACAGGGAAACAGTGAGTTTTATAATACTGATAACACTAAACAATAAGACAAGGTATAATAGTTCCAGTCCCATCATTTGTCTCTGCTTTGTCCTGAGTTGTACGCTCCGTCATGCATATGCTGGCTATAATGTGACATATTTAATTCTGCATTTAGTCTCTGCTTTGTTACACATGCTCGAAAATAGCAAGTCAGCTTCTCAAATGCCATGCATCAGCCCTCTAACAACAACAACAACAAAATTAAATACAAAGTAAGTTTGAATAACAGTAACGGTGGGAAAATCTATCCCAGGGTTCATTCTTTTTACAGGGAGTTGGCAAACCAGGAAGAATAGATTTTGTCATGTGCAAATATGGTGACCATAAATGGTGCTGGAGGCTTTTTCCATTGTCCTCTGAGTTTGCCATGAGAGAAAGCGGGTGAGAGAAAGAAAGACACGTTTGATAGAGTTGTGAAGAACGTTTGAATGGCTATTGGGTGTTGAGCATTGTCTTGCAGTGACCTCAATTCGGTACAGTAGAGACCCTTGAAAGCACTGTCTGAAGTCACAATACCACTATTCTCCTCCATTTAGTAAAAGGGATTAGTTAAAAGGGTGACGTTCCGTGCAGAGAGTTCCAAGTATTCCATGAAACAAAAGGCTCTGAAATGTTTTTGAAGTTATTTTTAATTGAGTTGAACTAATTTAATAAAGGTCCTACGGAGGAAAAAAAATAAAGGAATGTGATTGTTTTATGATTCCTCACAGATGGAATGGACATTTATAGCATACTTTTCCTTTAGTGTTCCAGAGAACAGTAGCTCCATTTACAGCTACTGTTAGCAATTTAAAACTGCTCCAAAATGAAGTCTTTCAAGAAGTTGACAGCTTATAAATAAATCTGTCTGATAAAATTGAACATAAACTGCATCTGTGGTTAGTTTGCCAAAATTAATTCTACATTTAATTAGAGATAGCAGTCAAACATATTTAATAAAAAACAGTCTTGGAGAGTAAATCAAATGAAGTCAGATTTTAGCAGACGTTTTGCATTTTTTTGCAAGGAGTGATGAAATGACCTCACCTCTCTGATTCCCAGTTATATGGCAGCGCGAGCTCTGTAGAGTTATGGGGAAGCCAATGAGTTCACACTGTTTGGAAAGGTTCCTTGCTCAGCTTAGGATAAAGAGAGAAAACGATCATTTTGTGATTTCTCTTGATATCATCATTGGATTTTACACTGATGCCATATGTATTAAATTCACAAGTTAATAAGCGTATTACTGCTAATAATTACAGAGAGCAGGCTAAAATAATTCTAACTCACATAAGTGCAAGTACATGGAATTTGTCCTTAAAGTTTGTTTTTTGTTTACTTTTTTGGCAATCTTCATTGTTGTTGTTGTTTTTTAACTTAGCCATTCCAATGAGATGTATTAAAATCATACAGTAGCTACAATGCCATTTCTTCCCCCTAAAAGACTTTTTAAAAATTCAGCTTTGCTTATCAAATATTTGTGCTCACTCTGCATGGTTTAAGCAATGTGCCATAGCTGTAGAATCCTGGGGAAGATGCAAAAACACACAGATCAATCAGAATGCAGCAAACAATATTTTGGAACCAAAGTGACTTACAGTTCAGAGGGCAAAGAAGCAGATCTTCAAACATTGGAAGTTTCAACACACAGTCCATAGTCCTGGGTGAAGTAAATAGACAGACAATAGAAACCAGCATTGGCAATAAAAGTTTCAAATGCAGATAAAAATTATATTTGTCTACATAAATGCACACAAAAATTAAAGTCAACTAAGCCAAATTTCATTTTGATCTTTTTAAGAGCGTGATGTTACTTTCTTGAAATGTGGGAAAATTTAAGAGATATATCATTGTAGGAGATAACATTGTGGCACTTAGTTAATGTCAAATTTTAATTTGATATTCAACATTTATTTATTGAGTTCCTATATGTTAGCATTGCAATCATAGAAATGGTTAATCTATACTAAATATTTTTCCAAAGTGTTCACATGTTTTTGTGTCATGTAGTTATTAATACTGTTTCTGACTAAAATACACAGAGGCATTCTTTTCAGTTCAAGATATTTTGTCCTCTCAGAAACATATTTTTATCTTACATGCAGTAATTTGCCTTCCCAGTAACTTTATACAATTTTGCTAAAAATTGTAATAGGAAATAAAAGTAGTATGAACTTATTCCTGAAGTTAAAACAATATATAATTGTTCCAAAGTTTCCTCTGTGAGCCTTACATTGCTTGTACTCTGAAAAAATAAAGCAGTAGTAATTGTATACAACACAGAAAGTTTATCTACTAATTACTTTTAGTTCTCCTGTGGAATAATTACGCTATCTTAAAACTCATAGGTAGAATTATGAGGATGTTAATGTGCTACACTTGTTTAATCACTTATTAAAATACAGATCGGCTCTCGACTGTAACTACAAAAAAAGGTGTTTAAAAATCAGGTATCTCAAAAAGAAGAGTTGACCAGCTCAATCATGCTATAACATATAAATCATCAATAACCAAAGGACTGATTGATCTCCTTAGTATATATAGATACTATATATTGATACTTTGTCTGTATATTGATACTATATTAATTTAATGACTGATCTCCTTAGTATACATATTGGACCCAAGAAAACAATTTTTTAATCAGTGGTTTCAAATTAGTGTTTCAGTGTCGTTGCAGGATTAGGATATTATTAATGCAACTTTGTGAATAAATACCAAATTACTGTTCTCTCATTTAATAAAAATAAATAAAACAATAAAAACATCCCCCTTAATTTAGGAAATATGCAAAAATGTACTATTTATTTTCATGTCATACATTTTGTAGGTCCTTGGAAAATAACTTTCCTCAAAGTTGCATTTAACAACTTTGTTATAATTTATGACATGAACAACTTTGGAAGTATGGGTTAACAGTTAGATGGTTCCCTGTGGTCTTGGCAGAAAAACCCTTTCACCAGTTGATCTTATCTTGGGCAAGTCATTTAACCTGGCTGGGTCAAGTTTACTTTATCTTTAAAATGAAAATATTGCGTAAATTCTGAAGCTGGTTTTTTTTTTTTAATTTTATTGTTAGAGCATTTCTATCCACCCTACTTTTTTTTCTCTTAATTTAAACAAATGCCATGTCTTTTCATCATTTTGGCTGCTACGTGAGGTGATGTTGAACAGAGCAAAACTCATGGGGGAAGGGAGACAGAAATTGCACCTGGGCAGAGTTGTAATTTTTGCTGTATCATCAGGTGTAAAAAATTAATGGTAAGCAGAGAAGGAGGGCAGTTGATGGTTTCACGACATTGATGAAAGACACTAAGTCATAATAACCATATTTCTATTAAAAAATTCTATAATGACAATAAAACATTCTTTCATTGCTAAGGAAGTTGAGAGGTTTGGTTCAGAAATGCCTTAAAAAGTGCTCTGTAAAGATACATATTCTAGAAATGCTAAATAAAGTTTTCGAAAACCCTTGTAGTTCCTGGAAATTAACACATTGAATATGTGAAGTTGAGGCTTTGTGGAGAGCATAGAGATAATTGCTCTCAAATATCAGTGCCTTTACCTTACTTGAGGTTCTTACCATGAGTCACAGTGTATCACAGAGTTCTCCCAAGCAGACTCCCTGCCTCCTGTCTCTTGTTACAGATCCATTTATCTCACTGATGATGCCAGTTATCTTTTAAAAATGCAAATCTGGTTATGTCATCCTCCTGATTGAAAGCCTTCAATGACTTTCAGTTGCCTACAGGCTAAAGTCTAAACACCTAAGCCAGGCAAACAGGACCCTTATCTCTCTCACTCCAATAGAGCTTTCCAGCCTTCACTCTATGTAGTTGCTTACCCTTGTCCAGGTAATCACAGGTTCAATAACTGTGGCTCATATTCAAAAGCCACAACAAACATCGTATCTTCTGTCAAGCTTTCCTTTTTCAGGTACCTCCTCCTCCTCGTACAAACTGTATTATCACGCCCACTTCACAAAGTTCTCTCTCTCTCCCCTCTTCCATAGCTAGTGTTACTTCTTAGTCACCTTTTTTTAAAACTGTTTTTAAAAATATCCACCATCAAACACAGCATATCTATTTAAGATTTAAAAATAAGCAAACGATAGGTAACTTTGTAGGACAGTAAAATACAATTAATAGTTGAAATGTATTTTGTTGTCATGTGTTTTATGGAAGTTATTTCATCTGTGTACATATTATAAAGGTAAAAGTTATGCTTTTTAAATATAAATTCTAATAATATGTCTGTGCACTATAATTCAATGGAAATACAGGTTGCAGTTCTCTATGGTTTTTTTACATTATTTAAATATTTCCAAATTATTCTTAAGGCTTCTCAAAGCTTATGTATTTAATGTAACATTCAGAATTGCTATGGGTGTGTTGTTAAGATTTTAAATTGCCATTTTGAAGCCAAAACTGAGATTTGTCTTCACTTAGCTGCATATATATATATATATATATATATATATATATATGAAAATACCTTTCGAAGAGAAGTACCACCTTGTATAAATTAGTAATTTCTTTTAATTGCCTCAAATGTTTCAGTCTCGTGTGGACTTTTGAAGTTGTGTGCAGCTTTGATGTTTTATTAATTATTTTCAAGGTGGCTTTCTTTCCAGAGCGAAGCATACATATTGATTTTGTGTATGATGAAGACTGAAATTTCTATCTTGGCACTGATACTCCTTGCAATCAGATCTAGTAAGGGTTTGATCGTTTTAAGCAACTCTCCAACAGTTAACTGTTGGCTGCCAAAGTTCAATTTAGATAAGTGAAGGGGAAGAGTTTAGAAATTTCACACATTAAATGTGTGATGGGAAAAACCCAATATAATGTATTAAAGATGCAGCCTTTGGAAGGAAAACATGGAGTATCGTAAGAATTGTGCGCCAGTCTCCAAAGGTTTTCAGTCAGGTTTGGTTCAGAAAAGCCCTTGAATGTGTTGGAAGCAGATCTTGGAAGGGGCTGTGTGGTGTGTCGGGGAAAGCACCAGAGTCAGTCTTGGTTACACATAGACTGTAAAGTCGACTGTGGTAGCATGACAAAAATTGGTCTGTGTAGCTTGCCACTGCCAATCTTCATGATTGATACAGATTGTTGGAGCCATAGCTATCATATGGTGCTCCATATTGATTGTTAAATCTGCAAAAGTGAATTATTTAGAATGTATTTTTCCATCCCATTGGCTAATTCTTCCTGTGTCAAAGAGTTTTAAAACATTTGACCTTCACTCTCAATTCTCAGTTGTTACCATGACTTGAAGGAAACGATATAACTGTTTATTCCTAGGGCTTGGATAATAGTATTGTAATCTGATTCTTAAGGAATACTGTAAAGGAGAGCTTCACATTTGAAAAGTCAGTATATAAAAGGTTCTCAGTAAGTTAGTAGTTTCTATTTTTAGGGATGGTTTGGATTTTATTTTTTTTAAGAAAAAATTGCCATCTAGACTTTAGGAAAGAGAATTAGAAGTCTCATGCCAAATAAACTCCTTAGAAGAGCTTTCAGTCTTACCAACCATTACAAAAAAAAAAAAAAAAAAAAAGGCAGCTTTGGATCTTTTTTAGTATTTCACATTGGTCCTATTTATCTATAGAATTCAAATGCAATCAACATGAATATGAAAATACTTTAGACTTTTTCACATGGAAAAAGATTCTGCATGTTTGCAAGGGGCAAGTGACATAGGAGAGTTTTCTTTAAATCACCTATAATGTCAGGATCATTTAAAGCAAGCAACCAGAATGCTGGATTGTGCTGTTGGAAAGAACCCACATAAGAATGAAAACAGATGGTATTATCATTCTACCCCAAGCACTGTGTGGATTTTTTTGGTCAGAGTCTGATTGAAGTTTCTGAAATTATTAAGTGGATAGATAATAGAGAGTAAGTAAATGAGAGCATGGAGGGCTTGCCAAGTCTTTAATGCTCACTTAAACAAAACTGCCTGCAGGTTCAACAAACCCATGCCTGGGTTTTGTGGGTTTACAAGGTCCGTCTCCAGAAAAGTTGTTTTAGGTGATGGTCACCATTTTAATTAAAGGGATATCAAACTATATGTTTAGAGAGATAATAACAAGCCACCCAAACCCAGATGCTAGATGCCACACATGTTGGAGAGGGCTGTAAGAAGGGAGAAAGAAACCAACGACAAAAAACACTCTCTCATTCTACAGGCTGGATTTAAAGTAAACCAATGGGGCGAAAGTTACAACCATTTTCATTTTCCATCCCAGAGATCTTCCTCCCCAGTGTCCTCCTCCTTTACTCCATATCTAAGTGTTGAGTATCTCCATTTCTTCCTCTCCAATTGCTAACTCCATTTCTCTTTGGTGGGAATCAGCATCTTGCCTTTGTATGCAGGAATTTGTGCATTCTGAGCATTTCCTTTGCATTACATTATGTGTTACTGTGATTTTACTTTGGCCTCCTTGGCTGCTTTGAAAAATTGTCATGAGTTAAACAGTTTAGCAAAAGCTGAAAAAACAAACAAAACAAGCCATGAGATTCAGTGATTACTCTCAGTTAGAGTCCAGCTGAGGAGCATTTAAACTTTGGGTTTGCTTATTTCAATCATGTCTTTTTTAAAAAAAAAATGGTTCAAACATGTTTTTTAAGGTGTAATTTTCTTGATTAAAACAATAAAAAGTTTCTCTAATTCTTGTAGAAAAACTTTTGGGCAGCTTTGGATTATGGCTCTACCCCTTATATATCTGTCTGCAGTTTTACAGTGACTATCATTAGAACTAAATATTTTTTTACATTTTTCCTACGGTCCAGATAATGTAGGTCATAGCTATCTAATAAGAATAGGATTTCTTATACTTAGCCTCTCATTTCTCAAAACATATTGACAAATATAATATTGAGTTTTCATTTAAGACTTATGTGCTATAAAAAATTAGGAAAACCTGCAGGTCCTGTTTCTGACTGGCACTGACTTTTTTTTTTTTTTTTTTTTTTTTTTAATAATTTGAGACAGGGTCTTACTCTCTTGCCCCAGGCTGGAGTGCAGTGATGGTATCATAGCTCACTGAAGCCTCAAAGTTTTGGGCTCAAGCAATCCTCCTGACTCATCCTCTCAAGTATCTAGAACTACAAGCAAGCACCACCACGCTCAGCTAATTTTTATTTTTTTTATTTTTTGTAGAGATGGGGTCTCCCTATGTTGCCCAGGCTGGTCTTGAATTTCTGAGCTCAAGCAGTCCTCCTGCCTCTGCCTCCCAAAGTGCTGGGATTATAGGGGTGAGCCACCATGCCTGGCTGGCATTGCCTATTAATGAAAAGGACCATCAGCAGGAAGCTAATCAATTTAGGTTTGGAGAGTTAAAAAAAAAACAAAATAAAACAAACAAACAAAAAAACAAAAGAAAGTAATCCAAAGAGTAGAAACCAAATTTCCCAAGTTATACAGTAGAGTCATTGTTAAGATTTCTGAGTAGGTCACAAAACTTTCAAGAGAAGTGTGATAAATGCTTCAGAGAAATGGCGAAAGTGAATTCAAGAGTGGTATGAAAAGCTTTGGAATTTTCTTTAACACATACAAATTTTGTTCATGTGAAAAAATTAAGACTTAAATTGAATATTGAGCTTTTTTTTTTTTTTTTTTTTTTTGGTAGTTTACAGAAATAAACACTAAGCCTGACACCAGGTTTGTGTGGGAGTAAGGTAAATTTGGGCTAAATGACTGATGTACTGTTTGGGTATAAACATTAGATTCCATATTGCAACTGTCTGTCACTACTCTTGTCATTAATCAAATAGGTACTAAAATGTACAGCAATGTTTAACTATATTTAATGTAGTTAGTTTTTATAATCATTGCTGGTACCTATCCAGGTGCAGGTGGTAGCTGTTTTTTTTTTCCTGAGTTAAGATTATGAAATCATTCACTGTCTTTCTATAGAATTAGAATTTGAGTATACAGGTTTGATTCGATCTGCTGAATTTGGTGTCATTTGTGGTCTAGAGAAAATGCAGGATTTAAAAATCATGGAGGTTACTGAAGTGTTGGGGGAAGAGGAAATAAATGTATATGATTCTTGTGTGTGACCTGATGAGAGATCAGGTGCATTTATATTTCCATTTGGATACATTTATGAATTTAGAAATAAAACATGAATTTGAAAGAGGAACAAGAGCTGTGTGGTTCTACTGAACTTGTTCTACATCTTGTGTACACTGAGCTTTTTTTTTTGAGGGATGTAGGCATGGTCTCTGTCATCCAGGCTAGAGTGCAGTGTCAGATTTTATTGAGAATCTATCAAGAAGTAATCTGATAGAAGTCTCACCTTTTCTCTGTCTCAGATTTACTCTTTTCCATATTAATTATGAAATAGCCAAAAACTGGGAGCAAGATTAAAGAAGCAATAAATAAAATTTATTGTCTATTCTTTCTGCATGGTTTTGTAAAATTTCATAAATTCATTGTGTATTATTTATTTATTTATCTTTCCTCTCAGAAGATATCAAAAATATGTAATCAGAGCACTTGTGCTAGGTAAAAGGTTAAATTTGAATCATTGTTGAAAAATTCTAGTTTCTAATACTGATGTTTATTTGAAAAATGATAAATGGTCCTTCAGGGTCCCTGAAGTGTTTTCACAGATTCTCATGCATGGTTGGCAGTTTTATTGAAAATGGCTGTAAATCAGTAAAGAAAGCTACAAATACGTTTTATGTCATCTTTAGAGCAACAGTAAGTTACCATCCCAGAAAATGAAGAGACCATTTTTACAGAAGGTAGCATGATAAGGTGTTGAAATGAAAAGACATGTTCACAGAGGTGTCCCCAGCACTTAGTCATTAATAACAGTAAATGGAGGAGTATAGAGATAAAGATTAGAGTCAAGATTGTCCATGGGGTCGTAAACTTAAATTTTTAGAAGCATGTGTCGGTTTTTATGTTTGTTTGTTTTTTGTGTTTTGGTGGTTATTCTTTTACAAGATGTTTATTGACTAGCAGATTGGATTTGAGCTCATATGCTATAGGATCCAGGTGAACTCATGTTCTCCAAATGCATCTGTTGTTTGCTTCTTCCAGAATAAATATTACAATCCTTGATGAAAAACAGCTGGAAGGCTTGCCTGTGGTTGCCTTCCTTTTGGGTGCACAGGATGAAATCACTTGTGCACCATTGACAATTTTAAATGGAGAAGAAAAGTATATTCCATCATAAGATGTCAGAAAAAAAATCTTTGTTTTGCAAATATATTTTACATTTTTACTTTTCTTTGAGGTATCCATTTTAGGATAGTAAATGATTTGGAGCACATATGTGTCCAAAACTCCAATGTAGATACATTCAGCATTCTCTGTGACTTATCTATGTTTTCTTTAAAAAAAAATTTTATGTGTTATTCATGTAAAGTAGGGTATAATTTAAATTATAGTAAATGTCCAAGTACAGTTTGTCAAAGCATTCAAAACAGAAACAATGCAATCATTATACCATGAAGTGATATTTTTATAGCTAATTTTTAAGGCATGTGAGACACTTTATTAATGTTTTAATTTATTTTACTCTTTGAGGTGAGGAGTAGGTTTTTTTCCATTAATGTCTACTGGAGAAGTTGACAAAATGGTGCTAATGGACAGAACCATGGACTGGAAGTAAGTAGTTATGGCCACATTGCTGCTATCAAAGAGCTTTAGGGCCTTGGGCAAGAGCCGTCATCCCCCAGGACACACTTCCTCCTGTCTAAAACTAGCAATTGCAGTGGATGATTTCTCAAATCTGTGAGCTTATTATGACTTCTAAACAGGTCTCAAGTTTCTTCATATTTCCTGCCAACACTGATCTCATCCCTTTCTGACTTTCATTGCAGGTGTTATCTGTTCCATAAATTGTGGTAGTTGATTATATTTAATGATATAAATTATCATACAATCTTTTATATGACAATCTGTTTTTATTTCTTTTAGGAGCACACATTTTAATAATATTCACTGTCTCATAAGGTTAATTCTTATCTTGCCAATGAAATATCCACGCATCTCAAGGAAAGAAACTTTGCTCTATATTTCTTCTTTTTTCCCCTTCTCCTTTTAACACATTACAGAATAGTTGTCACAGCTATTTGAAGTGTTGATAAACTTATCAAATTCAATTGCAAACTTATTTAGAACCCATGCAGTATGTTTGATTCAGAACCATAGAAATAGAACATAGCTAACACTTGAATGAGAATTGGGAAACCTGAATTCCAGTCCAAGTTTCAACATTATCTGGCTATGTTCCCTTGAACAGGTTACTTTGTGCTTCGGTTTACTCATCTTTAAAATGAGGAAAAGGGATCAACTAATGTCTAAGATTCCATCTAACTTTCAATTTTTATAATTTTGTTTCTGCAGATGCTATCATGGAAGTGATAAACAACTTTGCCTAGCATTTTCAAAACATAATCTACCCCTCCTCAAGCATTTTTCGTCATTCTTTAATTCTGTGATTTGCCACGTATTTATTGACCACCTGTTATGAATTAAGTACTATGGATTAAAAAACAAGGCTTGAGCCGGGCAGTGGCTCATGCCTGTAATCCCAGCACTTTGGGAGGCAGAGGCAGGTGGATCACGAGGTCAGGAGATCGAGACCATCCTGGCTAACATGGTAAAACCCCGTCTCTACTAAAAACTATGAAAAATTAGCCGGGCGTGGTGGCGGGTGCCTGTATCCCAGCTACTCAGGAGGCTGAGGCAGAAGAATGGCGTGAACCTGGGAGGCAGAGCTTGCAGTGAGCCGAGATCGCGCCACTGCACTCCAGCTTGGGCAACAGAGTGAGACTCCGTCTCAAAAATAAAATAATAAAAATAAAAATAAAAAACAAGGCTTGATTCCACTTGTTTAAATGTGGGCACATCTTTTCACCTTCTTGAGCCATCTGCCTAATTGATATAGCAATAGCTGCCTTACATGGTTCATGTGGGAATTAAATTAGGCAATGCAGTTAAGCATTTTGCCCAGTACCTGCCAGATAGAATGGGGTTAATATTGTTATTAACACTGTTATTTTGTGAGCATTTAATTTTTAAGCCATTAATTGGGGTCATATTTAATGGTCTACATGGTATAAATATAGCATAACTAATTATTTAAGTATAATAAATGCAGAATTTTACATGCAGCTTTATGTTGAGCAAGTTACTTATCCTTTGTCTGGCAAACTTGGGACAGAAACGCCAGTCTTCTATTGTATTCAGGACTAAGTGAGTTTAAAATAAGATAATGTACAGAAAATTTCCAGCATAATGTTTGGCATATAAGGTTCAAACGTATTTGTTCCAGACAAAACTAACCTTTGGTGATTAGGCAAAACTAGCCTAGTTTTGTTCTAGGCAAAATTAATCTATGGAGGTTACCCCTGGTGGATAATTGACTGGAAGGGCATGCATAAACCATCTGGCATGACAGAAATAGGCTGTATCTCAATCCGAGGATGATTACATAAACGGATATGCAGGTAAAAATTGTTTGAGCTGTACACTTAAGATTCTTTTATTTTACTGAATACAAATTATGTCTAAAAATGTTTGTTCTCTTCCCTAAACATAAATACCATATTACATTTTTATAACTGAAAAAAGTCTCAACTAATGATAATACTATTTTTCTAATGGCATGGTTAAAATATCAGTCCTTTACAGTAGTTTTTTTTTTTAAAAAACAATAAATAAAGATGAAAAAGGGCACCATGATTCCTTGAATTTCCTGAGGTCTGAAAGTAGTTGGAGGAACATTCAGTGGTTATATGTATTTCACCACCCCCATTGTTTCAGTTTGGCACACCATATTTTAGGATATGTATTGCCCACCTAGTTCTGGGACCTGCTCTTTTCCCTGGCACAAACAAAACTGTCCATTATGGAGCATTATTTTTACTAGGGTGTGATCAAAGGGCCTGATCAGTCCTGTTGCCTCTTTCTTTCTGTATTTTTCTGAGATGAAACATCACTTATGATTTATTCCAATCAAGCTTTATTTAGAATTGGGTCTGTAGGAAGGGGTGGAAATGGAGGGGGAGGGAGCGGAAGGGACAGCATAAATATATACATGTAGTGTGTGAAAATAAAGAAAGGCATCTTTTGTTACAGCTGGTCGCAGGAGAAGTTTCTGCTTGCACTGCTGAAGATAGTATGAGAAGATTAGTGTTGTTGCGGCAAACTCAGGACAAAGACGGGCTGTGTGAGAGGGATCAGTATGTTTGCTCAGCAGAGCGCTCTCCCCGGTTGTTGACAGATTTAACTGGTGTAATGTTAGGCCTGGCTAGCTCCTCCCCATGATTGTCAAGAAGCAATAGGTGCAGTAGTAAATGGCTATGTGGAGTATACCATGAATTCCCCATTTGTGTAGTAGCTGTAGATTGGGGTGGGGATTTAATATTGAATGGACTCCAGATTGTCTAAATTGCAATCACAGTGTTTATTTAAATAGCCTATGGGGACCATTAAAGCATTTTAACTTTTGCTCCTATGTCTCTCGTGTTATGAAATCTTGAAGCACATTGGGGAGAAAAGAAAAATCCAGCCTTGTAAAAGCATTAGGATGCTAGAAGTTCTCCCTGCTGCCAAAAATGCTTCAAGAGTTTTAGTTCTCTGAACTAATGTGTAATATGATGGATGGGATCCTGCTGTGATCTCTAACTAGGGGATTTTCCCTGTGCAGATACACTGATCTGTCACTGTGTAATCACTGCTATGTCATTTTGGGAGACTCTTTCCGATATTGGTTCTCCACTTGTAATGCTGAAGTCTGTTCTTCTCATAATAATTTTTATAATGATATATCTTTAAAATTATATGACTATTTTAATTACACAGTTGCTTTGCTATGCAGTTATTACACTCTAATTTTAGATTAAGAAAAGCTATTTCTTTTACAATACTGGGCCAGCATGATGGTGAAACTTTAGTTTGATGTACATGGTGTAAAACCATGAACTTGAGGTGTGGAGAAAAAGATGCATACCTATTTCTGAGGTAGAGCTTCTAAATAGAAAGCGTGCTCTATTAAGTTTCCATGCTGATTTAAAACCATAAAATTCAAAACACCTCACAAATCATTGTCACTTAAAGTGCTAAAAAACATTTCTACAGTTAGTTTACTTCTCCAGGAAAACTTTGTCTATTTTTTTTTAAGGCCCTAAGTCTGGAGTTTCATTTGACAATGCAAAATATTATTTTCTGATTATGCAAGCAACCTAGTCCCTGAGATATTTCTGAATTGCTGAGCTTAATTTTCAACTTTTTTTTTTTTTCCCAAATTCCTGCTAAGTTTCTGGGGGCTATGCTAACTCCTTGGACTATATAAAAATAAGTTCCTGTATTTGAGGCTCCAACTCTGGGTGACAGGACAAGGTATTCCACATTAGACTATTTCAGGGCACTTTTAGGGTCCTTGAAGTCCAGCCCTTCTGCATCTTTTTTGCCTTATGTATATAGTGGTGATAGTAATACCTATTTATCTTGGATATAAACTAGGAACTAATGTGTGTGTGTGTATATATATATATATATATATATATATATATATATATATATATACACACACACACACACACACACACATACGACTTTGACCTTTCTAAAAATAAAGATACCTTAAGAGTTGTTTTGCTGAGGAGATGAGTACATCAGCTATAGGAGATCTTAAAAATGAATAACTTCCATTCTGCAGCTGGGCAGTGGCATTTAACTTGAGTCAGACCATATGCAAATGAAGGCTTCTATAACATCACAAGTTTTCTAAGATAATCTCTTTTATTTATCATCACAGTATATACTATAGAGCTAATTACTTCCAAATATAACATGATATAGGTGTTTCTTTCCTAAAATTCTTTTTTTCCCAAAAATGCTTTACATTGCTCTTTATTCCATATTAAAACCAAAGGTTTCAGATTTCTTTTGGCTCAGGGTTCCAAATTTTTGTGAACAATGTTATCAGTATTTCCAACTATGCTGTGTATACTGGCCTCGAATCTCTAATTCTTTTTCTAGGACACATTGACGACTAAAATCCATAAATTTTACAGAAGCCTCATTTAATCTGCTAATTTCCCTTTACTTATTACCCTTTAAGTTTTTTTTGTTTTGTTTTGTTTGAGACGGAGTCTCCCTCTGTCGCCCAGGCTGGAGTGCAGTGGCGCAATCTTGGCTCACTGCAACCTCCACCTCCTGGGTTCAAGCGATTCTCCTGCCTCAGCCTCCCGAGTAGCTGGGACTACAGGCGCACACCACCACGCCTGGCTAATTTTTTGTATTTTAGTAGAGACGGGGTTTCACCGTGTTGTCCAGGCTGCTCTCAAACTCCTGAGCTCAGGCAATCCGCCCGCCTCGGCCTCCCATAGTGCTGGGATTACAGGCGTGAGCCGCCGCACCTGGCCTCCCTTGAAGTTTTTTAAAGAATTGATCCATGTTGCTTATTTATTTTTACTCTTAGTTTCACCTTCTTGTTTTTCTACTGCCTACTCCCCTTTCTCGCTCTCTTCCTTTTTTCTTTGTTTACTGATTGCGTTAAGTATTGAGAGCTATCAAAGAAAAGGCAAGCTGTAGAGAAGGAAGTGAAGAGTATGTATAATCCATAAAATCGTTGATCAATCTCAGAATAATAAGGAGGACCATGTATCGCCTACCATTTTCTAGGGAGTGATAAAGCATATATAGCTAATTAGAATAATCTCGTTTTGCTTTAAGAGTTTTACTATAATAATGATATCATCTTCCTATTATCTGCAATCATTCTAACTTCTAGGAATACTCTTTCTAGGACTGCTACCCACCGACAAAGGATATTTTAACTTAATATAAAGTTGAAAGGCACTGGAGTTTGGGGCTGCAAGGGAATCTGTATGGCAATTATGTTATTTTTCTGGGGCAAACCCTTGGTACTAATGCTGTTCATGGTTGTTTTGACTATATTACGTTTTGCTGAGCCTTGGGACTGCTTTTGGAAGGTTTAGAAGTATCCAGGGAGGCGCCTGCCCCTTTGATTATTCATACCCAGCTCTTTATTTTTATTTGAGACATAAAATAAAAACACACCCTGGCTTCTGCTTAGCCTCCACTGGCATTCATTTTAAAAACAAACCCCAAACTGACCAAATGGCAGCAATACAAGTTTCTCTGCGAGTGAGTCATCTTTCATGTCAATCAGAGTTCATTTATGGAAGCATTAAATTCTGGTGCTGGCCAGGCCACCTTTAGACAAATTAAAATGGGTTGGGATTTGGTAGGGCTTGGAACAGAGGATTGAAAGGAAAACCAGAGTGATGTTATGACTCAGAAAGTGACTCTTTTCCTTTTGAATCAGAATTGAGCCACTGGTAGAGTTAGTTCTCTCGAAAAGATGGCAACTTTTAGGTGAAAGGTGAAATAAAATCTCTGACCACCTGTGTTCATCTTGTTGGTTCAACTTTGTGCCAGTTTGGACTTTTACTTACTCTTCACCTTTTCCCCCATTGCTTAGTTATAAATAGGTGTAATATTTTCCTGCTTATGTTCCTTAAAACATTTTTAAGAATGATTGTGAACTTTTAACCACTGCTACATTTTATACCAGATATGGTTTTATTTCAGCAAGTTGTTAATTAATTTCTGCAGAAATGTAGAACTTTTTTTCTACTCTGCTCTTCAGATAAACTTTGAAATAACTCTTTAGTTATTTACCTTCTGAAATTTGCTGTTTATCCTATTTATATTCAAACAATATCAATTTTTCACATTTTAAAAATTCATTCTTTTATTGTTATTTCTGTCTGCTTCTAAAGATGATTTTTTCAAGGACTCATTATTTCAACACTTATTGAGCACCTATCATGTACAGCTATTTTAAGTTTTTCACTACATCTTCATTGGAAGCTATCATAGAATATTTTCATTTTCATGGTTGATTGATTTTCATTTCATACTATCTTAAAGTCTAGTATTTTATTACATCTTACAAGTACTTACATGAGTCACATTGTGATTTTTGGTGTTGATACTCATTAGTTCAACATCATAAACCAATTTTAAGACCTGTATGCATGTATCAGCCTTCTATATCAACTGATAATTAAGAGAAGAGATTGTATCTTTTTGTCAAATTTATATATAGTTGGTTCATTCCAGAATTATAGCCATTTTAATCCCAAGTGCATTTGTTAGTTCTGTATTTATTCATTTAATGCACAATTATTGAAATCCTACTTTTTTTTTTAGACTGTAAGTTCCTTAAGGCATTAAAATATTTCCCAAATGAAAGAATAAAAGAGTACAATAGATGAACAAGCATGGACCCTTCTGAAGAAATAAAGCTCCTTAGTGGTAAATTTGCTGAAGTTAACTGTGTCCTCACCCTACTCAGAATTAATTCAGGATTTTGGTGGTTTTGTAATTGTGAGTGTTGAGCTTTTTGTCATTTGCAAAGTGAAGTGAGATAAGACAGGGATATGCATTTCATGGAGATTAAGGGCCTGGGCACAAAGTGAAGAAGTTCCTGGTTGACATTGGTCATTGTAAGAAATGAGCAACTAAAAGTATAGACTTTAGCGTTGAACTCATTTAGTGATTATTTCTTTTTCTTTTTCTTTTTTCTTTTCTTTTTTTTTTTTTTTTTTTTTGAGATGGAGTCTCGCTCTGTCGCCAGGCTGGAGTGTAGTGATGTGATCTCAGCTCACTGCAACCTCTGCCTCCCGGGTTCAAGCGATTCTCTTGCCTCAGACTCCTGAGTAGCTGGGACTACAGGTGTGCACCACCACGCCTGGCTAATTTTCGTATTTTTAGTAGAGACAGGGTTTCACCATGTTAGTCAGGATGTTCTCGATGTCTTGACCTCGTGATCCACCCACCTTGGCCTCCCAAAGTGCTGGGATTAATGGCATGAGCCACCACACCCGGCCCTAGTGATTATTTCATTTGGAGGTATTTGTATCCACAACCTTTACTCTGTTCCATATTCTGGAATCCAGCTCCATGTGCCTCTCTCCTGCAATTTTCCCTCATCTTTGAGGAGTAGGAGGGCACAGAGTGATTAGGTAAGAACTGGAGGACAAGGGATGGGAGATAGCCAAGATCACACTCAGGAACTTAATGTCTCTACCAGCCCATTGTCATTCTTCTGATATCTACTGAACCTTACACATCCGCACATCCCTAAACTGCCCTTTCACCCCCTTAATGTGGAGCACAGTGCCATTCTTCAGTAGGAAGCCTTTTTATGCAACTGAATTTTATTTTGGAATAAAAGCATCTGGTGATTAAGGATATTGCCTTCCAGTTTCCATTTTCAACCTCGGTTTAAAAATTAGTATCTAAGGGGAATATATGTATATAAACTTTCTTTGGCTGATAGCCTGTGTTTGTACCCTGTGTCCCTGCTTCTGATAAAGATAATCCGAACTATAACCTCTGTCACATGAACCCATCCTTATGTATTAGCAGGAAGATTTTGAACTGACACCTCTTCTGAGACATGTATATTCACTTATAGATGATCATTATTCTGTTCAAGAAATATTTTTTGAGCTTCTGCTGCATGACAGGACCTTTCTATGATCAGGATACAGCTGGGAACAAAACCAAGTTCCAGCACCATATTGAACACAGTCTCATAAGGAGAACAGATAATAACCAAAATAACATTTTGAAAAAACAAACATAAATTGATTATGGATTCAATTTTATTTAAAAATTATATTGTATTTTATTTCTGTACTACTTTAAAGCTTTTAAATCATTTCTGATTGTTCTGCATATTATATTTCATATATTTGAAAACAGTTTGTTAACTGTAAAAACCTTGATATATGAGTTACATATATGTAACTTAATAGATGAGCACATACCTTTTCTGATGGAACTGATCGGGTGCCGTGGTTACCAGATGTTCAAAAGTCAATTTAGAACCTACTGTACCAGTGTACATAAGAGTCATCTTGGATATTTGCCGTATTGCATTACAGTGTCCTTGGATGAGTTTTGAGAGCCTGCATTTTAAATGAATCTAGCCAAATATGGTGCTAGCTAGGGAAGGGCCACTCTTTGAAGAGCACCAGTGTTGGAGAGTTTCTCACAAGGGAGCTTAGAAGAGCCGCTAAGAGAATTGAATGCATATGTCTTGTTGGTGTCTCCAATTCAAAGGCTAGCATTGGTGGTTCATTTGGTATTCTTTTAGGTCCCGTGTTAAGCATAAGAACTACAAGATGGTAGTTCTGGATGCTGAGCTTAAGGATCTTACAGTTTACTTACAACATAGACCTCTCCCTACCATTTTATTCCCTGCTGTCATTCTAAACTGTGTGGCATTTTCTATTTATAAAGTACTTTTGTATACATTATTTGACTTATTACCTCATTGACCTAGGTTATATGAATTTTTTATTAGACATATATGTCATTACAGATGAAAACAGAGGCCCAGAGATATTAATGATTAAGTAGGCTAAACGTACAGAGCAAGTATGTGGCAGAGCTAGGTCTTCTGATTCCAAGTCCAGAGTTTTTTCCCATTTCATTATATTCGTGTGCCTTATGTGTATTAGTTGAAAATTTAGAGTATTTCTTCACCTGTGACAGGTATATTATAATATTCAGAGATTCCTCAATCTGTGTAAAGGTTGTAATATGCCATGTTCCTAACCATTGAAATATGAAATCATTCGCCATCCTTAAGTAAAGCCAGATGCCTTCATTGAAAGTGGCAAGCATCTCTTGTAATAGGATTACTTGCACATTCCAGAAACTTATGACAAGTGGCAAATGAATTAATACTAGGAAATAACATATAGACTTACTGGGAAGGAGCCAGTCTTTGGACACCTCCACTCTAAATATTATTTGCATTAGAGACTCTGCTGAATCTATGTAGTGCCATTACTGAAGTGTATTTATTCTTTGATCACTATGTCTGATTGTTGTCTATCTGTTCATTCATTCAATAAACATTTGTTGAGCACTCATTATGTACCAGAACAGGGAAAGCCACTAGTTATAAAATTATGATTAAGACATATTCCCAACCCAAATATGAAGCAAACTATATGTAATTACCACAGAGATGTGAATAAGGGTCTATTCTATGATTTCTCAACTCTGACAGTTACCAGTGGAAATATTGGTGGGAGAAGTGAGTGTGTGGGTGAATTCTTCAGAAAGGGCTGAAATTTGTTATAGCTGCACATCTGGCAGTACTTAAGAATTATGAATGATTTCATGTTTCCATGGGCACATGGTACATTATAACACATTATGCAATATACTGGTTGATAAAGCACTTGGTAATAGTATAACATTGTGCCTTTCTTCCCTCATTCTTAAATCACTGTACAAACACAAATCCTCACAATATTGTTCCCAGGAGTTGTTGTTAGGATGTTTTTGTTATCAATAGTAGCAGTGTTAACCACAGTCTGTAGCCGAAGAATATGAGACACAAAATAACTTGCCCAGGGCCACTCCATAAAAGATTGGCAGCATCCCATCTCATAATTCCCTGTTCAGTTTCTAAGCCTGAGAACTTCTCTGAAGGAGTTGCTAGCCTGGATACTTCCTTCACTTATTTTCTTATAACTTAGTATGATGCTACATATAAGCAGAATTTTCTGTGGGTGGCCCACTGGCAAGCTCTAACACTTCAGGACCACGTCTTTACAAAGCTGTCAGGAGGCCCCACCCTTCTGCCTAGCTCTTTTTCCTACAGAGGAAGCATAGTTGAAGAACTCCGGTCTATAGTAATGGTCTGAGTCTCAGTTGGCTTGAGCTTAAGACACTGTAATATATTCCTTCATCAGTCCCTGTCACACAGAAACATTTAGAGCTACTGATATTTGACCAGTAGTCCAGTGAATTTCTTTTCGGCAAACAACTACATTGTCCTTATATCACATAGCATTCTCTAACACAAACCATAAACTATCAATGGTAAAGATCAACTTTGCTGAAACCAGAAAGAGAAGTTAGAAATAAAGGTAGAAATCATTTTAAGCTTTATTCTAGTCATGCTTATTAGCTCTGCAATGGAGCAGCCTGGCAAAAATAATAGATTTTTGAAGTGAGAGGAGACTTTTCTTTGCTTAGGTGGGCCAGATTCTTGTGCCTTTCTTGTTACTATTGTACATCATTTTGGCAACTATCTTATTGGGATGTCAGTCTGCCTCTTAAGCCTATGAGCCTACAATATGTACACCCTGTACAAAGATGATGATACCATTTGATGGCAATTAGTTGATGCAACTTTGTTAATATTGTTTTTTTAATCTATCTTCTTTTCTACATTTTTTCCTCTCTCAAATGGCTATATGAAACAAGAACAAAACTCTCATTCAGACACAATTATTTGAAACCATTTTCCACAGAGCAAGAGAATACTTCATATAGTAATGACTAGCAAGCAGTGTTTTAATGTTCCTATGATTGATGCAGTGGCTCACAACAGTTCCTCTGGAACCATTCTTGCTTCTTACATTATAGGGCCTGTTGAAAGGAGGAAACAGAAAAGAGAAAGGTTTTTTTTTTTTTTTTTTTCTGTCATATTGAAGCAATAGGTATATGGTGATCATGTAAACCTTAAGTGATTCAGTTATGACTAGGGACTTAATTACTGACTTTAGACTTTTGGGTAACATGGAAGAAAGTTCTCAGAACCAAATTGCTTAGCTTTTGTGTGATGCCCTATGTTTTGTGCAAACGTTATCATTGGTACTTTGTGCAAACGTTGTCATTGGTATTTTAGCAGTAGGTAAGTAAAGTAGGGCCTTGGTTTTCATTAAATGTTATTTCTGCCTGGATAATCATTTGGATTATGGATATGACCTCCATATCCATAATCATTGGATATGACCAAACATTGTGACTACAAAGTGGATACATGGCAATAATGGATGGTTTGGTGTGCTGGCTCCTCTGAAGGCCCAGAGAAGCTAATTGGGACTGCTAAGATTAGCTTGGAAGAAAGGGAGGCTGACTTTTGGTGTCCCTTAATACTTAATACTTACGGGATACTTATGGATCCTTAAAATTTGTCCCCTTGTTCTCTGCTTGTGCCTTGTATGGGGAAACTGTCACATGGTAATTTCTTCTCTTCGTCCTTTTTTATCCAAAGATCCCCAATTTTTGTGTGGAAACTTGACAATAGCAATTACAAAAAAAAAAGGAGGAGGAAAGCAGCCAACATTCACTGGGTCCTTACTAATTGCAGGTATTACCTTGAGCTCTTCCCACACATTGTTTCTGTGAGGTGATACTGGGCTCTTTTGGTTATAAGTGACAGAAACACAATCTGAATATGTTTGATCATAAAAAGGAAGGGGGTGTTTTTGTTTCAAATAAATGGCAATTTCAGGAACTTCCTAGCTTTAAGCATGACCAGATCACAGGGCTCAGTTGCTGTCATCGTCTCTCGTCTTTCTTTGCCTTTCTCTGTGTTAGCTTCATTTTTAAGCAACCTTTGTCCATGTGGTTTCTGCCCAAGCAGCTCCAATCCATATCCTAAAATTAAAAAGCTAGAGTTTCTTTCTTTATAGCTTTATCGAAGTCCCGCATAGAGAACCCATTAGTTTGGCTTGAGTGGGTCCATACCTGAACCCATCCTCGAGGCTGAGAAGATGACGTGCTCTTTGGCTAGGGTATGGTCCTATGCCTAACTCTTGTTTGAGAATGGAGGTCTAGTTGTTTCCCGTAGGAAAAGATGGGTCTTTTACCAGGAGACATGCCAGTCAGGACAAAACAACTGATCTCCCTGATAACAGAATAGTATTATTTTTCTACTTAAAAAATGTAAGAACTTTGCCTAAGCTCACATAGCAAATATATGGAGTGTATATAAGAATATGGACTGTTATCCCATTCTGTCTGATTCCAAAGCCCATGCACCTGCAGGAGAGTTGTCATGGTTGAGAGTATAAGAGTGCAGTACAAGCGCATAGGTGCAATTCCTGGCTCCACCACTTCCTAGCTCTGTGGCCTTGGGGAAGTATGTAATCTTTTCAAGCCTCAGTTTTGTTATCCATAAAATGGGATAATAATTGTATCTACTTCATAGTGCTATTGTGAAGGTTACATGACACAAATATATAGACTGCTGTGTATAGTTTCTGGCACACAATAGATGCTCAATAAATGCTGTCATTTATTATAACTATTTCAACTTACTATAAAAGTATGATACAAATCACCCACTGTTGAGATTTCACTTTAGTTGCTGATTTACTCTAGGCACAAAACTGGACTTATGTATCTATGCATCACCTGATTAAAATCCCTAATGTCTTTCACTGCTCAGCATAGACAATTCCATTCATGTAATTTATTATTGTTTACATTTTTATATCATTTTTATTGTCTGATACTACTGTTTAACTCCTTATAATAAGGAAGCTATAAATTTGTGAAGAAAGGGAACCATGTCTTTCTCCCACAGTATCCTTCACAGTACCTGGAATCTTCCATTAACGATGTATTCAGTAAATATGTTTGGGTTTCATTTGTTTTTTATACTCTTGATTGTGGGTTGCACTTTAAATGACTATCCACCAGGAACTGGCAGAGGAGATGTGATTCCCTTCCCTGGAGACTTGTAGACTCTCAAACTTGGAGTGAATCCAGGTTTGAGGTTGGGGCAGGGGGTCAGATATGGGCTTCCTATGGGAGGGGGCAACATGCCATTCCCCATCACACACACACACCTGCTGAGAAGAGTCCTTCCTGGGCTTGTTGCAGGGAGTCACTTACTGTTCCTTCCTCATCTACCTCATTTTCAGACAAAGTTGAGGCAGCATGGTGAGAATAGAATTTTCTTTGCAAATTCATTAAAAAAACCAAACCTTGGACTAGGCAAGTAGAGTTTTCCAAATTGTTTCAATGGCTTGAAATACTCAAGCGCCAAGTGTGGGGTTTATTTATCTCAAATGAAGAAATTGGCTATTTAGCAGGTACCACTCTTCTAAGCATGAATCTAGCCTATTTCCTTTTCAGATAAAGATTTTGGTGCGATGAGAGTGCTGTGAATATGGATTTTCTATCAAAAACACAGGAGTGCCGTTTTCAGAGTAAGGTGAAATTTAATGCCAGAATTTCAATATTGAAATCTCTTAGAGATCAGACTCTAATGATGAACATAAAATGTAATATGCATACAGTATATGTGTATCTATGTGTAAAGCACTGTATATAATTATGTAGAGAGTATTTCTCTAGCAAGTGATAATTTTAAACCCCTGAAATGTTATAATAAAATGAAATAGCATAGCTAGATTAATGCAGTGTTTCTTTAGTCTTGGCTATAGACTATTCACAATTCCAGGAAGCACATATTTGAGATATCTTTTCATAGGAATCATGGAAAGGCCCCTTGACATCAGTTTTCACCTTATTTGGTCCTGCCACCAGAAGCAGCAGCTGGAATGGAACCTTGTATGTAACTACATATGTACAATGGGACCTTGTGCATGAACTATATTTATTTATTTATTTATATACTTACTAACAGGCTTATTACAGCAACCTGATGAAGGTTCAGGATCATTTACTCTTTTTACCTAGAGTAAAAAGACTACTTCTAAACTGTAGCTTTTAGACTGGTATCCTAAAGGCTAAAAAGCCTGTATCTTTTAACCAACCTGAGACAATAACTATTTCCTCTATACTTACAGAATTTTTTTCTTTGCAAAAGTAATAACACTCAATAAACAAGAAAGTGCTGCTAGCATTTTGAAGTTCTCAGCTAACTTACCAGCAAAGAAAATTTACTGTGTCCTGTTGTATTTAGTATAAAAACAAGTGGGGCATCCTAGAGACAGAAGTGATTTTTCTAGTGGGTTACCTACGAGGGGATGTATTGATTTCTATTGGTAGTACTGGTCTCTGCCTGCAGATGTACATTGTGTCCAGGGTTTCAGAAAACAGAGCTTTTAATTCATTGTAAATAGTAGCATTGTGTGAAAGAGAATTTTTTTTTTAAACTACAACTACAAAAAATATTGTGCACATCGGTTTAAAATGAATTGACCTTTTGTTTCAGTGAGGACGATGTGTTACTTGTTATGGAGTGACTCCATTTGCCCATGCAAATAAGCACAAAGCCAGGATATTATCAGGCAATGGCAAAATTAAGAGGTAGGTCAGATTTAATGGAAACATCTGTCATTAACCCTTTTACAGAAACTGCCTCAGGGGATCCTTGCAGATAAAAGCTATGCTGAGCTATCTTACCTTGCTTTGCAGAGCTGCAAAAGGATGGCAGTCATAATATGCAGATTCTGATCAAAGGATTTACTTTATGGCACATTTTGAAACACAGAAGAAAATACAAGGATTATTTTGTGTATTTTTCTCTTCGCAAAAAATTTAAAGACTGTGGAGAAATTAACGTTGCTGTTAATTTCAAGATTTTACACCAGCAGACTTATTTCTGCTATTGGCTACATTATGCCATTCCAGTGAGTGTCATCTTACAGTTCCTCAAATCACAAATGAACTATTGACATGCTTTTTCCAAAAAGGTGGAAAACATGAAATTAAGAAAAAAAATGTATTTATAGTTACACGTGGTAACATATTATTGCCTGTGTTGTGGAGTTATAATTTTTTTAAAGTTAATTTTGTTGACAGTATTATTGAAGAAAATTAAGAAAGTTTGACAGTCATTTGGATGCCACTTATTTTTGTTACTTGATATTATCGGTTACTACTAATAAAAACATACCTGAGTCAATTTGCATTTGCGATGAAATTTAAAACAAAACGATTACATCATGTAGAAATCTTAAAAAGACTAAGTCATGCACCTTTCATTTAAAATAGTTTAAAATTTTTATATAACACAAAAGTGTTGATAATATTAACTTGCTAGCATGTAAAGAGGGGGAGAAATGCCTGAGTTTCTTCATAGGAAAAATATAAATCCAAAACAATGTTTGCTGTGCTTCAGTTATGTTGTTCACAATGTAATTACCCTTAAAATTATTTTGCTCCTTCTTTTTTCTTAATAGTTTTAGTTTACATTTGCTTTGAGTATAGGTTTTTTATCAATTCCTTCTTTATATGAGTCTTTGTGTCTTCTCTCCCTTAATTTTCTTTGTCTTCAGACCATCCTCATGTCCATGTAGCTAGGTTTTTTCCTTCTTTTATCTATTTGAAACTAGGATACGCAGATTAAAATGCACCTCTTTTTGGAGTACATCTCCCTCTGAATAAGGCCTTAAGTTATCTAACTATAGAAGATTTGTAACATGAACAGAGAGGCCATTTACTTACTTACTTTCTTTTTTTTTGTTGAATTTTTTTTTTTTTTTTTTTGAGACGGAGTCTCGCTCTGTCGCCCAGGCTGGAGTGCAGTGGCGGGATCTCGGCTCACTGCAAGCTCCGCCTCCCGGGTTCACGCCATTCTCCTGCCTCAGCCTTCCAAGTAGCTGGGACTACAGGCGCCCGCCACTACGCCCGGCTAATTTTTTGTATTTTTAGTAGAGACGGGGTTTCACCGTTTTAGCCGGGATGGTCTCGATCTCCTGACCTCGTGATCCGCCCGCCTCGGCCTCCCAAAGTGCTGGGATTACAGGCGTGAGCCACCGCGCCCGGCCTGAATTTTTGATATAATATCTGACCCCCTTCTGTAAAGTATAAGAGGCCCATAGAAGTTTGTGCAAGCAACAGAATGATGAGTCATTTTAATACGCACCTCACCTCCCCAAAGCCATGGGATTGAATTGAATCGAAGTTTCTGAATATTACTTTGGAAAGATTAAGGAGGTGGCATGATGGAGAAATAGAGCAACCATGGATATCCATCTGTCTTTTAAAAATCCAATATTAATTTTGTAATTTTAAGCATTAATATGTTTGAAAACTATAGTCTGACTTTTTAAAAACTTCAAGTAACCTCAAATTTCAACTACAGGATTAAATAGAGTTGAAATTATTTTGTGATGGGTTTATATCCATCAGGAGTTAGCATTTCATGTCAAAACATCATTCATCTCTTTGGCTTCCTGTGTGTTGTGTAAGTGTGGATCTACATGGTGGGTCTCTCGGTCTTGGACTTTTCAAAGGTGGGGAACAAGTCACTGATCATTTAAAAGCACTTCTTTCAACAGTATGCACAATTAGGCACCTAACTGGTGTGTATTTTTTTAATGACAAATAGTTTTGGTGATGGCTCATACACTAGTACTTGAATTCAGTGTTTAACCCTCCTAGGTAAAGGAGGTCATGGCACAACGATGTTTAAAAAAGGTGTGGCACATGTGACCCTAGACATGGTTAAAGATTGAGAGTGTTCAATGCTATCCCCTTTTCCCAAGTCACAGTGCTGTGGGCTCTATTTCCCAGAGGCCAGTCTGAGCTGTTTGTTAATTGATAAGTAATGTAGGCTTCATGGAGGGTCAGCCACCTTTGAACACTAACAGGAACATGACATTTACTAAGATGGTTTTACCTTTCACTCTGTTAAATAAACCATGGTAACTCCTAGGTGTCATTGTACTAGTTTTTCTTTTCATTGTTTAAAATGTCATTGTACTTTTTTTTCTTTTCATTGTTTAAAATATTCTTTGCAACTAATTGTTAGACAAGATGAAGGGAAATAATGATTTGGCTGAATCACCCATTTATTTTGAAAGAATCTTATGTCTTTTCATTTTTATCAGTCTTTGATGATTCTAAGAACCCTTTTGGTGTTTAAATGTACAGAGCAAGACCTATTGGTCAACCAACATGTTGTTCCTGGTTCATAGGGGGAAAACACGATGCAGAAAAGAGGGTCTATACCACTCAGGGTGGCAGAGATTGATGTTTGAAACTTCGTTGTGACAAAGAGGGAGCTGTGAACTTTCCTTTCTGATTTTTAATTTGAGGTATGACATTGACTTCTTTTTTGCCATGTCCTATAGACTGTTGACCGGTAGCTTATTATTACAGACTTCTATCAGTTATAAGGACTGTGAGGGACCCCTGCCATATTGTATCCCTCTTTGATAATCAGGGCATGAGTCACTGGCATGAATCAGTAGGTCCCTCTTCCTTGAAGGAGTTTTTGGAAGTAGAAGCAGCAGCATTCCTGACTGATGGGCCTGCTTGGCCTAAGTCTAAATGATCCTTGGGATGAAACGTTCTCCTGCTGATGGCTTTTTTCCCAAACTAAAAGAGTACATTTTTATGTTAAGATGTCCAGAACCATTTTATTGAAAATAAAAGCTATCTTTTTATCCTCATTTTTTTTTGAAAATTTTGGTTAAGTTGCTTTTTTGAATAGACTCACAAGGTTCAGAATTTCAAAAGTATAAAAAATGTGTACAGGAAAAAATCTCTCCCCCATTCCCATTCCTCATTTGCTCAGTTTCCACGCGCCTCACTCCCCACAAATAACAGTTGTAACTGGTGACTTCTGTTTTATTCTAGATTTACATTATTTGCTGATACTTTTAAACAAGGTTATACCTCTTCTCCCCCAATTTATACATGCCCGTGTTCACTTGACTTTCATAGAACGTCTTAAGACGAAGTGACATTTAATAATGTGCATGTTGAATCTGGGTACTTTTTGCTTGGCTTTGCATTCATCTTTCCACTTATGTTTTGAAGAGAAATTTCATATTTTCTTTGCTCTAATTCTGGTTGCCAGGATGGCTGGGTGCCATTCCTGGAAGGGGTGTGTGTTAGAGTTGGCACAGACAGAGCAATTGGCACAGGAAAAGGAAACCATGCCTGTGTCAGGGAGATTTATCTATTCATTATTTTAAAAATTATTGTTGTTACCATCATTGACCATTTGTTGTGTGTGTGACCCATGTCCTGGGTAGCATTCTAAACAAAGAAGAAAGCCATGCCCATGTGTAGTGCCCAAGGAACTCCCAAGTGGGCGTGTTGAGACTCTATCTATGGTAAGATTATGATTTTTAGTAGCTAGATCTTTAGTGATAAGTAGAAAATAGTCCAGCACAATTGTTTTCAAACTGTTCTCTGAGGAAGATGTAGGTTCTTTGGCAGTAACCCTGGGGCCAGTTAGTGAAGGGGAGGGAGGAGAAGGGACATAACTCTTTTACTTTAATCGCTCTTATATATTGTGTCCTCGTTAAGATTTCTATGGAAGAAATATTTTGACAGCTTTAAAGAAGTTTGATATCCGCTGCTCTAGAAGAACAAATTCCCTAGCTGGAGTCAAGAAGTCTGTGTTCTTTAATGTCTTGTTTTCAAATACAGTAAAGAGTTGCATCTTTCGATTTTTCTTGACGCACAATGACAGTGATTTTGTAGTGCCATGGAAAGAACACAGGCCTCAGAGCCATAGAGCTTGGGGGAGAATCTCTGTTTCATTACTTCACTGCTCTAAGGCTTTGCGCAAGTCACTTATCCTCCCTGCATATCAGTTTCCTTATTCTTACAAAAGCAGTAATCATACCTGCTATGTTAGGTTGCTATAAAGATTGGAGATAAGATACATAAAGTACCTAGTACAAAGTTTGCCATCTAATAACACTCAATGAAAGCTATTAAATATGAAATATAGAATTTATGGAAATTCTTTAAGGAAACTCAATGTCAAGTCAATAAAGAGAAAGACATGAGGTGCAGCAATTTGAAGAGAGTAAGTTGCAGCCCACTTTGCAAACAATGAAATGACTTTGGGAAAATTGAGTATAAATGTATGTTATTTAATTCACTTACTCTTTTCATGCAGTAGATAAAATCACTATTTATAGGGATTTGGTAGGAAATTTTTTTGGGCAAAGTTAAGGATCTCTTCTTTATAGAGTAAACAGTGCCCATTTTATATTGTCTAGGTTTGAGTTTTTGAATTTTACATTTTCTTTAAGAGAGATATGTGTATGATATAAGAGAGAGTACGGGGCCAGGCGCGGTAGCTCATGCCTATAATCACAGCACTTTGGGAGCCCGAGGCGGGCAGATCACCTGAGGTCGGGAGTTCGAGACCAGGCTGGCCAACATGGTGAAACCCCGTCTCTACTAACAGTATAAAAAAATTGGCCAAGTGTGGTGGTGGGCCCCTGTAATCCCAGCTACTCGGGAGGCTGAGGCAGAAGAATCCAGCCTGGGCAACAGAGTGAGACTCCATCTCAAAAAAAAAAAAGGGGGGGGGCGTGCAGTAGCATTGGCTTCAAAAGTTACTGGAAAGGTGTAACATTACAGGATACCACATATCAAAGTAAAGAAAAAAAGAAGCAAAGGGTGGAAAAAGTTTTTATTTGCAAATAATGTGGAAAAGTCATCTCTAAGTTTTACAAAGGCAGACAAGGAGAACATAGCAGCAGAAAATGATCTAACAATAGTTATAAGATGGGACAATGGGGAAAGATGATCTAAGTTGACTGAGGAGATTTTATTGGGAGATTGATGGCTGAACTTGTAATAAGGAATTTGAAAACAACTCTGTAATTCTCTTTCTCAGATTTTTGTTTGAATGTATTATTGGTTACAAATTAGTGAAAGAATGGGATTTCAGGGTTAAAATCATTAAAACATCAGCACTTCCTTAAAATTGTTACTTGAAGCCAGTTAGCCAGTTTCATTTATGTAGCATCTGGTTGAAGTTTATGTATTAAAAGATGACCATAAAAAACATTTCACATGTCACTGGAATTCAATAAATGAGTGCTGAATTCTATTACACTCAATTCAGGTACATTATGTACAGATAAATCCTAATAATTCTGACAACACTAACTGCTTTCAAATTAATTAGGTTGTGAAAGGGTTAAAAATCAAGTAATGCAAAATTAGAAAACTCATATTTTGAGTTTAAATTGGTAATTTAACTATCAATGTCAATAACATATTTAAGAATATTGAGTAACAGCAATAGCAAGAAAGACATTCACTAAGTTTAATATTAAAAACTATTATTAAAATTAACAAGAGAGTATTAAATATTTTAAAGGTAATATAGGCAGAGCTCATTCATGTTGCAATATTTCTTAAAAATTTATTTCACTTATTCTGTGACCTGAGAAGTTAGAAGTCAGGTGAAAATTTTGCATTTAATGCAGTATTTCATTTACTCTGTTTCATTAATAGTGTCTTGATTCTCTCATTCCTGTTTAAGTTTGATTCCTATTCTCTGGGTAGGGCATGAAACAAGGGGCCAAATGGTAGATTTCTGGGATCTCCTGTGTTTAAGGAGCAGGTAAATGAAGAAGAGCCAGTAAAGGGACTGAAAATGGCCAAGCAAAGATGCGGAAGGAACGTCAAGTAAGGCTCTATTGAAGATAGCCTAGAGAGAAGAGCTAAGAGGATTGTATGTGACAGTTTTAAATGCTAAGGAGAGGTTAAATAAGATGAGGCCGGAGAACAGGCCACTGGACTTGGAAATTAAATGGATATTGATAATCTTTGAGAAAAGAGCTTCTGTAAAAAGGTAGGAGCTGAAGCAATTTGCAATGAGTTGAACAGTGTATAACAGATTACTAAGAAGAGACAGTAAACATGTCCTAGTTTGCAAGTAATGTGGTTGTTGGTAAAAGGGAGAATGAAGCTAGAAATACGGGAAGTTGGATTAACAAAAGAGAATTTGGCTATTTTACTACTAACTACGTGTTTTGACTGCTATTATGACAAATAATCTCCCTTAGAAGGCAGTTTTCTTCTCCTCCTAACTTATACTAAACAAACCTGGAACACTTGGCACTTTTTTCAAAGACTTTTAACAATTTTCTTGTGGATTTTTTCTGTTAGTCTACAATCTTAAATGTAAAAAATTACTTAAACAGATATCTTTATATTGAACTAGCTCTTCGTTCTTGGAATGAATTCCATATGATTATGGTGTATTATTCTTTAATTTTTACTTCTGAGGTCTATTTGCTAATATTTGACTTGCTATGATTTTCTTTCCTTATTTTTAAGTGCACTTGATATATAACGTTTGCATGTATGGGTGTGTGCTTATGTTTATGTGTGTGTACTAGACTATCTCGATTGTTTCTTGGTAACAGAATTATGTTAGTCTTATTAAAAATTTGAGTCTTCCCATCATTGTAAAATTTTGGAACTGTTTCAACAAGAAAAAAAACATTCTTTTCTAGTCAGTTTTATTAGTACCTAATATAAAACTACCTGGGTGAAAGAAAAAATCAACCTGTGCCTTGAATTTGGTTGAGGGTGAATCTTTAATAATCTTTTCAATGTCTTCTATGCTCATTGGCCTCTTCAGGCTTTCCATCTCTCTGTCAAGTTTGGTAACTTATCCTAAAGAACATTATAGTTTGGGTGGAGAAAATTAGTATGTTTTTGGCTATGGAGAATACCTAGTGGATGAGATGGAATTTATGACAAAAAAAGAGAGAGGATCATGTAATTAAGGAGAAAAATTATTCTGGTAGAAAGATTAGATGTATATTTGAATATTCACATGAGTAAATTTTACATCTAGGGATTTAGCCTAGAAGGAGACCTCTCCAAATAATAATAATAATAAGAAGAAGAAGAATGGCTTCATTTATTGAACAACTATATACTTGCTAGACAGTTTATATTTCTTATATTTCTTACCTCATAACAATCATAAAAGGTAGCACTGTTGTCACCATATAGATGAGCTTACTGAAGCTCAGTGAATTTCTGGTATGTTGCTGAGCAGGCATGCATACATAACTTTAAAGAACTGTACCTCTCTGTATACTAGACATTACCTCTTTTGGGATAGTTACCTATTTTCTGTCAAAATTGTTTAAAAGGATGACCTTTTCATAGAAAATAATCTAATTATTACTACTTCTCAGATTCAATTTTGTGGATCTTTTGTTGTTACAGAGGTTTTGTTATTACTCTAAGTATTCTTTGCCTATCGTAGTTTTTTTAAGTAATCAAAGTAAAATATAAACAGACCCTCACATTTATTTCACTGAAATGGCTAGCCCAGTCACCATGAACAGGTATACACTCACCGTGTTTGCTGACGAAGCTTATGATCCTCTGAGTAATGTATGTCTAGTCAACAGGATTGAAGAAATTATACACCTGTTTATGTGTACAAAAAAATGAAAAACCTAGCATTTTTTAAAAATCTTGAAACCATATGACTGGTGATTTTTCTACCTTGAGAGAAAATAATTTAATCTGGACCTTATAAAATCCACATTTTAAGAAACCTCAAAGACGTTTGTAATGATCATATACAGTCACTTATCCACTCCCCTTTTCTTTTCCCTTTCACTTTTTTTTTTTTTTTTTTTTTTGCCTCTGCGCCCACAGCATGTGAAAGCATTGAAAGAAAATAAGAATCTTAAACTCATAAACATACCTGCTTACTATCTGGCAGGCGTCCCAGCAGTCTGGTGATCTCCTTAGTTATCCAGCAGATAGTAGAAAAACAAGAGTCCTGTGAAGATTTCACATGTTGCCATATCCCTGCCAGATGGTGATTTGTAAAACATGGACAAATTGCACTGGCTCCACTTCCCTCCGACAATCACAACAGAAACACTGCAGCAATGGTGTTTAATTTGAAAGCAACTTCAGCTGAGTAACTTTTAAGGTATAAACATCTAAAGATTATTGGGATAAATGTGACATTATCTCCAGAGAACTGGTCCTTCATAAATCTGCTATTCTGTGCTCTGGTATTTCTGGGATTCTCCCCCTACCTCCAAAAAAAAAAAAAAAAAAAAAAAAAAAAAAAAAACTATGAAGGATTGGAAAATATCAACATTATGAGATATCTGATTATTACCTACTGATTCTTTGCCACAACATGATGTTTTTCTGTCATCTAATGATTAGCTGCAGGACTAAAAATCATATTGACAAATTTGCCATGTTCATTGGAATATTGAAGAACTGAATGTGCAGGGAATTCTCTTAATTGTTTTAAAATAATGCTTTCTCACTGTTTCAGTTGTTCTTTGTGGCTGTCTACACAACTCTCAAATCACTGGTCAGTTTAGATAGGAAATGTCAAACAAGTGGTTTAGCGTGGGTAAATAAACTGCCAGTTTGTGGTTTTCACTTTTTCATCACGCCTTGGTCTCAAGGCGTATTTGGCCAAGGAGTGATATCTTTTCAACCCTTTCAGTTATTAGAAGTCTACCTTGACCTAACACACTAAAGCTTTACTGATGCTGAGGGAAAATGATAGAAGAAAACCAACTTCCTTTCCCTGCTGCTATAGCTAGATTTGTTCAGTTGTTTCTCATCTCCACAGGGAATGTGCTACCTATTTGTTCCTCAGGACGTGTATGCTAAGATTTTATGTAACTGCATTTTTTTTTGGCAATAACTTTATTAGGACATCATTTACATTGAGATGTAGTTGTACAAAATATAAACTGAAGAATTCAGTGGGTTTTTTTAGTATTATTCATGGAGTGGTGCAAACATCACCACAATCAAAGCTAAAACATTTTCATCACCACAAAAAGAAATCCCATGCTTATTAACAGTCACTCCTTATTTTTCCTAGAAACACTAACAGCCATAGGCAATCACTAATCTACTTTCTGTCTTTATAAACTTGTCTATTTGGGATATTTCAAATAAGTGGAATCATATTGTATGTGATATTTTGTGACTGATTTCTTTCACTTAGCGTAATGTTTTCAAGCTTCGTTCGTCCTGTGGTATATGTTAATAGTTCAGGTATTTTTCTTGCCAAATAATATTCCATTGAATGGATATACCACATTTTATTTATCCATTTATCAGTTGATGGATATCTGGGTTGCTTCCACCTTTTGGAACCAATGAGTATGAATTCACATTATAAATAATGTGGTTATGAACATTTATGTACAAGTTTTTGTGTCGACATATATTTACATTTTTCTTGGGTATATGCCTAGGAATGGAATTACTGGGTCATTTAGTAGCTCTATGTTTAATATTTTGAAGAACACAGGAACTGCTCCTGTTTATAACTCTTTATTTTGTACAGATAAGGAACACAGTTGGACTTGAGACATGCGGAATTCTGAAATTCATCATTTTAATTCCTACTCCAGAATAGTAAATAGGCATGAGTTTTATAATACATCTAAATTTGAATCCCAACTTCACCACGTATGAACTTCATGATCTTGGGCCTGTTACTTAATATCTCTGAAATTTCATTCTGCCATCTATAAAATGAGGGTAATAACACTGATTTTGCCTGGAGTTTGTGTGCACGGAATGTGATGATGTATCAGAAAGCTGTTCATGCAGTGCTGATCATATAGTAACTTTCTAATGAATGTTATTTTCCTTTGTTTCTTAACTTTTTACTCCTGAGTACTTCAGGTGTAGGGACTGACAAGGAGAAGATTCTTGGGATGATTTAGGTATTCACCTGAGAACCTTCTTGGCTGATTTAGAAGCTCCTAACTGAAGAAAAGGATCACTTGTTAACGTTTACTCTTCAAGAATTTATTTAGAATTTAACAACCAGAAAACATTTAAAACAATGTTTACAAAACACTGTTTGCTGTGACTTTTAGTAAATTAATGTTAAAAAGTGAGACTTTCTTGGAATTGTTATGCAATTGTGTCAACCAAATTTTAGGGTTTGAGGGTTCATTCCACATGCAGACCACCTCATAAGAAATTGACAGGTAAAGGCAGTATGATCTTGTTGAATAATTTCTAGTTAGAGAATGTGTAAAGCCGAGGTATTTGCATAAAGAAATAAACCATTTATGATTTGCAGACACTAGGTCCTGGCTGATCCCATGTGGTAATGCCCACTAGTGCCATAAATTTGCGTAGGGCTTCATAAAGGAGATGTCGTAAGTCATAAACGCCTACAGTCTTTAAGATATCATTAGGAATTTCCTTCTGACTTCAGCATAAACTGTGCTTACAGTACACAGAATGAGTGTTGAAAGATCATTAGTAAAGGGAATTTCATCATTTCATCATGTTCCCCAAGAATGGAGTGTCCATATGAAATAATTTTCTGTGTGCAAAATTGTGTGTAACCTCAATCCTTTTTGCTTCATTTAAAGTCCATTTCCATTAAATCTATTTTTCTGAGGCAGAAGTATTATTAAATAACATGACTATCTGTTAAAAGAACAGGAAAATATATTTCTAGATTAGCCAGTTTTCTCCCTGCCTCTCAATTCTTAAAACTATTCCAGAAAAGGTCAGCCCAGCATAAATGGTGTGATCAGTGACACTGAAATGTTTTCTTTCACCATGTCTTTTGATTGTCACCCTACTGTCTCTTTGAAATTCTAGAGGTATCTGAAAAACCAAGAAAGTGTTATTCGTACCTCCAAAGGGGGAAAAAATAAGAAGGAAAGGAAATATTTTGAATAGGTTGGAGATGTTGTATTTTTGTTTATATTTAAAAATTCAGGGCCGGGAGCGGTGGCTCACGCCTGTGATCCCAGCACTTTGGGAGGCTGAGGCAGGTGGATCACGTGAGGTCAGGAGTTTGAGACCAGCCTTGCCAACATGGTGATACCCTATCTCTATTAAAAAAAAAATACAAAAAAGTTAGCCGGGCATGGTGGTGGGCGACTGTAATCCCAGCTACTCAGGAGGCTGAGGTAAGAGAATGGCTTGAACTCAGGAGGCAGCGGTTGCAGTGAGCCGAGATCGCACCATTGCACTCCAGCCTGGGCAACAAAAGCAAGAGCAAGACTCTGTCTCAAAAAAAAAAAAAAAAAAGACACATTTTAAAACCTTTTCTATAGCTACAAGTTCTGAGGCTAGGTAGCATGTCTTTTGTTTTACTTTTTCATAATTAAGTTGTCTTTACTGATTTATGCACTCTTATAATTCTCTTATATTTTTATGTCAAACCAAAGAGGAATATTTGAATTCTGATAATGATGTCAATTTAATATCATACAATTAGGATATCACAGATATTAATAAGCTTTGTAAATTCTTCTGCCAGATAACTCATGCTTTCTTTTTAAAGCTAAATTTAAATTTCAAGCCTAAATTACTTCGCAGTGTCATTTTAAATTTATAACATCTGGAAAGGGAAAAAAAAGGCTCTCCTTTCAGCTCTTCAGAACAGATTCCATTTCGAGTTCACCAGAAAATTTAGACCCGCCCCAAGTTTCGCTTTTACATCACTACCTTTTAGAAATTCTCTTCTTGCCCACCCCACTGTGGTTATAGTCTCCTCCCCTCTCTTAAATGTGTCTATTACCCTCAGGCTTTGACCTTGGGCAGACTGTGAGCACAAAGTCACGTTATTTAGAGTGAAGTAACACCAGTAGTCAGGAAGGAACAATGTAGTTCAAGCCAGATAAAATAAATCTCTCATTTCCTGTCAAGGGACTGAGCCAAAAGCAATGATGAGAGACAGAGGGGGCAAACCGCGCAACTGGCAACACAGACGCTTGGGATAGACATGACCACAAGCCTCCGTTGAATACAGACAACAAAACCAAAAACAGCCAGAGTGACAGGAGACACATAAGAGCTATGGAATAAACCAAAACATGTGAGACAGAGGAGAACCATGCAGCTCCCTGGCCATAGAAACAACATGTTTGAATTGTTCAAGGAGGGAATCCTACACTGAAATGTGTAAAGGATTCCCCTGTACAGAGGGATAATTTTATAAAGAAACACACCTGTGTAGCTGCCACCATACATACTGGTTTCTGCATAATGGTGGGCTACACATTGAAATTTACAAATAGCCATGGGAAGGAACTCCATGACAATTCAACGGAAGTACATAGCAGTTTCTCATTGGCCCTGTCTTTAAGAAGGTTGTCTTCTGGCCGGCAAGATGGCTCACACTTGTAATCCCAGCAGTTTGGGAGGCTGAGGCAAGAGGACTGCTTGAGCCCAGGTGTCTGAGACCAGCCTGGGCAACATAGTAAGACCCCCACCTCTACAAAAAAATTTAAAAATTAGCTGGGCGTAGTGGCACACACCTGTAGTCCCAGCTACTCGGGAGGCTGAGTGGGAGGGTTTCTTGAGCCTGGGAGGTCTTTTAAGTGACTACTGATTTATTAAACACCAATAGAGTACCTAATACGTACAGATGCTATTTAAAGTTACTTCAAATATTTAATCCCTTTGGTCCTTGAAACAATCCTATGAGGGAAGCATTATTGTGTTCTTATTTTATAAATGAATAACCTAAAGCACTGGGAGGTGAAGTAACTTACCAGAGGTCACATGGCTAGTCAGGGGTGGAGACTTGATCTGAACCCAAGCAGTGGAGTCCAGAGTCCACTATCTTACTTACTTACTATGCTTTTGCTGGATATTTTGAGGCTATGCATGGCCATAACCTCCTAGTGGGAGATTTGACTGATCTTAGTTGTTTGCAAACCCTGCTCAGATTTTTTTGGAACCCACTCTTTGTTTCAGAAGCATATCCAGACTTCTGAATGTTCACCTCAGATCCAAAAGAAATATTTTAAAAACAGTTAGAACATGCTACATTTATTGTAATGCTGATTATTTTGCTTTTGTCCAAGGCTCTTCTAAGATGGTAAGGGACTGAGAGTTAATTCCTTCATTCACTCATTTGTTGCTTTAACAAATATGTATTCTTGAGTGCTTGCTACATGTCAGGCACTATGATGGATAATAGAATAGCCTTCTGGCTGACAAGGCCAATCAGGGATGCATTTTAGGTTCAGTTCGATATGGAATATGCATTGTAGAAATCCTTATGAAGACAGTGACATTCTCAAAGACAAACACTAATTTATATTTGGAGATAGCCAGGAATTTTTTAACTCAATAGGATAAAATACGACTTAACATTTTGAATCTAATATTTAGGAGTATCATGTGGAGATGGAAACATTCTTTAAGGTTGCATACCCAAAGACTCTGCCAACATAATGCCATAATGACAATAGATAAACATACTTAGAGGAAGATCCTGCCTTATCGTGAGAATGTTTCTAAGAAGCATAAAAGTCTTAATTCACTGTCTTCTCTGGTAATCCTTGCCCCTCCCGGACTAGAAAAGGCAGCAATATTTTGGCACTTACTATACCCTGTGCATAGTTCTATTGTGGCACATAATGTATTATTTCACACTTACCTATTAAATGCAACAGTGTTATACTTACCTGCTACACTAAGCTTCTCCGCTGAGGCATTATGTCCTTCATCTTTGTGTTGTCATACACATATAGGAGGTTCTTAGTATAAAATTGTTGAATACATTGATAAATACATTTTGCGTATACATATAAATCAAAGGCATGCACAGACACCTTTATGTTGTGTAGTATTATTCAAATTGTGGATGCCCCAAGGCAAATTGAGTCTTTAAAGACATTGATCATTCCTTTTATAAAACAACAATGATGACAATTTATTTGAATATTTACTATATATTAGGTCTTCCTGTATGTGTTTAGCATGACTTATTCAATATAATCCTTACCCCAAATCTCTGAAGTGGGTACATGCTTTGTTGTAAGGTTAAATTGAAAATTATGATACGTGATGGAGGTTTCAGTATTTTATAATTAAAATTGTTGTTACATTACTAATGGAAAATGCCCAAGAAAGTAAAAATTATATATTGTTCTTCTCCTTTCTAAGAAATAATGCAGTAGTCCAAATTCAAGAGGTAGCTATATCTTATATTTACAATTTTATGAGTAATTCCATAACATTTTAAATATCCACAAAAAAGAAAACTCATGTAGATCAGGAAAGGTTTTATATGTGCAACATATGATTAAGGAAACTTGTGTCTTGTTAGGATACTAAAAACACAGAAATGCCGCCATCCCATGATGAACTTGGGGGACCCTTACCTTAATTTCTGGGGAAATTCAGTAAGAAAGTTCTGTTGGACCAGTTGGACACATGCGGGTAGAACAGATGATTGTCCCAGTTCTGCCATGCTTTATTTTGAATTAGAAAGCGTTTAAACTTTAAAACATTAGCATATATATTTATTGTATGGTGGGCAATGTGTTTTTATATCACACCTTTGCAAAATACAAAATAGTTGAACACAAAAGGGAAATTAATTCAGGAATTCAGATATTTTGTTTTTTCTGGTGTTCTCAATGCTTACGCGTGCAAGGTACCAAATAAATACCAGTTAGTCTCTTGCTTTCCGATATTTATTGACCTTTTTACCTCTCTGCTTTGTCTTCTGTTGACAGAAAATGAGACTTTTGCTTAATTTAACCCAGGATGTTTCCTTTAAACAAAAACAATTACTTCCTTTCTACAGGAAATTTATGAACCAGAAAGTCTATGGAGACAATTCATCTCTTCTTTAGGTAGTTTGCAACACAATATGAACCTCAAAATTGGCTCAGGCTTTGATGGGAAGCATTATCAATTATTTTTATATGCCCCAACATTAGGTTATCTGTTCCAGTCTCTCCTCTACTAATACTCATAGTCAGAATGTAACAAACTTTGGTAAATATTAAACAATACATTCTTTGAGAAATGTTTGCTGAAGGTTCTGTGTGCTTCACAAAAGCAGAAAATGAAATCATTGAGAAATAAGGAATTGCAAATGCCAGCACTGTATTTTAGTCATGAGTAAAATATGAGACTCAAATGAAGGCTATTATCTGTATTGACTGAATATAGTAATGAAAAATATATATCCATTGGTGGATTTCTTTAGCATCCTTTATATTCTCAGTGCAAGTACACACCCAGTGAAATAAAATATCTTGACCAAAACAGTTAAAAGGAAGTAATTTTTTGTGCCACATACAGCTAAACTGTGGAATTCATTGCTGCTGGCTATCACTAAAGCAAATGATACACTAAATATACTTTTTAAAAAAGGCTAAATATATATGATGGATATGGATGACACTATAATTGCATTATCTAGAGAAACTTTCAAATATTCCAGTCAGTCACACTTCAGAATAGCTGAAAAACTTGGTCAGGAAGAAATATTTTAAAATGTTGTTAGTGTAACACGCTTGATACATTATTGAACTCTAGATTCTACTGTGAATATTAGGCATGATTTCAAGAGGGATTCCAGGCCAGGATAAATATGGTGCAACCTGTTTTATCAATTGTAACTTCTTTATTACTGCTTTGTTTATATAATACTATAAAGGTACATATTGATATTATGCTAAAGTTAATGCGTATTTATTAGAACCAACAGTACCAAGGCTACCTAAAACTTGTATTGTTTGTTTATATGCCTTGCATATTTCTTTAGTCCTTTATTTTTATAATAAAAATGTTATATGTATTCAGGTCTGCACTAACTTTTCTTCACAATACTTGAAGAAATATACTCAAATGATTAAATTAGGTATTGATTAATCTTTGGTCTATTTATTAACTTTAAAATACAGTTAGAGTACCCAGTAGTGTGTCTTATGCATGGTAGATGTTAAACAAACAACCTTAATGATTAATTTGGGGCTTTACAAGAGGCCTTCACATTATTTAATGAGCACATAATGTTTATTTTTAAAGTTCAGTTTAAAATAAGTTACAAATTATTATTAATCAATACATCAAATAAAGCAAGTCTTACCAAATTTATTAGTTTGTCATCTGTCACAGGAACATTCTGAAATTTAGAGATGGTAGTTTTTGTAGCCAGGGACAAAAAATGTTATCTAATGTTATTATCTACTTTTTATCTAGACTTCCTTATGATGTTTTCTGAGCATGTATAGCAATTTTATATTTCCCCTGTGTTTTAATTTACATAAGGATCTTTGAATATTTTGTTCACCAGTAGAGTTCGATCATGGAAACAGTTTGGAAAGTTACTTATTGTTTGCAGTTATCAATTCTCAAGAGGAGTTGAGTTTTGAGAAAGAAATAATAAAGTAAGCGGTTTAAGGACTTTAAGCAATGTAGTTATGGTATTATATTGTAAATTTGTAGCCTTTAATCATAAGAATCCAAATGCTTTTTTCTTCATGAAATTCTTAATTGTCAGTATTTCTTAAGCACCAAATTGATCCCTCTGTCTGTCTCCTGAACCCAGTAATTTGTCATTTTTCTGGCATATGGTATTGCTAGTAAGTAATATGAAGCTTATAATTTCAGTATCCTCATCATGACAATTTTTTAAGGGATAGAGACACTGAAACTATATGAATATCTAAGATTAGTATCACTCAATTAAGAAGTATTCAGTGAGCCTTATGATATGCAAAACTCAGGACTCAAAAGATAGAGAAAGCCCCATTTACCCATCCCACTGGGACAATCAAAACTGGTATTTGGGATTCTTCAGCTTTGATATCTCTTATCCATTTGCAGCTACATCAGTTTTCCTACATGTCCAAATTCTGTAGTTTAAGAAATAATAGTATTTTTGATTATTGGTAAAGAGAAAATATTTTTAAATTTAGAGTTGTATTTAACTTATTAAGTGCTTGTTATTTATAAAGTGTTTCCCCCCAGTCACGAAGTATTCTAAGCATTCTACCATTTTCCCAATCACTAGTATTTCCCCCAATCACAAGCAAGTATTCTACCATTAAATGAATTTTTTTTTTGTTTTTTCCTTGAGACAGCGTCTTGCTCTGTCGCCCAGGCTGGAGTGCAGTGGTGCAATCTCGGCTCACTGCACGCTCCGCCTCCCAGGTGTACGCCATTCTCCTGCCTCAGCCTCCCGAGGAACTGGGACTACAGGCGCCCGCCACCACGCCCGGCTAACTTTTTGTATTTTTCAGTAGAGATGGGGTTTCACCGTGTTAGCCAGGATGGTCTCCATCTCCTGACCTCGTGATCCACCTGCCTTGGCCTCCCAAAGTGCTGGGATTACAGGCGTGAGCCACTGCACCCGGCCTAAATGAATTTTTAATAAGCATTGTAGGCATATAGCTTAAGTAAATATTTCATATTTGTAATGAAACATTGAAACATTTCTATTTTTCAATTGTCAGAGAAGATTCATGTAGTTTTTGAACAACCACAAGGGCATTTTGTCTTATGACAATATAATAACAGTATGGTTACAATTACTTTGTTTCTACCATCTTCCAAATATTTACTAGAATTTATAAGTGGTAAATTTGTGATCTTTTTACTTGGAGCAGTTTCATCACAAACCATTTAATAGTTTAGAAAGTAAAGACTCAGAGATGCTAAGTAATTTATTTAAGGTTACACAGTGACAAAGTTAGAACCATAGATATTTTCAATACTGAATTCTGTTCATTTTTCAAAGACTACCTGGAAAAGAAGTCTACAACCTACATTTTTTCCTATTTGCTGGTTTTTTAAATCTATATGTTCCTAGGAACATTATCTTCCTGGGAAAATAATGTTAACATAATTGAACCAGGACAATGAAAGAAATTGATCTGTTTGATCACATTGACATGAATTAAATTTTTAAGTAATTTAGAATTTTAAGTAATTTTAAGTAATTAAATTTTAAGCAACTTAGAAAAATATGTATACCTGGTTTCCATAATAAGATTAAAATTAGCAAGGCTGGGAAACAAGTGTTCACTTCTATTGTATCTGCATAGTTTACCTTCCGACAGAACTGAGACACTTCCGGTAGGACACAATAGGCATTTGATAAAAGTTTCTTGATTAAATGAATGACTTTTCCTTGATTAGGTTTCAGTGTTTCCATTTAATATTTTAAACTATACTCCTGGTACTTTTTTCATTTAAAGAAATGTGAATGATTACAAAAGGGCTAGGGAAAATGAATATGTATATACTGTAGGATATGGACAAAATTTTTATTGATTTGAAAATGCTGAGAATTATTCTACCATTGTTATACTAAGAAAAATATTTTACCATTTTGCAACCATTTGAACTTTAACTACCTCAGGTATATATGTTTCCCCTCTTATTATTAAATGTGAATCATGTTGGATTTGTTAATATATAGGTGAGAATGTTTTATTTTTATTTTTTTCTGGTTGCAACAATGCTGCAGAGTTTTTTGTTTTTATAATCAATGAATTGAAGAACAGCCCTTTGCATCTAACTCATCTCAGTATTATCTATCAATGTTGACTTTAGCAAGACCTTGGACAGTCACCACCACACAATATACTTTAAAGTTTTAAACACTGTTTGTTTTGGCTTGTTTTAGTCCAGCAATTGAGAAATTATTTAGTCATAGCCAATCTTACTTAGACACAGGAAAAACCATCAAATCATCATCTCCTTTTGAATCTGTGTGTTTTTTCGGGTGGCTACATTACTTCTGGGGATATTAAGTGACTCACATGTGTTGGGAAAACTCACAGTTTCCATGACTGTTCACATTTTTTTACTTTAGTATTTACCATTAGAAATGCTATTTTATCCTGCCAGGGATATGGGAAAGGGGGAGAGTTTCTTAAGTCTCTTTCTTAATAAAATTATTATTGGATATCCTATACATAAAATACTGGTTATTTTCTCATTTCGAAACTAAGAAGAACATGTAGTGAATATACTGGTTTTAAAAAGCAGTGATAATTGTGAGAATAATAACTTTTAGTTTTTAATTAGATGTCCAGATAAAAACCACAGAGAATTCTGTAACTTGGTTGAGCCTGATGTGATACACATCTGTAAACAGGACTGAGATATTGTAAATATTGATGAAAGTATTGCAGTGCAGAAGACTCGGAAATAGTGGACAAACTGATTTCCACTCATTTTCTACCACATACTACTCAGGAGTGAATAATACGAAGTTGAAAGGGTTTCCTGAGAGGGGGACCTCAAATCTAAAACATGTAATTTCCCACCATAAGAAATGGATAAAAATATGTTTTAATCTTCCTTTACTTAAATTATATTGTGCTCTACGTGGACCACTTTTCACTCTTGAAAAAAAAAATGCTAAGCTAAGTAGGGGTTGAAGTTCCCATTGTGTCAATAGACCTCAAGAATGTGGCAATATTTGGTTGTGTAATTAATTTGCTTCACAAAGCGAAGATCCCACCTTAGGATTTTTGGAACTGACACGGGAACTTCCCAAGCCCAGTCACATGTCATAGGACTAGTGAAATCCTGTTCTATGGGTCACTGGGAATCACAATAGAGCAATTCCCTCTTTACTCCTGGTTTCTAGAATTGGTATTGTCACTGCTCCAGAAGGTAGCAGGAAAGCCTGGGAGGGATGAGTTTGCAGGGCCAGTGAATTCCACATCCCTGCCACTGACAGAGCTTCCTGGGAACCCAAGATACACGTTTTACTCTGAAGAAACTTCCACATTCACATGGTTTCTGGCTGGAAGAAAGGTTTATTTGGGACTCTTTTATCTCTATCTTCCTGTGTTAATTTTGGTAGGATTTTGCTTTTGAGTCTAGAAACTGTACGATTTATAGAGGATAATTTTGTCATATTTTAAATCTTGGTTTCTACTCTTTTCCCCTTTTGTATGTCTTTCTGGGGAAATAGGTAACTGAGTGGCTTCAGAAAGCAACCTAAAAATATTTACATGCATGATTCATGCATGATTTTTTAATGCGTTCAAGTGTCAAGTTTCGGTTACTATCTTCATCAGTGTTCTGTGTAAAAAATTGCAACTGGCCCGGTAATAGTACCATTAGGACTCCAGCATGTAGTGCAAGTTAAGTGGGGAAGTGGTGTTGTAAGTTGCTAGACAGACATCAGTTAGTCTCTATTTTGAGCAAATATTTTAGTAAAAATGAATAAATAATTTTGTATTTGTAGATGTGTATGAGTGCACATTCATGACATGTAACATCTTTTCCTAAAATTTTATATTTAACTTTTGGAATAGAAATAAGTTTAAGACTGGGATATTTTGAATTTTTTAAGCTAAATATTACTTGAATGATCTATTTCACTGTATACTTCTTAGTGCATTTGATATTTGCCAGTCTCCTTACCCACTTTCTCCAACTAGTACAACCATGATCATATGTGGAAAAATTTGAAGTCACCATATGGGCAGGTGGCTTTTTTCTTATTATTTTTTATCTGTTTGTTTTATCTATACATGGTTCACAGCAAGTCTATACCTTGGTTCACATAATGATTGATTAAAATCATGGAATGTTTTTACTGTCTTTTAATGGGAGTTACTCTTGTGCTCTCAATGACAATACCAAGAAATAGGCTCCAAGGGGGTGAATGTCTGTCTACATATCAACCTATCTAGTTAATAGGATTCACTCTTTTGCTGTCTGTATATCTGTTCTATGTATGTGTGTATATGTTATTCATTTGAATTATCTTAAGAGCCTACTTGAATAGCTTGCAAAGGTCAGGGAGAGTTCAAATGATGGAAAAATGGTTTATTTTCTCCCTCCCCCTCCCCCTATCACTAATGCTAACTGATGAAGAGTGCCTGTGGTGTCCTTCAATTTAAAGAGACAACCTTGTTCATTTGGAGGGTGTGAATGCCATTCTTGTGAAATACTGTAAATAGTAATTCACAAGAGAGTGACTTTTTTATTGCCTTTACATTGATAACATGCCTTGCAAAGACTTACAGTTATCCTGCTGAATTTAAGAGAGATAAGAATGGAATGTGTGTGTTAATTTAAACATCTGTACATACAATAAAAGGATTCTTTATTGTCAGGAAATCAGATCCTATTATATATGTTTACCAACATTAGATAACTTTTAAAGTTGTTATCCAATATGTGAATATTGTATTATTTAGTTTTACCTCCCACTGCCTTCCTGAAATATTGAGAGTAGGGCTATGATCATTATATACATCACTGAGTCCACAGTTTGTAGAAATGCATTTGAATCACATCTAGAAGCAGTCTGATTTGTCATAGCAGCATCAGGTGCAGAGCAAACCTTAGTGACACAGGGACTGAGAATTGATGTCAACTGTGTGAGGGGCACGGCTTACAGTGTATTGAATTCGTACACAGCTTATTACTTAGTTCCATAAAAATATAATGCCCACATATAAAACTGATTTGTGAACATAAAAATTACAGACCAATTCGGTTCTCAAGAGAAATATCAGTTACCTTGAAAATCAACCCTGTATACCTTCGCAGTATCTAATTATTTTGTAAGGTACTGTAGAAACATTTGAGCATTTGAATGCCAAAAGCTGTTAAGTAAGTATAGTGTTGGAATGTTTAATGGCATTAATTATCATTTACACATGGGACTACCCCCTTCCTAAGGCCCAGGAGGCACTGGGCAATGGCTCACTGGGTTGTCATTAACTGTCGTTATTGCTACTAAAGTCAGCATCCTATTCATAAATATAAAGAAAAAATTAGTACTGAAAGTCACATCATTCTATATTACAGTATTTGTGTTGCTAACTAACTTATTGTTAGTGGTGCCAATTATATTGGCATTTTGAAATGTAGATGAATCTCAGTATTTTTATCACTTAAGTTAAAGCCTTTTATAAGAATTTTCTGCGTGTGTTGTATAATTTTCCCATTCTCTAGGGTTCTCCTGGTATGAAAAAAACACCCACACACCTTACAAAAGATCTGCAGAGGATTTTTGTTTTTATTTTAAATTTGATCATTTCTGAAAGGAACAGAGATCAACTCGGAAGGATAATCACCCAGACATGGATGCAAAGTTTTACCCTGGCCAGCTCAGGGTAAAACTTTCTCTAGCCTGAGATTTTGGTACTGTACAGTTAAATCATTCACATTTTTAATGAGAGAAGGGGACGGCAGCAGGGAAAACAGTTGTAGAAATTTTAGTTGTATGAATTTGAAATATTTTTCAACTATACATAGTGAGGGAGATGTTTTTCTTTATTTTATTAAGAAACTATTTACATTTAAGTTCCAGAGGAGTTGAAGGAGTGTGATTTATTTTTTAACCTAATATGCTTATTGCATTTTCTTTATGATCACTATTCCTGGATGTTATATCATTTCATTTTGGTTTCTGTTAAAAGAAGAAGTAACATTCCCACAGCTTTCTTCTATGTTGTTTCTTGATTGCTGTATTTCTTTGTTTTGGGGATGATTTGATTTATACATTGTTACAGCTTCAAGTGGCATGTTAGGAAATCCAGTTTTTATTTCTGATTTTGAATTCTTGTTTATAAATGTTTATTTGTGACTCTTAATTGTTACAGGAGTTCATGTGCCTACTGTGTGTATATAGAGAATATGCTTGGCAGGCTGAAATGCAAACTGTGGTTGTTATCATTGGTTAGCTTTTACCAAGTAAATCCATATAAAAGGACCAGAGTTGGTAAAATTAAAAAGTAGATGCCATTAAAATCGTAAGGCATAAATACAAGTTGTCAAAAATAACTATATCAAGTTTTCTACCCTCAGTGTCACTTAAAACATGCTCACAAAGGGCGTCACTGCCATCGTATATTGTCTATTGAGCACTAATAATTTGCTAGGTACAGAAAAAAGCATTGCAAAGAAGTAACCATGATTTCAGACAAAAATGTGAAACAGGATTTGGGAGACTTTGAGCTCACATTGTCAGGAGACTCTGGGGTTTAGCATTCTGTTTCATGTGGAGACCCACAGTTAATATGGTCCTTGTTGAAACTTAAAACAGCTCTATTAGTAGCTTGATTGAGAAGGGGGAAGAGGCCTAGAGTAAACAAAAATGTACGGTTTCAAGACAGCCTAATTGTATACAGTACATTTGCTTCCGCAGTTCCTTCTAATCCATCAAATAGTAAAACACACAAACACACAAATTTATTCTATTAAAGTAGATAAAATTGTTAGGTAAGTATAATACGTAGGCCATGAAGGGGGAATAGCATCTATTTAACAATTCTTTATTATTCAGAGGATCATAGAAGTACTGTTGCCTGCCTGTTGCATTCAATCAAGTTGGATAAAATACTGATTTGGAGGAAACTATGAAAGTATTTGCTTACACCTTAAAAAAAAAAAAAAAAATCCTCCCGAGCATTGGTGATGAGAGTCCCAGGGGCAGAAGAGAATTCAGTTTTGAGAAGTGAAATAGTTATTGGTTCTCCTTTGCCCCCATTCCTATGTTTTACTTTGGTACAGCCCAGGAAAGCTGCACGGCAGTCGGAACTAATTGTAACTCACTCAGGAAAGTCTTCATTAGCACTACCACACATGGTTACCAGATGTGCTGAGAGGCAGGAGAGAGGAGGGGCGAGGCATCCAGAGAGGGGAGAGAAACAAGTAGCTTCATTTTAAAAGTTAATAATCTGCCTTTTGTTTCCAAGTGTATTGTGTTAGAGAAATGAGAGAGAAGGGAGCTTTGGAAAATGAAATGCCTTCTCATTCACTCATTCTCTGGAAGCTGAATGGAATTCTTTGTCCTCTTCAAAAAATTAAAACTCTTGGTGACAATCAATCTGTTGGAGATGTTTCACTTTCTCCACTGGAGAAAATTAAAATTACCTGGATTATCAAAACAGTTATGTTTCTCTAAAGTCTGAGACTGATAGTCCTAAATTTGGTGTCTTTGATTATAGACTGGACTTATAAAATATAGACTGGACTTACAGACTTTGATTATAGACTGGTCTTATTATGACCTATAAAAAACGCTGTCTTCAGATGACAAATCCCAACTAAGCATCATTGAAAACAAGCAAAAAAAGGGAACTATATTGTGGTTTTGGCTATTCCTAATCCTATCTGACTCAGGCTAGCGTAAGGTAGCATTGTGTCTTCTTTTATACAACTGTGCTATTAGCAGTAATGAGTACTGATTCCAGACCCTTGTGATTAAATATTTTATTTGTTCTACCTACAGACGGATTTTCTGGAAATTTGAATTCATTCATACTCATTGTGCTCAACAGAGATTAAATAAAATCACAAAGATTTCTACTGTTTCTGAAGGTGTTAATCACCATCTTCTTACTTACCTGTAAGTCTACGTCAGTAGATGTAGATTGCTTTAGAAGGCTTGTGAGAACCATCCTGTCTGAATTAAACTTCTGGTCCTCAAAATGGAACTTTTTGATGCTGCAGAAAATTGTAACTTTAAAAAATAGCATTGTGGAACTGAATTTTCATAAAAAGCCTAGAAACTTTATTTTTTTAAGCTGGGATTGATACTCTTTTTTTAAATCACTTTGTAATGGTCCTGTGAGTTTCAGAGCACTTTTTAAAGTTAGACATAAAAAATCTTGAAAACTTATTTTGACAAATAAATATTTCATTAAAATCTTAAATTCTATAACTGAAAATTTCAAGACTGGCTAGGTATTTAACTTACAATTTTAGGACAGTGACTTTTGGGCTGAGGTTTTATTATTTTCATTCCTCTTTCTGCAGAATTGTAAAGTCACTTGGAAAAGATGTATAACAACAAATTAAGATAAGTTACTGGCTTTGGAGAAACATGATTTAGATTCATTTTCTACTTCCCTAAATGACCTCATGGTATTTCAACCTTTTGGGGTCATGAAACCATTTTAAATTTTGATTAAATCTGTAGACCTCCTCACAAACGTGCTTATACACAAACTTTTAATGTAATTCAAGATTCAAAATCCAACTTCCAGTTTGAGAATCCCAGTTAGGGCCTTCTAATATTAAAAGAAAGAAAGAACAAAAAGTCCAAGTGTTACAAAGTGTGAAATATATAACCTGCTATATTTCATCCTAATAAGCAGCAGAAGAGAGTGTAGTTTGAAAGTAATTTAATTGAAAATAAAATGCTATTCATTAACAGATTTAGTTGCTACTGTTAGAATGAGATGCCCCTACATTTAATTTCCTTAGTTAAGTTTTAAATTTCTTTCGGATAGTAACTATAACTTCTCTTTCACTTATATTTCCCACCGAGTTTAGTAGTTTTACCTACCTGGTACTTACCTGGCATGGCCTGGTTGAATGAATGAATGCATAAGTTGATTTTAAATGTCATTTACAAGTAGTTACTACAGTTAACAGCAGGAAATGCTAGCACACCAGATTAATTCTTCATACAAAATTTGCTATGAAAATGTTACCTATAATTATAGATTTTAATCATTGAACAAGTGAAATATATTTGATGATAAATTTTTATTTTCTATCCAAACCTTAGTATAGCAATTATATTATTAATCAATGTTGACTGATTATATTATAGGTGAAATTATAAAAGGTACTGATGTTTTCAGGAACTAAATTCAGTTAGATGGTATTTTAAAATGAAGATTTTATGAAATTTTAAGATAAGAATGGTGTATGATAAAACCTCATATTTGTAATGATACCTTTTTTTTTCACCATGGCTTATGTTATTCTTGTGCTGCCTATGGGTTTTCTGTTTAAAAATCAAAACAATGTTAAAGCATTGATGTGTATATATTAGGTATTACTATAATTTGCCCATAGTTTATTTCCTCCCCAACAGTTTCAGTGTTACCAGTTACCAAATCCAGTCTACTTACTATTTAAATGTTGAGTTTTTGTTTAGTTCTCCTCTTCCCCATTCTAATTAAACTTAGGTTTCATCGTTGCTTACTAATAGTAACAGCATTTTAAATAACTACCTGGCTTCCGGTTTATATTCAATATTTTCTCTGCTATAATCCTTGTAAAACATCTATTTGGCTATCTCATGCCTATGCATAAGATAATTTTTTTTCTATTTCCATTCTCTTATGGATAAAATTACAAAATTGCATTTGGGACCATAGAACTTTATAATGTCACTCCTGCCTTAGTTCTTGCCATTCTCCGCACATTGTTATCTCCAGCCATACTCAATTGCTAAGTTACTCTGAGTCTTTTATTTTTTTTTTCATGCTGCATGCCAATGATTCTCATTCTTTAGGATGTGTAAAAACAGGGCATTATATAATATTTTTATGGGTTAACACAGAGTGCTAAATTAAAATTTATAAATGACTTAAGATGACTACTGACTTGTAAGTTAGAAACTAGTGTACATAGGATTCGAATCAGGAAAATTTTTAAAATATATTTTTTGACCAGCAACTCCCCAGCCTCCTTCATCCACCTCTGCAGCTCCTGGTAACCACCATTCTACTTTCTACTTCTGTCAGATCAAGTTTTTGAGATTTCACATGTAAATTAGAACATACAGTATTTGTCTTTCTGGGCCTAGCTCCTCCAGGTCCATTTATGTTGCAAAATGATAGGATTTTCTTTTTTTAATGGTCAAATAATATTCCACTGTATAGATGTATCACATTTTCTTTATCCATTCATCTACCACTGGACACAGGTTGACTCTGTATCTTGGCTATTGTGAATAATGCTACAGTAAACATGAGAGTGTAGATATCTTTTTGATATACTGATTTCCTTTGTGTATATATATATATATAACTAGTAGCAGGATTGCTGGATCATATGGTAGTTCTATTTTTAATTTTTAAATTTTTTGAAAACCTCCATACTGTTTTCCATAATGGCTGTTCCAATATACATTCCCACCAACAGTATGCAAGGGTTTCGTTTTCTCCACATCCTTGCCAACACTTGTTACCTTTCGTCTTTTTCATAATAGCATTCTAACAGGTGTGAGGTGATACCTCATTGTAGTTTTAATTTGCATTTCCCTGATGATTAGTGATGTTGAGTACTTGTTCATATACCCATTGGCCATTTGCATGTGTTCTTTTAAGAAATGTTTATTCAGGTTCTTTGCCTATTTTTTAAACTTGATGATTTGTCTTGTTGCTATGAGCTATTTTAATTCCTGATATATTTTAAATATTAACCACTTATCAGATATAGGATTTGCAAATATTGTCTCTCATTCCATAGGTTGTCTCTTTACTCTGTTGGTTGTTTCCTTTGCTATGCAGAAGCTTTTTAGTTTGATATAATCCCATTTGTCTATTTTTGCTTTTGTTGCCTGTGCTTCTGGTCATATCTGAAGAAGGATTGCCCAGATCAATGTGATGGAGCTTTTCCTGTGTGTTTTCTTCTTGTAGGTTTGCAGTTTTGCATCTTACATTTAAGTCTTTATTCTATTTTGAGTTGATTTTCTATATGGTGTGAGATAAGGATCTAATTTCCTTCTTTTGCATATGGATATGCAGTTACCCCCAGTGCTATTCATTGAAGAGACTATCTGTTCCTCATTATATATTTTTGGCACTTCTGTCAAAAGTCAGTTGGCTGCAAATGCCTGGATTCATTTCTGGGATCTATGATGCCCCATTGGTCTACGTGTCTGTTTTTATGCCAGTATCATGCTATTTTGATTACTATAACTTTGTAGTATATTTTAAAGTTAGGTAGTATGATGCTTTCAGTATGTTCTTTTTGCTGTAGATTTATTTGGCTATTTGAGGTTAGAGGAGAGTATTTTTATTAGTGAACTATCAAAAAAATAGTATTATTTGTGTTTTACAAAGTTGGCATAATATAGCCACAAAGAGCATACTTTCTAGAGCCAGATGGGCTCAGTTCAAACCCAAGCCCCTTCATTATTTACTATGTAATTGAGCTTGTGACTTAACCCTCTGTGCTTCAATTTCTCTTCGGTAAAACGAAGGTGAAAACAACACGTACCTCATAAGGTTGCAATGAGAATGAAAGGTATTAATACACATGAAGCAGTGAGAACTGAGCCTGGCACATATGAAGTGCTACATAGATGTGGTTAGTTTACAATATTAACATTTCTTTACTCTTGCATTACACATAACTATCCAAAGATACCATACCGAACAAAATGTTAAATGTTGGTTGTCCTCCTATTAAAAACATAATTTCATTTTCAAACTAGTATATTTTGAAATTTGTTAGGGCTTCTTTCCTAATTCCTTCTTCTTTCATGAACTTAAAAGAGCATAAGGACTTAAAAGTAAAATAAGAAGGCAATGATCAACATTTTTGAAAAATAAAAATAAATGCAATTAGGAGCTCAACGCAGTTAAACAAGTATTCACTTGTCAGGCAAAACTGGAGCAAAACTGAGTTCTATCTAAAGATTAAAATGGGCTGGGCTCAGTGGTTTATGCCTGTAATCCTAGTGCTTTGGGAGGCTGAAGTGGGGGGATCGCTTGAGTCCAGATGTTTGAAACCATCCTGGGTAACATAGGGAGGTCTCATCTGTACAAAAAACTAAAAAAACAGCCAGGTGTGGTGTTACATATCTGTAGTCCTAGCTACTTGGGAGGCTGAGGTGGGAGAACAGCTTGACCTTAGGAGTCCAGGGCTTCAGTAAACTAGGATCATGCCAGTGTACTCTGGCTTTAGTGACAGAATGAGACCCTATCTCTAATAAATAAGTAATAAATAAATAAAATGTTGGAGAAGTTTTGGCTCTTGGTAAATATTCTATTAAGGTACATTTAACTGCAGTGTAAAACTGATGAGGAAATACACGGATTTAAAAGGAACTACAGTCAATAGAAAATAATGTGTATTTGCTGTTAAGACTACTATTATCATTGGAAAAGTCTACATTTAAAATAATTTTGCTGTGTCTCCTGTATATGAGTATATTTAGTCCTTATTATTAATCAGAAAAATAAAATATGGTTATTTTTGAAATGTAATTGGTTTGGTTATGTATTTTTGAAATGTAATTGGTTTTGCTTCTAAGCAGCGCCAACTTATTTGTTGACTTAAATCCTCAACATTCTTGTATTCTGCATAAAATGTCCTTTCTCTTACTGTTTTCAGAAACAAAACCATATTTTAAACCCACTAAATAATATTAAATAGATGTTTGCTACTAATTAGTGTATGGTTTGAATTGTAATTATGTCATCCAAAGGGACTTATAAATATTGTCTAGTTAAAATGTGATTCAGTCTTCAATCATTCACAGAGGCATACATTCATTATTATTCATTTAAGGCTCTCTGATTTGAGCTCTAAATGTAATCCAGGAAAAGATGGGGGGATTTTACTTTTATTGTCATGATTTAATATAGCAGATCCTTTAGTTATCATCCCGTACTAATCCAGGGATTCTTATAACTTCTTAGAGTCTGTTATTTGATTTTTAAATCAGTCTGTTTATCATACCAGCCTAGTAGCATGCAAATTCAAGCAGCTAGAAGGAAGGTGCGACATCTCCTTATGGGACAATCAATATATGGTTTTCTGTTGTCCAAATTTTAGTTTAAAGGAACCTCTGTTTTAGATATTTGATATATTACTACTTTAAAACTCTGATCCGTGCTCCTATTAATCCAAATTATTAAGAAACAAGCAAATTCATTCATCCAACAATATTGAGAAGGCATTGCTGTGTGACAGGCACTGTGCTGTGCTGGGAGTTTTGCACCAAATGAGACAGTTATGATCTCCTGCCCTCAGGGACATTGAGACTAGAAGACAGTATGGTCACCTTATAAGTACATGGTGTAATTACAAAAGTGTTGGTGACTGCTACAGACATTTTGACTGTACAGAGGCATAAGAGGGAAGTGTCATAATCTAGGTGGCCAGGGAAACCTCCCTGCCTGCTCCCTGCACCCTAAACCACAGAAGTCATAGAATACTATTTTCTAAATCTTGGAAGTGAGAGAAAGCATGATGAAATCTAGGAATTGCAAGATGAGGAATACAGAGTAACAGGGAGCACAATGATCAACGCAGTTAGGAGGAACCCGATTGGAGAAGGCCCTGCTAACTTGTTAAAGATGTTTTTCGTGGACTTGTGGTGTGAGGGGAAAAGTCTGTTGTGACTGGTTTCGCATTTTCAAAAGATGACTCTGAATGCGGGGTGGAGAATGGATTGAGGATGGTGACTTGGATTGGTGAAGGAGTGGATTCATGACAAAGGATTTTGCATATGAGGGCCTCCTCCGTAGTGTCCAAGTTTTGCTTTCCCATCCCCCTCCTTGTGACTTTTCATCTGGTCTTCAAACTTACCATCTTACATGGTAAGTTGAAAGGTTATTCAGACGACCACTTGAATAAACCTTCAACGAAAGAACACAGCTTTGGGGCAGCAAGTAGAGGGGGAGTTACCATCCCACTACTCTGCCTCTTGCTATGCCTCTGCCCCAAGTGGAGTGATGTGGGCATGGCATCAGAGTTAAGAGACATTTAGGATGATGCATAAGTAGTACCTAGTCATTTACTGCATGTTGGGGATAATTCTTGTGTTTCTAGCTTTGGGGTTTCAGTGAATGGCAATGTCACTTGGAAAACATTGAGGAAGTTGAGAGACAGAATGATTATTAGGTGCCTGCAAACCATCCAAATGAAGATGTGAAAGGCAGTAGAATATGGTAGTCTAGAGTCAGGAGAGCAGATCTGAGTGTTGTTTTTAATACAGATGGTGCCAGAAGTCATTGGAGTAATTAACACAGAAATAAAGGAGAGGGCCTAGGGTGAGTCATGAGGAGTTCAAAATTTAAAGATCTGGCTAAGGAGCCTAGAATCTCAGAAGCTAAGGTGGAGGGTGTTTTGAAGAAGTAGGAGTATTTTGTAGTTGCAGATAGGCTGTGGAATTAAGTAAAAGAAAGAAATATGTAAATAGTGTCTATTTGTTTTATCAACATGATCAGTTTTAGTGGATTGGAATTGGCTGAGTATTAAATCAGAAACAATTTTGACAAGAATCCATGTTAGGCAAAGGGACTATAACTACAACAATATGATACAAAGCTTTCTGGGTCCTCCTGGCTTTAAAATTAACCTTTAAAGGCTCAGCTGTTTATAAATCTTTCTTAAATGCTTCATTACTACTGTGGCCTCAGATTTTATATTCACGATCATGGCAAAGTCCTCAGAGCCTGGTGTGAGTCTTCGATGGCAGTGCACAATTCCCTCAGTGGCTTCCGCTTTTCCTGAGTGAATGAGTTTACATTAACACAGTTGCAGATTTGCTATGGAGAACTTTAAAGAACTCTATGCATACAATTTAACATTCCTTTTTTTTTTTTATCTAATAGACAGGGTCAGGTGTGTGCCACCACGCCTGGTGAAATTTTTTTTGTTTTTTTTTTTTTTGCTTTTTTTTCCCATAGAGACAGGGTTTTGCCTTGTCGCCCAGGCTGGTCTCAAACTCCAGAACTCAAGTGATCCACCTGCCTTGGCCTCCCAAAGTACTAGGATTACAGATGTGAGCCACCACACCTGACCACAATTTAACATTCATAGCCAGGGTTAACATCTTCTCTATGGTCAAGGCCTCACCAGTTCTATCCACAGTACCAGTGGGATTTTCTCAGCCACTATTAAATTACAATCAGTGAATTTTTTTAAAAAGTTCTTGGATATCTCTTTTGAGATAATAAATCTTTTATACTCGGAATATCTAATGCAGAGTTGGAGAAATATCCATGTTAAGATTTTGTCATCTTCTGTAGTCCAGGAAGTAAAGATCACTGGAACCTTCACTCCCGTGGTTACCCCGTCAAAATCATTTCCTTTAGGAAGCAAAAGAGCCAAACTGCCAAATTTAGTTTTCCTGTGCTTCCTTCTTCATTGTGTTTACTTTAAGCATCATGAGGTATTTTGTTTTCTTCTTACTATCTTTTAAGAGTGGAGCTATGTTAAGTCTGGTCATTTAAATAGATGCTGAGCCATATTAGGTTGTTCAGAGTCTAAGAATATTTTTTAAATCCAGTGATCTAACCTATTGTAGGGGTGTGGATTAGAAAGCACATCTTGTAATCAGGAGCTAATTGTGAAGCTTACAGAGTTCCTGTGTTTATTATTCTTTTCCAACTAATCTTAATATTCACCTGAGTGAGATCCAGTTCACTCTTCTGATTCATATCAGAGGAACATTGGATGGTCACAAATGAGTATTTTTATTCTATGGAATTTTTTCAGTAATTGCAGTCATTGGTATTTTTTAGGTGTGCTATTTTATTTGTGAATTACTTTGAAAGTTTTATTGGCATTTTGACATTGCCCGCTTGTTTATCAGCTGTCAACTAATTTTGGAATTTGAGGTAAATGTTTTACTCTTCCCTGTAATAAGCATTAGGTACCACTAGATAGGGGTAGAGAGTCTTTGCAGCCTAAGAAGGATCCATTCTTCTGTGAATATTAAAAGGCCAGACAGAGAGTCACTGTTCTCTGTATCTAAAATAATATTTTCTTTGGGAAAACTGCTAGCAAATTTCTTATGTTAAAAAGTAGAAATGGAGATGTTTAAGCAAGAGAACTAGAGTTGAGCTAGTAACTTTCAATTCTTTCTCTCTAGACTGGATTCTTTTCATTGTTTACATAACCTTCAAACCTTTTGCATGAGTTTAGAGAAATACGTTTCTTTTTCCTTAGACACAAGTCATGTTTACCAGGATCTCAGATTTCTGGTGGCCTCCGCTTTGGATTACAATCTGTGTATTTCCATCTTTCCATTTCTCACTCTCATGTTAGCCTTCAACACAAAGGCCCATCCTCCTCAACTTTGCTCTCATCCCACCATTTGGGAGCTTTCTGTTTTCTCTTGTCTTTTCTCTTTTATATTTTATACATTAAAAATAGCATCGTCAGTTTTGAAGTATTTTCTACAGGTTTCTTTACATCATTATTAGTTTTTTCTCAAGTCATTGCAAGTTTAAAATTTAGTAAAAGATAGGATTTTAGTAAATGTTTAATTATAGAACTCAGGTCATCACTTATTTTAGTAGTCACTTTTTATATGCATATAGGTTATCTTGTTCAGAGAAATCACCTCTGGAATTCCTATAGGGTAGAGAAGTTTGATGTGAATTATCAGTCTTACTCTACTTGGCTCAGTGAAAATCTAAGTGCTTATACTCAAGCTTTATAATCTTTTCATAATCAGAAATAAAATTCTGAGTACTCAGAGTTACAGATTGGTCATGTTATGGAGATTAAAGGTTGTAGTCCCTTTTAATATATTCTGTCCAATGCTAACACAGTATAGATTCCTACTTGTTACCTTGACAGCATTTGTGAGTGCAATAATTTGGAATTAGTGTTTGAAAATTATTACACATATTTAGAAATGTCTGAAATGTAGTCAGTTTTAGTCAGCTCAACTTGTTTTGAAGCAAAATATTCATCTTGAGCAAATGCCTAAGAATTCCCGTATTCTCTGAATTCTGGTAGTTATTTTTAAGCTATACTACTTACTTTTTATAGCTGTCACATAGCAGTTATTTGGGAGGTTAAATCTGAGTTGATTTGTATTGCTATAAAAATTGTTTTCAGTTAATGTGATACAGTGCAATGTAGATGGAAATAACAGACTGTATGCTTTCATTGTCTTAATATAAAATTCACTTGATGTTTTGATTGGGTGAATGAAATACACTTTACAAGAAATCAAAAGAAATTATTTTGTAGTTAAAACACAGTAGACCTTTACAATGTGTAAAATAGAAGTTTGTCCTGGAAAGTAAAATAAACTGCTTTTGACCATTGTATTCCATTTTTCATTATATTCCAAAATACTGAGGCAATAATTTACTTCTTTGTATTTTAATAACTTATTAAATAATCTCCTCAAAATAACCTATCTTAGGCTAAATTAGTTTCTAACATGAGACTGCCTGGCTAAATGCTTATTGCAGTTACAGTATATTCAGAAAAAAATAACAGCATAATTAAAATCTGAGACTCTGGATTTCAAAAGCATGGTTCTACCACTTTACATATGATAACAGGACACGTAAAGATAATTGACTTTTATTCCCATTGTTTCCCACATTTTCCTCACTTGTCAAAGAGATAATGAAAGCATCCTGAGGGTGGGGATTATGTTTATTTTACTCACTGCTATATTCACAGTGCCTGGCAATCATGCAATAAATAATGAATTAATTAATAAACAGATACCTGCAGCACATGGCTCAGTTTTTAAAAGATAAATAAAATAGACAAATAAATGTATATGTAGCTGAGCATATGACATTTAATTGATCAATTAATGGGGAATCACTTTTATCATTCCTCCATGTCAACTCTAAAAATAAATGCATAGATAACCCCAAATTTACCACTACCTGTGCCAATGTCAAAACTCAGTAAAAGGAACAATGAAATTTAGCAATTAAGTTGGTCACTTATTTTGTTGAGTGTAATTTGAAGTAATGTTTACAAACTATCTAAAAGAGTCAACAAGTTCTGTATTGAGATAAATTTTCCTTCTCCAATCAGACACTGTAAGACTTAAACTGTCTGCAAGATAATTATACATTTTATTACTGGGATTTGGACAGCTTCTCTGGGTTTCAAACTAATATGAAAAATTTAACATTCATCCAGTTTCTGAGGTTTGTCTTAAATATGCAGATCAAGTAATACTGGTTTTGGGAAAGGAAATGAAGTGGCTTTAAGAAGAAACTTGAAGAATAATCCTCAGAAAGCTCTGTTGATGCAGCTGTTCTATCATGTGTAACAAACATCTGAATGTGCTTCATGAATGTGCTCATTATTTGATAGTTGTATGTCACATAAAGAACATGGCTTGCATAAATACTCCCTGGGAATTATGATTCACAGATAAATTTGTAACTTTTTTGGTAGCCATTAAATTGAAATAGCAGACTTTATGTTTCAGATATGGGGTTGATTTGGAAAAAGCACTGCCATTACACCTTTGAATATCTCGGGAGGTAGAAATTATTGTTTTCCCTTGAGAAGTCACCCAACCCAAACAATAGCAATAAAATTTTAAGGAGGAAAGCATGCCAGTTTTTTTTTTTTACCCATGGTCAGAAGTTTTGTTGGGGGCGCTAATGTCCTCAGTGATTGCAACTGCCATTTTCCAGTGTGTTATTAAAGCCATTTATTCGTTCATTGGTGTATTCACCATTCAAACAATATACTTAAATGCTTTTCAGTTTAATTTAGTGGAAAATTAAATTAAGGAATGGCTCTCCTCTTGCTAAGAGGACCGTCCTCTTCAGCCATGCTTATGGCTTAGGCATGGGCATGTGTATGGAGCAGTAATATAAAACTGAATCAGCCCTGCCAATCCTTGGGAGCAAGGTGCCACTCTAGTGTGGAAAACATTGTGCTTGGCACTGGGAAGGGACACCAGTGAACTGTTTTCAAGTACTAGAGATTTTGTAGAATGGTAGGCAAATTACAATGGCTACACAATTCTGATTGTATCTTGACTACTTCCACTTACAGGATTTTAGATGTTTCCTCCTGTATTTAGGATGACACCAGCATTCTTAACATGGCCTACAAGGCTGCTTTTTTGTTCTAGGGTCCTACCTCTTTAGACTGATCTTGTGCTGCTCTCTGCCTTGCCACCTAAGTTCTAGACTCATGTCCCTTTCAGACTAATCCACTTGTCATGCTCTCTCAGACAAGAGGCTCTGCCTCTTTTGTCTCTCTTTTCATCAAGTTCAACTTGTATTCTTACTTTATATCTGAGAAAAAAGTATCACTTCCTCAGGGAAATTTCTCACAGCCTTAATAGGATAAAACCTCATGCTATCATGTATTCTCCTAAATAACACGTGAGATGTTATGATTCTGCGTTTGTTTATGATCTGTCTCACTGACTGAACTGTAAAGACCATGTCAGCAAGAATGTTGTCTGCTATTAGATAGCATTTTATCTCCAGTGCCTAGCATAGTGCCCGACACATAGTAGGCACTCAATAAATATTTGTTCAATGAATAAGAGATAAAGAAGTGAACAAATACATAATATACATGAGAAAATAATATGTTCGATAAGAGAAGTCCCACCAAAGCACTAGGGGAGTTCAGAGGAATAAATGAATTCCCCAAATGACTAAACGTAGAGTACATGAAGGTGACAACTATTATTGCATTCCTTGAAGAAGGCAGAGGCTGAAAATTTTGCCACATCACATTGGATGATACGAATTCTGATAATCCACGATGATGAGCATCTCTCTGACAAAGCGTACTTCGTTAAGCACTCCAGTGAATCATCTCATAGAAGGATTACATTCGGCATCATTATCGTAAGATACCGTGCTGATTCCATTAGGCCAAAGGGCTATCTTGGAATTCTTATATTAAAATCTCTGAAGATTATTATTTTGTCATTTGAAAGAACTATCTAGTTTGCTACAATTTCATTTGAGGAACACTGGGTCTTGATTATACAAGACGATGTTGTGATGGTCCTGAGAGTTTACCATTAATAGCTCGTTGGTGTGGACAAGGTGAAAAGCGTTAATGCTGTGGTGTATGTAAGTCGTCACATCTTCAAACCACTTAATCCCTTCTTGCTAATCAGAGTCGGCCATTCTCAGCCTACATTAGACCTTAGTGCAGTCTCCAAGAGAAGAAAACCCCAAATGTGGGTGAAACTAGAACTGCTGGGGTAGGGGTGGGTGGTTGTCATTGCCCTTCAGGTCTCCTGAGCCACTTAGACCTCTGTCCCCATCTCATGCAGGGCTTCTACTCAGCCATAGGAGAGAACCTTGCCTTCTGATACCTTCTGAAATCTCCTGGACTGTACCTTCCATGCACTTCCTTTGTGTTTAATAGACAGAAGTTATTATTGTCATCTCTCAGTAGATGTACTGGAGTAAGAAAACCTTCCCAATGCCCTGCCAATGATGTCACTCGCTCCTGTGGTGGTTGTGACTCTGTCGCTGCTGGTGAAGACCTTTCTCAGGAAAAGGAGCAAAGTCTGCAGGCTTTTTGCCAACAGTGTCCAACTTACTCCATAAACCAGCAGTTGTTGGGATGTTTTCTGCAGGGCAGACCTCTTATTTCTTTAATCACTGGTAATAATGATGTTTTTGTCATATTAAAGGGGAAAGAAGAGAAGCGATTGAGAATAGTTTGAGAGGATGACTGTGCCGTCTCTCAGGTCCAGTGACAAGAGGACTACAATGGGTAGCTTTCAGAACTACATATGGTCTTCCTTCCGAGGGAGTTGATTAAGCGACTCCGGATGAAATTGAAATCCTGTGATTTGACCTTTGTCTGGCCTGGGAGGGCTGCAATTCGCATAACAATTTCCTTTTGTTCTTTGTTTGGAGTTATTAATCCAACATGAGCCTCGAATTAATCAGGGGTAGTGCATAGCTACATTTCTAATTCACAGCTCCGCAGCTTGTGTCTTTTTTAATTAAGGCCGAATGATAGCAGACCTTAGCCCTGATTGCCACACTTGCTAACCACACATTGAGGGATGAAGAGGCTAAACAGGCAGAATGAGATTACTTCAAGGTTTCTCTTAATTGTTTTCTTCCTTTAAGTAAAGAGCACTGCCTGAACATTGTTAATTCTGAGCTGGGAGAGTTTCTTTTGTCTGTTTTTACTTGTCTTGACTTTGGAATAGGGTGGAGAGAAACCCAGGTTTGTGTTAGTAACCTCAGGTGTAACGATCAAAGGGATTACTCGAGTCACAATTTCAGTTATTGATTTGAACTACATCATCATGGGGCATCAGGGGTTGGTTAATGTTGGGGCCCAAGTCAAAGAACTTTGACCTTTAGTTACCTACATATTGTATAGAGTTTGGTGCCTTTGATATCCTTAAGGACTGCTCAACATTGATTAGTCAAAATTTTGTAGGAGTAAATCAGTTTAAAAATTACTCTAATGTGACTTAAATTTTCCAGAATTCAATATCACATGGTTCTTTTACTTTGTTCAAAGGGATTTAATTACTAAAAGGGCCTAATTATAGTTTAGCTCCACCAAACTTGCTTTGGCACACAGTGTGGAACCAGGATACATCCACGTGAGGTTTTAGTAATAACTTTTTTCCCTTTGGTAAAAGTAATTAATTGCCTCCATTCCCTCAACTGCTTCTCGTAGTTTAAGAGGGAAATATAATTTACAGATCTAGATCAAATGATGTTAAGTAAAATGGAGCTTCAGTTCACCAAGTTACTAAGCCTTTCCCTGGAAGAGAATGGCTTCTTATAGTAGTAAATCAACTCTGAGACACTGGGCACATTTAATTAACCACAGTTGCAGTGAACTTGTGAGGATCTTTGTGCAACTCCACAGGTAACTTACTCCTACCTCCAAGTGTCTGACTAACCTAGGAGAAATTGACTCTTCATCAACATATATTTTAAGCTTTATACCAAGATGCAGTGTGAAATAAACATAGCTGTTTGCTTGCTCTATGACCATTTCCTTTCTGAGAATCAGGCCTTAGAATAAACAAACAACAAACAAATAACAGGAAGATGGGCCAGTGGATCCCTATGGTTCCTTCCATCTTTAAAACTTTATAATTCTATATATCTGTAATTCATTTCCAATCCCAGATTTGGCAATTTATTTTTCTAGTTCTGTTTTGAATCTATGAAAATTAGTAGGCCACCCTTGAGTAGAGATGTCTATATGTTATCTAAAGAATTAAAGGCTGGAAAGCATTTTCATTTCAATGCATTATATTTGGGCATGGTGGCTTATGCCTGTAACCCTAGCATTTTTGGAAGCCAAAGGAGGATCACTTGAGTTCAGGAGTTCGAGCCCAGCCTGGGCAACATAGTGAGACCTCATCTGTACAACATTTTTTTTCTAAAAGTTGGACGGGCATGTGGCATGCAGCTGTAGTCTCAGCTACCAGGTGGTGGAGGGGAAGGGTTGCTTGTGCTCAGAAGGTTGAGGCTGTAGTGAGCCATGATGGTGCCACTGCACTTCAGCTTGGGTGACAGAGTGAGACCCTCAAAAAAATGCATGATTATATTTTAAATTGATCAATGTTATATTGTGTTTGCTAATTTTTAAATAAGAATTTTGTGTGAAGGGCAGTATTTTAGAGAATATAATTCAATTTCTAAAGGAAAGGACACTGAACTGGGAGTCAGGGAACCTCATGCCAGGTTATAGCTCTGCTTTTATTTTTTATTTATTTATTTTTTTTCCAGACAGAGTCTTACTCTGTTGCCCAGGCTGGAGTGCAATGGGTGTGATCTCAGCTCACTGCAACCTCCGCCTCCCAGGTTCAAGCGATTCTCCTGCCTCAGTCTCCTGAGTAACTGGGATTATTGGCACATGCCACCATGCCCAGCTAGTTTTTGTATTTTGTATTTTTGGTAGGGTTTTGCCATGTTGGTCAGGGTGATCTTGAACTCCTGACCTCAGGTGATCCACCTGCCTTGGCCTCCCAAAGTACTGGGATTACAGGTATGAGCCACCACGCCCAGCCAGCTCTGCTCTTATAAATATGACCTAAAGTGTTGAAGTCTCATTTCCAACTTATGCAAAATTTAGATTCCTTCAAAGCCTGATTTTCTGTAATTCTAATAATTTCATCACAATTAGGACTTTGAAACCAATGCATCAGATACGTTGAATATTGTGTTTTTCTTTCCTAAAATATATTCAGCTGTTTATGGATAAATACGTAGAAAATTGCAGGTAAAAAAAATCTAAGCAAATGATAAAACAGCAACAAACTGCAAGGGAGAAGATATTTTAGTCCATATTTTAAATTCTAATTTTCACTTTTAGAATGTTTTAGAAGAGGCTGTGAAATGGACGTGGTCAGGGAAGCTGGGCTGAAAAGAAGAATCTCTGGGAAAGCCGGTGATGTAGGGGCAGATAAAGGAAGATGGAGGTGTGAAGGAAGGATTTAATAGGATGAAAGTGATTTGAGCATGTGTATATAGGTTAAGGAGAATGAGCTGGTAGAAGATATAAGAAGGTTTGGGAAAAACTGATGGAGCAAGATCCTGAGTTAACGGGAGCAGAGTGGATCCTAATCATTAGTGGGGGTTAACCTCAAACGGGGGAAGATGCCTAGTCCCCTGACAACGCATCTTTCCTGCAGAGATGTTTTAAGGAGGGTTGCAGAAAGTGATGTGTGTGTGGACGAGGCAGGTAGTACATCTCTGTGGGAAGTGAGGTCATCTGAAAGTGACGGTGATAGGGAAGTAAAGAAAATGGTGAAGGTTGGAGACAGCTATGAAAATGAGTGAAAGGACAACTGAGAAGATTCTTGCATAGGGTTAAGAGCACAGGTCTGCCTGGGGTAGTGGCCCTGGTCTGTGGTGTTGCATTCTTTTCTTTTCTTTTTTAATTTCATTTTATTTTATGTTATTTTATTTTATTTTATTTTTTGAGATAGAGTCTCACTCTGTCACCCAGGCTGGAGTGCAGGGGCGCGATCTTGGCTCACTGCAACCTCCACCTCCTGTGTTAAAGTGATTCTCCTGCCTCAGCCTCCCAAGTAGCTGGGATTACAGGCGTGCACCACCACGCTCTGCTAATTTTTTTTGCATTTTTAGTAGAGATGGGGGTTTCACCATGTTGGCCAGGCTGGTCTTGAACTGGCCTCAAGTGATCCGCCTACTTCAGCCTCCCAAAGTGCTGAGATTACAGGCATGAACCACCACACATAACCTGTTGCGTGATTTTCTCCAGCTTAGTTCAGCTACCCCAGGTTAGATGTGCAGAAGAGGCAGGTTGTCGGGTTAAGTCAGGATGGGAGCTTCTGAGAAAGAAATGCACAGGGATAAAGAGGACCTTATATGCGTTGGTGCCTTTGCCTTAATAATTCCTCAAACAATTTTAAAAGACAAATACAATTATTGACGGTTTAAAGAGATGTTAAATGGGGCCACCAGTGGCTCGACACTGCCTCACAAACATTCTTGTCCCAACACTGTATACAGTCAGTTAATAGTTTTAACACATTCCTTTTTATTATTTCCACCGACTATATTACATTGAGTCACTCAGTGAATTCTTTGGATGAGAATATTTCTTGTAAGGTTTACATAAAACTGAAAAGTAAAGTGGTTTTGGTGAGTAGATATCATTTTACAGTAAACATCAAATCTACGGAAAATCTAGAAGCAGAGACACAGATAACTATGACCACACTAATCCTTGGTTTTCAGCACGGTGTCACAGCCTTTTGCTCTCTTTCTCTGTTGGCTGAGATTCAATTAAAAAAAAAAATCTTTGGAAAAGGTTGGTAGTCCTATGCAAGTCAATATATTGTGGCCACATTTCCAAAAGGCGGACGCCAAACTCTTTGGGGTTGTGATATACCCAGATGGTCTCCCATTTTTTTGCGTTTCTGCAAATGTTATTAGCAAATACAACAATTTTTCCTCCAAAGTCATTAGAGCCCATTTGGCACCTTCTCTAATCTGTCCTACTTGTTACCTTTTAATTACTCTGTGAGGGGATCTAGTTGTCTTGTTGTTGTTGAGGGCCAAATGACCAAGGGGTTAATGCTTTTTCTGTCCCTGGCCAATTGGTTTTTAGTCAGTAGTTATTTATGGTTAAGTCCTGGGACCATTAGTTCTCAAGTATGTGCAGCTGTACTCTTCACAATTACTCGTCCATAAGCAAATGTGGACTTACTTTTTGTGTATGGTTGTTTTTTTTCCCGATTGGTTAGACAATCTGTTGTCATTTATGAATGATTCTTGTTGATGCAAAACATGGCATTGGATTCTGTTTTATTATTTGGATTCCATGTTTCATAGGGTGCTGTAATCTTGATTCAGACAAGGCACGAGGGTAGGTACCTCCTGTCACTAGTGACAAATTGCTCCTGTGTAGCAAAATGTGAAATCTTGCCCACCGCATGTTAGCTGCACCATTCTCCCGAAATCAGCATAGGTGCTGATGATCCTCATTGTGAAATCACTGACTGGTTGGCCTTGGCCTTTCTTCCTCATGCTCTGTTCTTTTGGACATAAGGTAGAGATTACTATTAATGGTTCTTTCAGTTCCTAGGAGCTCCTCCCTCTGTGCTGTCTTACTGTGATTTTTTTTTTTTTTCTGCCCCCATTGAATAGTAGTCTTTGATGTCACACAAGAGAATACTGTTGGCTAACAGTCTGGAGGCTGCTTCATTTGAGCTAACCACCACATGAAAACAAATGTGATCCATCATATTTCATTAACTAGCTGTCCTCCTTTTGGGCGCCCTTTTTTGATGTCAGAGTTGCATCCTGACAGGAATCAGAAAGATACGTGTGATTAAGAACAGTAATAATGCTTATTGCATTGTATTGTAAATTACCTTCCTGGGCCCTGCTACTTTATCAGCCCCACTGGCATTGGCTCCCGTACATTTTTGACTACTCAGTATATACAGTGTATTAGCGCAATGGAGATCATTATGTGGCCTGTATTTGAGTCATTTTTATTTAAGATGCCAAACAATAAGCTGTTGATTGGGGGAACAAGAGGCGAACAATAATGTTCTGTGTCACATAATACACCACCATTTTCCAGCTTTGCTTTAGAAGGGCCCTCTTTATTGTTTTTGTATAAAAATGGTTCTTAGGAGGAGGAATATTTTGCTGAGGTATGTCATTATTTTGCAAATTTCTATTATCTCATCATGTTGTCTTCATTGTAAATTGCAGCTAATTAGGAACCTAGTTAGAGCCCCAGCTTTGAGGCTGGCTTTTTTGTGAAAAGAGCCCACCGATTACCGCACTACAAGAGAGGAAGGGAGAGAAAAAGGAGATTAATCTGGTTACCTAGGCGACACTCGCTTCCATCTGCGAGGAACAATACATTTTTGTTTCCTTGGCTCAGTTCAGATCTGTTTTGTTTAGAGGGGGAAAAAAGGGAGAGAGAGAAAGAGAGAGAGAGAGACAGAAAGAGAAAGAGAGAGAGAGGGAAAGAGAGAACCTAGCTCCACAACAATGATGAATTCTGCCTAGCCCAGGCTTATGTGCTTGATTCCTCTGCAAGTTAGAGGTCTCTGGGGAGTGAGAAGATGAAAGAGATAAGCTCCAAAGTTGTCAAAGGTCATGACCTTGCCACACAAAGCCAGCAGTTTTACCTCTAAATCCCCTTCTCCCAAAAAGCACTTAATGAAATAATATACTGTGCTTCTCAACACCCTGTAGTCTGTAGTCTATATTAGGAACAAGGCCCCCAGATTGTGAATTTAAGGAGTCATTTAAAATTTCATACTAAATAATCAGTGATTATAAGAAGCTACTTATGGGTCCAGTTTTTGTCTCTGCAACTTAGACTTTTCTACTCTTTTTTCCAAGTGACTTTCCCAAAACCTACCATTTTATTGTAACACACAATGTTTAAGGTATGAGTTGACTTTTCAGTGGATGAAACAAACCTATTGAATCCACTCAAGATCAAGGCTTATTAACTACTCAATTCAAGTTGCATTTGTTGTACATCAAACTTTTAAGTCTTTAGAAGAGTGGCCATTTCGTTCAGACATGTGTGGTGCTGCCAGGCTGTTTGCTGCCTTATACATAGTCACCAGAGAAAGGGCTGAGGATGGAGCAGGAACTGAAAGAGGCTAAAAGGCTCAGAAATCTCAGGGCTTCTTTAGGCAGGTTGGCTAAACCCACAGCCTCTGATGAGCATAATGCTTTCTCCCTCATATTCTCACAGGTTGGTATGCCGTCATGCATAATGAGTAGTTATCCAGGAAGGTTATATGTGATGACATACGGTTAAAGGAGGCGCTAAGAGAGGAATGTTGGCTTATCTGAGCTTTCCAGTCATAGAGTGCATTGATTAAACAAGAGCAACTAGCTTATTTTAAAATGCCCTGTGGAATCCATGCTTCATCTCCTCATCAGTTCTGTTTCCGAAATCCATTGCTAATAAAAGGAAAGTAAATCTTTTCATAAAAACTACAAGTCACGAAGGGTTCTCAGGTTCCTGTACACTAATAGACTAATAGACACTTCTCTTCAAATGGTATTACCCATCTCTCTCTTCTTATTTGCAAATGGGAAGAAGATACCAGCTCAAGTTGATTCTGTGTTTATCACTCATCTAGCCATCTAGAACAGCTGTACTTTGTCTTATTTCCACAATACCCTTTGGGCAGCTCCAAATGGGGCATCTCATGTGAAATAGGATGTATAAATGGTCTTAGAAATCTATGAAAACCATTTAAACTACAGCATTCTAATTTGTTCTAATATTTACTATATTTTATGGATAAAAATAATAAGCCTTACTTTATATCTCAAACTTCAGCCTTAAAAATGGTCTTCTATTTGTTAAGCTCTGAAGGAAATCAGATTAGTTTTGCAATTTTCCCATGAGTCCCTCAAATAAGACCAGATACAAATTAGTTCACTATAGCAGACCCTCCGCAAGGGTCTTCTCCAAGTATCTTTTTACTGTGTAAAGGACAAATCACCAAATTTCACATTGTTATTAAAAACTAGAGCTTCTTTTTGAAGCTTGGGAAACCAGGTTACTCTTGGCAATGGCACAGATTAAATATGCAGATACGTTTTAGAAATTCTCTTTTTAAATAAACAAATGAAATGGTCTCTTCTTATCTCTGAATGAACATTTTTCATTAAAATTATTAAGCTGTCTTAGGTTTTGAGGGGACATGTTCTCAATACCTCTTTTTTATTATGAAGAAAGTAAGTTTCGTAAATATACAGGGAAGTAGTTATAGCAGTTAAGTCAACACTGTTCAGACTAGCCTTCTTTACAGAAAGTATTGGAGCTCTAATGTGCACTTATTAAGAGGGCACCATTGTATTTTTTCTCATCTGTCTGCAGAGTCAGTCCATACAATTCCTGCTCTAAGCTTGACTAGAGACACATACAGAAACTCATCTCTTTATAAAGGCTTTGAATGATAATATGCTGTGAAGGTAGGGAAATAAAATGTGAAGATGATTTCGTATGTGCAGAAACTTTTTTTGTTCATGTTGGATAAGACACAATTTTTGAACCACAAATGTATTAATCTTTCATGGGAATGAAGTGATCACCAAATGAGATGGCAATAGCTACTTATCAATATGATTTATCAATAGTTCCTATTGCTTCTACTGAATAGATTTAGGGTGCTTCTACTGAATAGATTTAGGAAGTGTTTGGTAGTTCTCCATTGCGCTAGTGATGTCTCTTGTCTTCAACACTGATTTACCCCTGTTCACCCAAGACCTTAGGTATCAACCTCTTAGGATGTAACCTCTAATATTCTGCCCTAAAACAGTGGTTAAAAATGGATGTAGAGGAAAGAGTGCCACCTGCTGATTTCTCATCCTAAAGCAATTCTGATTTCCTTGGAGGTTTGTCAGACAAGATCTAGCAGTACCTGGTAGTATTTATTAAGCCATAGGTGACAAGTACAAAGCCTAGATTTGTAGGCTACAGTTTTGTAATCATGGAGTTATGAGGATGAGTCAGAGATATTCAAAGATTGATCACAAAATGTTTTCCTTCACTTTAAAATTATCTACTGTGAATTATGGGTTTGAAAAAAAATTCAAATCCATCATTTCATCAGCTTTTTACATCTCATTGAAAATTGTAGACAGTAGGACTTCCGTGTCATATGAAATTTCCATGTCCTGAATGTCTTCTGGACTCTTTCCAGTGTGGAAAAATATGTCTGATGTAAGTTACCTTTGTGATGTTGACTTGGAAACTGCCCTCATGAACAAGACTTTTCTTCATTCTGTCTTGCCAAGGGAACATACTTCATTCTAGTTGCCTGTGTTACTATGGAAAGAAGTTGCTTAAAGTAAAAATAAACAACCACTTGTCCGCTAAATAACCCATTTGCAAATTAAGATTCTAGACATTTACCATTTCTGTTTTTTTTCTGCTGAAGTCAGCAATTTGATGAAATTTTGTAAGTTTTTGAAGAATTATTAGTATGCAATTACAAAAAGTTAGCAAAAGTGATCTGTGGCTAAAGAACGCATGGACCTCTAACTGTTGAATAAAATTTGAAGTCCTGGGAAAAATGTTCACCTGAGTGTGATTCTAACATCAGATATCTCAGTTTAACCTTTTCTTTTTTTTCTACACTTGTATCAAAGATTAATAGGAGAAAATAATATTTTCTCTTGTTAGTCAATTGGCAGAGGAAATGTTCCATGTTAATACTCATTCGTTTAGGAAGACTCCTAGTATAAGTGTCATTTTAAAAGTTGACCAAGATAATAAATAAACTGCAATAGGGGATAAGTTTCACTTCAGATACATTACTTTACTATCCTTAATTGTTACTTTAGAATGGTCGCCGTTAACCTGTGTCTCCAGTGTTAAGGTGATTTTAACTCCAGTCAACTCAAGCCTGAATCAGGTTGTAGGCACAGCAAGAAGAATGAGCAACAAGAGGTTTTTACCACAAAGGAATAACTTGAGAAATGGGCCAGAACTGCTAATATCTCTTCCTACTCTACAAAATAAAAGTTGTTAACAAAAAATATGGAATCTTCTTCTTTTGGGAAAGTAAAAAGAAAGAATAGATGCAAAGAAGGGAGAGAATTAGGAAAGAAAATATATAAGGAAAATTTTAGTCACAATGGGCTCATCTACAATTTTGGTAAAATAAAACGTATTTCCCAATCCTGAAAAAATAGGAGATGATTATCAAGTCATTGATATGAATCACCATGGTGGCCACTTCTATTTAGGTAAAGTAAATTTGAGTGTGTGTGTATGAGTGTGTATGCATGTGCGCATGTGAATTATTTGTAAGACAAGGAACATTGTTTTCTATTTTTTTTAATTTGATTAATTGTAGATAATCTGCAAATAAGCAATTCTGCCTATATGTAAGTAGCCCTGCTGTATTACAAGCAATTTTCTAAATAGGCTACTTCAGTTTATTGCTGTATCATTGTCATGATTTCCCCTTTATTAGAAAATAAATATTTCCAATATGTACTTCTTAAAACAAAAATAGTGTTTAGCAATTATGTTGTCATTTGGGATTTAGTCCACTGGTCTCTTTGGCATCTAAACCCTATTAATATTTCAGAATATTATTCTTTTTTTTTTTTTGGAAATGGAGCATGGCTCTGTCACCCAGGCTGGAGAGCAGTGGCATGATCTCGGCTCACTGCAGCGTCTGCCTCCCAGGTTCAAGCAATTCTTGGGCCTCAGCCTCTTGAATAGCTGGGACTACAGGCATGTGCCACTACACCGGGCTAATTTTTTTTTGTATTTTTAGTAGAGATGGGGTTTTGCCATGTTGGCCAAGCTGGTCATGAGCCCCTGACCGCAAGTGATTCACCTGCCTTGGCCTTCCAAAGTGCTGGGATTACAGGCATGAGCCACAGCACCCGGCCTAGAATATTATTCAAATTTTTAAAGAAAGATTCTCCAAGAAATGCACAGCACTTGGTAGCAATGGCAATTTTTTAATAAGGTGTAAATTATCTTTCTTCCTTGGCCCTGGATTATGATTGTGTTCCTTTGGTTTAGCCTCTTGTATGTGCAATTTAGGCAAAGCAACTGCTACCTCCTATTTCTGTTTCTACCTATATAACATTTTTCTTACGGGGATCAGATTTCTCAGGATGCAATCCAATGTGTTATTGCTAGTTACTTCCTTTTCAAATTTCTTTCCTCCATACACACATATTCATTCATCTTACACATATTTATTATCTTTGTATGCCAGACATAATCCTAGAGATGCACCTTGGGGTATGTGAGGAAACAAAACCAACACAGATCCTTGCCCCTGTGGAACTATATTCTAGTAGCAAGAAAGGTCAAAAATTAATAAGCTTATCTTGACTCTGAAAACGTTGACAAATCTATTGATAAATGGAAAAGTTTCTGGCACATTGTAGTTATTCAGTACATTTTCTTGTTTTGAGAAATTGTTTTATTGCTAAGAAACACATGAAAATTGTTATATTTCTACTGATGGAAACTGAATCCAAAGCTTGGACTAGATTTGGGTGATTGAATGAAGATAAGAAAATACCAGCTAATGGGAACACGCTAGGTACTGGAAGATATCTTCTTTGCAAGAGGCCAAGACTGACAATATAATTCCAGCAAGAAATCTCTACTTTGTTCATTGTCCCTCCTTAAATTTTTCAAAATTTGTATCTTAGTAGGTTTTTATAGTTTCAATTTCTGGGGGAGGGTATTAGGGATGGGTGGGAACCCAATACCATTTTGACCAAGCACAGATTTAAACATATTCTTAAATAATGTGACCTGATATCTCTGTTTGTAAAATTTAATCATAAAAATATTCTTGACTAAATACCACAGGCCATCTGTAAGCTTCCATTTTCTTTTTGGCTTTCATAAAATAATGAATGTTTCAAGCCAAAGGCATTAGAAATACTCTGATCTTTTTAACCTCTTCTTGTAATTTGATAAACCCTTGAAAATCTGCTGAAATAGAGCCTGTCACTCCAAAATTTAATATATATATACATAAGATTCTGCTCTAAATTTGAGGTAATTTGTAGAACCCATGAATCTCTTCAGTGGCTCTCAGATCTGATCTAAGTGTAGTCTACTCTGTTCATTTTACACCTGAAAATATAGGATGCAAATAAGTTTTGATTATATAAGACCACACAAGCAGTGAATGGGAGCCTAAGAATCAAAAAGTCTAATTCCTACCTAGTCTGAATTCTTTCCACACAATACCCAATTCTGTTTATCTATAGCTACATTAAAAACCAACCCAACACTCAGAGGCTTAAACAAACAATTTATTATTCTTTTCTGCTCCCGATGTTTGATTGGGTTTAACTGGATGGGTCTCACGTGGAATCTCTTATGTAGTTGTAGTCAGATCACAGCAGGGCTGAAATCATCTGAAGGCATGGCTGGGCTGGATATCCAAGATAGCTTCTTCGCTTATATGGCTGACATGTCTGCTGGGATGGCTGTAATAGCTGTAAGCTTGGTATTTTTCTTTTCCCTGCAGCCTCTTCACATGGTAAGCTCTTACAAAGCATGGCAGTCTCTTACAGGGCAAGTGACTTCTTCCAAAGTGAACATTTCAGAAGACATTGGTAAAAGCTGCAAGATGTATTATGACCTAGCCTTGGAAGTCATGCAGCATCATTTCTGCTGCATTTTATGGGACTAAAAGTAGTCACAGGGCCAACACACAATCTTAAGAGGAGGTGAGTCCACAGGGGTATAAATACTGGAAAGCATGGTTCATTAGGGAGCCATCTTTAGAGGCTAGCTACCACCTACCCTGTTAAGTGTTGGCCATATCTGTCTTTTGGGAGAGAACTTCTTTAATAACATAGGAATTTACCTGCAAGTTATTCAAAATATGAATATTTAAATTGTAATACTGAAAATGATATATTTTCCAAAAGAGTCCATAATTTCTTTTACTTAATATTAAAATAGAGGTCATAATACCTTAAAGAAATAAGCTCAGGGAATTAAGAGCTTGGATTTTTTTTTCTTTTATATTTTGAACTAGACCTCAAAAATATATAGGTGGATTTAATCCAAGCTCTGTACTAGGATGTCCATCTATGCCTCCTGGTAATTGAATTCCACTGACTGACATAATTAGGCCCTATCTGTTAAACCTGTTGTGTCAAAGTCTTCTTGAGTGTCTTCATTTACATATTTCCAGCGTTGCAGAAACAATCATAATAGTCGGTTCTGTCAAGGCCCATTGTAGAATGCTTTTATTCTCTGATTGACAGTGATAATAATTGATACTATGTGTCCTTTATATTAGAGTAGTTGTTTATTTGGCATAATATTCTGCAAAATGTACACTGAAAATCCTTAAAAAGTGTTTTGGTAAAAGTAGCTTCATCCATTTTTCACTCGTTATCTCGAATGTTTTGGATCAAACTGTCCCTAAATTAGTAGACTAGAAAAATAGCAATCTTAGTCTCTTGTTTCAGATATTCCTGGTCTCTATAGTTATTTCTCTCTATAGACGTTTCTGGTTTATTGAGTGGCAGCTATACTTTAAAATACCAAAGAAGATATACTTTTTCTGTCAGCTCATTTCTTAAATTTAATTAGGAAGGCTTTGTGAGACTATTTAGGAACTAAGGAAATGGACATAGCATAAAATAATTCAGAAATAATGGAATATTAAGGACTTAAGTAACCCCTAAATCTTACTGCCTCTGTTTCTTCATTTAAGATATATATATATATGTGTGTGTGTGTGTGTGTGTGTGTGTGTGCGTGCGTATGTGTATATATAAATACATTTATATACATTTATATACATAAATATATTTATATACATTTATATACATTTATATATATAAATACATTTATATACATTTATATATAAATACATTTATATACATTTATATATATAAATACATTTATATACATTTATATATATAAATACATTTATATACATTTATATATATAAATACATTTATATACATTTATATATATAAATACATTTATATACATTTATATATATAAATACATTTATATACATTTATATATATAAATACATTTATATACATTTATATATATAAATACATTTATATACATTTATATATATAAATACATTTATATACATTTATATATATAAATACATTTATATACATTTATATATATAAATACATTTATATACATTTATATATATAAATACATTTATATACATTTATATATATAAATACATTTATATACATTTATATATATAAATACATTTATATACATTTATATATATAAATACATTTATATACATTTATATATATAAATACATTTATATACATTTATATATATAAATACATTTATATACATTTATATATATAAATACATTTATATACATTTATATATATAAATACATATATAAATGTATATATATATATATATATATTTTTTTTTGAGATGGAGTCTCGCTCTGTCACCTAGGCTGGAGTGCAATGGCGGGAGCTCAGCTCACTGCAACCTCCACCTCCTGGGTTCAAGTGGTTCTCCTGCCTCAGCCTCCCGAGTAGCTGGGATTACAGACATGCGTCATCATGCCCGGCCAATTTTTGTGTTTTTGTAGACACGGGGTTTCACCATGTTGGCCAGGCTGGTCTCGAATTCCTGACCTCAGGTGATCCTCCCGCCTTGGCCTCCCAAAGTGCTGGGATTATAGGCGTGAGGCACCGCACCCACTTCAGTTAAGATATTAATGCCAATCAGCTAAGACCTATTTGGGGCTATTTGAGGAGGATGAATCAATAGATCTTTTCTGTCTGATTTTTTTTTAAAACAGCCATTATACAAATAAATAAGACAGGTGAGGACTAAAAGATTACCTTTATTACTGATAAAGGTAATATCGGAGAATATGGACAAGGAATCTTCCTAACACTGAGTTACAGGATCAGGCAGATTTGTCTACCCAATCCTGGAAGGAGTGGATGAAGACAATCCTGGAAGGAGTGGCACAGGTCCAGGCACAGAACACAGGGACAACTTGTGATCTCTGTAAACATCCAGCTCCCGAGACACAAAAAGAGAAAGGGACTGAGTGACTTATGCTCAATTTCTGCTTCTAAACCCACCAGAAGCAGAAAAAAGTTCTGTACCTCCCTTAGAAAGCAGTAAATAAGGGGACCATGATAAACAGAATTTCAGGATAATGGAACCCCACAAGTAAGGACAACAAGAAGAAATGCATTTTGCCACTAATATTCCCCAGCTTTTTGTTATTGTAACATCTTAGGATTAATCATTTAACCATTAATGAGATAGTACATTAAAAGATTCTCTTTCCTTTTCCAGACAACTTTGTATTTTAATATTCTTTCTGTTCTACTATCCTGATGAAAAGATGAGGACCTTCTTTATGTGCATAAGAGTGACCACTGGATGCTCTAACAAAAACTTTCATATTTACTGACTGGGTCTGAGTAATAATTTTTTCCCATTGTAGATTATTACAAAAGCCTTTGACATCAATAGCCTATTTAAATTAGCCAGTGATAAACCTAGCTGAACGAATGAATAAGATTGGGTATCAATGCAAAAACTATTCTACGTGCAGATTGAAGGTTCAAGCACTACTTTCAGGATTTTTCTTCTCCATATTTTATTCCATAAGAAAAGCTTCTGCAATAAATATACAGTAAATATTTCCTAGCCCGGAAAATATATGGTATAGCTAGTGGAACAAATGCACATTTTGCTATATTTAGCTTCTCTGTATTTTAATAAAAAGGTTTTTAAAATATAGTTTCAAGTTCTGTCATGCATGGTGACAGCTGTATCTGTGACATCATTCATTCACTCAATGAGTAGTTACATCGAGTTCCTAGTATGTGCCAAATATTCTAGAGCACTTCTGTTATTTAGTAATGGATTTTAAAGAAATATCATGAGGAAAACATATAAACTAAAGGGGACGAGACAGAATAGAAGACCTGTTTTAGGCAGAGAAGTCCTCTTCAATGAAGTTGCAAATGGTTAGCATATTTAGTGAAGAAATAAGTCATGGAGATGTCAGACTAATTCTGGAACTGTATGCCAGACAGAGAGAATTGTAGATGCAAAGGCTCTGAGGCAGAAACATGATAGCATACAACTTGCATTAGAATGTGGGCAAATGTAACAAAAGGACTGCATTTTTACCATGAATTTGATATTTAGTAACGAGAAAAATATCAGACTATTTTACTAAAAAATATGCTCTATATTATAGATGCTTCCTTTCTAATAATCATGTACTTAAAGATCAGTCATGTTTCTCTTCAATAATTTGAAATAGCTTTATTGAAATGTCATTTACGTACTTCAGAATTCACCAATTTTATGTATACAATTCAGTGATTTTTTTTTTTTTAGTAAGTTTATAGAGCTGTGCTACCTACCATCACCACAATACAAATTTAGAACATTTCCATCATCCTCAAAAAGATACCTCATGCCCATTTGCAATTAATCTCTGTTCCAGGTTTCTGGATTTGCCTTTTTGGACATTTAATATAATTGGAATCATACAATATGTAGTCTTCTGGCTTTGCCTTCTTTCGCTTAGGGTAATATTTTTGAGTTCACTCCAAGTTTTAGCATGCATCGGCTATTTTTTACTTTCTATTGCTGAATAATATTTTATTAATGGATAAACATTTTGTTTATTCTTTCACCCATTGATGAAAATCTGGATTATTTTTCAATTTTTTTTGGTCTATTGTGACTAATGCTGCTATGACATTCACATTCAAATATTTGTGTGGACGTATGTTTAATTTCTTTGGATATCCAAGAGTGGAATTGCTAGATTTTGTGGTAAATTTATTTTTAACTGTTTATGAAACTGCTAAACTGTTCAATGTGGCTGCGTGATTTGACATACCCAGCAGCAATATATATGCAGGCGCTGGTTTCCCCACATTCTAGCCAAGGTTTGTTATTGTCTGTCTTCTTAAAATATGGCCACCATTGTGAGTGTGTAGTGATATCTCATCATGGTTTTAATTTGCATTTCCCTAAAGAGTAATGTTTCTGATCATCTTTTTATATGTATATAGCTATTCCTTGTGCATCTTCTTTGATGAAATGTCTGTTCATATCTCTAGTGAATTTTTAATTGAGCTGTTTCTTTTATTGAGTTTTAAGAGTTCTTCATCTGGGATTCAAGTACTTTCTCTTAAATATTATTTTAAAATATTTTCTTTGTCAATGGCTTACATTTTCATATGCTTGTGTTTTTTTTTTTGAGAAACAAAAGTTTTTAATTTTGATATAATTCAGTTTATCAGTTGTTTTTATGTGCGTGTGTGTCATGCTTTAAGACCAGGAAGATTTTTTTTTTTTCTGTTTTCTTCTAAACATTTCTAGATGTAGTTTTTACATTCAGGTCTGTGATCAATTTTGAGCATCTTTTGTTTATGGTGAGAGGTCAGCATCTGAATTTATCTTTTGGCTCATGGATATCTAATTGTTGCAGCACAACTTGTTAAAAAGACTGTCCTTTCTCATTTAAATTGCTTTGGCACCTTAGTGCAAAAATAAATCAATTGACTGTAAATGTAAGGGTTGATGGTAGGATTCTCAGTTCTGTTCTAGCGACTTACATATCTCATCTTATGACAGTTCCAAACTGTCTTGATCACTGTAGCTTTATATTGTTCTTTGAAATAAAAAAGTGTATGACCTCCAATTTCATTCTTCCTTTTCAAAGTTATTTTGCCATTCTCTCTCCTTTTCTTATTGTAAATTATAAAATCAACTTGTAAGTTTTTTCCAAAAAAAAAACCTGCTGGCATTTTTATAGGGAGTATGTTTAATATGTAGGCATATCTAGGGATAATTTCCATCTTAACATACTGAGTTTTACAGTCTATGAACATGGAATATCATTTCCTTTATTTGGTTCTTTAATTTCTCTCAGTGATTTGGTAGTTTTCAGCATACAAGTCTTGTACGACTTTTGTTAAAGTTCTTAATGTTTTATTCTTTTTGATGCAATTGTTAATGAAATTATTTTCTTATTTCATTTTTATATTATTCATTGCTAGTATATAGAAGTATAATTGATTTTTGTTTATTGATCTTGTATTTGGCAATCTTGCTGAACTCATTCATCAGCTTTGCAGTTTTTGTGGGTTTCTGCAGATTTTCTTCATATAGGATCAAACACCCCGAGAAGAAAGACAGTTTTACATCTTACTTTCCAGTAAGATGGATGACTTTTATTTATTTTTCTTAACTCATTATACTGGCTAGAACCTCCAGTACAATGTTAAATGGAAATCATGCGAGCAAACAGCCTTACCTTGTTCCTGATCTTAGGGGAAAAACATTCTGTCTTTTACTGTTAAGTATGATATTAGCTGTTTCATTTTACAGATGTTCTTTATAGTGTTAAGACAGTTTTCTTCTGATCCTTGTTAGTTGAGAATTTCTACCATGAATAGGTGTTGGGTTTAGTCAAAAATTTTTCTGCCTTCATTGTGATAGTCAATTTTCATTGATTGTTCTATTAATATGGTGTATTACAGTAACTGATGAAGAGATATTAAACCAACCCTTTATTCTGGGATAAATTCCACTTATAACTCTTTCTATGTGTTGCTGGATCAGTTTGTTAATATATTGCTCAAATTTTTGTGTCTATATACATGATGAATATTTGTAATGTAGTTTTCTTTTCTTATGATGTTTTTATCTGACTTTGGTACCCAGGTAATACTGACTTCATAAAATAAATTGTTAATTGATCCTTAGTCTTCTATTTTTTGTAAGAGTTTATGAAGAACTGGTACTGTTTCCTCTCTAAATGATAAAACTTACCAGTGAAGCTATCTGGTGCTGGGCTTTGCATTGTGGAAATATTAAACATACTCCCTATAAAGTATTTTTGTGGAAATATTAAACATACTCCCTATAAAAATGCCAGCAGGTTTTTTTTTGGAAGAAACTTACAAGTTGATTTTATAATGTGTAAGAAAATTACTAATTCAATTTTTAAAATAATTCTGGGTAGATTTAGATTTTCTGTTTCTTCTTGATCCACTTTTTGATCATTTGTGTCTTTTTCAGAATTTTTCGCTTTCATCATCTAAATTGTCTAATTTGTTAGCATCACGTTTTTCAATGAATGCCTTTATACATCTTTGTATTTCTATAAGGTCAGTAGTGATGTTTCTCCTTTCATCCTTCATTTGGTAATATAGGTTTTTTTCACTTTTTTTGTTTTTTGGTCAGTCTAGCTAAAGGTTTGTCAATTTTATTGATCTTTTTAAAGAACCAACTGACGTTTCATTGATTTTTTCTCTCTTGTTTTACTATTCTCTATTTTGCTGATTTCCACTCTAATCTGATCTTTCTTATTTCCTGCCTTCTTCTTGCTTTGAGTTAATTTGATTTTCTTCTTTTCTTTCTAAACATGCAAACTGAAGTCATTGATTTGAGAACTTTTTTTATTTTCTACTATAGTGCTTAAAGCTATATATTTTCCCAAAGCACTACTTTAGCTGTATCCAATGAATTTCATTTTTTGTTATTTTCATTTAGCTCACACTATTTTCTTTCTTTTTATTTATTTATTTAACTTATTTAGAGACAGGGCTTCACTTTGTCTCCCAGGCTAGGGTACAATGATGTGATCATAGCTTACTGCAACTTTGAACTCATGGGCTCCAGTGGTCATCCCACCTCAGCCTCCCAAGTAACTGTGACTACAGGTGTGCACCCCCATACCTGCATCTTATGTCTGTTCTTCAAGTCCTCCTGTATTGCTTTCTTTGTGATAAATATTGTCTATTCTTATTTTAATTCCTTTATTTACTTCACACAAACACACAAATACACAAATACAGTTAATTATTAGTGGTGTACAGATTACAAATGCATTTTTAAAATTTTTTTGTAGAGATGGGGTCTCACTGTGTTGCCTAGACTAGTCTTGAACTCCTGACCTTGCTTTTGCCTCTCAAAGTACTCGGATTACAAGTATGAGCCATTGCACCCAGCCTAGCTCACACTGTTTTCTAATTTTCTCTGTGATTATTTTCTTTGACCTATGGGTTATTTAGAAATGTGTTTTTAATTTCCAAATATTTACTGATTTTTTTAAACTTTCTTTTGTTATTTATTGATAATTTAAATCCATTTAGATTTAATCTAATTTAGGCTGGTTTTGGTGGCTCATGCTTGTAATCCCAGCACTTTGGGAGGCCAAGGTAGGAGGATCAGTTGGGTTCAGAAGTTTGGGGCTCGCCTGGCCAACATAGTGAGACCTCATTTCTGTTTAAAAAACCAAAAAATTAGTTGACCTGGTGATGTGCACCTGTGGTCCCAGATACCTGGGAGGCTGAGGCAGGTGGATCACTGGAGCCCAGGAGGTTGAGGCTGTAGTGAGCCATGATTGTATTACTGCACTCTAATCTGGGTGACAGAGCAAGACCCTGTCTCAATTTTTTTAAAATCTAGTTTAAATCATACTCTCTATGATTTCAAATCTTGTGCCATCATGAAAACTTTTTTTATGGCTTACCATATGATGTATCATGGAGAATGCTCCATGTATTCTTGAAAATAGTATGTATTCTGCTGGAAGAAGCATTCTATAGATTTTAGTTAGGTCAAATGTTTGATAATATTGTTCAATTCTTGTATATCCTGTCTAATTCCTAACTCTTTTAGGATTTCTGTATGCACGATATATCTTTTCCATCATTTTGCTTTCAACCTATTTGTGTCTTCAAAGCGTATTTCTTACAGTCAGCATATAATTAAATCTTTTTTTAAAAAAATCTTGCATTACAGTCTCTCCCTTTTGATTACAGTATTTCATGCATCTGTATTTAATGCAGTTATTATAGGGTTGGATATACACCTGCCATTTCCATTTGTTTTCTATGTATCTTATGCCTGTTCTTCAAGTCCTCCTTTATTGCTTTCTTTGTAATGAATATTGTCTAGTCTTATTTTAATTCCTTTACTTACTATACACAAACACTGAAATACACAAACACAGTTAATTATTAGTGGTGTTGTAGAGATTACAAATGCATTTCTAATTATCACAATGTAGATCAGTTGGATACTAACCTAATTTTTTTAAAATATAGAGACTTTTCTTCAATATAGTTCAATCTTTCCCCCACTTGTGCTATTATTACAGTATATATTTACATATATACTAAGAAATACAATGTTATAATTATTGCTTTGTGTACAATCTTATACCTGTTAAAACAGTTTGGAGAGAAAAGGATGAAAATATATTTAGTTTTTAAAATATTAACCCACATATTTACCTTTTCTTTCACTCTTCATTTCTTTCTGCGGATCGAAGTTACCAACTTCTTATCTGTTCTAATTTTCTTGCTCCATTATAGCTCCATTCTCTCCACCTCCTTTTTGCTAGTATATATATGATATTTATGTATTATATAATATACATATGTATTATGCTAATAGATATATAATACACAACATGCATGTATAAGACATCTTCATATGCTATGAGCCCAAAAATACAGGTTTATAATTATTTTATGTAATTATCTTTTATAAACCCTTTAAGAGATGATATTAGAAAATAAATGTGTTTATATTATCTTTATAGCATTCTTTATTTCTTTAAGTGGAATCAAGTTGCCAGCTGGTATCATTTTCTTTTAGACCAAAGGACTTTCTTTAGTATTTATTATAAGGAAGGTATAGCAATATAACAGTACTCTCTCATTATTTGTTCACCTGGAAACACCTTTGTTTCTCCTTCATTTTTTGAAGGATAGCTTTGCTATATGTAAAATTCTTGATTAACAGTTGAGTTTTTTTCTGTAGCACTTTGATTATTGTATAGTATTATAATTATTGCTTTATGTAATTGTCTTTTTTAAAGACAATTTTTTAAAGTAAAAGACTTTTTTAAAGTAAAAGACTCTTTTATTAATTGTTGTTAAGCTTTACTGAGGTATAACTGACAAATAAAAATTGAATATATTCTAGGTGTACAGTGTGATTTTTGATATATGTATACATTATGAAATGATTACCACAATCCAGCTAGTTAACATATCTATCACCTCAGATTATTACCCTTCTTGTGGTAAGAATACTTAATATCCACTCTCTTAGGAAAATTTAAGTATATTGTACATTATTATTAACTATAGTGACCATGTTGTATACTAGGTATCTAGAACTTATTTATCTTGTAACTGCAAAGTTATACTCTTTGGTCAAAATCTCCTCAATTCTTTCAACCCCCTTCACCATTGGTAACCACAGTTTTACTCCCTGCTTCTAAGCATTCATTTTTTTAAAGATACTACATATAAGTGAGATCACGTAGCAGGCAGTTGTCTTTTAAATCACTTAAGAGAAGCAATGGTACACACACACACACACACACACACACACACACACACAGAGTCTTTTTTATTTACTTTCATAAATGTCCATTGTCCTATCCTGCTGCTTCTGGCCTTTTTATTTCTGATGAGGATTCTGCTGTTAAACTTAATGTGGTTGTGTTTTATTTGAGTTATTTTCCTCTTGGTGCTTTTAAAATTATCTCTTGGTCTTTAGCTTTTAATAACTTGATGATTATGTTTCTGGATGTGGATTTCTTTTGTTTATCATACTTGTGGTTTGTTGAGCTTCTTGATTATATATTTAATGTTGTTCATTAAATTTGTGAAGTTTGTGGCCATTATTACACTTCAAATAATTTTTCGCCCCCCCTTTTTTTTTTTTTTTTTTTTTTGAGACTGAGTCTCACCACCTTGTTACCCAGGCTGGAGTGCAATGGCGTGATCTCGGCTCATTGCAACCTCCGCCTCCGAGGTTCAAGGAATTTTCTGCCTCAGCCTCCCAAGGAGCTGGGATTACAAGCCCCAGCCACCATGCCCGGCTAATTTTTGTATTTTAGTAGAGATGGGGTTTCATCATATTGACCAGGCTGGTCTTGAACTCCTGACCTCGTGATCCACCAGCCTCAGCCTCCCAAAGTGCTGGGATTACAGGCATGAGCCACCATTCCTGGCCTTTAGCCCCTTTTTTTCCTCCTCTCTTTTTTCTGAGACTCCCATTATTCATATGTTGGTATACTTGAAGTATTCTCATAGGTCTTTGAGAAGGCTTTGTTCTCAACTTATCATTCTTTTTTCTTCTAACCTTCTTAAGATAAATTCAATTGATCTATCTTCAAAATTGCTAATTATTTCTACAGGCCAGGCAAATCTACTGTTGAGCCCCTCCAGTAAAATTTTCATTTCAGTTACTGTATTTTTTCAACTTTAGAATTTTATTTTTTTCAGTAATTTTATCTTTGTATTGATGTATGTTTGATCAATCATTGCCATCACATTTTCTGTCATTCTTAAAACATGGTTTAATTTCTTGTACATAATTGTCATAGCTATTTTGAAGTTTTTGTTAGGCAAGTCTGACACCTGGGGTCCCTCATAAAGTTTCTATTAGCTTATTTTTCCCCTGTGTTTGGGTCACAGTTTCCTATTTCTTTACATGTTTTGTGATTTTTCATTGAAAACTGTACAATTTGATAATACAGCAATGCTGGGTTCTGACCTCTTCACCTTGCACCCCCCCACCATAGTAGTAGTTGTTGTTGTTTCTGTTTTTAATTTGATTAATGATTTGCCTGGACTAATTTTGGAAATTCTATGTTGTCTCTAATGGGTATAACTGATGTCTCTGCCTAATGTTTCTTTTTATAGAAAAATTTTGTTTAACCTTTTCCTTTTAAAATCTGTCTTCCTAGGGTTTCCTCTAAATCGTTTTAGTGGTCAGACAATTATGTGTCAGAGGTTTTGCTTAAACACTTTGAGCCAAGAAGAGTTCTATTGTTTGCTGATGGATCAGCGTTTCATTGAGAAACACATTGAAAGTTCAGATAGTTTATGAATCCGCCCCATCTTTTACTTTCTTCATGTATAAGGCATCACATTCAGACAAACAGGAGTAGATGGCTAGGAATCTCTCCACGATCTTATGCTGATGTTTACAGCCTTCCCAACCCCCAAGATATGTGCAAGTTTATCAAGGCCCACTATGTCTGGTGCTTTCTTCAGCTCTCCCTATAAAATTTCTGACTGTAGGCAGGTCTATTTCTTATCTCCAGTATTGTAATCTCAGGCAAGCTGTGATATTGGCCTTCTCTGACTGTTGGCCATCCAAGATCGCTATTGTTTTTGACAGCACCTCAGGACATGGACCTTTCCAAACTTAGCTCCAAATTATTTCTTCTCTGTTTGGTAGGAAAGCTGATGTCCCTTACAGTTTGCCATGTCTGGTAGAAATAGAGCAGTAAAGAGCTTAGGGCTGGTGAATAAGGTGGGTGGAAACTGCTCAAGGATGCAATGCCACAGACTCTTATTGTTTTTCTGAGGCTTAACAGATTTACATGAATAAATATTTCACTATTTTTTTCTATGTCTTTAATCAATTTTCAGATCTGAAATGGTTGTTTTTGACAGTTTTTGCAGCTTTGTCTTTGCTTTGTGAGAAAATATGCTGAGTGCTTCATGTGGCCATTCAAAAAGACTCTCCTTCAACATTTTCTTAAGGTGAAATTTGTATGACAAAAAATTAGCCATTTTAAAGTGTACAATTCAGAGGCATAGTCATTCACAGTGTTGTACAATCACTTCTGTGTAGTTCCGAAATAGTTTCATCACCTCAAAAGAAAATTCCATACTCAGTAAGCAGCCATTCCCTATTTTCCCTTCCCATTAGACCCTGGCAACACAAACCTGCTTTTTGCCCTGTGCATGTACCTGTTCTTTGTATTTCATATAAATAGAATCATACAGAACAGGTAAATTCATAGGACATCTTTGCATCACATGTTTCTTTCACTTAGCATAGTGCTTTGGAGGCTCATGTACATTGTAATATGTATTAGTAATTCATTTCTTTTCATGGCAAAGTAATATTCCATTGTGCATATATACCACATTTCATTTATCCACATATCTGCTGATGGATATTGGGGTTATTTTCATCTTTTGTCTATTATGAATAGTGCTGCTTTGAACACTTAATGTCCAAGTATTTTTGAGTACTTCTTTTCAGCAGGATTGCTGAGTAACTCTATGTTTAACTTTCTGAGGACTCACCAAACTGTTTTCCGTGGTAGATTTATCATTTTACATTCCCACCGGCAATGTATAAGTGTTTCAATTTCTTCACATGCTCACCAACATGAAATTTCCATATTTTTATTATTATAGTCATCCTACCAGGTGTGAAGCAGTATCTCATTGTGGTTTTGGTTTATATTTCCCTAATGACTAATAACATTGAACATCTTTTCTTTCTTCACATTTTAAGCTAGAATCATGTAACAATCCAAGGATTAGATTTCAGGTCTCTGGAATTTAAGTTTAGTAGCCCTTCATCAGTACAACAGTATCTTCTACCACATGTTATATGATATAATTTGATTTCCTAAATTTTCCTTGTGTTCATTAATTATACCCACACAGCTGATAATGCAGTCCTATCCTTATTAAATGAGTCATTCTAACAACTAAAATGAATTGAGAAAATGATTTTGTCTATATATCATAGGCTTATATTCCATAATGTGAGCTGACATATATCCCAAGGTAAGACAGATTAAAGGAGCTTTTATGGTTGAAAAGTTCACATTGGTCTTTATTCCATTAGAGGTTTAACCTGCTACTGAAAATGTCCACTTTGGTATCCAGACCTGAAAATTTTTTGTAGGTAAATAATATGTAACTACGATGAGCAGAGTATTAGCTTTTAATATTATCACTATCCTTGTTAGTGTGAATTCTAAAATAAAGTTGGATCCCTTTTAGGACTCAAAAAAATTTTTGTAATTGAGAGAGTCTTGCTCTGTTGCCCAGGCTGGGATGCAGTGGCATGATCGTAGCTCACTATGACCTCCAACTCATGGTCTCAAGCAATTCTCCCTCCTTAGCCTTTCAAGTAGCTAGGACTACACACATGTGCCACCATGCCCATTGATTTTTAAAAGTTTTTTTGTAGACACAGAGTCTCACTATGTTGTCCAGGCTGGTCTCAAGCTCCTGGGCCTCAAGTGATCCTTCTGCCTTGGCCTCCCAGAGTGCTGGGATTATAGTCGTGAGTCACTGTGCTCATCCCTATTACTATCTTAATAATTCATGTTAGAAAGGAGATATTAATGGCTGCTTTGCAAATTATTTATGAAATGTTATCTTTTTATTAATTTGTTTACTTACAAACTACTAAACAAAAAGCACTTTTTCCCATCAGTATTTAGAGTCATAATCTATCTTGCTAAATGTCAGACGTATATATTTAAATATCACATCCTCCGTTTCATTTACTATGTGACTAATAAAAACTTAATAGACACTAATTGTTGTCAAATTTGCCAAGAAAAGACTCTCACAAATCTTGTTAGTTTTTAACATTCTGTTCATTTTGGAGCATATAATGTATCCCCAGCAGGGACTGTGCTTAGAAGCACCAGGGACTTCTTGGAAGAAAATATAGTTGGCAGATCTTGGGTCAACCAGAATCATCCCTTGCACAGATTGATTCTGGACATACTGTAGGTAATAGCCATATTTTTATACTGTCAGAATTTATGTCGCTTTGTGATCCAATTGTTCTAGACATTTTGTCTATCAAATTATGGCCATCTACAGAGAGGAATACAGTAACAGCTTGATTTCTCACGTTAGACCAATAGCACAAAAAAGCTCATTCCAACTTTTCCATTTTTTTCTGTGAAGGTTTGGGAAATTTGCTGGTAAACCTCATCTAGTGACCATAATGGTGGATATATTAGCCTATCAGGAAAAATAGTTTTATTATTTTCTTAATTTAGAGCTCTCCTCTCTCCTCCTGCCCACACACCTCCCACGCCCCACTCTGGCCCCCACCATGCTCATGTGTGAGTTTTCTCTCCTGGAAAAATGAATATACAGACAATAAGAAGTTAGGGCAAAATTACGGAGAAAATAGTATTGGTTATATAATCCTTGAATACCATAATAATGTTGAGCAAAAAGAATCCATGTATTTAACCGATACAGATAACAGGCACATATATTGATGTAGATATCTGTATCTATATATACCTATCTATACATATTCATACACATGTTGGAGGAAATAAGATTATTCAGTCAAATTTATATAACAAAAGGGCTAATTTATTACTCTTCTTTAAAATTTGAACGTTACTTAAAATTTTTTTAAGTAAGTAAAATTCAAGTAGTAATTCCTTTAATTTCATTTTACTATCTGTTCTTCATTTTTGCTCTATTTCTTTCCTTTACTATCATACTTATTTTAGTATTTCTATGTGTCTTCACTCATTCACATCAGATTTCCCTCTCATGATACACCTTTATAGAAACATTCCTTTTTCTTGTTTTTGTTTTTGTTTTATTTTGTTTTTGGAGACAAGGTCTTGCTCTGTTGCCCAGGCTGGAGTGCAGTGGTGCCAGTGGTGTGATCATGGCTCATTGCAGCCTCGACCTCCTGAGCTCAAATGATTCTCCCATCTCAGCCTCCAAAGTAGCTGGGACTACAGACACACGCCACCACACCCAGCTATTTATTTATTTATGTATACATACAAACATACACACATACATGCATACATGCATACATACATACATACATACATACATACATACATACATACATACATACATTTCATAGGGAGGGAGTTTCTTTATGTTGCCTAGGCTGGTCTCAGTATTCCTGGACTCAAGTGATCCTCCTGCCTTGGCCTCCCAAAATGCTGGGATTACAGGTGTGAGACACTCCAGCCAGCCAGAAACATTTTTTCATATCTATGTCTTCTCAAATTTTCTGTCACTACACTTTTCTTTATGTAATATCTTAAAATAATGTTTTTTTCAAAAGATTCCTGAAAAAGTCTTTCTCATTTTGGATCCCATGTGACTTTGGCACAATGGAGGAGTATGTTGGGGATGGTAAGGGAAAGGTTACTGAATCTGGACCACAGAGGTATCTGGGAGAAATAGTGGCATGTTGACAGTCTGAGATGAAGTCATGATGACAGTTTTGAGTCCTATCTCCTTTTACAGCATTGACTTGCTTTGCTGCTCCAACAGAAAAAATAAACATTGCTTCTTGGGGCTAAATCCATTTGTGTATTCTCGAACTAGATGAAAGGTATATACCAAAATGTCTAGTTTTTTTCTTTGCTTTTAATATTAATACTCCGATTTACCAAAGTTCTGTTCTTTAATATGGCTTATTTGTTGTATTTAAAAATAAGTAATTTGGAATATGGCTTTATGTCACTGTGAAGTCAGCTTATTAAAGCTGAAATTGTGTGTTTCATTGATTATCTATCTCATATGTTTATTATTCTGAACAGTGTCAACTGTCTGAGATCTGTAGCCTATAGACCAGAGTGTAGGTTTTAACAAATTAAGAGTATTAAACGCTCAGTCACTGCTTCTATCTGGTACAAGGATGAAGTAAATTTTTGAGGAACTGTCTCAATCTTCTGAGTAGAGTTAATTGTCAATATACTCATTGATAAGAAGGGGACAGAGAAGACCAGAAGGAGAAGTCACATACTATAATTATTTTGTCATCCTTCTTTTTTCTTTCACATATTCCACTATAGAGTGGTTGAGTAGAGGCAATGCCAGCATAGAGTCTTGTCTTTTGTCATGCATGCTTTATGGCTATGACATAGAGCCATCTCACCAAATTTTCAGTGGAACTTAAAATTCACTTTGGCTTTGGGAAGCTCATTACTATTAAAAGAAGTTTCCCTTTCTTTTTTGGTGTTTAAAAGTTACTGTGTTATAAAAAATGGACCTCAAAGAAGAAATTAAAATGAACCTCAAAGAAGAAAATAAATATATTTGAATGGTCATCTATACATGCATTCTTCAGAGTGCTAGAAGCAATTATTTCTTGACAATGTACAAAACGATTATTGAACAGAGAGCGAGAACTCATGAAAAAAAGTTTTCTGAAAAGTAGATGATGCATTTATGGAATAAAAAAAGATTAAACATCTGGTGATCATTATTATTTTAGAAATTCACATTAGAAAAGAGAGTTATTAATGGCTACTTTGCAAATTATGTATGAAACCTTGTCTTTTTAATAGTTTGTTTACTTACATAATTTGACTTTGAAATAATATAAGTAAGTATGATCAAGTTGATAAACTGATTAGGGAAGCAATCTTTTTTTGTGGCACATTAGTTTCTGTGCAGATTTACTAAAGTAATTTTCTACCTGAGGAAAATAAGGAGAAAAATCTAGCTTTTAAAAATATATCATTGTTAACTAAAGATGCTATTAAGGGTGTTGCCAGACCAACTTCCTTTAAGGGTGTTGCCAGACCAAAGCTCCTCAAAACATATTTAGAAGCTACTGACCTGTAGATTTTTAGGAATTTTATTAGGGAAGGCATTTCTTTTCTTTAATAAGCCCCAACCAATACTGATCTGGGTTTCTGAGGGCTGTCAATTTCTTATTTTTGTTTTTGCTACTGATGATGATGAAAGATGTATGAGGGTACAGAAAATGCAATTTTTGGAAAGCTGCATAGTATAAGATTTCATATTGCTTCTTTCTTTTCAGAGCTAAAGATATTCTAACAAGAGATACCTGGAAATTATCAAAAAATAGTATTAAAACCAGGTTAAAGTCGTTATCAGAATTATAGATTTGGCTAGGAAGTATTCTTTTCATGTGACAATTTGGTCTATATAATTTGTGTTCTTTTCAGTACTCGTACTGCATAATTATGTATAAAGTAAAAAAAAAAAAAACCTCCTGTATTTGTCTGTCTGGTTACTGTATTTGATTCACTGTGTTCTTTTAATACATTATTTTATTATCAAATGAAGGAAATTGAAGTAGTTAAAATTACTACCTCCTATGAAAATCTTGACTATAAATTTCTTGGTATCTACAAAATAGCATTTAATGCAAATGTATAATTCGTTATTTGTAGTTTTGAATTTTTTGTAATTTATTTTATAACTGGAAAATCGGAAAAATATTTTAAAATTTTTGGTAATTCATTTTTGGAAAATCTAAACTAATCTGACATGAGGTTATTTGTGTAAATAATATATTTTACTGCAGAAATATCAATATATTTGATTATGAAGTATTACCCCAGAACTCACTAGTACTACTATATGATATGTGGTATATATATATATATTTTTTTTGTTGTTGTTGTTTTTTTTTTAAGAAAGAGACAAGGTCTTGCAGCCTTGACCTCCTGGCTTTAGGGATCCTCCTGCCTCAGCCTCCTGAGTAGCTGGGGCTATGTTTGCATGCTACCATGCCTGGCTAATTTTTAAAGTTTTTTTTTTTTTTGCAGAGACGGGATCTCACTGTGTTGCCCAGGCTGGTCTTGAACTCCTGGGCTCAAGCGACCCTCTCTCCTCAGCCTCCCAAAGTGCTGGGATTATAGACATGAGACACCATACCCAGCCTTATACTTCTATAGCACATTTTTTTTTCAGTATTACGAAGCTCATTTGGCCTCTAGGATTTTGGATAAAGGATCTTCCAAATAGATCTTCACCTATATTAACAGTTAAATTTAAGTCTATCAGTATCATAGAAAAAAAAGTCAAAAATGTTCTAGTCTGGTTTTATTGTTACTTAAACTTTCTATTGTGTAGCATCTTTCACTGATTCTTAGTGAAGCTTTCTATTTTATATCAGATAACATCTGTTCAGCAAACACTGTTAAGCACCTACGATGTTCTAGGCATGGGTAGGTGCTTAACAGTGTTGAGCTTAAATGCCTAAAGAAATAGACAATGTCTGTTCCCTCAAGAAGCTTAGAGACTTAGCTAACAAATAATACACATGAATACATGGAATAATAGAAACATGTAGAAGATACAGAAGTGTAGTACAGAATTAGAAGTGATGAGATGATGGTTCTTTCTTGGCATGAAACAATTAGGAGAAGGAAGAATGGGAAGGAGTGGAAAACTAGAGAAGGTTTCACAGAGAATGCGATGCAGTTTTCAAAATACATCGTAGTTAAAAGCAATAGCCTGCGTATAACACAGATGTCAGAAGTGACCTAGTGTTTGTAGGGAAGGACAAGTAATTGTATTGCGAGGGAGTTATGGGAAATATGGTGAGAAACATGCCTAGAGGAAAAGGCAGTGATTAGATCGTCAAGGTCCTTGATTGCCACACTAAGGAGTTTAGACATGATTCTGTGGATAATGGGAAGCTGTTGAAGGGTTTATGGAGAAGAGTCCATTATTCTGTGATCCATTTTTCATCTTAAAAAGATCTCTTGCATAGTCTTGTGAAGATGGACCAGATGAAAATAAGACAGAGACTAGGTAAGAGAATAATGCAACTGAGGGGACAGATTCCATAATCTATAGCTCAGTCTTTTGGTCTTAATTTGTCAAAACCTATCTTCCTTCCTTCCTTTTTATATCTTCACTCCCTCCCTCTTTCCCTTTTTTTCTCTCTCCTTCTTTTCTTCTTCTTATTTAGAATTATATTGTGGTTAATAATGGCACTATCTCTTTATATGCTTGAAAATCTAATTAATGTTCATTTAAATAAAATGTTTTCCTTTGTATCTGAATATTTTCTCTTTCTAAAGTTGAGGTACTTCTGATTGTATTTTAATATGCTGTCTTAGTCTGTTCAAGCTACTATAACAAACTCCCAGAAACTGGGTAGTTTGAACAACAGAAATTTATTTCTTACAGTTCTAGAGGCTGGAACTCTGAGATCAGGGTGCCACCATGGTTGGACTCTGGTGAGGGTCCTCTTAAGTGTTGCAGACTGCCTGCTTCTTGTATCCTTACACTGTTGAGAACAAGTGTAAGAAGCAAGCTCTTTAGTTATAGTTATAAGGGCACAAATCTCATTCATGAGGGCTCCACCTTCATGACCTCATCTAATTCTAAGTACCTCTCAAAGGTCACACCTCCTAATGTCACATTGGAGGGTTTCAACCTGTGAATTTTGGGAGGATACAGACATTCAGTTTATAACTTTTGCCATCTAGTGTTGATACTTTCCATGTTCCTTTTTAGATGACTTTAATGTTTATAAACTGTCCATTCAATATCCTACAGTCAATCATACTAAAAGTCTATTAAGATACTGATTGATTGATTGATTGATTGATATGAGGTCTCACTCTTGTCACCCAGGTTACTTTGCAGTGGCACAATCTCAGCTCACTGCAACCTCTGCCTCTCAGGCTTAAGAAATCTTCCCACCTCAGCCCCCCGAGTGGCAGGGACCAGAGGCACGCAACACCACGCCTAGCTAATTTTTTTTTTTTTTTTTTTTTTTTGTATTTTTGGCAGAGACAGGGTTTTGCCATGTTGCCAGACTGGTGTCCAACTCCTGAGCTCAGGTGATCTACCTGCCTTGGCCTCCCAAAGTGCTGGGATTACAGACATGAGCCAACGCACGTGGCCTAAGCCACTTATTCACATGACGAAACTTCCTTCCTTATCATCACTCAGAAATATTCTACATCTGAAATAACAACTTCCTACTCAAGACTCTAACTACAATCTTCTATTCCTTTAAGGCTGGCACATCATATAACTCTAGAAAACACTATTCATCTTGTATTCTATGTTAGCACAACACTTCAGCTTAATGTGAATGTCTCCCACTGGAGTGGTGGAAAAGAGACTCTGTATTGCTCCAACTAGACTTGTACCTCGGTGACTTAGAAAACTTAATCCCTTAAGTCTTCCCTAGCCTGCCAACCCATCAGTCCCTCTAACTTCACTTAATTCCCTTTTGAATCCAAACCCATTTGAGTATCACTTCTTCTACTCTCTCATGAGTACTAACAAGTCTCACTTTGTTCTTCTACTACATTCACTTTGGTTTAAGCATCCTTCTTTGTTTCTATACCTAACTTATAGCACTTCCGATGGAAATAATACAATCATATTAATTAGTGCTTGCTTATTTATGGTTTTCTACCTTAATTGGCCCCTTCGTATTCCTCTCTCCCACATCACTCTCAAATACTTTTGCTTGACCTTAGATGCACATATCTCTTATGATCCAAAGAAGCGAATACAAAATACTGAAAGCATTAGACATTAATTTCCTCAAATCCCAACCCTATAATGTTGTAAACTATTGCCAGGGCCCATGGGCTCTTCAAGTCCTTGCTGACTCTTACTAGTCTGCTCACTCTAAAGGTTGGGATCTCCTTGCCTATGTTTCAGGCTCTCTTCTCTACTGATTAACTAGTCCTAGGTGACTGAATGATGTCCCAGGTGACCCAAATGTCTGATATGCATCTTAAGTATTACATGGCCAAAATAGAACTCTTCATTTTTTCCTACAAGCTTGCTCCTCTGTTTGTCACCTCCATTACTGTAAATAGCATGATCTCCTGAATACTTTTTCAAGTTAAAAATTTGTGAGTCATTATTGATTTATCTTTTATTCTTCCATTTTGAATCACCAAATTCTTTGAACTATCCCCAAAAGATAATGCTAAGTTTTCTTTATTTCTATTATATTACTTTAGACAAACTACTATCATCTCTCACTTGGATTACTATAATATTTTAAGTTTCTCTACTTCCATTTTTCCTCTTACAATCAATTATCCCTCCACTTAGCAGCTATGATGTTTTTCATAATGTATATCAAACTGTATCTTTCTCTTGTCTTTAACCTTTCAATGAATTCCCATCATCTATTTTACCATGTGTCTTAGAATCCTCCATGATGTTTTTGTTTTCAAGGCAGGGTCTAGCTCTGTCGCCCAGGCTGGAATATGGTGGCCTGATCGCAGCTCGCTGCAACCTCTACATCCTTGGCTCTAGAGATCCTCAAGCCTAAGCCTCCCTCGTAGCTGGGACTATAGGCACACAGCACCATGCCTGGCTAATTTTTGTACTTTTTGTAGAGATGGGGTTTTGCTATGTTGCCCAGGCTGCTCTCGAACTCCCAGACTAAAGCTATCCGCCCACCTTGGCTTCCCAAAGTGCTAGGATTGTAGGGGTGAACCACCACACCCAGCTCTTCATGATGGAGTTGTGGTTGCCTCTCTAAGACCACTTTGTACTGTCTATCTGCTACCCTACTATGCTCCAGCTCCACAAGTCTTCTGTATCTCCAACACATCAAGTTTGCATTAATGCTTACATCCATTAGTGGCCCCACTGGGACACTGGAGTGTACTTCTACCACTCTGTGTATGGCTGGCTCCTCCTTGCTAGTCAGATCCCAGCCTAAATGCCATCATTTTAGAGAGGCCATCTCTGACCGCACAATCTAGATACCCAGTCACTGTTGATGACATCATTCATTTTAATTCTCAGCATAGCAGTTGTCACCATGTGATCATTTATTCTGGCTTATTTATGTAGTTTTGTCTCTCCTTGTCTGTCTTATTTTCTGTTATAGTCACATCTTCTAGAGTAGTGCCTAACACTTAGTAGGCATTTAATAAATATGTTAAATCAGCAGTTGAAATCAGTCTTTTAAATGTATAGCAAGTAAAACCTGTTAATGAACTGAACTCTACTACATTCTGTACTTGAGAGAAGAAAGTAAATATTCTTTTTTTCTAACAGAGTGAAAGTGATTTTTAAAATGAGTCTTTAGCACAAAAAGAGGAGCAATTTGAAGTAGAATTTTAAGCTTTTTCTTTCCCAGAAAAGAATTACGTATTAAAAAAAATTGGCTAATTTGATAAAATCTATAAAACAAACCTCTAAAGGATCATAAATGGGGATTATGATTCCCTAACTTATTTTTTCCACCCTAGAACATTGAAAGGAAGCATCCTTAGAACTTTGAAAATCTGGTACAACCCCTACTTGACATTACCATTGTCTGTCACTTCAAGGAAAACAAAATCATTCACGTCCATGATAAAATGGATCATTCAAATCTGTTATTTAGTACCATGTGGTCAACTGGTTGATTGACTGCATTTTAAAACTTCTCTATGGACTGATAAATTACCCAACTGATGAAAGAAAGACATTGTATTTCTCTTAACAGTACATTATGACTCATGTAATGAATCTAATTGTTATTATTGCTACATTATCACCTTAACTTGATATTGATAATAACAGTGATTTGTACTTAATGAGCACCTAAAGTGATAATAAGTCCTTTTCTGACAAGATACCTACTTTATACATGTGTCTTGATAGTTTTTTTTTGTTTGTTTGTTTCCCTGCAAACTTCATGAGGCCTGGGATTTTGTCGTATGTCTTCCCTGAGATTCCATGAAAACCTAGCATCATGTTGCAATTAAATCTTACTGGGAAAAATATGCTACAGTTTACAATGCCAGTTAAAGATAGATTTATTGCTTACTCTGATAATGTCTTTGGTGGGCAAAATACCCCTCTGAAAAGATATACACATTGTAATCCCTGCAACCTTAAATGTGTTATATTATATAACAAGGGAGAAATAAAGTTGTAGATGAAATTAAGGTTGCTAATCAGTTGACCTTAAATAAACAGATTATCTTGGATTATCCTGATGTGCCCAATGTAATCACAAGCCCCCTCAAATGGGAAAGAAGAAGGCAGAGAGTTGTTATCTTGAGAAAGACTAGATTTACCATTGCTGGCTTTAAACACTGAAGGGGACCGTGAGCTGAGAATTTGGGCAGATTCTAGAAGCTAGAAAAGGCAAGAAAATGAATTCTTCCCAAGAACTTCCAGAAAAGAATACAACCCTGCCAACATCATGATTTTAGCTCAGTGAGACCCATTTTGGACTTCTGACCACCAAGATAATACGTTTCTGTGGTTATTAGCCATGAAGTTTGTGATAATTTGGTATACCAGCAATAGCAAACTCATACAGTTTCCTTTTTGCTTTTCCTCTTGGAAAAAAAAAAATAAGGGAAGCATTTCAAGAAAGGGTACTAGATATGTTTCTATGTGTATCTATGAAGGCTCTTCACTTAGCATTGTTATTTCTGTTTCAAGTTTGTTTCTTATGCAGAACCTTTTGGTCATGTATTGTGGGAAAGCTTGGGCAAATTTGGCCAGTGCAATTTAATTACAAACTTTAAGTTATCTGCTTTTAGTGTGCACTGCCACTCATTATCCCTTAGAGATGGAAATGTGTAAAATTAAAAAATACAGGCCAGGCATGGTGGCTCATTCCTGTAATCCCAGCACTTTGGAAAAATCAAGACAGAAGGATCACTTGAGGCCAGGAGTTTGAGGCTACAGTGAACCTTGATTGCACCACTGGGCTACAGCCTGCCTGGGTGATGGAGTGGGACCCTGTCTTTAAATAAATAAATAAATAAAATTCAAAAAAATAAAAAAATACAATAAAAACCTAATCATCTTGATCTCCCCAATCTAGAATATATAACCATTTTTATAATGTTAGGCAGCATTTTCTCTGTTTAGCTAAAAAAATGATGCACTTGAGGCTTGTGTTTGTCTTATAGAGGGGATCTTTGAAATATTTAAAAGAACAAACTATTTTAAAGCAATTTCAAATACTCTAACCCATTTATGCTTAATCCTCCATTATTGGAACGCTAAGCTGCCAGAGTTATTTATATCCTACTGCTCAAGGTCATTGCCAAAGTCTGATTTTTCACACACAAAAAATTGTAACCTCTGGCATAAATGGGTTAAAATCATATATTTACAAAGAAAGTTAATATACTAATTACAATTATTATTAGTCCATTACTTCAAATGCATACTCAATATTTAGCTTAGCAACATATTAAAACTTTGGTTTGCTACATCTATTGCAAAGTCAAACTTAAGCATTTAGTGCTAATAAAATGACAGTAAGAGCTTTACCGACTGAAAAGGCCTATAGTTTGAAATACACTCTTATTTTGGCATTTTCAACTCTTCTCTCATTCAAATAACTTTCGAGTTTCTCAGATGTGAGATAGTGACAATAAGAACACAGATTATACATCTCTATCCTGTCTCTCTTCACTACTTCACTATATTCAATGATCTAGTCATACTGAGACAACCCACTATTCCCCAAAATGGCCACTTTCTCTTTTATAGAATTGTGAACACACTATTCCTTTGTAGGAAATACACCAACCTCCTTCAACCAACCAATGCTTCTACCCCTTGGTGGATTTCCGAGTCACCCAGAGCTCAGCTTCAGTTTAGAAGTTCCTGCTTTAGAAGTTTTCTGTGACTGATCTAAGACTTAGCTAAATGCTTCTCCAGTGCTGCTTTGTGCTTCTTGTAGGCCCTTTTAATCTAAACTTGCTCCTGTTGTAGCACTTAGCACAGCAGGCTGAAATTGGGTTTTCACTTTTCTGTGTCCCTCAATTTCTCTAAGCTTCTTTATGGCAAGGATTGTGCATTGTACATTATTATATTAATATCTCTGATGCTTAGCACAGTGTTGTCATATAAGGTGTTTTCAATAGAAAGTTACTAAATAAATGAACCAGGGAATACGTAAAATACAGAGGAATGAAGTATTGAGAGAAATCAAAGGAGGAGAGGTTGGCCTTTTCTTCTTTACTCTGAACCTGTAGTCTCAGAGCTGGAAAATAATGTAGAAATCATGGTGTTTCTGGTATTGCCTCAGATCATTCAGGTGGATTTGGATTTCCCAAGCTGCACATTGAGGTTTATTTTGTTGTTTTAATTTTGCTTCATGTTTAATTTTTGTTTTAATTTGTTTTACCTTAAAATATATTTAGAGGATAATATTGTAAACTTTTATCTTGAAAATATCCTCCCTTAATAATTTGGCTAATAATAAATTAGGACACAATTTAAGGGAAATCTGGTTTGTAAGTTCTCCGTCCACAAAAAAAATAAATCTCTCCTTTCTGCAATAACATTTCATAAATTCAGCTTTTCATAAATTGGAATGTACTTATTTGTATAATTCTGAATGAATAAGGTTTGAGTCTATTCAGTAAATGATTTTAGATTTATGCTTTCAAGATATTTAATTGCTTGCTCAAAAATCTTACATTGTCAACATAGGAAGGAAGTTTCCAGCTCATCTAGCCCAACCACTCACTAATTTTACAGATGAGGAAAAGTAATTCCCTTTTCTGCAACTAACTGCTCATGAGACCTCCTGTGACAGCTGTGAGCTTCAAAGGCCAGTCTTCCGACCCCATGATTATTCCCACTATACAGAATGGCACAGTGTTATCATTTGATGCTTTGGTGAAAATTCTAAACTTCTAATCAGAAAGCATGATTTGAGCTTGGCACTACCCAACAAAAGTTGGAGAATCACTCAGGAAGGTTAACATTCAGAGGGAAGCAGGTGATGCTTACAAACTCTGAAGCACCACATAGTCTGTTCAAAGGCTTCATATCACTGATATAAAGCAGTGGGTAGGATGGCATCTGCCCATTTTTAAATACAGATGCTTAAGGTTTCTCTTAGGACATGGGTATCAGGGCTTACTTAAAAAAAAAAAAAAAATGGACTCCAGATCCCAGTGACTACCAAACCTGAGAATTTTCTGTGTGTTGCTGTCCAAGACTAACTCAGGATCTTGATCGTGCTGGGCTAGTGGTTTGCAAAAACCTGAAAAGTGCTGGTGAAGGCCGAGAATGACACACCTACTACACTGTTCCATAGAGTAGCCAGTGGCTGCTGGCTGTCAAAAACATTGGTTACTAGCTACTGAGCACTTGAAATGTGGCTAGTCCAAATTGAGATGTGCTACCTATATACTGGATTCAATGGCTTAGTAAGAAAATATAAATTTAAAAGATATTATTATTACTATCAATTATATATTGAATTTATTATATTTTGGATATATTAGGTTAAATAAATTATTAAAATTATTTTCACCTTTTTCCTTTTTTTAAATGTTACTACTTAGAAAACACAAACATAATATATATGTGATTTGTGTATCTATTTCTACTGGACAATTCTACTTTAAGAGTTAGTTAGGGTAGGTAACATAAAAGCTCCAGTGTCAGTGACCACTACAAGGAATCTCAGTCACCAAAGCACGATTACTGCAAATTATATACCATGCAGCATTTCTGGTTTACTCAGAATGAGTGACCAGTGTATCCCAGCAGAACATTTTTTATTACATAATGAATCTCTAGACACTCTCATACATTCTCCGAATGGAGATTTGTGTAAGCATATACTTACACAAAAAGAAAAGCAATGATTCTTCTCCAGTTCTCTGTACCATATATTCCCATGAAGGAAGTGTAAATGTTATACCCACTGTAATGTTACAAGCATTCTAAGTTTTTCCTGTTTCACAGGTAGACCTGGCATCTATTCTGGTGAGGGTGAAAATTCTGAAGCAGAGAAAGTCATTTTTCTGGAGGTCATGAAAATGGGCTTTTATGATAAGCAGATAGTTTATGGTTATACACATTCAAGAGACTTTCTTCCAAATACATTTCCTGACGCTTTGAATCGGAGTTCAGGTTCAAATGTTCGTTCGTGCCCAATTCCTTCTCAAGGAGATCATTCCGTGTATATATCTCCATCAATCATACTTCACAGAATATTCTGGATGTTGATCACATATAGAAAATGATATGGTCTTTGTCTTCTAGGTTACCCACTAGAAGCCTTTAAATTATTAAATATTATAATAGAGTATTGCCATAAATATTACAATGACACATGCAATATTTTCACATATCAGTGTGTAAAGAACTCTAGTTAATTTTTCTGGTGATCATTGAGGCTACTAGAAAACAAGGAATTGTGTTTTATGAATTAGAAAGAATAACTTGGATATTGAGAATTTAGAAGAATTAATTGTTAATTAATTAATTAATTTGATAACAGTCTTTAGCCTCTTGATGAAATGTACATAAAAACTCTCATCTCCAGAAACAAGAAAAAACAAAAAATAGGCAAATGTCATCCAATATTTTCAGGATTCTTTGCTCAGAAATAATATTTTAGAGGCCACATTCAATTTTTTAAATAAAAGTGAACAAAATCAACCAGAAACTAAAACCAAGCTCTTCATAAGTGCATATGTGTAATCTATAGTGAAAAAATGCAATAAATAAAACAAATTCATCTCTGCTCATTATTCCTGGCAGTTCTTAAAGAGTACATGATCCATATTTTAACAAAGTTTAAATGTCAACATTGGTTTCAAATTTAATTACTATTAATTACCACATCACCACCACCATAAAAAAGTATTCTTGAATTGCAGTTGGAAAAAATGTTTCATTTTCTTATTTTTCATTTCATTGAAATTTTGAGTTTCTCAGAATGGAAAGACTAAGCAATTCTGTAAACTAGGGCTGTGGAGAGGGAGAAGGTGTTAATAAAATCCCTAAATGAAGGCTACGAACTTCCATGTCCTCCACTAAGAATTTTGGCAGGCCTCTAAGGGAGGTATGTAGCTTGTGGAATTAGAATTGTGGAATTAGATCTAGTAGCAGATCCTGGCTACTGATTGAAAGTCCCTACCATATAGATATAATTCAAACATGTTATGGAATCCCTTAAAATAGACTGTGGTAGCTTCAGACTAGCTTCAGACTCATTACTGGGGAATTCAGAAGGGCAAACACGTTATTCCTGTTTTGGCCATGACACTCTACACAAGAAGATGTGAGGAGCCATATCACAGACATTACAGACCCAAGACCCCACTCCCAGATCTTCTATATTACATGCTGGGGACGCAGAACCAGGAATTCTTGCCATAACAGCTTGATCTGCTGCCAGAGCTTGACCATGTCTTCCTCAGCGTGGTTTCCAATGGAAGAGCTTGCTGCTGTGGGTACTCATCCTTGGGCCAAAGGGGTGATTCATGAGCCATGTGGTTCTCTGGGAGAGAGATGGGGACAAACATAAGATACAGCAGGGCATAAGAAGAGGGGAAAACGGAAGAGGGGGGAAAGAAGCAGGGAGTCCCCTCTCTTTCTGTCTGAAATGCCAAATGGGAATATACCAGAAATGTTGTCATTTGGCAGATGTTTTAGACATGTTAGAACTAAGACAACCAAAAAATAGAACATTTTGAAACATTTCCTCAAATATGCATCAGGATTCTTTGTTGATGTTACCTCCCAACATCAATGGTAGTCATTTCATGAACAGGACATACATCTTACTACATTGTGTTGAGATTTTAGAACTCACCCTCTTCAAAAATTATATATATATGAAGGAATATTACATTTAAAGGAATATTATTGACATTAAAATTTCATCAATGGCAATGAATACTCAAAGAAAATGAAGCAATGTCTTCAAAGTTAGGAAGAAAAAAGATACTTACCTGCACTTTATATTATGCAAAAGCTACTTCCAGTCATTCAGAAACTTAGTTTACTTACTATTTAGTCTCTCAGTATGAAAAGAATATTCAAGGGCTTCACCAGTAAAACAAACAAACAAAAAAAGAATCATAGAAAAGAATATATGAAATGCAAGTGCTAAAAAAACTCATTATGGCCATACGAAGATAACGAATTCATGCCCATAATCTCCGCACTTTGGGAGGCCAGCTGAGGCAGGAGGTTCACTTGAGGCCAGGAGTCTGAGAACATCCTGGGCAATATAGCGAGATTCTGTCTCTACTATCTATCTATCTATCTGTCTATCTATCTGTCTGTCTGTCTATCTATCTATCTATCTGTCTGTCTGTCTGTCTGTCTGGCCAGCCAGCCAGCCAGCCAGCCAGCCAGCCAGCCAGGCATGGTAGCATGTGCCTGTAGTCCTAGTTACTTGGAAGGCTGAGGCAGGAGGATTGCTTGAGCCTAGAGGTTTGAGGCTGCAGTTTGCTATGATCACACTACTGCACTCCAGTCTGAGTGACACAGTAAGGCCCTGTCTCCAAAAAAAAAAAAAAAAAAAAAAAAAAACAAAAAAAACATATATATATATATGGAAGGAAGAAAGAAAATGAGAAACGATTTGTGAGGTTCTCATGCTGGGAAAATTAATCATCAAAAAGAAAAAACATTAAGATGTAAGATTACATTTTCTTTTTTTAGGAGGCCAGTAAAATTACTCAGTTCTACAGTTAAATAATATTACAAGTATTGGGGCCAGGTGCGGTGGCTCACTCCTGTAATCCCAGCACTTTGGGAGGCCAAGGAAGGCAGATCACCTGATGTCAGGAGTTCAACACCAGCCTGACCAACATGGTGAAACCTGGTCTCTACTAAAAATAGGAAAATTAGCTGGGCATGTTGGTGGGCGCCTGTAATCCCAACTACTCAGGAGGCTAAGGCAGGAGAATCACTTGAACCTGGGAAGCAGAGGTTGCAGTGAGCTGAGATCGCACCATTGCACTCCAGCCTGGCTGACAGAGTAAGACTCTGTCTCAAAGACAAAGCAAAACAAAAAACCCACAGGTATTAATTACCATTTTAAAGTCCTAGAATCAGCTTTTAGTTGTCCTAAATAAAGCAACCAAACAATATAAATAACCCTCATAATTAATTAAAAAAAAATTATACCTAATGGTTGTTTGAGGTAAGTGAGGAGGAGAGGTGAAGAAAAGGTTTACTATTTATCACATTTTTCATAGCAAAGAATAAGTAGATATTGCCTTAATTGATACATTTTAAAAATTGTCATTTAAGTATAATATTTAAGTTCAGAAAGGCAATGACCAGAACTAAGGAAAAATGTATCTAAAGACATAAAGGAGGAGGGAAGAGGAGATATGATAGATAGTGCAAGATTCCTAAACACTTAATTGTCTGGATAGTGTCTAAAGGTGATGAATCATTTAATAGAGTATTTGGGAAAAATATAATTCCTTTATAGAGGTACAAAAATTAACAGGTATTAAGTAACTTTCTGTTAGTGTTGACCAGTCTTAAAGTTTCAGACAAACGAATGACATCATTTAGAGCTAGATATGGAACACAGAACACAGAGTGAAAAAAAAAATCTGAGTTGCCATTGGCTTGGCTCTAGATTGGTTTGTGATAAAGGCAATGAATTCCTTATCCTTTAGGTTTAAAGCAAATATTTCACATTATTTCTACCATGTATTGTGACGAAGGACTGCATAATGATTATAAGGTGCATTGAACAGCTTAGAAAACGATATATAGCACAAACCAGTGATAGTATTTAGGGAAGCTAGATATCACATCTCTGGTCTCATGTTTTAGTTCTGTGTGTAACTAATATTGCTTCTGCTTCCTATTATTAACCCCAAAGTTTTATTTCCTGTATTAAAAATAAATCAAAAGATACAGTTTTAAACTTTGATATGTTTTATTGGTTTACTTTTAATATTGGCTACATTTAGACTCATTTTTTAAATTTAAGATGAAGACATAAGTGTTGAAATGTGCAACATGATATTTTTTATGACTGAAAGACAAATTTTTGGACATTGAAAATATCCTGAGTCAATCTGTTCTTGGAAATTTACCAGGCAAATTTTGCAGTGGTTTAAATTAATTTAGCACACCTTTGGGTCCTTACTCCAGCAGAATTTATTGAAGATTAATAATAGTTATATGAATCACATGTCATGATACGTTTTTCTCCAGTAAGGTGTCATTTAACTTCTTAAATCCAAAACATACAGTGTGCAAGCTGTCCCAAACTTGTGAACAGGTTGTTTCAAGTAGTTTGTTTGGAATTTGGAATTCACAACACATTTTCTTACAGAAATAAAGTTATGAATTGTGTTTGCCTAACCAGGCCAGCGAACAAAAGCCTATTTATTCCACAAATTAGTATCTGGACTACAGTTCTAACAGAGTTAGAACCAATAGGTGGGGTGAAAACGGGGTTATGGTTCAAGAGGAACAAGGAAGGCATTTATTTATTTTTTTCTTTTCTTAGGTACAAGGGTGTCTTAGATAAAATAATGAGATAAATTTTGTTTCCAACACTTTCAATCTCCTTTTATGCATCTTCACTTTTTTTTTTTTTTTTGAGACAGAACGAGACTCTCGACCAGGCGGCTGGAGTGCAGTGGTGCGATCTTGGCTCACTGCACCCTTTGCTTCCTGGGTTCAAGCAATTCTTGTGCCTCAGCCTCCCAAGTAGCTGGGATAACAGGCATGCACCACCGGTCCCGGCTAATTCTTTAGTAGAGATGGGATTTCGCCATGTTGGCCAGGCTCACCTTGAACTCCTGGCCTCAAGAGATTTGCCAACCTTGGCCTCCCAAAGTGCTGGGGTTACAGGTGTTAGCCACCATGCTTGGCCCACCTTTATTTATTATACCATTTTTCTGTTTCCTCAGACTTCAGTCCCATTGACTTTACTTTTTTGGAGGCTGGGAGGTGGAAGGGTGATGGAGTAGCAAAGCATCATTTTATAGCATGCTCCAAATTCCAAAATTATGTTTCCTTACTACCTCCTCTCTGAAACTTCTCCTGTATTGTGGCGATGGCTTCAATGAAATATTGAAAGAAATTAATCTTGAGTAAATTAATTTACATTAAATTATAGATGATAGCTCTTAATGCAGTCTTATTATTGTCTCTAGTTTCTATCCCGAAGTAGTTTTTATCTAAGTATGAACTTAATGATATTTCCATAAGGATAATGAGGTTAAATACAGAGTTCAGTCATAATAAAGTAGGTATATTGGTATATTTGGGAAATGGTCCCATCTTGTAGAATCAGAATCCTCCTTCTTTTACTTTCTTTCCTCCTTTCCCTTCTTTCCTTCCTGTATTTGCTTTTCACAGTTTATTCTATTCTTCTACAAGTCAACAGGTTTTACTAGTTGTTTTATATATGCTGTTTTTGTTTTTGTTTTAAAAAAAAAAACAACAACAACAGAAAAAAACAAGTCGCGAGTTTCCAGTGAGTAGAATCACTGAAAGGGGAGTTATCAGCGGGACTGATGTTCTTCCTTACACTCCATGCATATAAAAGGGACTCTTTGTAGTATAATGACGTTGCTTACTGACTTTTGTTGCAGTTATAAATCCACCTTCGAGTGAATGTCTAGTGGACTTCCACATCACATCGCAAGCAATATTCATTATATTATCCAAATCTACTTATAATCATGTTACTTCTAGTCTTAGCAAATGTTATATTCATTTAGTTTTTAGTAAAATAACTAAAATTAGGCCAATCCCTGGATTTGTTTCTTGGGCTCTACTAGTCTTTACTTCTTTACCTTTCTTCCTCATCCTGTTTACCTTCCTTCTCTTCTTTTTTTTTTTTTTTTTTGTTTTTTTGTTTTTTTAATAGTGTTCACCTCTTAGAAATGTGTTTACCTGTATTTAAATACATCATCTCTAAGAAACTGAAGGTCTTTTACGGGACTGCACATCCATTTCTCCAAGAATTTCTCCAAGAATTAAACAACTGTCTGGTATCTGTTTCTAAGCAATTTTGGCAAAATAAGTTTTAGGTTTATTTAATTCCAGACAGAATTTTTTTCTTTAATCATCTCGGAGAAAAGTATTTTATGACTATCTAAGGATTTTATTAAGTTCTACAATCTGATGGAATTTAAATTATTCAACTTTTATTTTTAAAATGGCTGTCTCAAGAGAGTCAAATACAAAATTGGTTTGTTCTTTAAATTTGTACATTTATATTATACATAAAATATTTCTTTTTGCTCATTGTGGTGTTTAATAGCTAAAATGAATTATATTGACTATATGTGAAGTTGATGTCTACAGCTAGAAGAAATATACTAATTATAATTTACACATCAGAATTTTATCTATAAGTTAAGAAGGATAATCTGCCAGGTTAAGTAGCAAGCCTGGTTAAATAGAAGTCACAGAGTATAAAACTATTGACTTCCTTTCTGGTCTTAATAATAGAAAAACTTATAGTGCATATTATGTTCAAGGGACTCTTCTACGTGCTTTATTTATATTCATTTATTCTATCCTTCACATAACCTTAACAAGCAGATATAATTATTATCAACTTCACTTTCCAGATAGGAAAACTGAGGCCCAGAAGGTGGCTAATGAGTGGCAGAGACAGGATGTAATCCCAGATAGTTTGGCTCTAGATCCCATGGCTTAATCATGACATCACACTGTCCCACTACAAGGAAACATAGAGCGTTCCAGAGCTTCTGGAATGCAAACTAATGATTTGTAGTAGGACAATAATGACCCTAACAAAGATAAAACAAACCGTAGTTCAGAACAACCAACATAAATGACTGAAGAAAGAAGTTATATCTAGATATATGAAGAATACACAGGACCCTATTCAATGATTTTGTATTACTTTCACGCTTTACACTTAATTTTTTTTTTTAAAAAAAGTATATCATATTATATATCAAATTCATCTTAAGAGTAAAGTTCTGGTTTGGTTTATTGTTATAGTATCGAGGATCAGTAAGAAAGGAAAACAATAAAAGAAGATTTAGGTGGTGCTCTTTCACTTGCTATGCAACATTTTAATATGTTTGCAAATCTTTTTTCATTTAAATAGAATACTTGAATATTTCCCATGTTAGAGTATATGACTATTTCTAGTGAACAGGAGTCTAAAATGACTATACAAGTACTAAACAATACTGTAAATTATTTTTGTAACTGAAAAAAACGAAAACAAGGCAGACATACAGTGAAAAAGAAGTGATTTATTTTACCTTAGCATCAAATAGAAGTTATTTACTTTCAGATTGATATTTTAGTTTCTTTTTTGTCAGGCTGCTTTTATACTTTCCCCCCAAACATATCTAGAATATTTTCTTCCTTAATATTTTGTCTTCTCTCCTTTTCTTATAACATATTTCAAATTTTCCTTCTTTTATTAATTTATTCTAATTCTCCCCACTTTTTTTGACCAGTTTTCCTTAATTTTCATATCACCAAAACATCATCACTAATTATTTGTTTTCCCTTTTTCTGCATCATTTCATTCACTAAAAAATTATGATCCCACAAATGAATTTTCCCTTATATTTTCTTGCAAGATGATTCACTCTCTTATTACCACTATCTTCCCGTCATTCCTGCCAGGAAGCTTGGAGGTTTCAGAGAACTGAAGAATGCACCTAACTGTTTGAAGGAAGATACTAATCTAGATTTCGAAAAGAAAGAAGATAGGCTGATTATGACTTTATCTATGCTGATTCCTTTCCCCGTAATCCTTTCATCTTATAATACTGGTTAGATTGTATTTTGGCGATTTTTTTTCTCTTTTACATTGGAATGAGAGTAGAATTTGTCTGGGTCACCTAAGGTAAACAACATTAGTGTCAATAAGTGCAACAAAAACATGAAAAAAAATGAATATTGGTACGTCAAAGAGATATCAACACTCCCATGTTCATTTCAGCATTATTCAAAATAGCAAAGAGATGGAAGCAACCTAATTGTCTATCAACAGATGAATGGATAAAGAAAACATAGTAACTGTAGTCCCTCTGTTCCGTGGTTTTGCTTTGCGTGATTTCTGTCACCCATAGTATTTTACAGGATATTTAGAGAGAGAGAGACTACATTCGTATATGTTTTATTGTAGTACATTGTTCTAATTTTTCTATTTTATTATTAGTTATTAATCTCTTACTGTGCTCAATTTATAAATTTAACTTTATCATAGGTATATATGTATAGGAAAAAAAACAGCATATACAGCAACAGTCCCCAACCTTTTTGGCACCAGGGACCAGTGTTGTGGAAGACAATTTTTTATTCAGGCACAGGCAGGGAGTGGGGATGGTTTCAGGATGAAACTGTTCCACTCGGATTATCAAGCATTAGTTAGATTCTCATATGAGCGCGCAACCTAGATCCCTCGCATGTGCAGTTCCCAATAGGGTTTCCACTCCTATGAGAATCTAATGCCTCCGCTGATCTGACAGAAAGAGACAGAGCTCAGATGGTAATGCTCACTCGTTTGCCGCTCACCTCCTGTGGCCCGGTTCCTAACAGGCCACAGACCAGTGCTGGTCCACAACCTGGAGACTGGGGACCCCTGGTATACAGGATTTGGTATATCAGACGTTTCAGGCATCCACCATGAGTATTGGAATGTGTCTCCTGCAGTTAAGGGGAATTCACTGTATATTTACAAAACAGAATACAGCCTTTAAAAAGATGGAAATTCTTTGTAAAGGCTGTATAGTATTCTGTTTTGTATATATACAGTGGCTTCCCCCTAACCGCAGCCTTTAAAAAGATGGAAATTCTGGCTGGGCACCGCAGCTCACACCTGTAATCCCAGCACCTTGGGAGGCCGAGGTGGGTGGATCATGAGGTCAGGAGTTCGAGACCAGCCTGACCGGCATGGTGAAACCCCATCTTTATAAAAATACAAAAAATTAGCCGGGCATGGTGGTGCGTGCCTGTAGTCCCAGTTACAAGGGAGGCTGAGGCAGGAAGTCACTTGAACCCAGGAGGCAGAGGTTGCAGTGAGCTGAGATCACACCACTGCACTCCAGCCTGGGCAATAGAGTGAGAATTTGTCTCAAAAAAAAAAAAAAAAAAAGAAAAAAGTTAGAAATTCTGTCATTTGTGATGAAATGAATGGACCTGGAGGACATTATGATAAGCGAAACAAGCTAGGCATGGAAAGAAAAATACTTTATTATCTCACTTATATGTGAAATCTAAAAAAGTCAATCTCATATAAACAGAGTAGGAAGGTCGCTACTTGAGGCTTGGGGGGAGGGAGTGGTAAGGGATGGGAAAAGGGGAGATGTGGATCAAAGATTCCAAAATTTGTTAGACTAGAGGAATAGTTTTAGTGATCTATTGCACTGCATGGTGGTCACAGTAATAATGTGTTGTATATTATAAAATAGCTAATAGAATAGATTTTTAACGTTCTCACCAAAAAATGATACATTGATGGGTTGATGGACATGTTAATTAGCTTTATTTAATCTGTCCACAATATACACATAGAGCAAAACATCACACTGTGCCCCATAAATATGTACATTGTCAATTAAAAAATAAAAAATTATTTAAATAAAAAACATAAAAAGGGCCTGGCGCAGTGGCTCATACCTGTAATCCTAGCACTTTGGGAGGCTGAGGTGGGTGGATCACCTGAGGTTAGGAGTTCGAGACTAGCCTGGCCAACATAAAAAAACCCTGTCTCTACTGAAAATACAAAAAATTAGCCAGGCGTAGTGGTGGGCGCCTGTAATCCCAGCTACTCAGGAGACTGGGGCAGGAGAATCACTTGAACCCAGGAGGTGGAGGTTGCAGTGAGCAGAGATTGCACCACTGCACTCCAGCCTGGGTGACAGAGTGAGACTCCATCTAAAAACAAAACAAAACAAACAAACAAAAAAACCATAGGAAGAAAAATATTTTTAGGAATCTGACCAGGATATTTTAGTGGCTTAGCATTTTAGTTTCATAATCTGATACCCTGAAATGTTTATGCTCAGCTTCTGACTCCTAAGTAAAAATACTCAACTGACATACCTTGAAGTAACGCTGATATCACTAGTTTTATTTATTTCATGTTACAGTCCTATGGGTGTCCTTGCAGGGCAAGGTTCTATTGCAGTCTACAGGTCTCCCCCATCCTTAGGCCAAAGCAATAGAATTTTAATCTCTTTTGTGTTCTGTGATGCTATATAAGACTACATTGAATACCTAACACATATTTATTGAATGCCCAAATGGATACTACAGTAAAAATTTGAGAACCATTCATTTATTCTAATTTTACTCTTTTTATAAATTTTTCTTTTAGAGCCTCAGTGTTTTCGTCAATAAAATGGAAAAAAATAAGTACCTATTATTACCTATTTGGAGGAATATGTAATTTAGTGATATAAAGTACATGCACAATGTTTAGCACTCAGCAGCTTTCAAACTCTGTTGCTTTTCCCCTCCCCAAATCTGTTATTTGGCAAAATAATTAACAGACTTGGGAAGGGTCAAAGAATGAACAGGGACTCTAGTTCACATTTCAGAATAAGAGAATTATTAAAAGAATAGAGAATTATTCTCTTCAAAATAATTATTTTTTAAATAACTATGATATATACATATTTCATTTTCTATACTTGGCTGATGTGAAAAAAGTATGAAGCTATTGCCTTCTGTGAATCAATGATATAATTTACATATTTAATTTAATATATATATATATATATTCTGAAGTGGAAGTAAACCTCTCCACTGTAGGCAATGGGGTAGTGGTAATTGTGGTTAAAATCCCCCTGGATAAATTTATGGGAGTTGAATAAAAATGAGTCAGCTGATGGCCAGGCGCGGTGGCTCACACTTGTAATCCCAGCACTTTGGGAGGCTGAGGCAGGTGGATCACCAGGTCAGGAGATCTAGACCTTCCTGGCTAACACGGTAAAATCCCGTCTCTACTAAAAATACAAAAAATTAGCCAGGCATGGTGGCGGGCACCTGTAGTCCCAGCTACTTGGGAGGCTGAGGCAGGAGAATGGCATGAACCCAGGAGGCGGAGCTTGCAGTGAGCTGAGATCACGCCACTGCATTCCAGCCTGGGCGACAGAGCAAGACTCCCTCTCAAAAAAAAAAAAAAAAAAAGTCAGCTGACACACCTACTCAGATGGCTGTACTACTACTAAATAATAACAAAGTATCAAATGTTCACAAGCATATAGTGAAATTGGAGCCCTCATACATTTCAGGTAGGAATGCTATGGAAAACAGTGTGATGGTTCTTCAATAAGCTAAATATACTATTACCATTGTGAGCCAAGTGCTGGCATGCACCTGTAATCTCAGCTACTCAGAGGGCTGAGGTGGAAGGATTGTTTGAGCCCAGGAGTTAGAATCAAGCCCATTTCTTAAAAAAAAAAAAAAATTATATATATATATAAAGTCCCATGTGACCTAGCAATTCCACTCTTAGTTATATACCCAAAAGAATTGCAAACAGGGACACCAGTGGACACCAATGTTCATTGCAGCACGGTTCACAATGGTCAAATGTTGGAAACAACCCAAGTGTTTATCAACACATGAATGGATGAACAAAATGTGGTATATTCATAAAACAGAATATCATTCAGCCATAAAAAACAATTATACATGTTACTACATAATCTTTGAAAACTTTATGCTCAGTAAAATAAGCCAGACACCAAGAGAAAAATACTCTATGACTACACTTACATGAAATATGTATATATAATAGGCAAATTCATAAAGACAGAAAGTAGATATGAGGTTACCAGAGACTGAAGGGAAGAGAGAATGGGGTGTTATTCCTTAATGGTTAGAGTTTCTGTTAGGGACGATGAAAAAGTTTCGAGAACAGATAGTGGTAGTTGTTGCACAACATTGTGAATGTAACTAATGCCACTGAATTGTACTTAAATAGCAAAGTTTGTAAGATATATATATATGTTATACACATTAAATTCTATATGCGAATTATATCTCAACAAAACTGTTAAAAAACCAAAAAAAAAAGAAGTCAGCTGAAAGTTTTTGAGGTGCTCCTTTGTGAAGAGGGAAGGAGTCATTATTTTTCCTTTTTTTATGATAGACTGGGATAGGCCATACTGAATAATGTAACAGAGTAAAATAGAATATTATTGTGATAAACTGTTGCACAGCAAGAATGTGTTATATGTCAGTAGGGTGTACTTGTGCACGCTGACATGCTTCTTCATTTTGGCAGAGTTCCCATTTAGCTGGGGCAGGGGACAGTTGGCCACAGAACTTTGAGGTCCTTCTTGTTGGAAAGTAACTGTGGAGTTTTGCCGGCACACTTGCGTCCTTGAGCTCATGTAAAACATTTGTACTGTTTGTTCGCTGGTTTGGTAGTAAACCAAAAGAATGCAATCCTGAATCATACCCACCCATCTTTGAACTGGTACCTGATGCTATAGTCTGATCTGGCTCAATATTGTTCCAGATGTTATGACTTTTTTACCGATGTAAAGCTATCACTTTTCACCCTGAAAATAAATGGAATAATTAACAACTCTAATGCTGTAACAGTAAAAACTAGGTTGAGCTAGCTTAGTCTGGACATAAAGAAGAGTGACTCAGAAGAAGTAGAACTGAAATTTGAAGTGTAGCTAGACATTAGCCAAATAAAAATTTGGATAAAGACAATTCCAAACAGAGAAAATAGCTGAGGACAAAAGCCTTAGTTTAGCAATAACTTCCTATATCTAGATAACAGAGATAAAACTGCTGTAACTGCCACGTGGTAGCAATAAGGAAGGTGTTGTGTAGGCCATACTAAAGGTTTTAGATTTTATTCTATGTGAGAAATTGAAGACTCTGAAGGATTTTAAGCATGGCAAATGGCGTGATCAGATTTTTGTCTGACGAACATTGGTCTCGGTACAGTGTGGGAAAAAAAATGGATTGAAGAGGGCAAGAGTGGATAGAGTCAGACTAATTAAGAGAAAATTATATTTTAGCAGCAGATGGTGATGCTTTGGACTTTTACAGTGACAATGACAGTAGAGACAATTACATGATTCGAGATATGCTTAGGAAATAGAACTAGAAAGACTTGGAGAATCAATAGATTTGGGATGGTGAGGGAGGGGAAAGTATCAAGAATAAATGACTTGTAGGTTTTTGGCCCAAACAATTAGGTGGATGTTGACTCCATTTATCATGATAGAATATTTGGGGTCAAAGGTAGAGAGGTGATGAGTTTAATTTGGGGACGTGTTGAGTTTGATATGCCTGTAAGACATCCACGAAGACATATAAAATTTAGAAGAGGTGTCTGAAATAGAAATAGTCTTGGCAAATAGACAAAACTAACAGATAAAATTGCCTAGTGGGAGAGGGAAAAGTGAGAAATCTCAGACCAAGCATCTCGAAGATTCAAAGGTTGAGCGTAGAAGAAACAATACTCAAAGAAATCAATGAAGGGGCAGACAGAGAGGTAGGATAAAAAGCAGGGGTCCTGCTGCAATGGAAGTAAAGAGAAGGGAATGCTGAATAAAGGAGAGTATCTTGGTCTGTTTTGTGCTGCTGTAACAGAATATCCAAGACTGGATAATGTATAATGAAAAGAAATTTATTGGCTTATGGTTCTGAAGGCTGAGAAGGCCAAGATTGAGGGGCCAGCATCTGGCGAGGGCCTTCTTCCTGTGTCATCTCAGGGTAGATGGAAGAATGGGGTGGGGAGTAGGGGCGGATTTGTCCTTTGATAAGAAACCCACTCCCGTGATAACAAACCCACTCCCACGATGACAGCATTAATCCATTCATGAGGGCTTAAACACCTCCCATTAGGCCCCACTTCCAGACCATCACATTGGAGATCAAGTTTCCAACATGTGAACTTTGGGGGACATATTCAAACCATAGCAGAGGGCTTAGCCAAGGTCAAGTAGTATAAGACTTGAAGAGTTTCCACTGGATTTAGTAATATAGAGGTCACTGTTAATCAAATAGAGTAGTTTTGATCACACTGTATGTGGATAAAAGCCATACTTTATTTCACTGAGAAGTGAATGCAAGGTGGTTGTGTGATAACAACAAATGCAGACATCCCTTTGAAGTTATTTAGCTGAAAAGGGGCAAAGAAACTACTAGGAACACTAGTAGAGTCCGCATTCTGGCATCAACTATTTATTTGACTTTTGGCAAATTACTATCTCTGATTGTGTGCCCTATTCTTTATAATGAGAATGATGCAAACAGGAGTGCCTACCTCAAAGGGTTGGTAGAAGAGCTACTGCATTCAAAGTGCTTTGTAATAGAGCTTTGCTACTTAGTAAGCATTTAATAAATGTGAGCTATGATTATCCTTGGTCTGGATATTGTAATACCCTTGATATTATGGGATCTTCTTAGCAACAAAATTAAACTTAATATTCTTCAAAAATTTTCTATTTAGGAACACCAAAGCCAGAACAATCAGAGGATACAGACAGGAAAAACTAAGGACTGTTTATCCTGAATAATAATTTTAATCATTTTTTACTAATACTTAGTTAAGAAGTCTTTCCAATCCTTCATTCTCTTGCAACCAAAGCTATGTTATTATTTACACTAACTATCATCTCACAATGTTTTATTGCAGAGATAAAATGTAGTGTTTTTGTTGTAACCATTGGCTTAAAATTATTCTGAAATCACAAGGATATTTTAAAATTATTGTTTTTAGTCAGAAAAGTCACCTCTCTGGGGAACTATTATTCAATATAATTTATAGATTTTATATCTATCTTATTTCTACTGTATATTGCATTATTGTCTGTATAATTTTATGAAAAGAAACTTGCATATGCTGTCACCAGATTAAGAAATAACTTAAAATATTTTGCATATTTAGTTACTTTTTATATTTTCTATTTGTGTATATTTAATATACTTTTTTAAAATACCAGTTGAGCTTTTCATTTTGCTCAGTTTCAATTGACTTTTCATGCTGTAATGCATCTATTTTAAACAGAGATATTTTTCACATTATAATTTAAAATGTTCAGTTCATTACTATGGACCCACCTAGTGTCGACTTTTCAAATTCATTTCCTTACTGTGTGTGTATGCTTATGCTATACATCTTATATATTGAGTAATAAATGAAATGCTTAAATAATCTTAACTTTTAAAAGCTCATTTCAGATGCTTAATGTTTTTGTTTCATTTCTTATGCTATGCATTGTATGCAACATAAACAATCTGAAAATAATTGACTATGGGTTAAACAGACAGCTGCTAGAAAGCATCTCATTGCTCTTTTCAGCATCATTCACTCAAGAGGAAAATATAATCACTGGTATGAAGAGTAGTCTTATTGAAAGAGGTCATTTTATGTAGGAATTTGTGTGATTTGTTTTATATGCTGGTGTTACTTTTTAAAGTTTATAAACAACACTATTGGCTCTAATAACTGTGAATACATATTACGTTTCAGTTTACAAAGCATTTTTTGTATCAGTTGTAATATTAAATGTTCATACCATCTTTGCAAGATAAGTATTGTTATCCCCAGTTTACAAAGGAGGCAACTGAAGATCATAAGAGAGGTTATAGGTCAGAACTAGAATTTGAACCTAGGTTCTTAGACACGCACATAATAAATGTTTGTGTTTATTCATTATATCACTTCTCAGATTTTTTTAATCTAAATCAATATATATCTATACCTGGCTGGTATGTATATAAAGTGTTGATGTTCAGAAATTGGCCTATTTGCTAATTAAATTAATAAAATTTACCTGTACTGGGCAGTTCAATATATTTTTCTTCATTGCATTTCTTTAATTTCACTTCTGGCCAAATCATTTCATTTAAATCAACTTAATTTTAATGTGTTCATTTTCACCCCAGAATTAAATGTGTTACTTAGATGTTTATGATGACAGTTACTGAACAAAATTTCCTGCCTTTCAGTTTCTGCCTAAATACAAGCAAACTTGTTTCTTCCCTCATTCTGGTAGGAGAAAAAGTCAGTACAGGCCCTTTACCCAAACAGCTTTTTTTTTTTTTTTTTTTTTTTTTTTTTTTTTTTTTTGGATATTGAGTGTCCCTCTGAAGAAATCTGGGGAGGCGGGGATTCTGGAAAAAAAGATGTTAGATTCACAATCATCTTGCCCTACAATCCTAGGCCTCAATTTCAATGATTGAATATGTTCCTATGAAAGGACATTTTTGCTGCTTCTTTGAAATCTTGGATGAATAATGAAATAACCTGCATTAAGCAATGGACAGCACAGAAACTTTTATGGTTGAAGATCATTGTGCTCTGGACAATCAGTCTCAAGGTACTACATAGCCAATTATAAAAATGCAAAGAAATGGCTGGGCATGGTGGCTCACAGCTGCAATCCCTGCACTTTGGGAGGCTGAGGTGGAGAGATCACTTGAAGTCAGGAGTTCAAGACCAGCCTGGCCAACATAGTGAAACGCCATCTCAACTAAAAATACAAAAATTAGCCAGGCATGGTGGTGCACGCCTGTAGTCCCAGCTACTAGGGAGGCTGGGACAGGAAAATTGCTTGAACCTGGGGGGCAGAGGTTGCAGTGAGCCAAGATTGTGCCACTGCACTCCAGCCTAGGTGACAGAGCAAGACTCCATCTCAAAAACAAACCAACAACAAAAACAAAACGAAACAGAAAACAATGAAATGTTGCTTAGGTCTGAACGTTTGTGGAGTGGTTGTGGTTATCACAATCTGAGTATCACAAGAGGATGGGAAGCACTAGCACAGATGGTCTGTCCACAATTTGTGCAGGAAGTTGTCCAGTGCTAGAGAACTTTACCTCTGGTCTTCGTGCCTGAGGTCCCCCCCATCTAACTGTGGTGGCTGGTGTGGAGGAGGCAGGATCAGACAGTTTTGAACCTGAAGTGGTCAGTAAAACCAAAGGACAAGCTGATAGGAAGGTAAGCCTTCGCCTCAAACGTAGTGCAGGCCACCCAGGAGTGCCCAGACACATGGTCATTCTTAGCGGTCAGGCCACTACATATGCCCTTGACCACCTGTTCCGGACAATGAATGTGGACAGGTTTTACAGGTTCCACCAGAAGGTCAGTTGGCAGGCAGGGACACCATCGAGATAATCCATCTGTTCCACGGTAGATGGTGTCCTGCTAGGGTGCATAGAGAATGTCAAGGCTGACAGGCACACCCAGCACATTCCCTTTGTGCTGTGCTCGCCTGGGGGCTGCTGGGAGCTGACCACGCGCCCCCTGGGGGCTGCTGGGAGCTGACCACGCGCCCCTGTGCGCTAGCCCTGGTGCTCACCATTGCCCAGGTCTGCTCCCCTACTGGCTGGTTCTTCAAGTTGATTTCTTCGCTAAAGCAAGCCTAGCCCATCAACTTTTTGATATTATGGGTCATCTGTCGAAGGCTCATTTCTCAAGGTGGGCCATAAATTAATGAAAATATGTAAATGTACTTTTAATTGTATAATCAGATGCCCATATATATGTATTTATATGAACAAACACACATTTATATTTAAAATAATCTAATAAAGTCATTACTGCTCGATTTTAGATGCTTGGAAAATGCTGAGGTAAATGATTGTCCTGAATTATTAATACCTCATATATTACTTATATAAATAGAAGTAATAAAGCACGAGGCAAACAAAGAAGCATCCATTGTTGTGCTGGACTTTACACTTGTAGACGGTTGACAGTCTTCTCTAGGACGATATTATATTAACTCCCTTACAAAGTTGGCCTTGAAGGAGATGTGGGTATGCTGTATACTTGTGGGTATCCTATATTGATGCCACTATGCTAACAGGACAACTATGTATCTTTCAAACAAGCATAAAATATTTCATGACTGGTATTTTTTTGTCCCAGGAATGGTTGCAAAGTAAATGAAGGGGATATTAAGCAGCTTTTTCTAAGGAATACGTGTGAATCGTGGGAAACATGGTGACAGTAATATAGTATATAGGGATAGTGAAAAAATAATAGATACAGGGAAAAGACAAACTTGTGATAATTACAACGAGGCATTTTATGGAACATATTATAAATATTTATGACTATTTTAATTTTTTTTAATTTCCCAATATTTATCTCCCATAATATATCTTAATTGGTTCCTGGAGCCATTTAGGATTATTTTGGTGTGACGCTATCAAACTATACTATGAAGAGAGAGAGGTTTGGTGGAACACTATTCCCACCTTTTCCACACAAACACAAATTCAACCCTATTTTTTAGTGTAATATTTGTATTCTTCCTAAGTTTTTTTTTTGTTTGGTTGGTTGGTTGGTTTAGTTTGGTTTCTGATAAAGTGTTTCAAGGCCAAAATGTTTGAAGACTACTGTTTTAATGTTTTATTAACTAGTTATAACTAGTTTAATAACTGGTTTATTAGCAGCCTGGTTTATTTGCAGAATTCCTGTTTAAGATAGTATATACCTCTAATCCAAAAGCTATCCATTGTATGGAATATATAGCCTTCCAGTTTTTTTTTTTTTTTTTTACTTCATTCATGCATGCCTGCCTGCATGTATACTAGACTCAGGACCCCTAATCCAAAAACTATCCATTGTATAGAATGTGTAGTCTTCCAATTTTTTTGTACTTCATTCATGCATGCCTGCATGCATGTATGCTAGACTCAGGATTTAGTCGGTTGTTGTAATTCTGTTGATAATATCCCTGAATGCTCTCTAAAGTCAGGTTGTTAAATTAACCTGCCTAGTCCTCCCTGATACTGAATTTTGCTCCTATATGGAAATGCCAGATTCAAGGATCAAGGACATTCCCCTGAATCCTGCATCTGCTTTTATAATTTAAAAAAACTGCAGATATGTGAGGGAAAAGCATGATTATATGTATTTGACTGGAATTTGACTGGAATTATAGAGAAATAGAAATGAGATAAATTTACTCTTTTTGAAGTAATAGAACATAAGTGATGTCTCCTTTGAGTTTTCATGACTAGCCTAATGCTCAGGCAGCATTTCCTATATTCTCCTGTGTTTTGTCAGCATGTTAGTTGGATAGATTCCTATTTGCCAACTGGGTTAAGAATTAAATATGTTTTAATTTAGAGGTTATTTGGGTTTTTGGTACTTAGATACATCCATTAAAGTATTCTTTTATGAAATCGTGCAGTTTCCTTATAAAATAATTTGTTTGCTTTCTTTAAACCAGAAATGGCTGGTCATCTTTAACATATGTGGTGGTATTTATTTTTCCCCTGCCATGCCTCTAGAATATCAGAATGATAAGGGGAAATCATTAGATTCTATTCATTTAATTTAACAGTTTTAATTGGACAGGATCATTATTACATTTTCTTTTAGTGAATTGAGGGGTTTTTTTCAGTGAATCAAAATGTTCGGGTTGCTTATGAAGTTCAGCCCTTGGCATAATGTCACTAATGATTTCTACAGTACCTTGAAATAAAGCAACAGGAAAATCTATCAACAAAGAGATGTAAATGGAATATTTTTAGATCAAAAATAAGACTCAAATCGTTCATACTAGAAGAAAAGGACAACAGTGGGCAATTGCATATTTGATCACTTTAAATGCAATCAAAATAGCAGTGCCTGCCTAATTGCAAAAATAGCATCTGGACACATGGAAAAATGGAATGGCAGTTGTATTTGACAGGATTATTGCCATTATAAAATTAATAAAGAGTTCCGTTATGTTATGAAAGCAGAGGCTAGTCCATTATTTTTTCTCAAATATTTTAGACATTTTTAAATTTCAGCATTGTTTCTTTCATCAGTGTATTTTTCCTGGAGTATGCCTTCATTTGTTCCTTTTTAATGTATAATTTTTAACGTGGAGACCCTATGTTTTCTTATTGAAAGGAATGAAACATTTGCTTGCGTGCGTACCTGCGTCTGTGTGTTTGCGTGTGTGGTTTACATGGGGTGAGGGAGGGCTATAGAATTTATGGTTCCATTTTGCCTGAGATGAACCCTGTTCTCCTGGTCTTTTAAGAGTCTGTCACCACTGACTATCTAATTGTCCAAATTAATGGCTTTTCAAGTAGGTCTTTTTTGTTGTTTGTTTAACTCTTTGTGGTGTTTGTTCTTTCTTATCCTTTCTAATTTAGTGCTTTACTCACCTTCTCACACAGTCTTTTATACTCATGAAATAAAATATCACACTTTTTTTTACACACTTCAGTGTAATATTTCCATCTCTGCATTGGAAACCTCTACCAGATGCTCTACCATTATGTGAAATTCAATGTAACTTATCACTTTTTCCACCAAAAGTTTCCAATTTCCAAACTTCTGTTAATAACATCACTGTTGTCAATGGACATTGGTACTTCACTACATGTTGTTTCTTCTGTTTTAATCTCTCTTCTTTGAGGAAGTAATATTTAAACTTACATGTAATGTTGAAAGTGGAAGAGCATATTCTAATCTTGAGAAACAGATTATGGAATGGCCTAGGAATACCAGGATACACAAATAGGGTCCTGAAGTCTTCTGATTTTTTCTTCTGGTAAAGAGTGCAGTGGTACTACATACAATGCTGTGAAATAGTCTTGAGGATACAATAATGAAAAAGAAGCATTTATTTTTATATAGCTTATAGGTGAGTGGTGGGAATTTATGTTCTACTGGGTGTTACAGAAGAAGAGTGACAGGTGATGGATTAGGATAAGATTCCAATAGGGGGTGATACCTCAACAAATCTTTAAGGATGAGTAGACGTTAGCCTTATAAATTGGGAGAAGGGAAGGGGGGAAGATACTCCAAGAGTAATGCACAGTTCAGACAAAAGCTTGTTGGAAAGAAACAACAGGCTGTGTGCCAGCAACTATACCAGTTTGGTGTACCTAGAACATGAAATTCATGATATGTAGGGAGAGATGAGGCTGGGTAAGGAGGCCAGGCCAGAGCATGAACAATCATATATGATATGTTTTAAGCAGTTTTGATTTATAATGTCAGTTTTCACCTCCCAAACTTGAGTTATACAAACTTCTTTAAAAAAATTATAGAGTATATTCAATAGGGTGTTTGAATCTCAATTAAACATTTATTTCAGAAACTAAAATTCTAATTTAAGAAAATAAATTCAGGATTATCATTAGAAATGAGAATTTTGGTCATTCTAACAGGTGAAATAATTTTTTAATAATAAAAATGTAACTTTCAGGCATCTGAAAACAGCTATCTGGGGTCTGCAGATCTCAATTTGAAGAACATTATGTATAGTTGATAGGCAACCACTGGATAGTTTGTAGTTTAATTAGATGTATATTTAACTTTTAAAAAACATAGTAGATTAGCTTCACATTCAAAGTAAAGAAAAAATACAAAATATATAAAAAGTTCAAAATATATGCAGTGAAAAGTTTTAATCTCACACCTGTCCCCTATCTGTCCAGTTCCCACTTCCTCCTACTCCCACCATTATAACCATTTTAATTTAGTTTTCTGTGTGCCTTTCTGAAGTTTTCTTACCCACACATAAGCAAAAGGAAATTTGATGTCTAATTTTTACACATTTTGTACTATATGAATTGGTGTTCAGTTACCTACCTTGTTTTTTTCGCTTAATATATATCAATTTATATATTGAATATCTTTTTATATCAGTGTATAGATAAGTTCCTTGTTTTTGTTAACAGCTGTGTAGTATTCCATCGTGTTGTTGTATCCCTAATTAGTGGACTTCAGGTTCTTAGTAATCCTTTGCTATTATGGTAACTGACTTCATATATATATATATATGTATATATATATATATGTATATAAATATATATGTATATAAATATATATAAAACATATATATATAAAACATGGATTCACATGTGTAAGCATATATCATGTGTGAAAGCATATTTCTAACATAAATTACCAGAAGTAGAATTGCATTTGTAATTTTGGTAGGCATTTCCAAATTGCCATCCATAAAGCTTGTTTCAGTATACATTTATACTAGTAATATATAAGAGTGCCACTTTACATAGGTCACAAACACAGTGTGTGTGTAAGCTTTTGCTGTGTTAACAACCCCGTTCTCTCTGTGGCTTACTTTTTCTCTTCTTGTGTAAACATATGTGGGCTCTGGTTTGGCTGTGGGTCAGATGCATGTTGGCTTGATTGGACATGGCTGGGGTCCGTTTCTCTCCAATTCTTTTCTTCTAGGACCCAGGGTGGTGGACTAACCCCTGCTTGGTATATGCTGGTTTCACAGTGGAAAACAAGAATAAGAGAAGGTGGCTGAGCCAAATCAAACATTAACATACTGCATTGACTAAAGCAAGTGCTATGTCTGAGATAAAGTCAATAGGTGTAGGAAGTAAACTCTATCTGCAGGGAAGTATTGCAAGGGAGAAAACAAATTATGAAATGAATGATATAGTCTAATACAATGTTCCTATAAGTTTTTATATTTTACCAAGCTGATAGTTTATTTAAAAAATTGTCATATAGTAGTTGAAAATTGCATTTTTCATTATAATGGAAGATGTTGAGCATCTTTCATCTTATTTAAGGACACTTTCTATTTCCTTTTCTTTGAACAATTTGTATTGCTTGCTTATTTTACTATTGACTTGTTGATCTTTTTCTCATTGATTTCAAAGAGCTCTTTATAGATCATGGAGGG